>NC_000001.11:184434587-185059587 GCF_000001405.40 Homo sapiens
AGTGCTGGGGTAGAGTGTGTGTGGCTCTTGGGCCTCCAAGGGCCCCTGTGAGTGGCAGCACTGGGTTGAGAATTGAATGATGAGAAGGGTGATGGAAGGCACCCATGACAGGGTTCCAAAGAAGAGTTGAGATGAGCAATCCACATAAGATATTCCTAGAAACGAACTGGCCACGTCTAAGAAACAGAGCTAAGACTTTCATTCCTGGGCAGTCGTGAGCAAGGAGAATGGAGGGAATTCAGGTCAGAGAGGGAGGCAAGGTCTTGCAGGAGTTTGTTGAAAGTTCTTGGATTTTATTCTGTGGATACTGGGAAACTTTTGGTGGGTTTTGAGCCAGGGAGTGGGATAATTTGATTTAAGCTTTAGAAAGATCACTCTCCCTGCTTACGTTATTACGGTAGTGGGTATTGCTATAGAGCCATGAGAGATAGATAATGGCTTGGATCAGGTTTGGAGCAATAGAGAAGGTGGGAGCTGGTTGGATTAAAATATATTTGGAAGTAGGGTATAGAGCATTACTGGTGAGATGTATGAGGAAAGTCAAGAACAATTCTCTGGGTTTGGACTTCTGTCATTGGATGCCTTGACTGAGATGAAGAAAGCTTAGTGATTTTGAGGCAGGGCAATCCATAGCTCTGGTTTGGCTGTATTAAGTTCTGTTGGAATTTAGACATTCCAGCACTGAGCTCAGGGATATGGTTCAGGATGAAAGGATACATTTGAGAATCATTCACTTATAAATAGTATTTGTTTTTTGTCGTTGTTGTTGCTTTTGAGATGGATTCTCACTCTGTCGCCCAGCCTGGAGTGCAGTGGCATAGTCTCAGCTCACTGCAACCTCCGCCTCCCAAGTGCAAGCAATTCTCCTGCCTCAGCCTCCCGAGTAGCTGGGATTACAGACATGCACCACCATGCCCAGCTAATTTTTTATGTTTAGTAGAGTTGGGGTTTCCCCATGTTGGTGAGGCTGATCTTGAACTCCTGACTTCAGGTGATCTGCCCACCTTGACCTCCCAAAGTGCTGGGATTCCAGGCATGAGCCACTGTGCCTGGCGTATAGATGGTATTTGAAGCAAGAGACTGGCCTGGGACTGAGCTCCAAGGCCCTGCAAGTTTGAGGAGTCCAGTAGAAGAGAAGGACATAGGAAAGGAGCCTGGAAGAACAACCAACTGAGGCAAAAGGAAAACTATCAGGGTGTGGTATCACAGTAGCTAAGCTAAGAAAGTGATTGAAAGGCTGGAGTGTAATTTTCAGCATTGGGAAGGACAAAATCTGAAATCTGAACAAATGTTTTTCTAAAATTAAGCAGAAAGAGGAATGATCAGTTGCAACTAATGTTGCATGGAGGTGGAGGTGGAGTACCATGTGACAAAGAAGCAGCCGTTGCCATTGCTGTGGGGTCAGAAAGTCAAACTAGTGAGGACAGTAGCACGTGGAGACCAAAGCCCAACAGGAGTGCCCAGAGAAGAGAATGGGACGTGTGGGAGAAAATGATCCAATAGAAAGGGAGATGCTGGTGATGGATGCAGGAGAAGGGAAAATTGCAGAAGAGAAGTCCTTGGTAGATGAGAAGGAGTGGGGAGCTTGGCCTCAGCAGAAGGCGAGTTTGTGTTACAACTTGTTGGAGGAAGGTAGGATATATGGGATAGATGCAGCCACATTGGCGACATTATTATTGGGGCGATGGAGTAGTTCTTATTTTACGGCATCTCTTTTCTTTATGAAGTGCATTATGGTACTAGTCAAGAAGAACAGGGGAAGTGTTTGAGATTTGGAGATTTGGCAGTGGTCGGCTTGGAGAGTGGACGGTGTACCTGCAAAGGGTGTGTAGAAGGATGTGGTGCAAAGTCGGCAGCCCACGAGACACATTCGGCATGATGCAAAGTTGCCACTCCTCTACTTCTGAGGCAGAGTGGCATTGGAACCCAGTTCTGCCCAGCCCCCAGGAGCCCTTGACATAGCAACATGCTTCCCTAAAGGAGAAAAAAAAATGTGACCTGTACTATGCCACTTATTCCTCACTGAATAGACTGAGAAGTTGGAACACATAAAGGTAATAAACTTTCACTCCCCTCTCCCCTTCCTAGGACTTCCCCCTTTCTCTTGTCCCTTTAGCTTTCCCTTTTTCGATAAACGTCTGTTGAACACCTACCCGTGGCAGGTATTGATTGGGCTTTGTGCTGGGAATATGGCTGCAGACAAGGCAGGAGGTCCCTGGTCTCATGGAACATCTGTTCTAAGAGAGGTGACAGCCATAATGAGGGAAAGAAATGATGGCATATGATCATTTCAGATACTGATAACCAACCATATCAGTAAAGTCAACAAATGGGCAGTGAGATTGAGCGGCGGGTTGGGGGGTACTTTTGAAGGTCCCTCTGAGAATCTGACCTTTTTGCTGAGCTCTGAAGGGTAGGAAAAAAGGAATTGTTGACAACCCAGGGCCTTTTCTGTCCATGGTAGAGAAAAGGAGACTAGATGAAAGAGAGCCTGTGGGATGGGGTGAAGAAATCCTCTTGACACTTTTTGTTCAGAAGATTGAGATGTTTGAATCTCACCATGGAAGGATTCTCAGTTATCTAGCTCCCTCTCTCTGTCTCCCTCTCGTACCCCCCTACATTTCAACAACTGTTCATTTCTGGAAACAAAATCATCCTGCAAGCACAAAAAGAGGTTGGCATTCAGATCAGGCGTACTCCAAAATGAACTGAGAAAATTGACCTGAAACACAAAATCAAGCCTGTTATTTCAGCAAAACCAACAGCCATCGATCAGGAAATCCTTGTCTCATAAGAAGTTCCACCCAGACCTTCCCTTGGCGCTTTGTTTTTCCTCCCATCTTGCTCTCTGTGTTTGGCTCCTATCTTACATGAGAACCTGTTTTCTTTGCCTGGCGTCACACCCTGAGTGCAAAGGTAGTACGCAGCAGTAAGGTCAAGGTGGGCAGGAGGCGTGGAGGTGTCAGGTTGTTTGTGTGCTTGCTGGGTGGGGTCCAGAAGGAATTTATGTGTAATCTCCAGCTGTAACACCATTTAATGCAGCGATCTTCGGCCTTTTTGGCACCAGAGACCAGTTTCATGGAAGACAATTTTTCCATGAATGGGGTCTTGGGATGAGTCAAATGTATTACATTTATTGTGCACTTTATTTCTATTATTATTACATTGTAATATATAATGAAATAATTATATAACTCACCATAATTTAGAATCAGTGGGAGCCCTGAGCTCATTTTCCTGCAACTAGATGGTCCCATCTGAGGGTGATAAGAGACAGTGACAGATCATCAGGTATTAGATTTTCCTAAGGAGCGCACAACCTAGATCCCTCTCATGTGCAGTTCACAATAGGGTTTGCACTTCTGTGAGAATCTGATGCCATCACTCATCTGACAGGAGGCAGAACTCAGGCAGGAATGGGATCAATGGGGAGCTGCTGTAAATACAGATGAAGCTTTGCTTTTCTCACCCACCACTCACCTGCTGTGGGGCTTGGTTCCTAACAGACCATGGACTGATACCAGGGTCCCCTGATTTAATGGACTTTTCCTAGTGAAAGAAAAAAAAAGAGGAGGCTAAAGAGTTCACCTTCCTAGGAACTCTCAAAAACAGACTTCTCCTTCCTGATGAAGGTAATATAGAACTTAGCTCAACTCCAAACTCTGTGTTGCCCTGAAAGTCTTGAGGAGGTGCTATTTTGAGAAAAATTTTCATTCTCCAGTTATATTCCCTTTTAGGAATTTGAGAGTTAGAAGGGATCTTGCAGCTTGTCTGCATCACCCAGGGAAGTCCTTTGGTGTGTTCTTCTATGGCAATGTTTTGTCTGGATGACTTGGTACCAGAAGGACAGACTGGCTCCTCTCACTGTTCAGCCCCCTCAAGTTCCATAGTGCAATGTTTCCAGACACTTTTCACCTCACACTCCATGTAGAAAATGATCATCTTGGCAAGACACATTGGAGTAAATAGACAAGGTTGCTCAAGGCCAGACATGGACTGAGGTCTGGGGCTGGGCCAGTGTGTTGTTACAGGACAGAGGGGATAATATGTTGGCACACTGAAAATCCATCGGCAGGTAGCTCTGCTGATAGATCGCCTTCCTCACTAGGTTCCATGCCCCTTGAGGGTAGGAGCTGTGTTTTGGTCTTTCTTAAATTAAAAACCTCAGGCCCTTGAGAAGTTCGACAGCTGGTAGAGAGCCCATGAAAATATGGTTGCCTTAAATGCAACAAAGATCTCTTCAGTGGGAGGTGACCACAGAGATTACTTTCTTAAGTGTCATTGATAACCAAAGATATGTCGTTGGGTTGCATTAAAGATGTGTCATTAAAAACTATTCTTGGCTGGGCGCAGTGGCTCACGCCTGCAATCCCAGCACTTTAGGAGGCCAAGGCAGGTGAATCACCTGAGGTCAGGAGTTCGAGACCAGCCTGGCCAACGCGGTGAAAACCCATTTCTACTAAAAATATAAAAACTGGCCAGGCGTGGTGGTGCATGCCTGTAATCCCAGCAACTCGGGAGGCTGAGGCAGGAGAATCGCTTGAACCCAGGAGGCGAAGGTTGCAGTGAGCCAAGATCACACCACTGCACTCCAGCCTAGGTGACAGAGCAAGACTCTGTCTCAAAGAAAAAAACCAAAACCAAAACAAAACTGTTCTTTTTCTGTCCCTATTTTTGTGTGTTCACTCTGATCTGAAATCACACTGCTCAGGTTTGGGTCCTGGCTCTGCCACTCATTGGCTGTTTCACCTTGAACAGGTTACTTACTCTCTTGAGACCCTGGTTTCCTCATCTGTTCAGTGAGGATAATGAAATCATCTAGTATGTGATACTACCCAAGGGCTATCTATCTGCAAGGCCCTTGCTCTACATCACTCCATCAAACTCACTCTATAGGAGCCTTTTTAAATCTACACAGCCACACATACAAGACACCAGAGAAGTCAGAGAGAACATTTTTTGAGAGACTTTGCAATTTAGTTAAAATAAATACTGGCTAACAATGCCTAGATTTATTAAATACTTGGGATTAATCCAACAATTTGTAAAGTACTTGAGATCAATCACTCAACCTACATTATGGCTGGGCACAGTGGCTCACGCCTGTAATCCCAGCAATTTGGGAGGCTGAGGCAAGAGGATCACTTAAGTTCAGGAGTTCAAGACCACCCTGGGCAATACAGGGAGACTCAATCTCTATTAAAAAACAAAAAACCAAAACCATTATGGGCTATTGTCTTATGTTTTGGAGTTACAAAGATGGTCAAAAGAAAGATGGTATGAAAAGTGGCATAAAAATTAAAACTAATGATTTATTTAGGTTTTTGTGGTTGTTAATTTAGAAAAAATTAAAATGAAATAAGAATTCAGTATGGTAGCCAATAAATTTTTCCAAAGACACTGAACCCTGAGATATATATTAGACATGTTTCTACTTTCTGAGTTCTGATTGGGGTGTTGTCCTTTGAAAGTGAGGAGCCAATAAGATGGATTTTTAAATGATGGTTGGGAAAGGGTGGTAGGAAGTGATTTCCGATTTCTCCACAGTAGATATTGATTGCTTTGGTAGAAATTAGCATGATTGAGACTTGCTTTAAGATGAACAGCATCAGAAAACATATTGATTTCCTTTTTTATTACTATTATTTTTATGTATTTGTTTATTTATTTTTTGAGACGGAGTCTTGCTCTGTCACCCAGGCTGGAGTGCAGTGGCACAATCTCGGTTCACTGCAACCTCTGCCTCCCGGGTCCAAGCAATTCACCTGTCTTAGCCTCCCAAGTAGCTGGGACTACAGGCGCACGCCCTACACCGGCCATTTTGTTGTTGTTGTTTGTATTTTTAGTAGAGACAGGGTTTCACCATATTGGTTAGGCTGGTCTCAAACCCCTGACCTCAGGTGATCCACCTGCCTCAGCCTCCCAAAGTGCTGGGATTACAGGCGTGAGCCACTGCACCTGGCCTTTTTTTTTTTTAATATTAGAGGAAGCTACCTAAGTATTTGCCTTGAGGAAATCCAATGATTCTAAAAGCTCCTTTGAAAGAAATTTACTAAGAAGTTGAACAAAAATATTCTAATAAGTAAGATAGTAAGTTTGAATATCTTTGATACTTACAGGACAGAGGAGAGAGGGAAGGGTTTATAAAGTCTGTGAAATATATGTCACTTAAAAATATGTGTTACGTATTCAACACTTATGTTAAAAAATGATTAGGAAAACCTGGCTTACCTTTTCTAATTAGAGGGACCTGGCTGAGAGGCTGGCCAGATTCTACATTTTCCAAGAAAATCAAATCCTAGAAAGGTCGCATTTCCTTTTGAATGTTGACACCAGAGATAGCTGAAAGATAGAGAAGTTCTCCTTATTCAGTATTTTGAACTGAAGGATCCTATTTGATGTTTTTTGTTTGACCTAATGTCCTAGAAGTAAACTGAAATTCTACCTACTCCTTTTGGAGAGGCATCACGGGAGAAGTACCCTCTTAAAATTCTAAGTCTTCTGTTAGCAGAAAACATCATCTTTTGGTTAGTGGAAATTTCCACTCCCAGCACACCTAGGCATTTTTACCTCTATACAGCTTCCTCTTGGTTTTTGTGATTGAGTTAACTTTCAGCAAGTTACCTTGTTTCTCCCGTTTCTTATTTAACTATGCTATATCTTTTACTTCTCTTTCTCCATTAACTAATTCCCACAGCCCTTTTCTTAAACTTTTCCTACGCTGAAAGATACTTTAAATATTTTGATCTTCCTCTTTACAAAAAGGGGTGGCAGGGCGAAGACCTGGTTTGTCCAGAAATCGGGTATCAGATCTGCCCCCAAATCTTGATTCACAGTCATGACACAATTCAAATTTATTCACTAGTTTGTTAGTCCTTGTATTCTTACTCAACCTAAAGGAACATTTTTGCTTTTAAATCCAATTCCAAAATAGGAGGGCAGTAGGAATGTTGAGTGATTATTATAATGTGTGATTATTACGTGCAGCTAAGCACATACATGACTTCATTTAAGTCTCGTACCACAGTGCCTTGAGATAAGTTGTGTCATCTCCATTTTATAGATGAGTAGGCAGAACTAGTAATCCTAACCACTGTGTTTACACTGCCAGCTAGTACTGTATAGTAAATTTACAATTCTAAATTGATTGAAAATTTATTTGTGTATTTAAAGCTGTTATAAACCTAAGATAATCTTAAATTTTTTAATCTGGTTTAGAAGCATGTCAGAAAATTTGACAATAATTAAAGAAATGTGTAGGCCCATTTTGCAAGTGTTTCCTGTTCAGCTGGTATTGATGTTCGTAGGGCTTGATTGATATTCACTGGTAAAATTATGAGCAATATTAGTGAATGTCACAGCAA
This sequence comes from Homo sapiens, assembly GCF_000001405.40. Lineage (NCBI taxonomy): Eukaryota > Metazoa > Chordata > Mammalia > Primates > Hominidae > Homo > Homo sapiens. The sequence goes on from NC_000001.11 coordinate 184,441,952, forward strand.
ACTCTTGGATTCCATTTAGTTATGTTGTAGTCAGTGAATGGAACAGACTGGTAATAAAGTGTATCATGGATTTTCAAGTCAAAAGAAACTCGATTCAAATCCTGACTTTTCCTCTATGCTTGGATGAGCTTGCAGGCCACTCATCCCTTCTAATATCAGTATATTCATCTGTAAAATGGAAATAATAATATCTCATATGGTAATGGTTAAATTAAATGGGACAATGTATGTAAATTGCTTAGACCTTGTACATAATATAATAACATCCAATAAAATTGTAGTTGTTCATAACAATCATCATGATCATAGAATCCAGGTTGGGAAGGATCAGACAGACTTAAAGATCAGGCAGACTTAGTGCAAGTTCTGATTCTACTAGTAAAATGGCCTTTGTTAAGTCACTTTGCCCCTCTGAGTTTGCATCTCTTTATCTGCACAATGCGGATAATATTTAACACAGGATTATGATAAAGATTACGTGAAAAGTGACGTCTGTAAAATGTCCAGCTCTAATTGACCTTCACAAATGATAGCAAACCCCTCCCTTTGGTTGGCATGTTGCCTGTCTTTTAGAATAGGCAGATATAGGGCCTAGAATTATTAGAGAGCTTTATTTAATATTGAACATTAGTTTCCCCATGGCATGTATCAGTTTGGCTCCAATCTTATGATCTGAGTGATTGAGAAAGTTATTTTTGCTCTCTGGGTCATGATTTTGATTAGATCTAGAAATACTCTGAGGATCCCAACTTACTTACTTGATTGCTAGGACTAAAGCTCTTGTTCTTCTATAATCTTTATCTCCATCTTCCTGGATACATTCTGTGCTGAATAAAACTATTTATATATATAAAAAATTCTAAATCAAAGGAATATGTCAGGCAATGATTAATATACATTAATGTGTGAATTGGATGGTTCAGTGTTCTCTGTGATTGTTGCCAGTGATTCAGAATTTAATACTGAGATCATCAGCATTTAAAATAATTTAACATTGTGTGACAATTTAATTTATTTGATCACTGCTGCATTCTTCCTGTCCAACTTTATATGAAGCATTATAGTTGTGAAGTCAGTAATAACAATAGTAATGTGCTGAGTTTTGAACGTGAAGAAAAGGTGACCAAAGCAGCTAAATAAAGAATTGTACTGTGCATTTTCCTGAAAGGAGTTCCTCTGCTTGCAGGCTCTTCCCTGTGGTTTAGGTGCAAAATCCTTTAACCATATACTTAGCATTTCTACTCCTTGCGTGCAAATTTATTTTATTTCTGTGGACTGTTCCTCTGTGCCTTGCGTAAAGAGCTCTGGGTGAGATTATTAACATGTAATGTAAGATCTCACCCAACCTGCTTTTTGCTGTTTGGAACTGGGCATACAATCGCTATTCTGAGGTGGATAGTTATCTGGTTTTAAATCCAAGTTTTGTTCTCCACTAGATGCCAGATTTTATATTCCACCGGCTAACAAGTCTAAAAATACCATGTTAACTTTCCTCCCTTCTCTCTCAGAAGGAGACTTCATCTCCTCTAGCATTCATCAAGAACATATGCCCTGTTGTGGGCTCCTGAAACCCTGAAAAGAAAATTTCCTTTTAAACATAGTACCTGTAAAAGTTAAAATAGGTTTGTCTACTTGGTGTTATTTAAGGGGCACTGGGAAAGTTCTTCATTCCAGGTTATTTCCTCCAGTCATTACACTGTTGGTGATTTATTTCTCTAGGATTCACATCTATCCTCCCTCAAGCCTGCAGGGACAGTACTGAACTTCCCCCTAACCACAGGGAAGGGAAGGATAGAGCTACAGAAATGATAGCAGGCCAAGATCCCATTGGTGTGGAGTCCCTGAAATGGGGTCATGAGGCACTGGATACCAAGCATATCCTGAAGTGCACTGGATTGCACTGTTTAGAGCCTCCTGTCCCTGCTGGGGAGGAGGTAAGAAGGCCCAATCCCATGACAGGGGGTATATGAGGGCAGTGTTTTCCATAGCGACCAGAAGCAGATCATGGCCTTTGAGAATGAGCTGGTCATTGAAAATTATTTCAATTATAAGACTCTTGCCTAGGGGGAATACAGCCTCCTAAAATGCCTTTCATTTCAATTTGTGTAACCTGTGTCTCCATGGAAGATTCTGCCTCCCAATGAAGACATTCTGGAAAGAGATCCCAGGGCCTAATTGTCAGCCTCTGCAAAGGAAGATTTTAAATGTTTTCTTCCTTTGCCTCTTATCCCCAGCTTTGTACAGTAACTACCTTGGTTCATGGATCTTCTCACCCAGTGATTCTCAAAATGAACTGGTGATATGGTTTAGCTGTGTCCCCACCCAAATCTCATTTTGAATTGTACTCCCATAATTCCCATGTGTTGTGGAAGGGACCCGGTGGGAGATAATTTGAATCATGGGGTCAGTTTCCACCGTACTGTTCTTGTGGTAGTGAATACGTCTCATGAGGTCTGATGGTTTTATCAGGGGTTTCCACTTTTGCATCTTCCTCATTTTCTCTTGCTGCCACCATGTAAGAAGTGCGTTTCACCTCCCACTATGATTCTGAGGCCTCCCCAGCCATGTGGAACTGTTAAGTCCAATTAAACCTCTTTTTCTTCCCAGTTTCGGGTTTGTCTTTATCAGCAGAATGAAAATGGACTAATACAACTGGGTTTCAGGGTGCCTACTTACTATCTGTGAGACTTTGGGAAGTTATGTTAATTTGGACCTACTTCCTTTATATAAAAATGAATATATAATATATATCCTTCTGTCCATCTCACAAGATTGTTGTGAGTAAAATGAAAAAAGTGCTATTTTCAAGCATTCAATGAATCCGTGATAAGCACCAAGTAGGAGTTTGTGCTAAGTACAGAGGTACTTAAGTACTTAGGAGGTGCTAAGTACAGAGGTACATGGTCTTCTATCTAGGGAGATCAAAAGAGGACTCTTCCAAGCAAAGAAGATTCCTTCCTCTCCTGTTGTATCCTCAGCGTATTAACACCTGGGATGAATATAATATTTGTTCAATGGTCATGTGTAGCGTGACTTGTGCTGTAATATTATATGTGATGCAATATGGGAAAATAGCAAGATGGTGGATTACTGCTTTCATAGAGTGTAGACAGACCTCTCAGTAGAGACAACGGTTGAGTTGGGCCTTGTGGATGAGTAAAGCTTCATGAAAAACTTAATATGTTGCCCTTATTTTTTACACTTTGCAGAGGACTGACGTTAGTTTCCATACTGGCATGTGGGAAGCTGTCACTGACTTATGACTTGTCCATTCATTCTAATAAAGTCACCTCACAGATGTGTTTATAAATGCATTAAAATCAGGCATGTTTTCAGAGAAAGTTTTTAGAATATAAAATGTTATAATGTAAAACCACGCCCTTTTTTCAGACCTCTCTCTCTCTCTCTCTCTCTCTCTCTCTCGCAAGGAGCTGCTCTCCTTCTCCTTTCTTCTGTCTATTAAACTTTCCACTCTTTACCCCCCCACCCAACCCCATAAAAAAAGGAAAAACCTATTAATTTATCTGGACCTTTTTTTTTTTACCTGATTCGACTACACTTTAAATTAAAACGTGCTTTGTTTTTAGAGCTGGAGTTTGTTGCTAACGAAAGGGTAATTATAGTTCACAGGAACACTCAACTCATTGGAACATACTTGCTGTAGATATTGAAAAAAAAATTTGTTCTTTTGAGGCAGGGACAGGAGAAAAGCCAAAGACAATGAGACAGGTTTTCTGGAGAGAGCTGGTTAATGCAATGCATGTGGCCCTTAGGAGGGCATTAGTTAGCAGAGCCATGTTTCTCATAGGTGCATTTTGTAAAATGAAAGTTTTAGTTCCTATGAAAAAAATGTTACATAGGGATAATGGTGAAGATTAATTAAAAGGGCATAATCATAACCTCTCTTTATTACCATTTTATCATAACAATTACATTAACATAATATTATTGGCTAAATATTTCCCTTGCCAAGTAGAAGGATGTGATTGTATGGACCCTGTGTTTAGAGGACAAAATAGTTACCCATATGGGTGATATGGTAGAGACTTCTATGAATTTTCTCGGGAGATTAACTCTTTAAACACAGAAAATTTTAATTTTGACAATTTTAATGATAGACTTTAGAATTCAGGAAATGCTTCACACTTTGGATCAAAGTAAATGCAAAGCAATTTAGTCTTTTCTTCTTCATGCCTTTAGGATTATTGCGATGGATGTCAGTTATTATCTCAAATGCCATCGAGAGATGCTCAGGGCTGCTTGAATTGGTTCCAGAGCTTGGTGCTTCAGAGTAGAGTATACAGTCACTTTTTATATTTTTCTGTCTCTCTCCTCACTGTCTACTATATTTTATTTCTATTCCTTTTCCTATTCTTCAGCCTCACCTTTTTTACTGGCTTCTTTCCCAAGCGGCAAGTATGATTTGTCAGCTCTATCTTTTAAGAAATCCTACTTTTGTGTCGTCTGATCGAGCTCAACACTCCCTATAAATTATTCTTGCCAAAATATTGAACCTGAATTTGATCAAATCACTATATCCAAGTGCCAATCTGCAGGATATAGAAGAATTAAATGAACATGTTAAATGATACTTCAATGATACAATCAGCAAAGTTCCAAAACAAACAGAACTTTACAGGACAAATAACCAAGGGGAAAAGAAAGACAGACAGACGTGTAATGGATACCTATAGATCAGAAGAGACTAAAGACACTTGTCAGCCAGTTTCAGTGTATGGAGCTTACTTGGGTCCTGAGTGAAAAAAAAAACAAAACAATATGAAAAAATATGAGGCCACTGGGGGAAGTTGAACACTAATCAGATATTTGATGATTTTAAGGACTTATTGTTAATTTTTTAAGGTGTGATAGTGGTAGTATGGTTATGATTTTTTCGTGGTTTTTTTTTTTTTTTTTTGGAGACAGGTACTGATATTTCGGGATGAAACGATGACTTGATAATTGAAGTTTCATCGTGGGTATAAGAGACTGCATTATACTGTTTTCTCTACTTTGAGTATGTTGAAATTTTCCATAAGAAAATATTAAAAAGCAACAACAACAAATTAATTATCTGTTTTGAGACTCAGTCCTGTCTATCTGTACTGCCCATTACTTCACAAACATTTCTAGATAGAGTGGCTTCTAATCACTGTAGAGGCTCTAATTTTTCTGGGCTGTTCTTACAGTTTCTTCTTCTGTGTGCTCTGCTTCTTAGCTGTCTCCTTCCTCAGTCCTCTCCTAGTCTTGCTTTATACTAGGCATTCTTGGCCTGTGGGTTCAGAGATGAGCTTCGAAGGATCTGTCATTCCTCTGAAATATATAGCGCTTTGTCTGCATATGCAAATGTGCATTTTTTAGTTGTTAGGTTAATGCTTTTTACCAGCCTTCCAAGTGTCCATGATTCAAGAATGTTACAGACAGCCTTAGTGCACACTGTCCTGAATAATCACGTTTCATGGCTTTTTCTTCTCTCTGCATGCGTGATATCACATGTCTGGTCCACAACTCTGTCCTGTGCTTCAGCCCTATTCATTCGTCTACTCTTTATCTCCACCTAACAACTCAAAGATAGTATGTTTGGGTGTCAGTTTTACTATTTACCTAATTGCTCTTCATGTCAAATGTCTCTGAATTGGCCTGGATTTCACTTTCTTCCTTACCTAAACATCTACATCTAAATATTCATCAAACTCTTGGAATTTTACCTCTTAAATGATACCTTTTCTGTCTTCTCGTTATTTGGTACAATGTCTCAGTTTAGACCCTCGACATCTCTCCCCTGGTCACTGGACTCCCACTGTAAAGCTTCTTACCAATTTCCTTGCCTCTATCCCCATCTCTTCTGTTTGAAGGAATGATGTCACTAACAAAAAAATCTGGTCATTTCACATTTCTGCTGACATCAGTGGCTGATAATATCTTAGTACGGCCCTTCATTATCCAACCCTGGTCCACTTAAGTGGTCTCATTTCCTGACCTCCGTCCTCAGACCTATTTACAGCATGACGTATTTGTCAAGTCTCCTAGACTTTGCTTATATATTCATTCTACCTAGAGCTCACCATCCCTTACCACCACCCTACCCGCTTCTGTCTTGACAACATGGGAAATACCACTTTATCTTTCAAGTCTTTTCCTTTTTCTTTTGAGACAGAGTCTTGATCTATCACCCAGGCTGGAATGCAGTGGCAGGATCTTGGCTCACTGTAGCCTCTGCCTCCTAGGTTCAAGCAGTTCTCCTACCTCAGCCTCCCAAGTAGCTGGGATTACAGGCACACATCACTATGCCCAGCTAATTTTTGTATTTTTAGTAGAGATAGGGTTTTTCCATGTTGGCCAGGCTGGTCTCGAACTCATGACCTCAAGTGATTGTCCCACCTTAGCCTCCCAAAGTGCTGGGATTACAGGCGTGGGCCACCGCATCTGGCTTATCTTTCAAGTCTTAAGGAAGACCCTTCTCTCTGAGGCTTGCTGGAGGATTTGCTGGAATCCTTGGGTGCTACATATGTAAGCACTGACATTCAGGATTGTTGTTGTTGCTTTTAATTGCCCTGTAATTGTTTGCAGAGCTGTGAACTAACCAGTTAGGACTATTAGAGCATCTTTGACAATATCTAGCTTTTACCTAGTACTGCAGGCATGAGCTTTTACCATGTGGTGGTGGACTGCATGCTGACCTGGGTCTCCAGAGACTCTTTTCCTTCTCTAGGTGTGTAGGCACTACCTCAAGCTCTTTCAAAGAAATAGTAGCAGGGAGACCACGGGGCTTCTTTTTCTCTTGGATCTCATTTCCTGAAGAAAGGAAAGGTGTGAAGAGAGTGGTTGCAGGCAGGGGCAGTGAGAGAGTTTTCAAGCTGAAGTTCTTCTTTGGTAACTTATTAAGTCCCTGCCTTTCTAAGTTCTAAGTTCCTCTACTTCCTCCCATTTCTTAGTGACCACTTCAAAGTATATGAGTAAAAGATTTGAAATAATACACTTTCTTCCAAATCTTCCTGCCTAAATATATGTATTTTTAAATGAATTAAGGTGACGAAACTTAATTTTTAATTTATTTTTTAGTATTTTAACAATGAAAATCAAATTTAACTAGATTTCTTTTATTATTATTATTATACTTTAAGTTCTAGTGTACATGTGCACAATGTGCAGGTTTGTTACATATGTATACATGTGCCATGTTGGTGTGCTGCACCCATTAACTCGTCATTTACATTAGGTGTATCTCCTAATGCTATCCCTCCCCCTTCCCCCCACCCTACAACAGGCCCCGGTGTGTGATGTCCCCCTTCCTGTGTCCATGTGTTCTCATTGTTCAGTTCCCACCTATGAGTGACAACATGGGATGTTTGGCTTTTTGTCCTTGCGATAGTTTGCTGAGAATGATGGTTTCCAGCTTCATCCATGTCCCTACAAAGGACATGAACTCATCATTTTTTATGGCTGCATAGTATTCCATGGTGTATATGTGCCACATTTTCTTAATCCAGCCTATCATTGTTGAACATTTGGGTTGGTTCCAAGTCTTTGCTATTGTGAATAGTGCCGCAATAAACATATATGTGCATGTGTCTTTATAGCAGCATGATTTATAATCCTTTGGGTATATACCCAGTAATGGGATGGCTGGGTCAAATGGTATTTCTAGTTCTTAACTAGATTTCTTAATACTCAGGAACCACTGAGCTAAATTATTGATAGTGGACCCATTTTCCAGGAAATATAATTTAAGTCTTCCAAGAACGGTTTTAGTTGGAAAAGTCTTGTATGTATCTCAACATGATACATACAGTACCAGTCAAAATTAAGATCCCTATGTGTAATATATTTATAAGCTATGGATTAGCAACTGTGAGTTTGTGTCCAGTTGTGTGATCATGTATCTCCATATCACTTTCCTTCAGTGTTTGGTAACACCACGCCAGGTTCAGGGAGAAGGCAGGATGTGCTTGGCTTTATTAGTTCTGAAATTAGGAAAGGAAGGCTCGCATTGGATGTTGTAAATCACAGAAAAGTCTCCTTCCTGATGTGCAGGTTATGGGTAACAGACAGAACACAAGACGGAGGGAGGTATTTTTATGGTAAGATTGGGGCGTGTGGTGTCTTCAATTCCAGGTGTTATGAGTCAGTTGCTTAGAAGGCAGGACAGTGAGGTTGTAGGTGGATGCCTGATACAGTCATGGAGGGAAGGTGTGGGGTCACCTTGTAGAGTGCTTGCATGAAGGGCTTGTTACTCAAGCTTCAATCAGAGAAGCACCTCTTATGGGATTCTCCATGTCAGGGAGGTGGAGAGCACGCCACCACACTGAATGCAGGCTTCTCAGGAGCCCTGTGAACCTGGTGCCCCTCCAGACAGTGCTCCAGTCACTGTCTTTTTCTGGACTCCCCTCGCCCCAATCAGAGGCACCCTTGATGGGTGCCTGACCAGCTGTAGCACTAAATCAGGGAGGGCCACTCATGATAGAATAAGCTATCTGCTCAATACTGTATGCATTTTAATGAATGTCAACAATGCTTTTAATAGGAAGAATGAGAAATCTGTGAGCTTTATGATGACAGGTAGCAGAGGTAATACTCCTAGTGAGATACCAACCTTGTAGGTTTTGGCATTCACAAAAGCGTACACAACACACACACAGACGCACATATATACATGCATAGCCAGATAAAGTTTATCAAAATAAACATATAGCCAAATTGCCTCTTTTGCTTTAACTTTCCTGTCTTCTGCCATGTCCATATCAATATTATACTTAATTAAATTTATGTGGCTGAAAGGCTTTATAAAGGACAAGAGAGAACCTAACCTATTTTTGTTCTTATTAATGACTTATTTTATTCTTTAAAATCAGAAATGATGATGGAGAAAAAAGTTTCATGTGACCTCTGAATTCACCAACAGTATAAAAATTGTGTGTTTTTGTTTGTTTGTTTGTTTGTTTTCCTGACAGAATCTTCCTCTATCGCCCAGGCTGGAGTGCAGTGGCGCAATCTCAGCTCACTGCAACTTCTGCCTCCTGGGTTCAAGCGATTCTCCAACCTTAGCCTCCTGCGTAGCTGAGATTACAGGCACATGCCATCACGCCCAGCTAATTTTTGTATTTTTAGTAGAGACGGCATTTCGCCATGTTGGCCAGGCTGGTCTTGAACTCCTGACCTCAGGTGATCCGTCTGCCTCGGCCTCCCAAACTGCTGGGATTACAGGTGTGAACTGCCATGCCTGGGCTAAAAATTGCTTTTTAAGCCTATGATTTTTTTAAATGGACCATATAAAAATAATTGCCATGTCTGTTCTTTTAACCATTTTATATTTTTACCCAACTTTGGAACATTTTTTTGTTTTTGTTTTATTTTTTCGGGACAAGGTCTCACTCCATCTCCCAGACTGGAGTGCAACGGCACGATCATAGCTCACTGAAGCCCCGACCTCCTGGGCTCAAGTAACCCTCCTACCTCAGGTTCTCAGGTAGCTGGGACTGTAGGCATACACCATCATGCCTGGCTAATTTAATTTTTTTTTTTTTTTTTTTTTTTGGAGAGACAGGGTCTCACTGTGTTGCCCAGGCTTGTCTCGAACTCCTGGCCTCAAGTGATCCTCCCATCTCGGACTCTCAGAATGTTGGGATTACAAGCATGAGCTACCAGGCCCAATCTGGAACATTTTTCTAATCTCAGTCTGTCCTTCAAGTTGTAATAGTGTGTTTTGTAGTCCTGAAGAATTCTACACACAGACACGTTTCTCTAAAGACTTAGGCATGGTTGCCTGGAATGCTCAAAAACAAATGAGTTAAAAGCTAACAGCAAAATTTTCTCCCAAATGAGCATATTGCACATTGTAGGCCTCTTGTGCTCCAAGTTCACGAAAAGGGCATTAGCAAATTACAAGCATCTGAAAGCTCAAGTTTTCCGTGTTTATAAACTTAATGAGCAAATGCTCCATTGAGTGATTATATCCTTTATAAATAATTTTGTTTTTAAAAATAAATGTTAGTGTTAGTTTGTTGTTGGAAATGAATAAAAGCACTCCTCAGTCCCCAATTAATCCTTTGCTTTCCCTGGAAGGCAAAAAATTTTGTGACATTGAAATCACAAGTCCAAGCCAAAGCCGCCTCCTTAAATGAAATTTCCTTCTTAGTAGTGTGGAATGCTTTCCAAACTCCTAGACATGTCCATGTGCAATGTAGAAGTATTCCTAATGAGAATGTCACAAGAAGCTTTTGGTGGAGAGCTTATTTATTGTTTATAAGATAGAAGGTTTGATTGGCAGGAGAGCAATGAAAGATGATGGTATGGCCACCATGTCTCCTATGAAGGGCTTATTTCTTTTATAAAGAGTTTGGTTTCTAGAGTCCCCACAGGCTGAGTGCAAAGCACAATTTCTCTTCATTGCAGGTGTGAGTGTGAGAACAATTCTTTGTCAGTCCAAAGGGAGAATCACGTCATATCTTATAGGTAGGGTCACAAGTTGGAGGTGGGTAACTGGATGCTGTTGTATTTGTCAGAAACAGCAGAATTAAAGATTGCACCAGAAGTGAGCTCTTTGTTTTTCTGCTTATGAAATAAGGTCATATTTGTCCCATGTAACATGAGGCAAAGTGGCAAGAAGAGGGCGTAACCACCACGTTGATTGTTTGCATGTAGGAGGGCCACAATTTGTACTTGTTCACAGTACATCTGTGTGGTCAATGGCTCAGAACAAACTTTGATTGATCTTTTTATAGATAAATAATACAAAGAAGTTCCATGAATCTCTTTATATTCGTGGTATTACACAAAATTGTTGTAATTGTTCAGGTTATACAGGGTAGGAGCAAAATCAGTATCTTCCTTGTTAATTCTCTTTGCCTGTCCCCTCTTGAGCTCTCTCTGTCTTTCTTGTTTTAATATGACCGGCTCTGTTTGATGAGAGATTTTTAAGGTTTTTAAAAATTTTAGTAGCTTTGTTTCATCTCTATTGTTTATGCCTTAAAAGTTGTCCCTGGTATCATGAGGAGAAAACTTTGAGTCAGAAAGAAGCATAAAGCCTTTCATTGAAAGGATTGATGTGTTCCAGAGGCAATTGGTCTGAATTCAGCTAGGGACATTTCCCTCCTAAACAGTAAACTGACCAGATCTTTCTAGGAAGACCTTCGAGCTGGGAAGCGCACCATGAAATGCCTCTAAGTGATGCATACTACAGCCCACATCACTTTGGGGAGAGGAAGCCAGAGTTGTGCTCTAGCCAAGCTTATTTTAAAGAACTGAACCCCATTTCCTTCTGCAGAGATTCTCTGAGTGGAAGGGAGAATGCAATATTAACTAGCTGACTTTGCCTTCAGATATTTGCATCCTTGCGGTCCCAGGTAAATGCAGCATTGCCCCAGGTACAGGTTGAACAGAAAGCAGTGCTTCTGACGGTTCTGACGGTTCTGCTTTTGCTTTACAACTCTTTCTGTGCTTTTCATAAAATTTTAGTTTGAAGTACTGACGAATATACAATTTAGTGACACATTTTTGCTAGTGCTGCCTTTCTCAGGAAACGAATGTTTCATTTTCCTAAAGGAAGCTACTCAATGTAAACATTGATCTGCGTTTTAATGTTTTGTCTTTTTATTAGTTTGCTGAATATACTGATGTTAATATCCTCTCTTCTGTTCTGAAGCCTTGACTTTGCTTGATACTGCCACCTATTTTAGTTTGTAATCTCTGAAGATATCTAGACCAAAACTTTTTTTTTATTAGGTTATTTGTTTATAGCTGCTGTGTTTGACTTGTTCTTCAAGAAATAGCTGTTAGCTTTTATGTGTGAAACCTCAGAGGTGAAGGGACAGTGAGGGACAGATATTTCACAGCCTTTGTCTACTTGAGTTAGCATATAAGATTGAATGAAGCTACTGTCCCTACTTTGCCCAGAATGTGCTTTTGAATTATAGTTTCAAAAACGAACTCTGAAAGAGAAGAGAGATTATATTTACTCTTTCTTTCCAGCTGTTGGAGAGATTGATTGAAATTTATTTCTAAAATTGAAAGCAAGAAACAAAGCATTATATGGGCAGAAGGTTAATGGGAATTGTGTAGGGACCCTGAGTGCTTTGTGCTGAAGACATCACTGGCATCAGATCCATGAGGAAAACACTAACAAATACTTAGAGTCAATGGATTTCTTTTGTTTACTTTTGGAGAAGCAACTTTGTATGTTTAAAACTTAATCCTTATCCAGTTACTGAAACTGAGAATCAAAGGAAAGGATAGCAATATTTCAAGTTTTGCTATATTTTATATTTTTCAGTATGATATGGTTGAGTAGAATAGGAACTTGTTATTTTGTATGGATAATCGCTTATCAAGGTATATGTAAATAGAATCAGTAATTATAATTAAAGATACCTTGAAACCAAAGAAAATGACTGAGGTGAGTCTTAATGAATTTAGAGGTTTATTTTGCCAAAGTTGAGGAGATGCCTGGGCTAAAGGGACATAAGCCACAGTAGGACCTGTGGCCTGTACTTTTTCCAAAGAGGATTTTGAGGTCTTCAATATTGATATGGTTTGGTTCTGTGTCCCCACCAAATCTCATGTCAAACTGTGGTCCCTGATGTTGGAGGTGGGGCCTGGCAGGAGGTGATTGGATCATGGGGGTGGATTTCCATGAATGTTTTAGCACCATCCCCTGGTGCCGTTCTCGTGGTAGAGTTCTCACGAGATCTGGTTGTTTAAATCTATATGGCACCTCCCCTCTCTCTTGCTCCTGTTCCTGCCTTCTAGGACATGCTGACTCCCCCTTTGCCATCTACCATAGTTGTAAGCTTCCTGAGGCCTCCCTAGAAGGTGGGCATGTGCTAGCATCATGCTTCCTGTGCAGCCTGTGGAACTGTGAGCCAATTCAACCTCTTTTCTTTATAAATTACCCAGTCTCAGGTGTTTCTTTATAGCAGTGCTATATAGATATATATATAATAGAGAATGGATTAATACAAGTATTTAAAGGAGGAAAAGCAGGCTGTAAGAGAAAAGAGAAAGAAAGAGGGCAAGGTCACATTCTTGTGAGTCTTTGACTAGAGTTCATTGAATCCACATGTTGCATGTGAAAAGAAGGGGGCAGGGGGGACAATCAATTATGTATTTGTCTCAGGCTCAGTGAATCTGCATTTCTGATCAGTTCTGTCCAAAGTGAATAAACACTTTGGGCCATTCAGAAATGGTATAAGCATACTCAGGCCCATGTGTGGACTCACGTTGCAGTGCTGTTTTGCTGTTCCAACTATCAAAAACAAGTTCTCAAAGCCTGAGTCTCTTAAAAGTCAGAAGGAGCCTTACAGGTCTGATTCTGCCACAAATGTAAGGTGACCTGTGTTTAAACTTGTAAATAAAACCTATCAGAGCAACATTTCTGAAACTTCAGTGTGCATACAAATAACTAGGGATCACTTGGGATCTTCTTAGAATTGCAGATTCTGTGGTCTGGGCTAGGGCTGAGATTCTGCATTCCTAAAAAGATCCTAGGTGTATCCCAGTCCTGTTGGTCCCTAGGTTACACTTTGAGAAACAAAGTCTTAGAAAGTAGCTGAGAGACATCCAATCTCCTCCCATCCCCAAATCAGGGACTCTCCTTTTCTAATTCTCCCTTACAGGTGTTTTTTCCCTTTGGGGACAGCGTGAAAATACTGCCATCAATGATTACCTTTCTAGGATTGCTAATATTAAGATATTTCAAATAACCTTTCAGATAACCACTGAAAACTTCATTCCTTGTTCCCATCATAGCTCCAGCATCTAGAATGGCTCCTGGCACTACCAGGGCCTGAATAAATATCTGCTGAATGGGATCATGAATGGGTGAATATATAACATTCAGACTTTGGGATATTATGAATACTATTCATGTTTGGTTTTCACTGTTAAATTTTTGATAGCAACCCTAGAAACACATCAAGAAACTGTATAATTCTCTATGTATAGGTGTAGAGTGTTAAAGCCTTTGGAACGTTAAATTATTTTGAGCCCTGAGAGGAATGTGTCTATGTAGCTTGAGTCATGTGAGTATACAGTTGTAACTTCTGGTTTTTCCTGTAAATGAGTAGGAATGACTGAGTGGTGCCAGAGGTAAGACCCTCTCAGAACATTACTCCTCCTCACAGAATGTTAAAGCAGCCTTCCTTGGGATGTAGCAAGCTATATTAATCAAATCACTGCAATGTACATATTGGCCTTGTAGGGAAAATGTTGCCATCCTCCCAAAACTGTTTCTGCCTATATAAGTGAAACCTTAGCTTCTCTATTTTGAACCACTGACCCCATCCCTTTGGAGTCTGTGTTTTCTGTGTGCCTGTCCTCAAGCTTTGTGCTTGAATCAACTCTATGCTTAGTTATATTTTCTGAATCTCATTTTAAGTTTGACAAGAGTATATATACTGAAACCCGATTCTTCCTTGCTGTGGGTTGTCAGGTTGACATCTGATCTCTTTTCAGTGAGTGCTTCTTCCTTAAATTTAACTTCCTCTTTAATTAACCAAGTTAAGTAATTTCACTGTCATAGCTAACAGCAAAAAGGCAATATGAAATAGAAATTCGATGACCTTCAGAAAGGTTATGATATGTTTATATTCTTTTACGGTAAAGACAGTTCCACTGTTCCTCTTTAGAAACAGTTATGATAGCACAGGTGCCAGATTTGATATTTTTTCTTTAGAAACAGTTATGATAGCACAGGTGCCAGATTTGATATTTTTCATGTTAACTTTCACCAATACTCAACTAAAATCCTCCCTTCTCTGCACAGTTTTTCTTGACTCCATCCGATAGGCACACTTTGTAACTTTATCTCCTATGCTTGGCTTCATGCTAGTTATATCAATTACCTTATTATATTGCAGTTTCTTACTTGCTCATCTTTTACTCTGTGACAATCACTTCATTGAAGACAAAACCTTTCATATATGTATTCTTAGATGTCTCCAGGGGTGCTCAGTATAATGTTGGACCCACAGCAGCAGTATATGTTGACCGAAAAAAATGAATAAATGGTTTGAGCATTTAGAGAGTTATAAAACCAAACTAGGCAGAAGAATGTATCTGGGGCAGCTTTCTGGAGAAGGTGATGGTGATCACTTGGTTTGATACTATCTCTTGCCCTATAATTATGATAATAGTGCCCCCAGTATTTTAAAGTTGTAAATAAATGATCCATAAATGCTGTTGCTGTGTAATCAATAAGCCATGAAGATACTTACAGAATATTATAACTTAATTCTTAAAGGAAGGAACTTGTTGAGGACATAGAAGTGACTAGAATTGCATCCGTTATCTTGAAAAGTAAATTGGTATATTCAACAAATACTTACTGAGCAAAGATGAGTAAAACTGGTTACCTGCTTTCAAGGGGTTTGTGTTCTCCTGATGCGTAGACTAACGTCATCAAACAGACTGTGCTTAGCTCTGTCGTGGAGAAGCAAACAAAATGCTATGAGAACCTAAAGGGAAAAGACATGGATTCCAGCTGGAAGGACTCCAGGCTAACTAGTTGAATATAAATATATATATATATTTTTACATAGATTCTATTTCTTTCGGCTTCTTAAGCAGAATAAGTCTACCGCAGGCAATCTGACCTCTTTGTGATCATTCACATGAACACTGGTTTTGGGGCTCAGTCATTGAAAGCTGCTGTCTCTGTACTGCATTTTCCAGACTATTCTGGGCTTTTGCATCTGCTCCTGGCTCTTTGGTGCCTCTCCGATGGGTATCTTGCCAGCTATCCATGTGCTTGCTTCTCTATTCTCTTTCCTCAGTCTGGTTTGCTATGGGCTGTAACATAAATAAAGAGAAAGTGAGATTGCATCAGCTTTGAGTATCCTGAAGCATTTTTATGGGAGTGACAGCTAAGTATAAAGAGCATTTAGGAAATAATAGCCATTTTATCATTTAAAGGCATGTGTACTTCCTGATAAGTATTCGCTTATTTATAAGGATAGATATCTTCAATTAAGTTCCTACTACGTGCTTGGCATCATAGCAGTTGCTTTGTAGATATTGTTTCAAATTCTCAGAATGATCCTGTAAGGTAGATAGTATTATACCCATTTTATAAAAGAGGAAACTGAGATTTAGAGTAATTAACTTTCTCTGGGTCTCATAGTTGGTACATAGTAGAGCCTGATTCTACCCCAATCTGACTCCAAAGCCTACGTTCCTTCGCCTGACCCGTTCTGGCTCTGTAGGTGATACTAAGTGTCCTGTGCTAAGTGTGGGGGATACGTGACTAAGGGGACTCCCTTCCTCCCCTTACAAGCTTTGGACCAGGTATTTAAGGGGCTGGATAACTGATTCCGGTGGGGGAAGTTCTTACTATTTTATTATGTAAGATACAGATAGTCCAATGGTGTTTGCTCCTTTGTTTATCTTCTGCAGTATTTGCTTCTTTTGAGTCCAACCAAGAGATACTAGGTAGGGGTAGAAGGTTTGTCACAATCTCATAGTTATTCTTTCATCTGTGCTGGGTCCCTTTGGGGAATTAGATAAAAGGACTTTTATCTAAGGGAGTTAATGTCTTTACTTCTAGATCTAGACTATTTGAAGCCATAAGAACTATATATTATACCTGGCACATGTGTACTGAATAGTAAATGGATATGGTTTCAACTCTACTATAATTTGAAACAGCTCCAAAAGTATTTCAACTTAACATTCTTCATTCACTTATACCAACTCTGGCTTTTACAATTATCTGGCTTGTTGCCACTTATCATTAAATATTTCAAAATTTTCACATAGCAAAGTTAATTTTAATTCATTCCTAAATATGTGCCATAAAAAATCTTTAAAAAAGCAAACTTAGACTAATTCAGAGGTTAAAGGGCATTAAACTTTGTGTTTAGTAACAAAATGGTGAAGGTAAAACTCTAAAAAGGGTGATAAATTAACTCTTGAATAAATGATTTTGTGGCACATTTAAATGACTAGAAATTAGGGTAGTGTTTATACCTTTATTATTAAATTTCCGTGTTGTAGAAGTAAATGTTTTTCCACTCTTTGAGTGAAGTTGTGTGTGTCTTTTCATAAAGCAGTATATCAATAGTAATCATATCTACTTAAACGTTATTTAACCCTTCTATGTAGATTGCATTATGCTGTTTGTTATGAAGTACTTTTTTTCCATATCTTGATCCCTGTCTGGGGAACACTGACATTATAGGGACTTTTCCAGGGTTCTAAACTTTTCTTGTCAGCCTCTACCATCTTTACTAGAAGAATAAAAGGAAAGTGGTCTATAGAATAATTTATTTAGTAAATATCCTGACATTCAAAGGAATTCATCACTCAAACAGAATAAGCTGTATTTTTCCAGTGTGTAAGTTATTCCTGGAGAGGGTGAAGGGTAAGTCGGACTCTTTTAAGATTTGCCTTAACACTTTTAGAACAAAGAGTACAAGTTGTTAAATTTGTACCCAGGAGGAATTGATGCCAGTTATAAAAGTGCCCAATTTGGCCTTGCAGAATATTGAGAGAAACTACATGCAGCTCTCATTCTTTATTTCCCACTGACTAAATGGCTTTACTTTCTTATAACAGAAATTTATTACTGTTTGCTGTACTGTATGTGGATTTAGGATCCCAAAGCTGGCTGAGAATTGTTATGGCCAGTATCTGTCTGTGACCATCTCTTACAGTTTTATGATTCATCTGTACTTTGGCATTGAACACCTTCTGTGCTAGGAGTTGGGGGTAGATTATCTAAAAAGTGAATAAGAGAGAGCCCCTGCTTTTGTCACTCATGGTCTAGTTGGAAAGAAGACACATAAAAGCACAGTAAGGATAGGATGTAGGAAGTGCAGGAAAGAGCTGCGAGCCCTAGGAGGGACATGGACCACAGAGGCTTCCTAGAAACCAGGTGCTTTGAGCTGAGGCAAGAGGTTGAGCAGACCTAGCAGGGAGGGCATCCCAAAAAACTTTTGCATCCATCCATGCACTTTGCTTCCATTTTTATTTCTCTCACTTTTCCTCTGGCCGCTTCCAGTCTCCTCAGCCTCCCACAGCTGCTCAGCACACCGTTTCCCTTCACTCCGTTTCTCTCCAGCTCTTGTTCTTCAGGGCCTTCCCCACAGGGACTCCACACACGGGCTCCTTCCACACCAAGGTTAGCAGAGCCAACAAGCACCCTGGGAGAAACACACACTTCCTTGGTGGCAAATTGGAAATCATCACTGCTTTTCTGTAGACATTTAGCCGCAGATTTGATTCAAAATCCTGTTAGTAGGTGGTGACTGAAATAGTTTAGTGGGGGCAGGGAACAGCAAGAGGTAGGAGGAAAGCCATTCAGTAAATCCCCCAAATCCCAATGTTTGCCCTGCTCATTTGAGCAACTGCTCCCATTGTCAGGAGAAGGTCATTCCTGTATGAATGTTTACATCACAAATAAAATGAAGCTTCAGTAGACATTCAATAGAAGTTGAGTTGTGTATGTATTAACAAGAAGTACTAAGGCTGGAGATGTTATAAATAGCATTGAACATCCATCAATACTAATAGATTTTTCTGTTTACTAAAACATTTCTACTCTCAAGCAGAGGGAATAAAAATGGGGTGACTACCTCTCTTTCTAAGGTAGTGCTTCTCTTCACCTCACTAGGGCACGGTACATCTGGATTGACTTGATAAGCATCTGGAGTTGGGCTGTTAGTATTGTCGTCGTCGTCTTCTTCTTCTTCTTCTTCTTCTTCTTCTTCTTCTTCTTCTTCTTCTTCTTCTTCTTCTTCTTCTTTCTTCTTTCTTTTTTTCTCTTCTTCCTTTTTTTTTTTTTTTAAGAAATGGGGTCTCATTATGTTGCCCAGGCTGGTCTCAAACTCCTGGGTTCAATCAGTCTTCCTGACTTGGCCTCCCTAGTATCTTCTAAGTAATCTAGATAAGACAGAGCCAATGTGTGTGAAAGGCAAGTGGTAAAGTGACAGTTGTTTTTGTACCTGTGGTACAGCAAATGCTCTGAATTCTGTGGCTTTCCATCACTGTTTGACGTTGAGGACAGGTGTCCTTCCTTGACTCTAGCTATGGAGAAAATGTGGCTTGTATACCTGCCATTATCTTCAACTCTAAGCACCACTACTGGAGGCAGTATTGTCAGTATCAGCACCTCACCTCACTCCTGGGACCCAGGAACACCCCCTGAGTCTTGCTTAGGACCCCAGAGCCTCAGCCAATCAGGCTTTGAACTTCCTTCTAGGCAGTGTGTTGACCTACTCCATTGAATGGTCTGTTCTCATGCCAGTTGGACAGGGCTCCCTGATGCCTCCACACACTCTGTCTTTGGTCTTCTTGACAGAATGTTGTTGGTGTTCAGCTTTCAGCTTCTAATAAGGGGTGGTTGAGTTGGAGGGAGAAGAACCACAAAATTCAGTAAGTCCAAGATTTTTGGTTTTAAGCATACCAAATAAGCAGCCACGCGATGTTGAGAGCCCTGGCGGGTTAGGGATCTCCATGACCTAGGATACTGCAACTGATAAATCTGCTCCTGATCATTGCTGCCTCCCAAAGATGTGTCTTATCAGTGAGCCCATTTCCTGCACTACAGAACCAGAGCCACTGGCCAGGAGTCAGCTAATGTTTAGAAAGGATGAAAGTCTGGCTGCTGCATTTCCTGTCTTGTAGATTGATGACCTTTAGCTGTTTTGTTGATGTCATTGTATATCTGTTTTTTTGGGATGAGTATAACAAGAAAGGAAAATGGTTAATCTAGCAAGAACTCATTACACCGTGAATGATGGAGGGTAGGCTCCTGTTTTATTCCGATTTGATTTGTTTGCTTCATTGGGGAAAACAAATGATCATGTCACCCTATAGAGAATTTCGCTTTCCCTTTGACGTACAAATAAACAGCCTCGCACGTTTCATTTATTTTTGCCGCTGCTGGAATGGTTGATTAAAAAAAAACAAAACAAAACACATTGTTATGCTGCTTTCCTATGTCCTGACCTTCACCACTGGGTAGAGAAGGAAAACCAGTAAAACATCTCTATTCTTTTAAAAAATGAAGGACCCTTAACTAGAAATGCCCATTAGAAACCAGAGTCCATTACAGTGAGATGGATGAGCTGATAAACCAAACCAAATTAAACAACAGGGAGGAGGACATGGGTCTTTCTTTTATTTCTTATAATATACCTTAGAGATGAGGATTCACCTTTTGTTAATTTGTTAAAACACTAAAGTGTCACCTTCTTTCTTCCTGTCTTCCTCATTCGATGGACCACACCTAGTAATGAATACATTTGTTCCTTGCCATTAAAAATGGGTATTCAGCCTAGGGCATACAAAGCATATGTTCGGTATTAGTTGTTAGAGGGTTAAAGATGCTGGCTAATTTGGGTTTTTCCAAGACAAAAGCCTAACTGGCAACTTTGTGGCCTCTGGTTTCAAGTCTACTTCCTATTTATATCCCATGACACTCAGGTTCTTGAAACTTGGCAAAAAGCCTCCAGCGTTTTGTGATTTTTTTTCTCATTGGCCAATATCAATTTGTAATGAGCCAAACCTGACTTGAGTAGCAGATCTACAGGCCCATATCTTGGAGGTATATAGGTATTTGGCTGTTGAGGGCATAGATTAGGAGGTCTCTTGACATTCTGTTGCTAGGTTACTGAACCCTGAATTACTGAACCTTGAACACAGTATTTGTGTTCTCAAATTGGTATTTATGATCGAAAGCAGCTGCTATTCATATTTTTTTGGGGGGGAATACAGGGAAATATAAAATAAATAAAACTAAGTAGTTAGATACAGTGCATCAAAAAGTAATTGTAAGAAAATGTTATTACAAACCAGGTAAAAGAGATTGATTCCCCCTTCCTCTCCATCCAACATCAGAAGAATTATAGTGTTCGGCCGGGTGTGGTGGCTCATGCCTGTGATCCCAGCACTTTGGGAGGCTGAGGTGGGCGGATCACCTGAGGTCAGGAGTTCAAGACCAGCCTGGCCAACACAGTGAAACCCTGACTCTACTAAAAATACAAAAAGTAGCTCAGCGTGGTGGCAGGTGCCTGTAATCCCATTTACTTGGGAGGCTGAGGCAGGAGAATCACTTGAACCTAGGAGGCGGAGGTTGCAGTGAGCCGAGATCATGCCATTGCACTCTGGCCTGGGCGACACGAGCAAGACTCCATCTCAAAAAAAAAAAAAAAAAAAAGAAGAAGAAGAAGAATTATAGTGTTCATGTGCAGGCAGTTGTTGGTCAAGCCTTTGTAGAGCTGTGGCATCAGCTCAGCTATGACCTAGACTTGTAATAAAAGTCAACTGATGCAGTTGTGCATGCTGCAGGCCAATCCTCGTGATCTCAGGGTAGGGCTTGGGATGTCAGTCTAGGGTATATCTTTTTCTTTCTTTGCCTTTTTACTCCTTTTCTACTAAATTTTCTCTTCTATTCATAATTTTTATCATATGGACAAAAGTTTCTATTTGAAAACCTTTATTCAGAGAATAATTACTACTTTGTGTAATTATACTCTCAACATTTGACCTTTTTATATAGCCTGTAATAATTATAAATTTTCAGCTGCACTTTTGGTTAAAGCTTTTATTTTTTTACTAATTTCCGTAGGTTTCTCATCTTACACACTTTTGCTTTCTAACCAACATGTCAGGTGAGAAATGTTTATTAATCTTCTACTTTGTGCAAAGAATTGGATAGAATCAAAGACATCAAAACCATGACTTGCCTTAAAAATTTATAAATGACAATGCATACAAGTTAACAATATAGAACAACAGTGAAGATGTCCCAAGGCTGTGTATAGAATTATTTCCTAAAATAGAGGTAAATGCTAACTTCAAAAGGAAGAGGACTCCCTGTGGGCCAGGTTGGACTGAGATGGAAAAATAACTGCAGACAATTATGACATGTAGCAACATGGATAGGTGAGGAATGGCTCACATAGACACATATAGATGACGTTAGAGAAGGGGAAGATCTGAGTGCCTGGAGCAAGATTTCTTAGAGGTGATAAGACTTGTTCTGGACCTTGAAGGTTGGGTAGAATTTGAATAACAGATGGAGATTAATGGGGAGGGCTTTCTATTTAAGAGGAAGACTAAGCAGAGAACAGGAAAGTACATAGTGGGATTAGTAGCTACAGACTAGACTGGCTGGAGCAAGATGCCTATAAAAAGCTAGATGGGATTGGAAATATGGATGGAAAGCCTTGAATTCCATGAGAAGGAGTTAAAACTTTCTTTTGGAGGCATTCATTTATTTTTTATTTATTGAGCACATGTTCTGAGCTAAGCCCTGTTAGTAGCTGGTGATATACCACAGGGGACAAGAAACATATATCTGTGCCTCTCAAGGAGTTTGCATTCCTTACTTATGTACCCAGTAGACAGGTAATTAGGAAGTAATAATATCCTGCACTATGATGAGGGCTATGAAGGGATAATTATGGGGTGTGCTGGGACTTTTTGGGAAGAACAGCTTACCTAGACCTTAAGTTATTAAGGCAAAGGTGAAGGAGAGCCTTCTAGGCAGGGTGGTGGCACATGCCACCTGTGGCAGGTGCAGAAGAAAAAGACAGTCCCCTGCTCACCATTTTCAAGAGGATTTGTTGAGTTTCTGCTCTCTGCCTGACAGGGCACCTGGCATAGCAAGAGAGACAAATACAGGAGATGGTTTCTGCCCTCAAAGCGCTTAGTATCTACTTTGAAAGAAATGTTTAAGAAATATGAAATAGTTGACTCTCATAGTAAGAGTTTAGGAAAGAGAGCAAATTGAAGGAAGACATGGAATGGTGTATAGACTTCCTCCTGGAAAAATATAGCTTAAGCAGAAATGGAGAAGTAGGACTATGAGCAGAATATTGAGGAAGAGGGGTGGTTTTCGAGACCCACCTGATGTGATGAAGAGGTTGCTTAGCTACCTTGGAGCAGTAGGAAGAGGCAACAGCGGGTCAACAGGGCTGGGTCCTGGGGGACCCCTAGTAAGTTATCTAAACTCTGCCTCAGTTCTCTCTCTTTCTCTCTCCGCCTCTCTCTCTCTCTTTTAAAGAGAGAAGGGATCTTGCCGTGTTGCCCAGGCTGATCAGGAACTCCTGGCCTCAAGTGACCCTCCTGCTTCAGCCTCCCAAAGTGTTGGGATTACAGGAGTGAGCCACCATGCCCAGCCAGTTTTCTAATTTGTAAAATTAGGAACCTTGACCTTAGTCATGTCTAGCTTGAAAATCCAGGTATATCTTAGACTTTACCCTAAAGGCATTAGTTAATCATGGAGGATTTGGGACCAGAGGAAGGACCCAACAGAATTTGTGCTTTAGGAATGCTAATTTGTCTTTCTCTTAGAAAATTAATGTGATAATTTATTAGAAGTAAAATTTTTTACTGAAATGTTTAATCATATTCTGACACACTGAAAAGCCAGTAGGGTCATCCTGATTTCCATTGGACATGACTATGTGAGTTTTTTTCTCTTTCAAAAAAGCAAAAAACAAATAAAAATCTGGGCATAGAAAAAGCCGATTAATAATAAGTAAGAGATTTTGGGGCTTGGTCCAGAAAATGATCTACAAATTTAGATTTTAATTTAGATTCTAAAAATTCTTTTAAATTTTCAGAGAGATCTTGGAATTGGAAAATGCATGTCTTTTGTTTTTATCGGCCTGTTCCTGGGGTGGTAATGGCAGTGATGTAATAGAGGTGATGGGATATCATCCCAGATTCAAGAAAAATAAGCAGTTTGCCAGCTGTACCTTTGTCGTATGCAGGAATGTAACCACCACAGCTGGGCCACCCAATGGAGGGCTCACAGAGACAGACAGCTGGGGCAAAGGGCTCCTTAGAATAGAATGTGATCAGATCCTCAATTTACCCTAATACTGTTATACTGTTTTCTGATAAAAGAGTGTGTCATCAAGTCACACCTTTAGTGCTCTATTCAGATAAAAACTTCAAATTTTAATGTCTCAGACTGGAAGTAGATGTGATGTGCTGAAGAGTGTTAACACCACGAGGCGCTGGCTGATGCATCTTGACGCTGCACTGCCGTCTCCTGGTGGTCAGCCTCAGGCATGTTCTTCCTGCCTGTGTTGTCTAGTTCTGAGCTTGTCACTATGGTCTCTTTCTCTAAGTACTTTTTGCTGTAGGAAAGAACACCATGTTCACTAATAGCGCTACTTCAAATGGAGAACATTGGCTGATTTAAAATAATTATTTTGGAATAGGCTACAATTTCTGGTAAAGGTCATTTGTGAGGTCCTAATAGCTCATATCGTGTAACCGTATGTGTTCTTTAATAGTGTTTCAGCTGAAGAAGGGCATCAAGGTTAAGGAAGAGCATCTTGCCCTCACTTTTATGTTTTGTTATCTCAAACCCCATGAAACATCCCAGAAATGGTGGTAGGTACGGTCTAAAGACTCTTCAGTCCGGAGTAATGAGCAAACTCGTCAAGGGCAGTAGAATACTGGTACATGAGAAGGGAGAGGCCATCACTCAACTGACTTTGCATTGCCCTCCTGGGTCTCTTCTCTCAGTTGCCTGCTTTTTGTTTTCCTTTAGTGGATGATTGCACAGAATGTGTTTTTGGCCAAGTGCTACAAAATCAATGAAGTTCCCAAAAGTCTTGTGCATTTCTTGAGAGCAATATGAGAACTGAGGTGCCTTTTTCTTAAATGTGGTAGGTTAAAGGGGCATTGATTTGTGCTACCTGAAAATAATATTTATAATTTCAATTTGTTTTGCCTTCTAAGGACATCACCCTTAAATAGTTCTTTGTTATGGTAAACTAATCGAAGATTTAAGTTTAAGCAAAAACTTATACATGCAAACAAAAACCTTGATTTTTTTTTTCAGATGGGCAAGATTAGAGGTACTAGTAAATATCCCTGGATTCTATTGGAAAGTGAGGAAATGGACATTACAGTCTAGTTGTCTTACTTATTTTGGAATCTCTGGTCCCTAGTGGAATGTTGAGGACTAAGCAGGTTTCCCAAAAATGATTGTTGAAATAAATAAATAGCACAATTTTGGGGGGCAGATTAGGGCCAGTCATACAAGTGCTAACAGCTTTCAGAATTCCATTATACTGGTATGAAACTACATATTACTCCTTTTCTGTCTTTTTAGGGAGTATATACTAAACATAATTTAAGATTCTCTATGATGGCCCAGATAAACATTTTTAAATTTAGTTATTGGTGATGAACTGAAGAAGTCATTGTCCATGCAGGTGACCCAGGACATGGGGCTGAGAGGGGTACTCCCTTCCTTAAAAGCCGTCTCATCTCTTCATGAAAAGGAGTTTCTAAGAAAATTCATTCATTCATTTATTGCAGACCTACTATGAGCCTGACATTGTGCCGGAGGGAATACAGAAGGGAATGATGAGGAGATGGTCATGGCCTTGGAAACCTGCCTGGTGAAGGAGACAGACATATAAAAGTGTAATAGTTGGAAGATGTGAGCTACATGCTCATTGAGGCTATGATGAAGCAGGAGAGAGCTCACTGACCTTGACTTGTCTTTACATAGTCTTTCCCTTTAGAGCCCTTGGATATGGCACACAGAGGCTGACCTCCCTGCCCCAGCACAGCAGAAACCCCTGGCACTGCTCAGGGCTGCCTTTGCAGGTGCTGTACAGGGAGCATGTACTTCTGCTGCAGAACTGCTGTCTCCTGCTTTCTGTCTGCATCCAGTCTGCCTGTTTATGTTTGGTACAATTCCTAAAAACCACCAAGCTGCCAAAATTAACCTCTCATCTGTCTTGACCATCTCTTCTTTCTAGTGTCTCTTGTCCCTGCCCCTCTCATCTTAGAGTTCATCACTATTCCATTACATAATAATGATGACAGTGATGGTAATGACAATAGCTATCTCTTATTGATTGCCTACTACTATGTGCCAGGTGCTGTCCTAAACACTTTCCTCTCAAAATTCATGAGGTCATATATCATTTTATAAATGAGGACCCAAGGCACTGTGAAGTAAGTAATTTGCCCAGAGACACAAAACATCTTTCTTTCCATCAGTCACAAAAATCACAAAATACTGGGTATTCTCTGTTGTAGTTTTCATCTTTAGAGCTTTTATGGTGTGTGTGTGTGTGTGTGTGTGTGAGAGAGAGAGAGAGAAACAGACAGACAAAGAGAGATTGAGAGAGAGAGAAAAAGAGAATGAGACAAAGTCCTTCCCCCCAAAAAGAGGGTTTTATGTTTACTTTTTTTGTTTTCAGGAAACTTCCTAATCTTGAGCTGTTCTAGATAGACCTTGACAGTTCCAGAAGGAAGACTTTCGGATAGTCAGGGCTTTCCTCTAGAGATGCTTATTTCCTTGAGCAGCTCTCTGCCTAGCAGGATGGAAGCAGGTTTTCTGAATCATTGGATCATCTCAGACTCTCTTCAGACCTGAAATAATGTGGCCCGAGGCAGAGCACAAGGAGAGAAGGATCTTAGGTCACAGTTTACATCAGTCTCTCATGGATAATTTTATTTATTTTATTAAGGAGGGGGAAAAAAGGAGGAAGGTGGTTATTTTGGAAGGGAAGAGGGATATGTATGTAAATTTTAAGGGAAACAGTTTTTCAATTTGTAGGATTCAGATCTTTTCAAAGTATTATAATACTACATTACATTATTAAAATTATTGACAATCCTAAGAATATTAAATATATTTTTACTCAAATATCAAATCAGGTACTCAAAATATGAATAGGCTTTTTTGTTTTTAAAAAAACGATTCTTGGCTGGGCAGAGTGGCTCATGCCTGTAATCCCAGCACTTTGGGAGGCTGAGGCAGGCAGATCACCTGAGGTCAGGAGTTCAAGACTAGCCTGGCCAACATGGTGAAACACCGTCTCTACTGAAAATACAAAAATTAGCTGGGTGTGGTGGCACACACCTGTAATCCCAGCTACTCAGGAGGCTGAGGCAGAAGAATTGCTTGAACTCAGGAGGCAGAGATGCAGTGAGCCGAGATTGTGCCATTGCACTCCAGCCTGGGCAATACAGCAAGACTCCATCCCAAAAACAAAACAAAAGAAAACAAAACAAACAAAAAGGCCGGGCTTGGTGGCTCATGCCTGTAGTCCCAGCACTTTGGGAGGCTGAGATGGGTGGATCACTTGAGGTCAAGAGTTCAAAACCAGTGTGGCCAACATGGTGAAACCCTGTCTCTACTAAAAATACAAAAAAAGAGAAAAAAAAAGTCAGCCAGGCATGGTGGCACGTGCCTGTAGTCCCAGCTACTCAGGAGGCTGAGGCACGAGAATTGCTTGAACCCAGGAGGCAGAGGTTTCAGTGAGCCGAGGTCGCGCCACTGCACTCCAGTCTGGGTGACAGAGTGAGACTCTGTAATAAAAACAAAACAAACGAACAAAAAAAACTATTCTCATGTTTGCTTCTAATGATTAGCTTAGAAAATTCATGATCTTTCGTGTGTTTATTGTATTTCCTTACATCTACCTCAGTAACCAGCTTAAGGCTGAGATTACAAGTCATGCTAGCAGTAAACTAAGGGATTGAACTGGATTGAAAATGTGGAATATATTGGATTTGTGTAGAAGTTGAGGCTTTGCAATTCAATGATGAAAACACATGTGCTTTTCAGATGTGTGCATGGGCCAAGGGATCAGTGGCATTAACTCTTTTTTGTCATCTGGCACCATGAAAGTAAACTGCAGGTTTCTGAGAGATTAATCCAGCTACAGTTCTCTGTTGTAGTTTATGGTGTTAGGGAGGATCAGCAGCTCAGACTGATAGGACATCTGTTTCACTATACTCTCCATCAGCAAATGCTTACGGAGGGTATGCTAAGAGTTGCACATTTTGCTGTATGATCCTGCATCCCTTGGTGCATAAAATAAAGCTAGGGCAAGCACTAATTTAATTAGCTTGAAATATCTTCTGACTCTCATAAGCATCTCTGATCCTTTGTTTCCTTGCAATGTACATTAATCATTGGGATTTTATTTTACTTTATTATGTTTATGATCTGTTAGCCCTGGCTGGATGCTGGTCCTCCAAGGGCAGGAATCCTATCTGTTTCTTACACTATGTTTCAACATGTGGAGTGCCTAGGATGTTTTTCCATGGCTATTCTGGAAGGATCACTACTTATTCTCTTTGATTAAAATCAAATTGTGCCTTTTAGTAATTCATACTTATTCTGCATTCAGTTTTGTGTGTGTGTTTTTTTATTTTTAAAAGTCTCTCCCTTTCCATCTGTTTTCTCTCGTTATCTCTGTCTGTTCCTGGTCATTGGTAGTCTGAGTGTGCTTGGGTTAGGTCAGCAAAGTTGCCTGCTATGAGGGCCCTCTGGGCAAGCTGATTTCACCCAGTGCTCATGAAAAGCCCCACGTCTGATTAGAAGTGTTGTCCACCTGGCATAGCAGAGTACACGCAGAATATCACCTTGCATATATAAGTGCTTTTTCAAAGCATTTTCTTATCTACTTAGATTTTCAAAACAGTCCAGAAAAAAAAGGGGGAAAACAGGTGCTGCTATTATTAATTTTAAGATACTAACAAGGAAATCACATGGCTTTGTCCTAAGTGACATGGGGAACCAGCAGCACATCTGTCAAGAAATTCTAGTCACAGGTGTCTTTCTGTAAAAGCAGTGGTGCAGAGGTCCCCCATGACACAAGCTG
Source organism: Homo sapiens (assembly GCF_000001405.40). Lineage (NCBI taxonomy): Eukaryota > Metazoa > Chordata > Mammalia > Primates > Hominidae > Homo > Homo sapiens. The sequence goes on from NC_000001.11 coordinate 184,470,544, forward strand.
AAGACCTCTTGCAAATACCTTTGGTATTCTGGGTCTTAGAAGTGGAAGAAGAAGGCCAGGTGTGGCGGCTCACGCCTGAAATCCCAGTACTTTGGGAGGCCAAGATGGGAAGATCACTTGAGGTTAGGAGTTCGAGACCAGCCTGGCCAACGTGGCGAAATCCCATCTCTGCTAAAAATACAAAAATGATCCGGGCATGGTGGCATGCATTTGTAATCCCAGCTACTAGGGAGGCTGAGGCAGGAGAATCACTTGAACCCAGGAGGTGGCGGTTGCAGTGAGCTGAGATCACACCACTGCACTCCAGCTTGGGCAACAGAGTAAGACTCTTTCTCAAAAAAAAAAAAAGAACAAGAAAGAGAACTCAAAGTCCAGGAATATCTGCCATTGCCTTTGACCACTGAGGAGCAAATCTAGAAGCAGCATAAGTCTTCTGCATGGGTCCACACAGCTGTGAATGTGTGACTTTAATCAGGGGCTGGTGTTTTCCTCTCTTGCCTTCTCAGAAATAGTGTCAGCCATGCATGAGCTCATGTCAACATACACAGGTAACACAGAGGAGTTTTCTGGTGCAGGAGAAATGTGCAACACTCTTAAATCCTTAGCTGAAGAACAATTATTGCACCAACTTTTTCTAACCAGCTCCCTATAAGAAATACTGTTAAAATTAATTTCATTCATTAAAGGCAAGATAGAGAAGAAGAAATAGGGGATCTAAGCTGTGTTTATTTTTCCAGCAAATACGCAATTGAAATCAACGCTATTAGGCCAAAACATCATTGGTAATCATCTTTAGACCTTATAGGGCCTCCTGAAAATTTTGAGGTTTCAGACTTGCAAGTATGTCCTAGTTGAGTTAGTACTGAAAACAAAGAGTGTAAATAAATTGAATGTAGGTAAGACATGGCTTTTTTTTAAGTGGTCATTTCATCCTTTATATCACTACTTGGACATATGTTGAGGTAGATCATAGAGTCTAAGAAAGAGGCCGAGAGACATGAAACCCAGCCGTGGTCCTGAGGCAGGCATGTGACAGCTGGGACCAGAGCTCGGGCTTCTCATGCCCTCTCCAACACTCTTTCCACTTGCCACCTCTTCTCCTTGGCCCCACACCTTACTGCCTGAATCTAGCAGAAATGTGTCCTATTGCATAAACACTTATTGTGGTTACATTTCTGAGAGACAACTCTGTAGAATTACTATATGTGGACATGAGAGTTTTCCCATAAAGAAGGCAGAAGCCAAAATCCTTGTATCTTTGGAGTTAATAGCATATTGTCGATTGTCATGCCATCAGACGAGTGTGAGGTGAGGAATGAATGTGTTCTGTGATGCCAGCGATTGTTGGGTAATGAAAGGCTTGACTTTTCTAGATTATTCTCATGTCAAATGTGACATCTCTTTATGTATTATTTTTAACGTTCACAATGAAATGTGAAATGGTGTTAACAGTAGCCCAAGGATACCAAAGCTTCAAGATTAGAAATCACTTTTAAGTTGCCTTTCTTCTTCCCCCTCGGTGGGCTGCTGTATTAACACTCATTACAGTGAAGCCCAGCAGATGGGCAAACAGACTGATTAGTTATTTATATATATATAGATATATATTTTTTCCTTTATGGAGCTTAGATGTTAGCTGTTTCTTCAATAAAAGAGAGGAGTTTTTAGATGTGTCTTGTCTTGATTTGCCTTTTTAATCAGAAGAAGAAAGGGGGCACTTTGCTCCTGATCTATTAATAATGTGGCTGTATCCTTTGCTTAACTGCTGACTTCATAGCTCTCTGTGTGCCCGTTGCAATCAGAATTTGATTTCTTTCCAGTCCTCCAAGCCTCATGTTCTTTTTGGCCTAGAATTTCTTTATGGAATGTATCACTTTTAATTCGTATTTTAGAAGTGCCTTTCTTGACAGGGAATTTATCTACAATATTTTTGCCTTTTGTATCCAAAATGAAAAAGTCCATGACTAATTAGTGGAAAGTGAAATTACACATAATGTTATGTAAATAGAAATATTTTCCTGTAGCCTTTTTTTAAAAAAAGTTCAAATATCTCTGCTTTTTCTTAAAAACAGATTTTGCTTTTTTTATTCCTTCCCAATTTTATAAAAGTAGGATTTTTTTTAATGAAACCTTGTTTCTAGTTAAAAAAAACTAAGGTAATGAAAAGAATTATTATAATCTTTCCTTATAAAAGGACAAGGTATTTCATGTGTGTAATATGTGATATGTATTCATACAAAAGTAATGGACCTACTTGCCTGGGGAGAACTTTCTCATGTTGTCACATGAAGTATTCTGGAACAGTAGTTTCCCTTCTGATATCTGAAGCACCTTGAGGTACGGTGTAAGGAGAGGAAGAATAAACATGCACGGTTATACATTTTTAAAAATATTTCAACTGGGCTTACAAATTTGCTGATTATTTTATCAAAAGTGGGAAAAATGTCCTGTAAAGATGGCATTCAATTAGGCTAGCTCATGGTATCGTGGATTGCACTTCTAATTATATAAGGCAAGATAATGTAGACATACAACCATTTGGGGAGGGGTTTACACAAAGCCATGGGGCAGTTAATTGGACCTCATGTTTTTAGAGGTGCTTGATGATCCTATGACAAAGATCATTTAGATTAAAGAAAAGTCATCCTCAGTGGGACTTAGTTTTAGAAGATTCCATCAAATGTCAAAGGGATGCTTCGATTTAATTCTCACACTGTGATCTGTGACTTCAGAAATAACATGCTGGTAATAACAACATGTGACAACAAAAGTCTCAGAGCTGCTCCAGGTCGTGGTCTCTGCATGCTTGTTTGCACCATCAGACTTACCTCTCTCTAAGCGCTGTGGTTTCAGGAAGGTAAACAATAGAGCATGTGAGGTTGGGAGAGAAAAGCTGAGCAAAGCGAATGAAAAAATGGAAGCTAAAAAAAAAAATGCTGGAGTTTACGTGAAGGATAGCATAAACTGAAGGGAACGTCTTTTGAGCAGATGATTCTAGCGGTCTTTGGGGATATGTTTTTGAAGGTCTGCTCAGTGTGAGGTCTCAGTTGGATTGAGATTAAGTGAAAGAATTTTCGGTAGAAATGAAACCTTGACATTATATCAGGCTATAAAAGAGATACAAATCAGGGATATTTTAATCCTGTTTCTTTAGCTCTGCTCAGGTCTCTAACCTGACATTTCTTGATATGCTCCATTCCAAAGCTGAGCCAAATGCCTGTGAGGTGAACTCTCTTGTCATCCTGTATTTAAGCTGCAATAGCTGTACGTCATTGCTGCAAAACTGGTCTTTCTAATTATCTCCTTCTCTGATCATTCTTGTTCTATAGGGATAGAGAAGAAAAACATATATCTTGCCTTGTTTGCCACTATATGCACAATACCTACCAAACACATATCTGTCACTTAGTATTTTAAAATCAAAATCTGTTGATTAAATGAATGAATAATTGGACAAGTGTTTATGTGCAGAATCCAAATGACATAGTAAAAAACTTTCTTCAGTGATCTATGATTAACTTTGTGAATTAGAGATCTTTTGCCCCTCAAATGACTTCATAATTATCACCTTCAAATGAGTAAATTACTAAAATATATTCCTGATGAGGTCCTGAAACTTGAAAGCATCACTCTTAAATTTGAATTACTGCTATAAAATAATGTAGCACATATGTTTCAGAAACAAAATCTATACCTATTTATAATTTGGTGAGAACTCATATTGAGCTATAGTGCTTTAAAATATGTGTAATTAAATTGAAATTTCTTGAGTCATCATTTGAATTGGGTGTAAATCATGTCTAATCTGCTTGTTAACCTGCCCCTCACCCCAATGCTTGAATAATAGAGACATCCTTTAAAAAAAAGAGCCATTCTTCTGTGTCTTATTTCTGTTAGCCTTCTGCAATGTATTTGATTTCAAATAATTTCCACCTTTAAAATTCAAATAAAATTTTTTTGTGCAAACACAACTTTTAAAACACAGAAGAAATACCACTAACTGCTTTTCGGGAGTAGCAAAGGATAAGTCATGGCTTCAATTCTTCCCTTTGCTTCTTTGATAGCATAAGAGGCTGTAGATATGAAATTGGAAAAGCAAGAGGACTCTCAAAGAGGATGATTGTTAAGTTGTCTCTTAATTCTCAGTGTACCCTGATTTTGTTAGGATTGCCCCCTCTCTCCTGTTTTTACTTAGTTTATTCTGAAGAGGTGGCAGGGAAGCCACCTAGGTTCGCCCTCTCACTTCAATCTCTCCTGCATATGTGTAAGTGTGAAGTCGTTTTCCCATACTTCCTTTTTGAACAGTAAGGAATCATGTCTGGGAGCCCACGCCTGTTACCTTACGTGATAATGCTGGGGATGAGGAAGCAGGGGGATGGATGCTGCCCCTGAGAAGGTGCTGGCTGGGAATCCAAAACAGCAGCAATAGCAGCAGCAATAACAACAACAACAACAGCAAAAGCAGAAGTAGCAACAGCATTGGCTGCAGCAACAAAAACAGCAACTCGCAGCAGCCTCCGGGTTAGAGAGGGGATTCTTCCCTTCTCCCACCTTTACAGCTGAACCCCTTGTCCTCTCCCTCTTGTCTAATATTTCATTGATGTTTCTTCAAAAACTATGACAGGTTGACAGAATGGACCTCTCCACAACTCATTTAATATTTTCTCACAGTGTGCTCTAACTTGGATCAGAAAGAGTACCTATGGTCTTACGATGTCCTTTATTCAGTTGAATGAAGGTAGCAAGGCCTTCTGCAGGCCCTTCACGAAGTATCAGCAGTCCAGTCCTCAGCCCTGCCCCCCCATCCCCACCTGACCCCTCTGAAATGAACACACACAAATAGGCCATGCTCTTCCACATTCTAGTGTCTTAGCTCAGTCTGTTCCTTGCAGCTGAATAATGCTACCATCCTTTCAGCCTGGTAAATTTCTACCAAACCTTTGATACCCTACAAAAATACTACTTCTTTCCTCTGCCCAGTCATAATCTAATCTGCTTTTTTGAATTCTGCATTGCCATAGATTCCTGTGAAACCACAATCAGAGCTTGTATTACACTGTATTGCGTGCAATTTTTTAAATGTCAGCATCTCTTCTCCATAAGGCCCCTGAGCTCTATACACCAGTATGAATAGACCATCAAATAGAAATACTGTAGCCTTGAAGACATTACTGCTAAATAATGGAATAGGGTGTGTGTGTGTGTGTGTGTGTGTGTGTGTGTGTGTGTGTGTGTGTGTCCATCCACAGGCCTGGATTTCATATAGTTTGAGATGAAGACTTGTTAACATTAAGTTACATCAAGTATGGGGAAGATATAAACATTAGCCATCTAGGAGAAAATCTTCCTGGTTTGTAGAACTTTACCAACCAACTCTACACTTCCTATTAATAATTTAACATAACCACTGATAGAGAATAGTTTGAAGAATTATATGAGAAATGACCAATGTTATAGTCATTGTCAATATTTATGGCAATTTGTATTTGCTTGGCTTAATTTAAGATCACTGCCTTTTTATCTAAGTTCATTTATTAGATCGATTATGTTAATTTGAAAAATTCTCTTTGCTGAGATTTTATGGCTTAAATGATTAAATTTCTACATCCAGAGATGTCCTTAGTGCCCTAGCAAGGAGGGTTTAGGAGCTCTAGTCTTCTTGGTAGAGAAAGCTTATAGCTACTGTGTAGTAGCACTATCTGTGAAACTTGAGAAACTTCCACTGTTCATGGGCGGGGGGCAGTGGGACGTGGGTGCTGATGAAGATTCAAAGAGGCTTGATGCCTTCTTTGTTCTGCCAGGACTCTGAGGAGGTAAGGGCCTGTATTACAGTGGGAGGGATGGAAACAAAGGAATGTGTAGGAGAGATGTTTCAAAAGAAACATTTACAAGACTGGAGTAAGTCATCTATAGGCCTGGAATGGTTGGGTGAGGATGATGAAAGCATAAAACAAAAATGAGCAAGTTGAGCAGAGCAAACACTCAGAATTTGAGGAGCCACCTTGGATGGGGCAGGGAAAGGTAAAGTCACTTAAGTCAATTTGAAGATTATCTCTTTTGCAGTGTATCTGTAAATACTCTTTAAGCCTTTATGAGAAATCGGTAGAAGCATGAAGTTTACGCCAAAAGCTTGACAACTGCTTTGTTGCTTTTCTTCATATTTTGACGTCTTCTGCCCAATCCTTAAAACATTTGGCTAGCTAAGCAGAAAATGGACAGAAGTAAGTTTTAGACCTTGCCCCATCTCCTTCCTTTGTCTCCAAAACAGTGTCACCTCAGGTAAAATAAAATACTGAATTATTTACAGCCTTAACCAGAAATGTATAAAGTAGCCCATGTACCAGTCTGAGGAGGATGGCTACCGTTTCCTGGCAAAATTTGAGGAGCTGGGAGGGCTGGCTTCAGGGTAGAATGAGGAAGATGAAGAGCTTTTCCCAGCCTCCTGAACTAGGTGGATCTCAAGAGTGGGCTCTCCTTCCTCGACAGTTTTTGAGATTTCAGAACATTAGTAAACTTACAGGTACTTTAAGAGTATGTATGGCAAGCAGTAGTGCCCAAATACGTATTTGAATAAATACGTATTTTTGGTATCTCCTCAAAAAGTTCACTCCTTGGCCATGTGTTGCATAGGGACATGCCTTTCCATCTTGCTTTCTGAGTGGGAAATCAAGTGAGAATGGGCCACGCTGCACATGGTTCTTCTGTGCCCACCACAACACCAGTGCGATGGGTGGGTCTGTGCATGACTTCTAGTATACTGCAGGGCACAGCACACCAACATAGTGAGGCTTGTGTTTTGCTGCAGTCACTGCCCATTCTAATCTAGCTTTCTTTTCTTGCAGGTGCACACATCTTGACCAACTCAGCAGCAAGGTGGATTTTCTTTGTGTTTAAAGAAAAAAAATGTCCCTGTGTCTGTAGAGATGATTTGCAGTTCAGCCCGGCTGAAGCTGACCGAATGAGACTATGGGCTGTGCCTCCGCCAAGCATGTTGCCACTGTTCAAAATGAAGAGGAAGCCCAGAAAGGGAAAAACTACCAGAACGGAGATGTGTTTGGCGGTGAGTCCTATCAAACTTGACTCTTGACCCATTGATTCTAGGCCTTTCACTTTTTTTTATTGATACATAATATTTGTACATATTTATGGGGTGCTTGTGATATTTTGTTACATGCCTAGAATGTGTAACGATCAAGTCGGTATTTAGGATATCTATCACCTCGAGCATTTATTGTTTCTGTGTGTTGGGAACATTTCAAAACGTATCTTTGAGCTATTTGGAAACATACAGTACATTATTTTTAACTATAGTCACCCTACTCTGTTATGGAACATTAGATCTTATTCCCTCTAAGCCTTTCATTTTTGTGACAGTGAATAATTACAGTGATTATTGGGTTATACCGTCTGAGGTGAAAGGGTGATGAGACCTAATGGAAATCAATGTGGATCTTTACTTTGGATCATCTACATCATAATTTATACAAAGTGGTATTTGAGGAGGAACATGGAGGTTTTTTTTGCAGGAGCTAGCATTTAAATCAAGCTTCAAAGAACCAGCAGAATTTAAATTGGTGCATGGGACAGTGGCCATGGGGTGTCCTAGTAGAGGAGAACTGTAGGACTAAAAACAGAAGTCCAAAAGGGGAGTGAGTGAGGATTTATAAATGAGGGAGTGAGGTGTTTTTTTTTAAAGTGTAATAGAGAGTGAATTATACATTTTCAGATTTAAAATAAAAATACAATGAATCTAATAATCATCTTTTAACCTCTCTCTGTTGAATCAAAATGACTTTAGGATATCTAGTGCAAAGGCCACAGATTGGCAACCCATGGCCACACCTGGTCTGCAAATACATTTTTTTTGCCCCCTCCCCAAAGAATTTTAAAATAAAAAGCAAGACAGCCTTTAAAAATCAGGATATTTCACATAAAACCTCAAATTTCTTCAAAAGAGCTGGCAGCAATAGGTCTTCATTCCTTGAGACAACCGTCAGGAGGTGGGGTAGCAATTGCCCCTGCAGCCAGGCTGTGGCCTCCAGTGAACTGCTAACGCTTCCCCGGTGCATGCACACCGAGTTCAGTTTGCTCATTGACATTACCTGGCCACTTACAGGCTATTATGCTTGCCTGATCTTGAGATTGGCCCTTAGATGATTATTTTGAAGTATGGATATATAAACAAAATTTCAATTAGTACCAGGCAGATGAAGCAATTTTTGTGGAATTATTTTAACAATAATACCTACTACTTGACATTTGCACGATGCTTTCATTTATAAAAACACTTCTTCAACTCTTAGTAAGGGACATCATAGAGATATGTTGTAGAACCTCACTGAGATAATGTTTACGTGTAAATAACTGTAGCTGCATCATTCAGTCACTGTCAAATAATTCTACTACTTTTAGAATCTCTAGCTTTTGGTTCATTGTAATGATTGTTTTAGTCTCCTGGTGAAGAATTGGGAATGGTACGAAAGAGCTAAGCCACAGTTAAAAGTGGACTCGTGTGTTTGGGAAGAAAACTGTTGCATTTTGTTCCAAGGAGATGCACTAATTGCCTGGAACAAATTTGTTTCTACTGGTAACTACCTATAGCATTGAGAACTGTGGAGAAGAGTAACATATATGAACATCTTAATAAAACTACAGTCCAGATCTCTGAAACCACAGTTTTTAGGGAAAGAGTTGATTGGAACTAGAGTCATTACTGTCATCCTGAAACGCTTGACTTTTAAGAGAAAATAATCTAACATCAGGGATTTGTTTAACTTCTACCTGATGTCCTGTGTCATTATCATTTTTATAATAGAGCTACCATTTATGGAGCCGTCACCATGTGTCAAACATCGCAAGGCATTTACATTCATTTTTATGTTGAATTTTCACAACAATCTTGTGAAATATGTGCTACGCAAATTTTACATACTTGGAAACTGAACACAGAGAGACGGACTTGTCCGAGGTTACCCAGCTACGAAGTGCTAGAATCCAGATTGCTCAGACTCCAAAGTCCACCTTTCTTTCTCCATGTTGTTTCCTGATGCCGTGCAGCCTCCCATAGGTCTTTTTTTTTTTTTTTTTTTTTTTTTTGAGACAGTCTTGCTCTGTGGCCTAGGCTGGAGTGCAGTGGTGCGATCAGGGTTCACTGCTGCCTTGACTTCCTGGGCTCAAGTGATCCTCTCACCTCAGCTCCCTGAGTAGCTTTGGGACTACAGGCACGTGCGCTCACACCTGGCTAATTTTTTATATTTTTAATAGAGATAGGGTTTTGCCATGTTTCCCAGGCTGATCTAAAACTCCTGGACTCAAGCAATCTGCCCACCGTGGCCTCCCAAAGGGCGGGGATTACAGGCATGAACCACCACACCCGGCCCTCATTCTTTAATGCACAAAAGTATTGATTGGTCTGTATCCTATGTATAAGGCCTTTTGCTAAATGCCATGGAGATTACAGAGGTAAATAATCCATAAACCTTGCCATCTAGGACTTTGTAAGAAGATAAGGAAGTGTTACGAGGTAGAATAAGCCAAATGCCCGAAGAGGAAAAGACATACCTCATGATAACAGTCAGGGGATAGATGCTCTGCCTTAAACCGCAGAATCAGAGCAGATTTCTTACAGAGATGACATCCAAACCTGGCCTTAAAGGACTGAAAGAACAAAACCTGTCTCAATCTAAACTGGAAAAGGAACAGCTAGGTAATGTAAGACTTATTCAAGAATAATAAATATTCTAATTTATGGAACTAATGAATGGAACATAAACTATAAATGGGACAGAATTGGCTAGAAAACTAAGTTAGGGTTAAATTATGGAGAACTTCGAATACCAAATGACAGTCTTTAAAAAGATAACCTTAGATTGTCAGAGCAAGATTTGGTGATATTCAATACGTTGTGCTTACATTCTGCTTGGCAATGAGACCACTTAACCATCCCTTCACAACTTGTATAGCCAGGAAGACTCTATTGTTCTAAAGCACCATGTGTATTTTGCAGATGTTAGCATCTGATAAAGGAGCTTTGTGTTAGTCAACTATTGCTGCGTAGACTGTAACAAACTCAGGTTCAGTCACTTGCCACTTGCAGAGTCTAATTCACAAGAGCGAGGTCTGGCATAAAGAAAGTGACTTTATTCCATAGCTTAGCCTGGGGGAAGAGGTACAGGCTCCTGCCTTTAAGAGCACTGTTTTGCTTTTGGGGCAGAAAGCATGGACTTTTAAAGGGGGACTTGGCATGAATGGCATTCAGAGGAGGGAGTGAGCAGTTGGGGGTCTGCGTGACTCGCTTTCGTGCTTAATCTACTGGTGGTCGAGCTGGCTGCATCACAAGCAGAGCTAGGTTGTATAGTGGCCTTTGTCTCAAGACACTCTCCAGGTGGGAGAGCCTTCCATCAGGGACATACTTTAGGTTGCAAATTGACTGTTGTCTCTTGAGGCAATCTCCTTGTGGGAGAGAGTTTCTGCCCTGGAGCTTCAAAGTAAGCACGTAGTTAGATAAGCTTCCAGTGTAGTGAGTGTCTGGTGAAGGGAAGGTAAAGGTTATGATTGCATTTCTGAAGAGCTAGGTAGGAAATGGGAACAGAGGAAAAGAAGGAAAGAGAAAAGAAGAAATAACTTAAAAAAAAACTCTCTCTCTTAGAAAAATGGGGATACTTGGTTACAAGACAACTTGAAGCTCTCAGTCGCATTCCACAGTAACTGTTTCTTTCTTGATTATGAATTGGTGGGTCAGCTGTGGTGACACTTCTCTATGTATCTCTCATCTTTCTCCAGGGACCAGCAAGCTAGTGGGGGCATGATCTCCTTTCACAGAAGGGCAAGTGTGCAAGTGATACATATGGTGCCTCTGAAGCTTGGACTTAGAGCTGGCACACTGTCACTCATACCCACATGCCACTAGCCAAAGCAGGTCACATGAGTGAGCCCAAAGTTAGGCAAAAAAGCACACTCTGACCACAGTGCATTTACAGCAAGGGTATAGGTGCAGGGAGGGTCAAGATTGGGGCTAAAAATCAGTTTACCCCAAGCCCACCTGGTCATTGCTCTCTCTGTGCCTCTGTGTAGTTCATGCCATAAAGCGTCGTTTAAGGCCTCTGCTAAATTTTCTTCATCCTCCCAACACCCACATTGAAATTTTATTTACTCCAGCATTCTATCATTTTGTTAATCTCTCTAACATAAATATTAGGAAGTTTGTGGGATTGTGTTAAATACAGCAGGAATACAATGGGGAGAGAACTTCACCAATCAAGGGAGATACTTTTTCTAGCCCTGCAGGGCTCTGGGGGAAGAATTACCAGAATCCAATGTCAAGACAGTTCCAGTACCCTAGATATTACTGAATATCACATTTTAAATATGACGAGTTAAGGTCTTGTCTGTGTTTCTTCACTTAAATTAATTCGCAAGGAGAAGAAGTTTTCAAAATCCCACAATGATCACAGATGGTGGCAGATGAGTGATAGTGATAGGCCCACTTTTTAACCATTTGTAACCCATTATTTCTGTGGTCTCTTATTGTGTAACAAATACCCCAAACATAGTACCTTGAAACATAACCAGCTTATTATTCCTCACGATTCTGGGGGATGGCTGGAGTTCATCTGTTGTTCTCTCCCGGGCTCAGTCATGCAGCTGCATACAGCTGGGATCTCAGCTGAACTCAGCTATCCCAGATGGATTTGGGCTTCTGTCCACAAGGCCACTCTTTCCAGCTGGGTAGCCAAACTTTTCAGCCCGGCTTCCAAGAGAAAAAGTGGAAGCTGCCAGGCCTCTTAGGACCTGAGCTTGAAAGTTCAAGAATGCTACATTTGCTGCCTTCTGTTGATGAAAGCAAGTCATAAGACCAGCCTAGAGTTGAGGGAATAGAGTCTCTCCACCTCTTGAGAATGTGCCCGTAGAAAGAGGAGGAATTGTTGGGAGCCGTCTTTGGAGACCAACGCCCATTGCAAGAGGAAATTATGACTCCATGACTGGGATATATTTCAACCTGGACAATTATATTCTGCTTTCTAAAATACCCCTCTGTTTTTCACCGAATAAAGTGACCTTATTTATGCTTTAAAAGCTAAACATTTAAAATGTTTTAAATGTTATTACCACATGTTGTTGAAGATGTGACAAAGTCTGTGAAGGGTGGCATATTTGGGGATGGCTCTGAAGTATGTGTCTCTGAGTGTGTGTACACACACATTTGATCCTTTTCCTAAAGGTGTTAATTTAATTTCAAAGCTTCTGAAGACATCCTCAGGAGCTTTGATGCCCAATGTGTTTATACAAATGGTAATTTCCATTTTTTTGAAGCAGTTTGGGCGCCATGATGTCTTGGTTATTTAGGAGCTCCACCACAACAAATGTGTGTGACAGAATTTCTGTAGCATGTTCCACCATGCAGAATTAAATGCTAAATGGGCATCTTGACTCCTAGATTTCAGAAAATTTAGGAAATCATTGACAAGGAACTTCACCAGTGATATTTACTTACATATTTTCTTTCACTTTAAGTGTTGAAGCATAAAAAGTTTCAGATCTAAAGTTCTGCCTGACACACTGTGGCCCTTTCAGAGGTCAGATCCACTTCAGAAGGTTTCATCTTCAGATTGGAATTTTCCTTCTCTCAGTTGTCAGGGCAGATGTGAATAGTGGTCAGCAGATCTGCTGAGGTCATTCAGAGGACAGCTGAGCAGATTGCCAAGACCAGCTTGCAAAAAGTAAGTGACCAACAGGTTCAAGTTATCATGAACTGGTTAAGCAAGTTCTAGAAGGCCAAGTGCTTATTGGATTTCTTTCAACAGTCATTCTCTTAGACAACTAAAGTGGGTGCATAGAACACATTTAGGCCTTATTAGGGAAATTAATACGTCAGGCTTGAGATCATGATCTCTCCTGCAGCCCGCCCCCAAGTGGGGAGAAACTCTTACAGTTATATTGACTTCCTTTTCTGCGCTTTTTCTGTTTCCAGTGTTTCAATAATGTAGGCTTTAAACTTGAGTCACTTTTGGCTTTTGCAGTTAGTTTCCAGATCCTATAAATCTCACTCTCTCCTAGCATTGCTTTTCTTACCACCACTGTAGTTTAGGCTGTGACAGCCCATCACCCCAAGAACTGCAGTGTCCTCAGGAGGAATCTCCTGTTAACCTCCTTTATTGCTTGTTTGTTCCTTTGCTTGTTTTTGGTCTGTTTTTACTTCTTCATTTTTTGGCACCACTATCAGATCAGCTTTTTAAAGTACTCCTCTGTTGGTATTAAATCTTCTCTAGAACTTTCTGTTTGTGCCAATAAATCCCAAATCCTTAGTGAACATCCAAGGCACCTGAAGGTGGCTCATATCCACCTTTGCTGCCTTTGTGTGTGTGTGTGGGGCGGGGGTGGGGGGTGTATGTGTGTTTTGAGATGGAATCTCACTCCATCGCCCAGGCTGGAGTGCAGTGGCGTGATCTCAGCTCACTGCAACCTCCGTCTCCTGGCTTCAAGCAATTCTCTTGCCTCAGCCTCCCAAGTAGCTGGGATTACAGGCACCCACCACCGCGCCCGGCTAATTTTTGTATTTTTTTTTTAGTAGAGACAGGGTTTCACCATTTTGGCCAGGCTGGTCTTGAACTCTTAACCTCAGGTGATCCACCCGCCTTGGCCTCCCAAAGTGCTAAGATTACAGGCGCAGCCTTGTTTTGTACTCTGTTCCTTCATGATCGCCTTCTTCAGTCAACTGAGCAAGGCAGCCTTGTGAACTTATCCTGCATCTTCGCTGCTCTAGGCCCTCCAGTACATGGTGACCTCTGCTTGGCACGGGCCCGTTTTCTCGACTTCATGTCTTTAAATCCTGCTTGTTTTCCAAATATAAACTTTTATACAGAGCTTCCTCTAATACCTTCAGAAGGTATCTCTTTCCTGCCATCCCAGAATACTTTTTGTTTATTTGATTTATTTGTTTATATGTCTAATCTCTCTTGTGAGCTGGTTAGCTCCCCGAAGGCAGGAACTGCATGGGCTTGAGAGGACAGAGGGCTCCCAGATGGCCAAGGAGCTGGAGGCAGAGAGATTGTTCAGGAATCAGGTTGGGCACTGACTGAACCAGCCCTCCCATATAACTAAGGTGGCCTGCACTGCTGCCAAGTTTGGCTTAAGCCTGATGTTTATAAACATCCCTTTAAATGGAGGGGCTTAGATTATTGCAGTAAATTCTTCTGGAATGATGGTGTGAGACTGAGCAGCAGTAAAGCGAGCAAGAATTTGGCTGCTTTCTTTCACTTGGACTTTGTATTGCTATGTGGCTTCAGTTAAGTTCTGATCCTTGGGTGTACCTAAATGAGAGCATATAACAGATGCTTGTGGCTGTGTGTGTGTGTGTGTGTGTGTGTGTGTGTGTGTGTGATGGTGTTATGCCAATCTATTACTCATCTAAAATGCTGTGAGACCTATTTCACAAGGTTATGGTGAAAATTAAATGAGAAAATACATCAGATTTATTCAGAAATTAAAAGCACTTGGAGGCAAAGTCATAATTCACTGTTTATGTCTCATAATTTTTGATTGCATTCAGCGAAGATGGATTAAAGATACCTGTGTTTGTGGACAGTAACAGAGAGAATAATGTTTGTCAGTGCAGTCCAGCACAGTACCCATGAGCCACATGTGGCTATTGAGCATGAGAAACGTGACTAGTCCTAATTGAGATGTGCTGTAAGTGTAAAATGAGCTTTTAAGTTTCATATTAAATGAATATTTAATATGAAAAAAGAATATAAAATAGCTTATTAATAATTATTGATTACATGTTAAATGATATATTTTAGATCTATCAGGTTAAATAAAATATATGAAGATGAATTTCACCTGCTGCTTTTTATCTAATGTGGCTACTAGAAGCATTAAAAGTACACACATAACTCACATATTTCTATTGCACAGTGCTGATTTATGTGACTGAGAGGTAGCAGTGGTAGTGTGAGAATTTCCTTCTCTTTCAAGTTTTAGTTTTTATTGGATCTAAGAGAAAAGGAGTTTGATGGAGGCAGTGGCCCTCATTTTCTGCTTGGAATCTCTATGCATTAAGTGAGCACTAGGTGTGTACACTCAGCCTTTTGTGTGTCAGGGGGTGATTTGGGCAAAGAGGGGTACATGGGGGACCACCAGAGAGGCAGAATTGGGAGGCAGCTTGGCCAATGAACAGGAGCAATGCCACCTTGCTCCTCTCTGTGCTGCTTAGTGATAGACTTTAGCTGCCTCTACTGTAGCTGTTTTGCTGGCATAAGGAAGCTTCTGTTGGCTTCTGAAGCTGTTATTTCCCGAAGGTGAGAGAGAAAATCATGTTTCCCTTTTTCTGTTTTTAGTGAATCATAGGAGACAGTAAAGAGCCCTAAGGGCAGGAGAAGTGTTTGACGGATTTGTGATAGGCCAGATTATAGTCATAAAAGCTGAGAAATTTAAGTCAAGATAAGTGAGGAACATGGTCTTGGGTTTAGGCTTTGAAGACTCCCTGATGTCTTGAGCTGAGCCTCAGAAAGGTCTTAATGGCTCGAAGTGCACATGGGGCTCATGGAATCACAGAAGCCAGTCGACCTTGGCTCAGAGCTTTTAACTGCATTCTTCTGAAGTAAAAGTGCTCAGCCCAGTGTCTGACTCAGAGAAGGTGCTCAAAATATGTTAGTTTTATTTCCTTTTAGGTGGTTCCTGGGCCATGCTGATGCTCATTTCAATAGGGAAAATGAAACATGCGTGTATGTGAGCATGGAATGGAGTAGTTGTGAATTCTGTCTTACCAGCTGGGGTTTGATTCCAGTGTCACCACTGCCTGTGCTGTTTTGGATTTATAACTTAGCTGCATTTGTTTCCAAATCTATAATATGGAGGTAATAATGGTATCCACCACTTGGAGTTCTGAGGAGGAACACATAGTTAATAAGGAGAGCGTCCAGAACAAGGCCAGTGCACAATTAGCATGGAAGCACTTGTTATAAATAGTAGATGGGCCTGAGTAGACTGGCCCCACCTCTTCACTCTCCTCCCCTCGGCCAGCACAAAATAGATACCATGCTAGATGCCGCCTTGATGCCAAGTTTGGTCTAGCTGAGGTAAAGCCAGCAAAAATTTCTACTTGGAAACGTTTTCTATGACAGAAAGTTAAGAAATGCTCTATACTTTCTATATTAAAAAAAAAATCCAAGTGCTACTTTTCCTTCCCTTGCCAGCTGGTATCATGAGCCTGTTCTTTTGAAGTTAGAGAGATAAGTAGAAAATAAGACCATTTGTCACTCCCTGCTGCCAGGCAGCTGGGTTGCAAGATGAGGGAGCACCTGAGTTTTCAGAGACCATTGGCAGGGACACGCTGGCAGGGCCCTCCAAGTCCCTTTGGTTTTCTTCAATTACTCCCTTGCCCCTTCAAGTGCTTGTATTGTCTGTAGCAGTGGAGACCTGCTGGGTGCTTCCTGGCCCTCTGGCACCATTCAGTGAAAGGTGAAAGGACTGGAGCTGCAGGCAAGGCCTGCTTGGGGATGAGGGAAGTTCTCAAAACGTGCCTCAGTGACAAGAGAGGAAGTCAAAGGTTTCTTTACCTATTGCACTTCCCCTTGGAGTTATTTTCTCCTGAGTGACACTACAGATTCAGACATTCAAAACAATGGCTTCTTCCTGGACTCCTGGCTGGTGTGACTGAAGGGACCTGCCTTGCTATGAGCACCTCTCCAGGCAGCCCCTACCTGGCCCCTGGGCCTCATTAGGCCCTGGCTGTCCTCCGTAGAGACTAGTACAGCTCCTGCCTTCTGCACTTGGAACTTTACATGTGACTGGTTATTTTGCCCCTGAACCGTTACAACTTGGATTTGTGCTTTACGGTGTATGAGGCTTTTTCAAACGTAATTATTATCATGATTATCCCTACTTGATAGAAGGGGAAACTGAAGTTAAAAACTACCCCAGTTCACTTAAGAAGTGGGACGGTGGCTACAATGGCAGATGCTGACTCGACTAAGGGAGATTCCTCCTTGGGAATAACACATTGATATTAAGTCCAAACCAACATTTGCTCAGAAGTCTTTGAGAAGTCATTGTTAACTGGCCACTTGAGGTCAGACTCAGTTTTTAAATGAGGATGTCTGGAGATTCTAATATGGTCATTAGGGCTATTTTCCGTGGAACTGAAATACAATGTTATGGTAAGCACACAGACTGAAAATCTGGCAGATTGTTTTCAGATCCTGGCTCGGCTACTCACTAACATGTAGTCTTGGCAAATTTTTGAGGCTCTTTTTGCCTGGGTTTTCCCATCTGTGTAGTGTGGGGAATAAAACTAGTACTTGCCTGCCTTCATAGGGCTGTTGTGAGACTAAAATGTATTAATATTTGTAAATCTTAGCATAGTACTTGGCACATGATAAGCACTGAGTTAGTATGCTCATCATCATATTAGCAGCCTGCAGTTGCGCAGACCTCTGACCTATGCAGTTTGCATTTCTGAAAATGGTTGCTTGGTTTCCTCTGATTACGCTGGAGGAGAATGCGTCATCAGTTTATTTGTAGATGTATAATTCTCTAAACTTAAAAGATGATCAATTGTCCATGTAATACTTATCTCTTTTAGATTTTAAGATATGTGTGTTCCTATGGTTTGTTCTTTCTCTGGTTTGACCTAGACCAGTTTCTGTACTGTGTAAGATGTATACGTGAATATTTGTCTTTTAAATGAAAAGACCAAAGGACATGCATGATTCAGGAATGATGAATATAATATTATGCCTCATTTCTTTCAAAGTGTAGTTTAAAAGAAATCCCACCATAGAGGTTAACAAATACATTTTTTGCTTATCAACCATAAATCTATACATGAGTGTGTGTGTCTTGTTTATCATGCAGAGTGAGATGTTGGTAGAAGTAAGGAGTAAAGCACCATGAGAGGGCTAGAGGCAGCAGACACAGATGATGCCCCAGTGATTGTAATGGGATAAATGCATCCATAAGCAGCTGAAATAAAAAGATATACCAATTAATTGGGTACCATTTCAATTCACATTTTATTCTTTGAAGATATTCTGTTATTTGTGATTATAATATTAAAAATGAAATCCCCCAATTTATCTCTTCATATTAGAATTTTTCAGATTAATCTAAAAATTTAACTGTCAAATAAGAAACTGTAGGCTGGGCACAGTGGCTCACGCCTATAATCCCAGCACTTTGGGAGGCCGAGGCGAGCAGGTTGCCTGAGCTCAGGAGTTCGCAACCAGCCTGGGCAACACGGTGAAATCCTGTCTCTACTAAAATACAAAAAATTAGCCAGATGTGGCAGCGTGCGCCTGTAGTCCCAGCTACTTGGGAGGCTGAGGCGGGAGAATTGCTTGAACCCAGGAGGCGGAGGTTGCAGTGAGCCAAGATCATGCCACTGCACTCCAGCCTGGGCGACAGAGCGAGACTCTGTCTCAAGAAAAAGAAAAGAAAAGAAACTGTAAAAGTACTACAAAAAACGCAAGTGAGTATATTTATAATCTTAGGTTGCAAAATGTCTTTCTCTTAATGCTACAAAACCCAATACCAAAAGAAAAAGTTTGTGATAAACTGTGATTATATAAAATCTAAAATTTTGATTGGCAAAAAGTAAACTACCATAAACTAAGTCAAAAGACAAATGTCAAACTGAGAATAATATTTGCAATACAACTGAAGTTAATATGACTAATAGAAAAAGACCCTTCAAAATCTGTAAGGAAAGAACTAACATACCAATTGAAAAATGGACAAAGTTCATGGCCAGGCAATTCAAAAGAGAAAAAATATAAAGGGACAAAAGAGTACAGAAAGATATTCTACTTCTCAGTAATAAAATAAACCAAAAAAACAAACCAGCAAAAAAACCCAAAGCAAAACAAAACATTTTTTACCCTTCAGATTGGGCAGGAACAGGTGGCATCTGTCTCATGCTATAATGGAGAATGTCAACGCAGAACAATTTTTCTGGGGCACAAAATAGTAACATATATCAAAAATGTAAATGAGCATGCCCTTTGCCCCAGGAGACCCAGTGCTAGGAATTTATCTTAGGAACGTAATTGGACAAGTGTGCAAACCTGTGTGTTCAAGGGTCTTTCTCACTGATGAAACATGCATGGAATAGAGCCATTAGAGATCAAGGTATTCTATATTTATTGATATGGCAAAAGGTTTGTGACAGATTATTAAGTGAAATTAGTAAAGGGATTTTATGCAGCATATCTTGTTTGTAAATTTTACTTGTTTAAAATATATGTAAAATTCTGTGTGAGTGCATAAAAGAAGTGTTTGAAAGGCCATTCACCAAAACTTTTACGATGGCAGTCTCTTTATTGTGAAGTTTCAGGTGATTCTTAATTTCTTCTTTGTATTTTTCTGTGTGTCTTGAATCTTTTATGTTTAACATTTATCATTCACTACAACTGTTTATTTTGATAAATATAATTCAAATGTTTCCATCTCCAGAAGGCCTTTAGTTGTGTTTTCAGGGCAATGGTGAAATCTATCCCAGAGGAGAAAGCACTATCACTGGAAATAGCCCCAGGGCAACAGGGATCTGACTGATAGAAATGTTAGCCCAGGCATACAGATGGAGTCTGATGACTGGCACTTGTTGGTTTCATTTAAAACCTAGCATTTCACTTCATCCTAAGAAGCACTCGTTGACTACCTTGCATGAATTAGGTGCTGTGCTAGGCACGGAGGCTGTAAAGACGGGTTAAACCTGGTCCCTGCCTTTAAGGAACTGGTAAAGATGCAATAGATGGACATCTTGACAGAAAATGTCAGTACCATAGGGTGATAAGGCAAAAGGTCTCTTTTTCCAAGGAGTGGGGGAAGACTTGTAAAGAGGATGATTAAAGCCTCAGCTGAGTCTTAAAATATGAATACCAGCCAAAGGAACTAAGTGAGACAGAGCAGGAGGTTTAGGCTGAGAGTCAGTGAGAACAAAGGCTTAGAGGTACACCACACATACAATATAGCAGGGGAGACTGGGAAACTTTAACCAACTGGTGGAGACATAACTTTAGAGAATCTCACATTAACGGCAGGAGTCTTAAATATTTGAAAATTTTACTCTGGATTTTTTTTCAAGACACTTAAAAGCTCACATAGACAATGTAAGAATCATGTTAGGGATTGGCAGTTAGGTGAAGATTTAGAAAACAGAAAATTTGATGCTAATTCCTTAAGCTGTCTAAGTGTTCAGCCTCACCTCAGGTTAGATGATTATGAACCCTGAGTAATAATGCCAGAACATGGCCTTATGTAGATGAGACCGTTTACCAGGAAGGGTTAGTAATGATTATCTCTGGGTGGTGCTGATTACTAGTTAGTTTTTGTACTTCTTTTATATTTTCCAAATATTCTACATCCCTTTTTCTAAAGAAGTTTTGTGAAAAAAAAAAAGCATTTTATAACTATGTAGGTGGTGACATTGAGAAAGAACTTGTGGAGCAAGGTATAGTGGCTAATCATATTAATTTGGGAACCAAACTGATAGGTTCCTCATTTGTAAAATTGGAACCTACCTCATAAGATGCTATGAGGATTAAATGAATTAATAAGTAATAAAACACTTAAAATAATGCCTGGCACACAAAAAGTGCTGTATAAATAATCAGTGAACTTTATTTAGAAAGTTCTCTGGATTATTCTCTCATAAACAGCACATTTTCATCTTTATGACAGTAAAGTTTAGCATAGTGCTTTTTTTAATAAGAAGAATAAAAACTTCATTCAGAAAAAGCAAAACTTTTTCCTTAAAGTTCATTTACCTGCAGATATCATTAGTGTGTGTAGTACTTTCCTTCTTTCTTTTTTTTTTTTTTGAAACAGGTTCTGTCTCACTCTGGTTGCCCAGGCTGGAGTGCAATGGCACGATCCCAGCTCATTGCAGCCTCAACCTCCCAAGCTCAGGTGATTCTCCCACCTTAGCCTCCTAAATAGCTGGGACTACAGGTGCAAGCCCCCCATGCCCAGCTAATTTTTTGTATTTTTAGTAGAAACAGATTTTCACCATATTGCCCAGGCTGTTCTCGAACTCCTGAGCTCAAGCAATCTGCCCACCTTGGCCTCCCAAAGTGCTGGGATTACAGGCATGAGCCACTGTGCCCGGCCCTTTTCCTTTGTTTTTAGCAGTAACCGTTATGGTTACTTATAGCAAAGTTCTGGGCCACAGGCTATGAATCATCAATGACAGTGACCTTCGGGGCTTTGCTAGCTCACATGACACTGGTTAAGTGGTTTGGTTTCATTTTGCCTGTTTTCAGCCCTGCACCCAAGAGGTTGCTTAAGCTATGAGAACAAAAGTAAAGATAGGAAATAACTATGATATAATTCCATATCTCAAGTTTATTTTTAGCTAACGGGCCTTGTCTTGCTCTTCATTCTGAGGCGTAAAGTCTCTTAGGAAGAGAAGGAATCAGAAGCATGATGCAGAGTTTGACAATGACTAATTTGAAACGGAGCCATCTTCATTCTTTGTAACTTTAATCTCAATTTCTCAGTTTTTCTCAAATTTTCTACTGTAAGCAAACCTTCACAGAAATAACTCCTCTTAGAGATCACAGTGAGCTATGTGCTGTGTAAGGTTTTATTAGAACAAGCACATAAACAAAAACAAGTGGCTGTAAAGCCCAGTGAGCCCAGTTTATAGAGAAGCCATTGACTTGCCTGCAGAACCTGGTTACATTTGGATTCTGCCACAGAGTAACCATGCTACAGGGTGACCTCTGTGGGCTCTGGTTTCTGCGTCTTGGGAGTGAGTGGGTGGAACTGTGTGATTGCTATGGGAGTGTTGAGTGCTAATGTTCAAAGGTTCTATTTACCTGCTCCCCACACTATGGACAATTCACTCAACTGTGTGGTGTCAGTTTCTTTCCTGCAGTGGAGCCATTGGCAAGATTATATATGATTATTGCTTTGTTGATTGCTCTCAGAAAAAAATGGTGGTGGTGGTAGTGTTCAGCTATTAAAAGCTTTATGGTCCAGAGTTGACCAAATTGTTAATTGCATTGTGATATTTACTTTTTCAATGAAAAATTAGAAAGAAGTATCACCAATATCTTCTGTAGCTTCAGAACATTACCATGAGCCTGAAGGTGAGAAAGCTTGAAGTGTGTGGAGTTGTATCTCTGCTTCCACCTTGGCTGGCTGGTTTGTAAATTTATCTTTCATCCACTGATGCTTAAATTGGTGCTGTGCAGCTGCTGCTAGTCAGTGAAGGATTCCATTTGTTGGCTTTCTGTTTAAAGGTTTGTGGTAGAAGTCAGGGTAGGGTAGATTGGTCCTGTTGTTTGAAAAGGATAATGAAATATCTAATAGAAGACAGTTATAAACAAAATCTAGGCCAAAAGGAGAACATTTAATTTCCCAGGTTGCTGATTTTCTCAAGAGCTACTGTACTATGATCTGATCACTCTGAGAGTGTGGTTTTGTTTATTAACTTATATAGCTGTACTCTGTTGGTCCAGCCAGACTATAATAGGGCAAGAAGAAGTAAAAATTTACAGAAAGTCAGATTCTAAAGGATTATATTTCTGTGGCTATAATATTAAGTATATATAAAATTCTCTAAAATGTAACTCACAACACATGTTTAAACTATGAATAAAAATGGTCTTTGACAGTTTTTTAAAGGTTACATAATTAAAGTTTCTTGGTTGGAACAGCCATAGCTGGGGAAGATGCCTGCTGGAGAGGACACAGGCCGTGAGGAATACAATGTTTATAGTCAGCTTTCTTCATAGTAATAATCTGTGCTGGAAGCTATAATATAAATGTACATTTACATTTTATCTAAAAATAATTTTAAAAGTTTATGTACATGGCTATAAGCATTGAAGGTAAAAGAGTAAGGGTGAAGTGAAAAATCATGATGTTAAATAGCACATCTTTGAAGCTAATTAATTCCTTCAAATTGCAAAACAGTCACACGAGTACAAATCTTTATTTAGACTACGTTTGATTTTCATTTGAAAACCACATTCAAGACAAGCTAAATTACATTTAAATTCCCTTCCAGCTATAGATATGCATGCCTCACTGTATAAATGTCACTGTTGATTTTGATCTATAACCAAAGAAGAAATTGTCAAATTATGTATGAAATAGGATTTTATTTTTAATGTGGCACCAAGTATTTTTGCATTTATTGTGTTAGCTGTTTAACACAATATTTTTTCATTAACCTTTTAGTCTTCATTGCCTTCTGTCACTCAAGAGATGTCTTTTTATCTGAAAGTGTTTATAAGATCTTGAGTTTGGAGTGCAGCTTTCCTCCTTTGTTTCTTGCCTTGTTTCCCATGATGCAATTGTTAAATGGCCAGCATGTTAAAATGAAAGACAATGTGCTTTTAACTCTGATGGAACTCTGAAAATTAAAGTTATTCATTTAAGAACTATTGGTTGAGCAAATACTATAAACTGGATTTTACTAAGAGATATAACATGTAATATGATAATGATTGCCCTCATTTGGCTCACATTCTAGCAGGTAATAAAGGTAATAAAAAGAGAGACAAACATGTACTGTCAGGGAAAAGTGTCATGAGAATACAAAAGGGGATGGAGAGTTGACAGGATGGCTGTTTCAGAGTCATCTGTCAGAGAAGGTCTATCTGAGGAACTGACCTTTGAGCAAACCATGAGAATACCTGGGAACAGAATGTTTCAGGCAGAGAAACAACAAAGCCAAATTTCTGAGAGGGAGCTGGCTAGTGGATTCCAGGAAGAAGCCTGATGCCCTTGTGCCAGTAGGGTGATGGGTGACAAACTCACAGAGGCAGTCCAGGGCCGGACTGTACTGCTCTGTACACTGGCTTCTGTTCTAAAGGTAATAGAAGTCAGGAGAGGGTTTTGAGTGCAGGGGAGTGATGAGGTCTGACTGCTACGTAGGGAATAGACTATAGGAAGAGAGTGAAGCAGTTGACCAGTTAGAGTCTTGCTCAGTAGTCCTAGCAAGAGATGTTGGTGGTCTGGATTAGGGAGGTATGAATGGAGATAATGAGATATGGGCGGGCTTGGGATATTGGGGAATGATTAAATATGAGCTTCATTAGAGCATATTGTATCTGTGGTTTTCTCTGTTAAGGGCAGCAGTGGGAGGTAGAATTTTGTACCAATACAAGCTCCTCTTTAGTGGTGGCTTGCAGGAGGCAGAGTTTTTATGTTTTAGAGCAATGACCATGGTCTGAGGCTTAGCAACATGGAATGAAAAATGAAATTTGAAAATTGTGAAAGCAAAGATTTTTAAGATGGGGCTGTAAGGATTAATAGGGTCAAAATTCTACATTAATGTTTTTTGCTTTTGCTTTTTTTTTTTTTTTACCTTCTTGAGGCAAATTTGTTTGATGCTAGCTGGGATAAAAAGAACATCATTAACAGTTAAATTCCTACTTCAGTTTCCAGGGCTCAGCTGTACCCAGGCACAGGGCATGGCCCAAGTGAGGAGAAGTGCTGCAGCCCTAGAACCTCCTGGGACTGCAGTTCATCTGCACAGCATGTCATCGTCACACAGTGACATCTCATTTCATTCAACCTGAGAGTGAAGGGGTTTCAGACATGGCTTGCTTGTTCATTTTTAGCAAGTTTCTTAAGGGCCAGGGTGCCCGAAGAGGCAAGTTTCTACTCTCGCCTCCCTTCCTGTAACAGCCACCTCCCTTTCACCTGGCTCTTGCCTTCCCCCCGCAACATAGACTCTCATCCCTACACTCTTTTGTTCCTCATGGAACTCTGAGCTCCAGTTTCTGATCTCCAAGAGCTGCTCTGAGCTTTGATCCCTGTTCCCATCCTCTTCACTTGTACCCACCATCCCAGTTCAGTTTATCTTTCTTTTTATGTCTTCCCAGAATAGGAGCAGTGCTCTATGAGAAGACAGAACAAATACGCAAATGAAGCATAGATCTCTGTGGAGGTCAAACCAAGCCCCCAGATAATTTCCCATTCTGAATCTCCTTTCTGCTTTGCATTGTTACCTTTTAAAGAAAAAATTAACGTCAATATACTTACTCATCTTCCCTCCCTCCCCCCACTACCAGCATCACCATCAAATAGCATCAATATTCTCTGTAAAAGACACTGTTTTTGTTTATTACAAGATATGGTGGGCCAGGTGTGGTGGCTCATGCGTGTAATTCCAGCACTTTGGGAGGCCAAGGCGGGTGGATCGTGAGGTCAGGAGTTCAAGACCAGCCTGGCCAAGATGGTGAAACCCCATCTCTACTAAAAATACAAAAATTAGCCTGGCATGGTGGCAGGTGACGTAATCTCAGCTACTCGGGAGACTGAGGCAGAGAATTGCTTGAACCCGGGAGGCAGAGGTTGCAGTGAGCCAAGATCGTGCCACTGCACTCCAGCCTGGGTGACAGAGTGAGACTCTGTCTCAAAAAAAAAAAAAAAAAAAAAAAGATATGGTGAGTATGTAAGCTTTCTGTTAGGTACACTCACTTTTTTGTAGAAAGTTGGTTTTTGGAGGGTTTCTTTGCTTCTGCAGATTGTGTGGTGAAGAGAAGTTGGCAGAAGGTGAATCCTGGAAGATGAGATGTTAAAGGAGTGGCCCACTGGAAGGGGTAGAAAAGGGGGCAGGTAACAGGTTATTTGCATGGGGTTTGGTAAGCCAAGGCCAGGTCTACCCATAGAGCATCCTGAAGGAGACACAAACAGATAATTTCTGGGCTCTCCTCAGTTAAAAGGAGACTGAAGTCTTAGTGCAGGAAGGAGTTCAAGGCCTAAAACCCAGACCTTACAGTGGGTAATGTGGCTTGCTCTGTAGGGAACAGTTGCCTCAAGTGGTGATATCAGCTGTTTCTGGAAACTGACATAGTGAGAGTATAAAAGACAGTAAACCTGCAATTCTTGCCCTACTGCTTTGGCAAATATTTCATTGTTTATGTGCTGCCAAGACCCCCGGATTTCGGGCACACCTCTCTCAGATCCAGTGGGAGCGGTGGAGAGTCACATTCACCCACTGGCTTGATCAGGTGAAAAGATCTCTTTGCACCTTGTATGTGCTGCTTCAGTTGCAAACCAAATAAGAGGAATATTGGACCATGTCCAGGTCATGCATTATACTTGAAAATTATTGAATTCTGGAATTTTACCTAACTCAGGCCTTCAAACACAAGCAGCATCTCAGAAGAGCAGCTCTCCGCTTGAAAGAAGACAGTAGAGAAGATGTGCTAAGGTGCTGTGGCTGTTTTGCACCCTGTATGAGCTATCCACCCCAGTTTACGTTTGGCTTGTTTATACAGAATTATGTAGGCCTTTCATACTTTGCTATAGGTTAAAAATGTCTAACTTAAAAATCATTAAAAGTTCTAGAAATTACTGCAGTTCTTTTTTTCTATTGCACATCTTTTTTGAGAAAGCAGCATATAACATTACCTTTAAGAACATTCAAGGTGTCTTACTCTACGTTTAAATAGGTTACAAATAGATGGAGGGTGAGGGTCCATGAGGACCACCTCTGCATCAGCTCTATGTCCTCAGGCTCTCAGTACAGAGCCTACCTTTCTTTGGTTGATTTTAATTTAATCGAACCGCTCTGAAACCTTCATGAATGAATCCTCATACCCTCTCCTCAAAAGATAAATATTCAGAACAGCTACCATCTTTTACAAACAAACTGAGCAGAATGTGTTGCCAAAATAGGCTTGTTCAAGCTTCCCAGGTTGTGGAAGTTAGTGTGTTCATATTTACTGTGCTGCCCACCATTAAGCTATCATGGAGCATGCGTTTTCCCCACTCACCCAGACATTATTCCTAAAGAGCTATTCTTTGTTGTTGTCAGAACACACTTTAGTCTCTGAGGGGAAAATAAGTTGGTGATTCGTATCAACTGGAAATGATCTTTTGTTTTATGTGAATGAAGCTCTTGTGAGAAAAGGTACAGACGGTCAGAAGGAAAGAAGGAGAGGGATTGCCTGCTGCCTCCCCGCGTGCACACACGAGAGTGGGTGCTCCCACCAGCTTTCAGGGGGCTTTCTTCACGAATGTGAGCACTGATTTTGGGAGATCTGCAGTGGAAAGTCAAGTCATGAATATTTTTTATAAAGAGAGAAATGATGTAATTTTATCACAGAAGATATTTCAGATGTATTTTTCCATTTTAAAAATTCATTGGCAGTGCTCATACAAGAGAATTACTTGAGCTGAAAATGACTCTGTCCAGTTTCTTCCTATTTCGTTAATGATTTTGCAGCCACTGAATTCTTTCTAAAAGTTGTATAACCCAGATAAAGTCAGGCCTCCTGGAAGCCAGCTTCAGCCCAGAGACATACGAAAAGAAGCACCAAATATCACTGAAAACCAATTTAAATTTATACTGAATAATCTCATTCATAAACCACAGCACAACATTCTGAAGCCTGCCCCTCCAAGAATCTATAGCTCTCTGCCACTCTGATGACTTTTCATCTGTCTCTCTTCTACCTCAAAAATCTCTCATCTCTCTCATCTTCTGCAAAACTTTCCCTCCTGCTCAGCCTACTCTGGGCTTTCAGTGCCTCGCTGTATCTATTCTATGCCGCTCATTAGCTTTGCTCTTTCCGATGTCAATCCAGACCGCCACAATTCTCCCACTAACCTCCTCACCCCTTCCCCAATCTGCATCACAAAAGTGCACTAGCCCATCTGGCCAAAGGCAGCTCTCCTCCACCAGGTGGCTTGGGGGTGGGGGCCTGAGATGCTCAAAGGCTAATGCTTTATTCTGTGATGGTTGTTATCTGAGAATTTTTCATTCACCGAAATTCACTTAAGACCAAATCCAATTAAATGAATTAAGTCAGATGCGCATAAAGATCATTAAGATATATTTCTTCCTTAAGACATGCATCCATGCGTGTATGTCTATGCGTTCTCTCTCTCTCTCTCACCTTTGGCCAAATTGTTAAATGTTCAGAAGGCAGTCACACAAATGAAGAAGAGTTTTTGGAATGATCATATAATTTCCTAATCCTAACAGCCATCCTGTAAATCCATAACCGTCAGTCTCGATGGCAGTGAAGAAGTAACTACAGATGAGTCAGCAGACATTTATTCCTAGCCCTGGAAAAACAACTCATGTTTTAGGTCCTCCTGATGATGGTGGAGTTTCATTGATTTCATATACAAAGGAGGGCATGTGAGATACTATATTAGTATCTTTTCATATTTGCTGTTATTGCAATATAGTTTACCCTGAAAAAGAACATCACTGTTTGTGGAAATGATGCATTTTGTGAAGTGCTGTAGTCCTGCAGGTTTTGTAATGGATATCAGTATACAAAGAGAACTTTTCATTTTATCAGAAATTTACTTCACTACCCATTTGTGGGAAACACTAATAAGAGCATGGGCTCTGAATCAGACCACTGGGTTCAAGGCCTGGCCCAGTCCCACCACTCTGTAGATGTACAGCTAGATAACTGTGCCTTAGTTCCTTTTCTTTATGATGGAGACATTAATGGTTCCACTTCATAAAGCTGTTGTCAGCATTAAATGGGTTATATGTGAAACTTTCAGAACTAGATCCAGAACATTGAAAGGGCTCTGTAAATGGTAGCTCTCATTTATCCTCCTCCTCCTCCTCTTCTGCCTCCTCTCCTTCTTCCTCCTACCCCTCTTCTTCCTCCTCCCCTTCCTCCTCCTCCTCTTCCCCTTTCTGCTCCTGTTCACTTTAGTGAAGGAAAATATCCTTGATTTTATTGCTTGGCCTTAATGCTAAGAATATATGTCTAAGTTCTAGCAGAATATCAGCAGGCCTTAAAATGAAGTTACTTTAAGACAAGTTGTAAAGACATTGCATTAATTACCATATATTGGAGAAAAACTTCAGTTTTCTCCTTTTAGATGCAGTGGTGGTCAAATCATCATTTTAACGCAAGATTTCACAGCATTTCCTTTGGATATCACATGAATTCCTAACTTAAGTAGCACAGGGCTGGTATTCTCCCACTGATAAAGGCCCCAGAGAGGTGACAAGAGAGGATATGGTAGTTTTTCTGATGTTATCCATGAAGGCTAGATGTACTTCTAACTTTTGCTCATCTCTCTGTGATTTACAAAGGATTATGATTTGGAAATGTGTCCACATTCTTTCTGATATACTTTATTCCTACATCATCTCCTGAAAAAATTACTTCTTGTGCTTTGTGGTAGGAAAAAAAAAAAAACTGACTTGGTAGTTAAGAGCCTGTCTCTAGACTCAGACCAACCAGGATTTGAGCCCAGCACTACCCTGTGACTAACCAACCAAGGACAAATCTCTCTGCAACTGTAAAAGAGAGTCATGATACTGGCCTCATAGGGTAGACATGAGGATTAAGTCAAAGCAGGGGAGAGGATAGCTGACTAGGACAGCCTTTTATCCTGAGTGGTTACCAAGGATAACAGGAATCCTGCTAGGAGTAATTGAGAGGATTTAGCTGACCTGCGACTTCAAGAGTCCCAGCAGTTCTTCAGTGGGTGGAAAATGAGCAGTAGGAGAGTCAGAGAAGGACTCTTGGGAAATTAGATAAATGTCTCTCAGAACAACCATGCGTGTCTTCCCTTTCTGGAAGTGGCTCTGAATCCTTGGCCACTCATTCTGTTCCTTGATTGGGAATGATTACTGTACAGCACAGGTGTTAAGCCCCCTCCTGCTATAGAGAGCCTTGGTTTGCAGTGCACCTTCCTAAAAGAGTCCAGGCTGGATTTGGATCTGGTTGTGTCTTTTGTCGGAGCTTGTCAGAAGATGAATGTTCCAGGGCCCTTAATGACTGGATAATAGTTCCTTGGTCACTGAATAATGAACCCCAGATGAATGAAGGAAATGTGTTGTCTGGCCTCGGGAATGATGAAATGATTCAGGAATGGGGCCTGCAGGTCCTGGACCTCTTAATTATTAAAGGTGCTGTCGTGACAGAAGCTTTATCATTTTGATCCTTCTTATAGAACCTCTGAACCCTAAGGTCACCCTTTCCTCCTTGCAGCTGAGGGCGCCTTTCATCTTGTGCTCTCAAAAACATGGGCAAGACCCTAGGATTGCTAAGAGACTATATCATCCTGTGCATATGCATCTCAGCTCATTCAGTTCACCCAGAGAGGTCTATACTCAATCTCCACAGCACACAGCTGGGAAGTCACAAAGCCAGGTGCAGAAGAGAAAGGTCTTTTGAAGCCAGTGCTGTGTTCGTTGTAATTCACTGGTGTGCTGTTTCAGTGACAGTTAAAGGAGAAGGAGCTGGGATCATGATTCAGTGGCATTCTCTTTTTCCCCTAGGATAAGTCATGACTGCTCCTCATTCTGAGGACAGTGATGCCTCCTGGTCTTCAGGTGAAGGCATGTCTGTTGGAGGAGGCAGGAAACAAGGCCCTGGGATATGTTGCATCTTAAGCCTCATACCCCCAGCCCCCCGGCAGCTGACCCTTCTTCCCTCTTGAGACTTGCTGTGACTTCTCTGGCTCCTTCCTAGTCTTCCCCATGTGTTCTTCCTCACCTGCCTCAACAGACTGGTCCATCTCAGGATGTATTAATCAATTCCACCTTTGCCTTTTTTCAGAGAGAGGCAGAAAGCCCTGGATTAAGCTGGTTAGGAGTCTCCCCAGAGGAGATGCTTGAGGACAGGCCAGAGGAAAGAGGCTTAGCCTATTAATGGCAGCTTCAGTGCCTGGACACTGGCCAGGGAGGCCATATCACCTTCAGAATGGAGCCTGACTCCTTAGTAAGACTTGTATAAGGTCTTCGGTTCCTGTAGCCCTATCAGCCTTTTCTTGTTACACCTGTCTTACCTCCTGGAATTCTTCATGTCTGCCATGTTGCATGACTTGCTGTTCCCCCCATTTGCTGTGCTCCCTTTGGCTTTGGAATTCACTGACCCCTTGCCCGAAAGCTCCTTCCCACACATAGGAGCTGTGTTCCTTAGGACTCCACTGAGATATATCACGTCCTCCAAGACTCCGCTTAACCTTGATTAGGGGTCTCTTCTTTCTATTCTTATAACCACCACCCCCACATGTGCTTTTCATGGCCATAAAAACTGTACACACTACTTTCTTATTTTCTTACATCCTCTCCTACTCGCCATTAACTCCTTTAGAACAGGGACTGACTGCTTCCTTTCCTAGACATATTCCCAGGGCTGAGTGTTGTCTCTGGCACACAGTAGGTGCTTTATAAATATTGTTGAAGTAAAGAAGAAACACAGAAAGGATAGCAGGGGATAGTGCCCAGCACTTGACTCAAGGACAGAAAGCAGATAGTTTCTTCCATCTTTATGTCTGGACTAAAATCAAGAGGTATTTTTGCTCAGACCTTTTTGGGCCAGAAGTGTCCCCATAAAATGGTGTGATTTGTGGGAGTTCATAGAAGTCAATAAGAAAAACACCACACCTCTAATAAGAAAAAAAGGGCAAAGGATATGAAGAGACACTTCACAAATAAAGAAATACAAATAAATGATCAACACATAGGAAAAGTATCCAGTGTCACTAGTAAATTTTAAAACATTAAACAAAAATAAAAATTAGATACCATTTTCATCCTTCAATTTATTACATATTTTACAAAATGATAATACCCTTTATTAGTGAGGCTGCACTGAGATGAGTCTTACACCACTGTGTTAGTTCATTTGTGCTGCTGTAACAAAATGCCACAGACTGGGTATTTTTGCAAACAATGGAAATTTATTTTTCACGGTTCTAGAGGCTGGGATGTCCAAGACCAAGGTGCCTGCATTTTGTATCTGATGAGAGTCCGCTTGTGCCTTCACATGGCAGAAAGTGGAAAGCAAGCAGGCTAAATTCACGCCTGCAAGGCCTTTTACAAGGGGCTGTAATCCCATTCATGAGGGTGGAGCCCTCATGACTTCATCACCTTCCAAAGGCCCCACCTCTCAATACCACCGTCATGGGAATTAAATTCAACATGAATTTTGGAGGGAACGTCAACATTCAAACCATAGCAACCACCAAGCAATAATAAGCACCACCACAGGGCTTTTCATTTCTTTTTTTTTTCGTTTGCTTGTTTATCTATGATTTAAATGTAAATAAGCATTAGGTTTCAGTAGTGAATAAGGATACAAAAGGCATATGAGAATTGCTGTCTTAGTGACATTAACATTTTTGGATTATGAGGTATCATAAGGGATATTTACAAATATGTACAGTCTTTATACTTCCCCTCGTAGAGATACAGTGGTCAGACACCTTTCATGTCTAGTCTCTGCAAACTTAAAGACATAATTTTCCTGCTTGTTACTTTTAACAAATCATATTTTTAGATTATTAGAACTTAACGTGGCCATGCATGATGGCTTACACCTGTAATTCCAACACTTTGGGAGTCTGAGGTGGGAGGATTGCTTGGGTCCAGGAGTTTAAGACCAGCCTGGCCAACATGGTGAAACCCTGCCTCTACAAAAAATACAAAAATTAGGCAGGCATGATGGTGTGCACCTGTGGTCCCAGCTACTCAGGATGCTGAGGTGGGAGGATCACTTGAGCCTGGGAGATGGAGGTTGCAGTGAGCCGTGATCATGCCATTGCACTCCAGCCTGGGTGACAGGGTAAGAAACTGTCTCAAAAAAAAAAAAAAAAAAAAAAAAAGATGTATCAAGCAATCTTATTTTGAAATGTTTGCCTCTATTAGGTTAATTTGAAGCAAACTCTGGAAGGAACTGAGAATATTTTATACTAAGTGTACCAAAGCTTCTTGTTAGGAAGTTTATAACTACCCTAAAAGTTGCTTAATAATGACTATTACATTGGAACTGACTAAATCACTTTCTACTAGTGAGGACAGTAGTTATCGTTCAGGGACTTCCTGACTCAGGGAATTGATAGTGGTATATGAGGTTCTTTAGCTGAGTCTTTGTGTGTAAGTTTACTCCAAATTTAGAGTCAGCCCTAGTTATCTGTGGTCAGTCAAGTAGAAGATGGGTTCTCAGAGCATTAGTCTTCCCCTCAAGACAGCTGGTTTTCCTTGGGCGCTCTCTGCTGTCCTCCGTCCCCTCTCCTCTACATCCCTGCATCGCTTAGTACAGAGCCCAGCACATAGGTACTCAGACTGTACTGAGTGTACACCTTCCAGATGAGGACAGTGTAGAAGTAAACCATAGTTAGCTATGCTGAAGTGATTGACGCCTTCACTCTTCTCTGCTCTTTAATTCCTCTCCAACAAACTTGTGTTCAACCCAATAAAGATGTTAGGTTCTGACCTATTGCTAGCTACAAAACTAGAACTCGTGGGTCAGACCCCATTCCTTCCAAGCTTTGCAGATAGAAGATCTGCCACGAGGTTACCTTTGTATTTAATAGAACTGACTTTTAAATGAATCAACTAGAGAAATGGTTGCTGGAATGAGTTTGGCATGTCAGGATTATTAAAAAGTTAAAAATTTTCATAGATGTACATGTTCAAGGGAGAAGCAGGAAAAACGGCAGAAACAGACTGTACCCACTACTGTTTGAGATCAGAAGGGATCTTACAGTTTTCTAAAATGATGAAAATTTGAATCTACTCTGACACCTTCTCACGTAGTCTTCTTTTGATCAATGCCACTGAACAATCCCAGCCCCACTTGGATGTAATCTGAGGAATAAAATGCTAAAAATATCACCCAGGCGTTGCTTTTACCCCAGATCTATTTTGACTAGCACAGCCTGCAACTGTTTACATGCAGAGAACAGGAGTCAGCCTACTGTTCCCGACGTGCATTTTAATAAGCCACCTGACAAGATCAACAGGAAGAAAAGAAAAATTGGGAACAGGTGCAAGGAAGCTGGGGGGAGCCGAAGGAAGACAGGTCCTGTGTCTCCCTTCTCTTCCTCGAGTTGGCACGTTTTTCTGCGCCAGGACCCTCTGGCTGTAACGGTGGCTGTCTCCATTTCTTCCAGTGTGGGCTCTGATAAAGGGAACCTAAAGTCTCAAATTAATCCCCCATGTCTTCAACAAAAGGAAAACTGGATTTTGGTAGTGATTGTTTTACTGTCGTAACCCAAAATGCTTCATTCATTCGCTCAGAGGCTGGTTGGTGAGGTAGGACGTTCCTGATGGCTGCCTTGCCTTGGGAATGTGTGGTGCATTTGCTGATGAGATGTCTGTTTCCAGATGGATATCTTCCTTCCCGGCACCAGCCTTTGAGAATGTGACAGACCATTTTTAAATATTTGCTTTGTACAAATTGTGGCCTATTGAAGGATCTTGCCCAGCTTTTTTTGTTTTATACCGTGATGGATTTTGTGCGGTGTGTTGTGTAAGTAATAATGATAGGTCTGGCTTTGTAGTCGTGGCTGTTTGTTTTCTCTTCCTTTGTATCCAATCTTATTGTGTTCCTCTTAACACCACGTTGGCTAGCCAGCCAGGGTTGTTAATGACATGTTAAAGCCTATCTTCTGTCTAAATTGGTGGGGATTCTGTCTTGATTTAAAAAATGGCCTGTGTTTAGAATAATGCTGCTTTGAAAGTCATGTAGCCAGTAGCTTTTCCATTTCATTGGAAAAACATATTGGAAAAGTAGTAATAGTTTGTCCACTACCTTCAATTTAGTTGTGTTCCCTGGAGGGATAAGAAAATGAAGACTGAATGTCACTGGGCTGTTCAGAGTATGTCTGCACTAGTCTGTGGCTTGGCAGACGGGAGAGGACAGTGGGCAAGTGCAAGGGCATCTCCTCCCTAGGAGAAACCTTCACTACACAGTGGGCAAGGGGCCATCTGGGTCTTTCAGAAGGTTCTGCTTAGGTCCAAAAATGTTACCCTCTTCCCCATCCTACAGACAAAATCATAGAATCCACTTGTGATACATAAAGAAATATATATATATATATATATATATATATATATATACACACATGCCATATATATATAGACATGTATATATTCACCTATATATATTTATATCAGTGTTCTGTGTATTTAAATAATTAGAAACTCACCATTAGCAATTAAGTTCACAATTTAGTTCAGTTAAAGTTTATTAATAGTAGGCCAGGCATGATGGCTCACGCCTGTAATCTCAGTACTTTGGGAGGCCGAGGCAGATGGATCACCTGAGGTCAGGAGTTCGAGACCACCCTGGCCAACATGGTAAAACCCGTCTCTACTAAAAATACAAAAAATTAGCCAGGCATGGTAGCAGGCGCCTGTAATCCCAGCTAGTTAGGAGGCTGAGGCAGGAGAATTGCTTGAACCCGGGAGGCGGAGGTTGCAGTGAGCCGAGATCACACCATCACACTCCAGCCTGGGCAGTAGAATGAAACTCTGTCTGAAAAAACAAACAAACAAAAAAATTATTAAGAGTAATTATCTCAGTCTGCCAGGATTTATAAATATTAATGTCCCAAACTGAAGTTAGGGAGGCCCATTTTTACCTTTTTTTTTTACCTTTTATTTTTATCTCTGTGTAATTGTGTTGGGGGCAAATTTGTCAGTGTCTTCTCTTTTTTAATTAGCAATTGTTTTTCCAAATTCTCAGTAAATAATCCTTCATCAAATTTGTCAGTATTATTAATTTACATTCATTTTTGTCTCTTCGAAATACCAAGTTGGTATGTAGAATTCTTTTGTATTGTAATTGTGGATCAGAATCTGCTGATTAACTTGTTAATATATTTAGGACCTGGTATTCCTAAAGGGCTCATTACTGAACCTCACACTAGTCTTTCTAATATCTTTACAAAAAAATAGAATCAATAATAACTCTAAATTGTCAGGTGGAAAAAACAGTTGGCTTAGTGAACATGAAGTCTTTATTCAGATACATGCAAATGTATTACATTCTTAAGAATGATAATTTTGAGAAACATTTGAACAGCATAATTACTTGCAGAAATATTACTGTAACGAACATCTTTGGGAGTTGTGTGTTAAGGGGTGATATGATGAGGAAACCTGAAACTATATTAGAAAGTGGTGTTATAGATACTAAGATAAGAAATTAAATAAGAGTATAGTCTTTTTACCCATTTAATCATAGTTAATAAGAAAATATATTGCAACTTTCTGAACTGAAATATAAACTCTCTTAGTGATAGACAGCTGTCTTTCAGGTGGTTCCTATAGTTAGACATTACTTCATGCTATATGCCAGACAATCGTTAGTTTGTTGGTTGATGATATTTTCTAATTTCACAATTTCTGTGATGTTTCCCACAGATTGGGTTAAGAATGATTCAGAGTCACACCTATTTTTGACTTTAGTGCGCTCAAATCATTTCCTGTTGACAGGAATCTGATGGAAATGTCATCATAGTGATCAGTCTTCTGGAGAACTGAAGCTGCAAGTTTTCCTGAGTTTGTTCTATGGTGTATATTGATACTGGGATCTGTGTTCTCTGTCTGGCTGTTGCGGAGGCTAGGTCCCATCCACATCCCACTATACTCTCCAGCCTTGACTGATGTACCTACCATTTCATCTGTTAGGTATAATAGCTCTTCATGCATATGACTTTACAGAGAGATTGAATTAAAGTGTATATATACATATATATGAAATAAATATATATATGAAATAAATATATATATTAATGTGAAATAATTGCAGACTGCTAAAATTTAATATAGGGATCACAGAAAGAAAAGTCTCAATTCTTCAGTTGTTTCTATTTATCAATATAACTCTTTAGTCTTACTCTGTTTTTTCAAAAGGGAAATTAAAGAATGAATATGTCACTGAAAATTGTTGGCACAGGCATTTTGGACTAATACTCTCTTGGAGAAAAATAAGAATATTCTCTTGAATCTTATCAGACAGTTCTGTGATATGTCCTAGTGTAACATACATTTCAAAAAGTCTTTAGAGATGGAGTATCCTGTTTCCTCTGCAGCATTTGCTCTCTGTGGAAGGACCAGGCAGTGACACTTTGATTAGAAGCATTCGTGATGCTGAGCTTTTTCTAGTAGACAGAGGAGAGGGGCTCATAAAAAGATCTAAGATGCCTAGTTAAGCTTCTTCCAGATTGTTCCAAATGAACCACATATGAAGGCCACAGGTGAAAGGGTCTAGCAAATTACACTATTGGGATTTTCTGACTGACACTTTTCTACTATTGGGAAAAAAATTATAAAATGTGTTTTCTTTTTTTGGCACTCAGATGAGTATAGGATCAAACCAGTGGAAGAGGTCAAATACATGAAAAATGGGGCAGAAGAAGAGCAGAAAATAGCAGCCAGGAACCAAGAAAACTTGGTAAGAATTGATTTTCTCACTTAACAATGAATTTTGGTGACACTATTGTAATAAAATCTGCACTGCATGTTTTAACTGCAACTTACACACTGGCACAAGATTTCTTGAAAATGCTGCAGCTATTTATAGCTTGCCTGGAAGCTGCACCATTACTCCTGTATCCTGTTTGTCTCTGAATAAGCCCTTCTTTAATCTTGATGGGGAATGCTCCATAAAATATAGCAAAATTATTCGTGTTTTAAAATAGCTAAATTTAAGGGAAAAATAATGAAGTAGGATTGAGGTTTGTGAGGGGAGGATTGTTTTAGTTTTGTTTTTTTCTACCTCTTCTAACTCATATCCAAATCAGGATGAATGGTTGTTTCATTATTCTAGACATGTAATGTTGACAAAGTTGCTTTTCAAAGGAATCAAAGGTCATTTTCAAAGGAAAAGCAACTTACTTCAAGATAAGTCTTTCTCCAGA
This sequence comes from Homo sapiens, assembly GCF_000001405.40. Taxonomy (NCBI): domain Eukaryota; kingdom Metazoa; phylum Chordata; class Mammalia; order Primates; family Hominidae; genus Homo; species Homo sapiens. Next base: position 184,508,149 of record NC_000001.11, read on the forward strand.
GAGTCAGTACTTCACATTCACAATATTAAGGGTATTGTGGGTTTTGAGTTTATGTGAGAATTGTGAAGATCTGAAACAGGAAGTTAGGAATCCCTTTTTTGAGTAGGAATCAGTATACACATTCCATCTTAACATCCCATATCTATAAAAACATTTAGCTAATTATAATATAGATGATTTCTTAAAAGCAGTTACAAATTGTTAAGAATATGTATTTAGTTGTATTGGAGCAAAATTGTTTTTGTTGTTTATATTTTATTTTTTGATTACCTATATTTGCTTTTTTCATAACTGAGTTAAAAAGGTATTTTTAAGAAGCTCTCAATGTCATATAATACTTTCACTTGACTTAAACTCGTTTTTTTATAATGTGCTTTGTTTTTGTTTTAATGACTTCTGCTACAGCAGAGGAATTTGGCAGAATATTAAGCAGTGCACAGGAGTATTTAGGGCTGTTATTTTCCATTACACATTTGTGAATATTGGAGGCTGATTCTTTCCCCTAATTCTTTTCTGAATATATGATCTATAACTTGAAATACTGAAGTATCAACAAGTGAATATTTTAGATCATTTTCAAGGAATGAAAATATACTCTAGATAATGAAGTTTTGCTTCATAAATGGGATTTGGATTTTAAAGTATCACTTAAGACACAGAGATTCATCATATCTAGAGTGATAATGTATTTTAACATTAACACTTAAATCCAGGAAAGTAGCTATGACTAAATACTAAAAGTTAATATTACCATACTGCCTACATGGTGTTTATTTTGTTTTGAATGGATAAATCGAAGACCTGAGTATTGAAATATCAGTAGTCATTTTTCTACTTTATTTTACTAAACAACAGAGTTTGTACTTGCTTGATATAGTTTCAGCTTGAGTTATCAATCTCATCCTTAATAATAATATTTACTGTAGAGGCTAGAGAGCTACTTGTGAGTAGTCTGGCAGTGGTTTCTCCTTAAATCTACTAATGTGTGTCTCTGCTTCACATGCTTATGTCTCTAGAACCAAAGAAGCAACACCTTGTATAGTTTGTGAGTTTTTTCTCAGTGTGCTTTCATCATCATATTTAGGACCAGTATAACTTTTTTCCTTCTCTCGCAGTTTTGCAATCTGTCAACTACTTGGTACTTGGTGTATTCTTTTTCAGCATTGTGGTCAGAATCAGACTGAATAGGAATTTGAAAAGAGAAAAATATTTGGTCATTCTGATTTATTTGTGGATTATCTGTGACAAGCCTCGCCCCTTTGCTCTGCCAGCCAGCCAGAGTCCAGGATCCCAGTACACTTCAAGTGTGTAAAGGTTTGCATGGTGAATGGGGAGTAAATAGCTATCTTTGATCTGAAATTTCTAGACTGTTTTCCAAAATTAAGTGACTGTTCAGTTATTTGGTAATTTGTTGTCTTTGTTACCTACTCCATCCTTTGGGGAACATAATCAAGTATTGACCATACACATCATTTGAAAAAATACCAATAGCCTCCTAAACTTGAAGCTTAACATTGGAAGGTGGATAAAATAGATTTAACAATTCTTTTTTTAAATAAAAAACACTCTTTAAAATAAGTATCGAGAAGTTCTTGATACTTATTTTACGAATGATACTAAGATGTAGGTTACAGTGTTTTTTAAAAGTTTATTTAAACTCAAACTGTTGCATTGAAGGGGCTCAGCAAACACAACCAAGGAAGTATGGCATGATGGTGAGGACTTAGGGTTTCAGTCTCAGCTCTGCCACTTGCTCACTGTGGAATCAAGTTCTTTATTTCTCTAAACCTCCCACCCATCACGTGAGGAAAAAACAGTGCCTCATAGTCCTGTTGTGAGTACTGCGTGAGATGATAGTCGTAAGACTGAGTTCAGTGCTTAGCACATGATAAGCACCACCTGTAAGAGTTAGGCATCATCATACAAAACAAAAGGAAAGAATAAAGAGTGTTAAAATCAGGTTTCTTTCTTTTTTGCTTTATGTTACTTGGTGAGAGCTTTCTAAATGAATACTTATTATGTATTTATTTATACCTATTATGTACAAAACACTCACTAAGTTCTGAGAGACACAGAGTACTTGAAGTCACAGTCCTCAAGGAGCTTACGGTATATTTTCGCTCAGTTCAACAAATATTTGATTGCCTCTTGCAAAGAGAGTGCCTTTGCACTAGACTGCAGAGAAACAGATAAATAAGGAAACCACTGATCCTCAGGGTGCTTGTATTGCAGTGGACAAGGTAAGTATGAAATGACTATGAGTAAAACAAGGTGAGATTGAACTTTGAGAAAGAAATACAAAGAGCTGCAGCTATTCAAAGGAGGCAGAGAACTCGTCTATTGGGGCATCAGGACCTACTTCATGAAAAAGCTGACATTTACGATGGGCCTCAAAGTATGGAATTGGGGACAAGTGCCCAAGCAGAAGTAACAGGTGGAAAACATAAGATATATTTAATAAAAAGCACATAGTCCTTTTGGTTGGGAAATGGCAGAGAAGAGGAGTAGGTGTCAGTAGGGAAGCAGTGGGAGATTAGAATCAAAACCCAGATGGGCTAATGTATAGAGCCTTAATGTCCAGCCAAGAGGCCTAAAATTAATGCAGTGGATTAAATGGAGGCTTTGAGTGGTCATAAACTGGGGATTGGTAGAATGGGATTACAATTCAGGAATGTTTATGTGGCAACAGCTGGTGTAATATGGATTTGGTTGGGGAACCAAAATGGGAGACCAGTCACAATAATTTTTTCAAGAGGTAGTAAGTCTGAACCAAGGTGTTGGCAGGGAGAGTAGAAAAGATTTGGGTAAGGTTGCAGAAGTAGAAGCACAAGATTTGACAGCTCATTAGATATTAAAGAAGACCAATGAATCAGGAGATGGTAATGCCAAGATTTAGACCCGCTGGAACGATGATGAGTTGGTGGTGGTGAGAGTAAGTAGTGAGCATAATGATATGTTGAAATCAGTAGGAAGATTGTGTTTGAGGAAAATATAAGGTATCCATCCATTCATTCTTTATTTATTCCTGTTAATCTTTAAAAAGCTCAAAGTATAGTACACAAAAGAAAAAGTTAAACCATGGATCATACAACAATGTAATAAGTGCAGTAACAGAACTTCACCTGTTACTACTAGATTCTTAGACAGTCAGATTATCTGGGAGACAAAAGCACATCATACATAAACCCCCCTTGGGAACCCGCTTTCTGGTAGCAGATAGCAGGCATGTGACCTAAATTACCACAATTCAGGGTACTATGTGAAAATAGAGGTTGGTTTTGAGCAAGCAGAGCTTTAGGAACTTGTAGAACATTCATGTGGAAAAACTCTGGTGAAGAGATGGAAATGAAGGTGTGCAGCTCAGCAGCATTGCTTGAGACATGTCAGGTGTTCAGAATATTTTTGTTGGTTTGAATGAACAGAAGAATGAATGAATAGGCATAGTTGGGCCTATAGGTATACATTTAGATCAAGTTGATGGCTGAATGCTTGATATATTAGTCCGTTTTCATGCTCCTATAAAGACATATCTGAGACTAGGTAATACATAAAGCAAGAGGTTTAACTGAGTCACAGTTCCGCATGGCTGGGGAGGCCTCAGGAAACTTACAATCATGGTAGAAGGGAAAACAAACCCGTTCTTGTTCACATGGTGGCAGGAGAGAGAAGTGCATAGTGAAGGGGAGAAGAGCCCCTTATAAAACCATCAGATCTCATGAGAACTCACTCACTGTCATGAGAACAGCATGGGGGAACTGCCCCCATGATCTAATCACCTACCATGAGGTCCTTCCCCTTACAAGTGAAGATTGTAATTTAAAATGAGACTTGGGTAGGCACACAGAGCCAGACTGTATCACTTGAGTGTAAATGGGGCAGCCAAAAGGAAAAGAAGAGACAATGGTCAAAGAAAGCCTCTTAAGACTCCAAGGTCTACTTCAAGGCCCTCCCTAGGTGGTCTGTGCCCACAGGAGGCTTTGGTTTCTGTCTTGCCACTGCCCTCCTTGCTCACAGCAGGCCTCATCATCAGTGGTTCATTTTTAAAGATTCTCCATTATTCATTCGGATTATATCCAAGTTCTTTATAGTACTTAACACAACTGTTTTGGGATAACTGTGCATGATCTGCTTAATATGTGTTCCTCTTTTGGACTGTAAGCTCATGAGGCTAAAAACTATCTTTTTGGCCTATAGTTAAGTGTCTAGCACCTAAGAGTTCATAGCACCTAGTGGTTGCTCAATAATTGCCACAGACCTCCAGTCTCTTGAGCCTCTTGACATCAGGGCTGTGCAATGGAGAAGATCGTGCTGGTTTTCTGAGGCTGATGATGAATGATTTATATGTCAGTCATTTATGTACTCACAATATGAAGATGTTCATTATCCCAGTTTTCATCACTGCTTAATGTCATATATTCCACTTTGCTTCTCTCAGACTTTAATTCCATCTTAAGGATGGTGGTGTAAAGTAGTAGCATTTGCTTTGGAGAGTATACATAGGTAAGTATCAGTATGGGGCCTAGCTTCACCATTTCTAGCTTTATAATTTTGGCCAAATATCAAAAACTTTCAGACTTCAAGTTCCTCATCTGGAACCTGGAGAATCACAGAATTATTAATTATTGACACAGGGGTCCCCAAGCCTCAGACCCTGGACCAGTACCAGTCGGTGGCCTGTTAGAAACCAGGCCACACGGCAGGAGGTGAGCGGCAGGCGGGTGAGAGACCGAAGCTTCATCTGTATTTGCATCTGCTCCTCATCGCTCACATTACCACCTGAGCTCCGCCTTCTGTCAGATCAGCAGTGGCATGAGATTCTCATAGGAGAACAAGCCCTATCGTGAACTGTGCAAGTGAGGGATCTAGGTTGCATGCTCCTTATGAGATTCTTAACTAATGTCTGATGATCTGGGTGAAACAGTTTCATTCCAAAGCTCCACCCCTTTGCCACTTCACCCTGGTCTGTGAAAAAAATTATCTTCCATGAAACCAGTTCCTGGTGTCAAAAAGGTTGGGGACCACTGTATTAAAGTATTAGAAGAAATTATGTGAGAATATGTTTACAACCTAAGCAAAGGGAGGGAAAGCAAAAGCTATGAAGAAAAAGCTTTCTTTCATTACATTGAAATTAAATATTTTGGTAAAGCAGAATAACTATAAAAAGTAGTTTATGGATGGGCAAAATCCTGGGAGGAAACTTTTATGATAAATAAAAGACAAATGATTAATGACTGGGATTCAGAAGGAACATGTGAATAATTGAGAAAAAGATAATCTGTTAGAAAAATAGATAAATGAACAGATGGTTTACAGTAGAGGACACTGGTTGATAAGCGTATGAAAATACGTTCCGTATCACTAGAACAGTGGATACCCTCTTAACCAGCTCTGCAAATCTCTCTCTGAAAGATACTGGCTGCAGCCAAAGCATGCTTGCCTGGATGGCTGGTAGGCTATTCACTAGAACACCTCTATGCATTTGCTCCCACAGTTAATTGTGTGTTTTCCAAGAGCTGGTTTGCTGGTTCCCAAACTGGTTCATACTGGTTGAATGCCATTGTAATTATGTAATTTAGTTAGATAATATGTAAGCCAATGAAACACAAGTATGGAAAGAGCTGTTTCAGTGAAAATTAAGCCAAATGCTTTGGAAAGTCTTGATGAAGGCAAATTACTAAAAGCTTGGTGTTAAATTCTGTGCTCAGATTATTTCACAAGGTCTTTACGTTCCCTCTTCACATAAGAAACCAAAACAGAGAATCTTAGATGAGATGATGTGATCAGTGCAGAAGGTGAATGTGCAGCCCTAGTCAGTGGTTCCTTGCTTAAAGGAGAAGCCTTGTTCCTACATCAAAAAATGGGAGTGGGCTACGTGCGGTGGCTCATGCCTATAATTCCAGCACTTTAGGAGGCCAAAGTGGGAGGATCACTTGAGGCCAGGACTTTGAGGCCAGCCTGGGCAACATAGCGAGACTCTGTCTCTACAAAAATAAAAGTAAAAATAGAATTAGCTGTGCCTTGTGGTGCATGCCAATAGTCCCAGTGACTCAGCAGGCTGAGGCAGGAGGATCGCTTGAGCCCAGGAATTCAAGGCTGCAGTGAGGTCTGATCATGCCAGTGCTCTCTAGCCTGAGTGACAGAGCAAGACCCTGTCTCTAAAAAGAGGAAATACACATTCATATAATTTAAAAGAAAATCATATATTTAATGTATATATACCTTTAACTCACTAGATTGTTTAATTACCAGTTTGGATGGTGTTGCCTAATAGGACTTTTATTGTAATCAGAGAAATGCAGATTATGACATGATCCCATTTTTCACCCATTAGATTGGCAAAATGTTGAAGTTTGATAATATCAGATTTTGGCCTGATTACAGGAAAATAGGTATTCAAATACTAGTGGTAAACATTTTGAAGGATAGTTTAACAACATCTGTTAAAGTTTAAACATGCACACCCATAACCCAGCACTTCCACATCTTGCTGTCCACCCTAGCAGCTGCCCATGTGCATGAGGAAGCTTGCACAAGACTAGTTCACTACAGCATTGTTTATGTTAGTGAAAATTAGAAAATAACCTCCCTGCTTGTCGATACGAGAATAATACAGCTATATTATACAAGGCAGCAATTAAGAAGAATGAGTTAGAATTCTATGAGCTGCCATGGAAAAATCATGTAGATTGTGGAATGGATATGTATAGCATGATGCCATTTAAGGTTTTATTAAACAAAATAAAACAGCAACACTGTATTTTCTGTGGGTATCCATATATGTATAGTTATTCATAGATTAAAAACTGGGTGGATGTATCCCAAATTACTAACAGTGGATACCTGAGTTGATGGGGAACCTAAGAATGTAAAGACTCAGTTTCCTGCTCTGCAAAATGGGGAGAATAATTGGAGCCACTTTAGTGGGAAGTTATGAAAATTAAATAAGGTATACCTATAACCTCTTTGAACACCTCCTGGCATAGAAGATGCCATTCTTGGCTATTTTCCTGTTACTTTTATTAGTGGAGTTGGGTCAGGTGGGAATGGATTAGAAGAATTGCATGTGGTGGTTAAAGGGGATTTTTATCTTTAAACTTAATGCTTTTAATTTTTTCAAGAAAATATGAGTATATTATCTGTGTGCTTTAAAATTGATTTTTAAAAAGGGAGATAACAATAATAAAAGTCCAATATTGACTACTTGGGAATCTGCAAGTAGAATTATGACATTTTCTCTTTATCTGACATGTCCTCAGTTTTTAGTCATCTCTGAAGTCTGATTAACAGATTAGGACTGTTAGAACACAGTTAGAAGGAAACTCAAGAATCACCGGGCGTCGTTACGTAGGTTACCAGTTTTGCATATAAATGATTTAAAAGTATATTACCCCAGACTTGGCAGTATTCAGATTCCTTGGCCTCTCTAAAGTAAGTATTTTGGCAGATAAAGGACATTCCCATTTTAGTTTTTAAGTGTTCCTTCTTACTATAAAACAAAACATCATTTAAGGAAAATATTAAGGACATTAAGGAAAATTATTGCTTTAATTAACATTTGTCATTATCAGCCCATATTCCCTTAAGAATATTAAGCCATTTGATGATGGATTTTTTTATTTGTTTGTTTGTTTGCTTGTATTTCCTAGCTTTACACATATTACATTAGTTTTCATTTGTTTGTTTGTTTTGAGTCTTGCTCTTGTCCCCCAGGCCGGAGTGCAATGGCGTGATCTCGGCTCACTGCAACCTCCGCCTCCAGGTTTAAGCAATTCTCCTGCCTCAGCCTCCTGAGTAACTAGGATTACAGGCACCTGCCACCACGTCCGGCTAATTTTTGTATTTTTAGTAGAGATGGGGTTTCACTATGATGGCCAGGCTGGTCTTGAACTCCTGGCCTCAAGTGATCCACCTGCCTTGGTTTCCCAAAGTGCTAGGATTACAGACATGAGCCACCATGCCCAGCCTACATTGGTTTTTGATTTACTGTTTCCAGGTATCTATGTATAAATGAAAAGATTGTTTTCTCTTTGATGACATACAACATGATTGGTTGAGCTTTTGATTTTAGTCTTATCTATAGAGTTGAGGACTAATTTGAAACACCCTTTCACAGTCATCAATTCCTGAAAACAATTATATGACAAAATTAAAACAAACAAAACAGGGTGTTTTAATATGCATTAGCAGTAAAGGAGATTGAAATCAAGTTTTAGGCATGACTACATCCCCCGCACCTATGGAGCTTATGAGAGTTTCCTTACCTATCTCCAATGCATTAAATTTCCATTACATGTCAGGACATCTTTACTGGATTAGTCCATTTTCATGCTGCTGACAAAGACATACCCAATACTGGGCAATTTACATAAGACAGAGGTTTAATTGGACTTAAGTTCCACGTGGATGGGGAAGCTTCACAATCATGGCAGAAGGCAAGGAGGAGCAAGTCCCATCTTACATGGATGGCAGCCGGCAAAGAGAGAATGAGGAAGACGCAAAAGCAGAAGCCCTTGGTAAAACCATCAGATCTTGTGAGACTTATTCACTACCATGAGAACAGTATGGGGGAAACTGCCCCCATGATTCAATTATCTCCCACTAGGTCCCTCCCACAACACATGGGAGTTATGAGAGTACAATTCAAAGTGAGATTTGGGTGGGGACACAGAGCCAAACCATATTAACATCCAGCTGCAGAAATGAAGACTTGGAAATTAGGAGGCATCCCTGATCAGATGAAATGCTTCAGAAGCTCATATGAGCTCTTTGGAGCAGTGGCATCCAGTTGGTGAAAACTGGGAAGTGGCCCTGATCCGCAGAATAAGCTGTGGTTGAAGCAGTACCCTGTAAGGGGGCTTGTGTTTTCCGAAGCATTTGATTGATTGGCAGCCTGAAACATAAACCAGAGGATATTCTGCAATTCCATTCATTCACTGTAGGTCAGTAGGAAAGCCAAGAGCTCAAGATCACGGTCGTCATATTACTCTATTTGTTAGAATATAACTTGTGAGGAATAAAAGGCTTGTAAATGAATGTTAAAACTTTCAATCACTAATAAAATGTTTGTTATAGTAATATACATTCCCCTGTAGATATTCTCATATTTAGGAACCCTCTACAAGTCCATTTGAACTCTTTAATAAGTACTATGTTTACTTTTCCTATGACTCTGTAGAGCAGCTAATATAACAGCAAACTGACTTTTCTGTGTAAAGGTTGTTCCTGATTATCTTAGAAATGACTATTTACCTTTGAGTTCTCACTCTCAAATGCAAGGTCAAGTAATTATTTTTAGAGACCAACTAATGCAAAAGACCATGACTTTGAATAGCCCCAATTTCCCAAGCCACTTGTACATCCTTAGCACTTTTGAGAATAAAGTGAAAGAAACCAACAAGAGTGAAATAGGCAAAATGTCAAGCTATGTGAAGTACTACTTCTCTTCTCACTCTCTCCTTCTAGGGACAGATTGGATTTGAGCACAGGCTGGGTGGGGCTGGGATGAATTATAAGAGAGAGTTCTGGACTTGAGGGAGGTACTTCATAGTTTGGGGACCTCTAGAGGACTGAGGTGTTCCCCAAACTAAAGTGAAGATAGATAGTGATTCTAGGTATCTGATTCAGATAAGATATACCCTTTCCTAGACAGTTTAATAAATACCATTTTAAAGCATCAGATTCATCCCCAAAGATCTCATGGTTCTAACTCAGTAGTCTCTCTCCTTATTCTCTCATGCCTTATGTGATGGTGACATCAGCCTGAACTTCTTCCAGATAATTAAAGGAATAGTATCAGGATCCCAGACACCATCTACCTGAACATTTAGTTTCTTAAGGGAATAACCTTACTCGCAGGAGTCATTCTATTCTGTTTGTTGTGGCATAGAAGGTATAAGAGAGAAGAATGATACCCCTTCATTGATCTTGGAAGACTTCCTATATCCAGCTAGCATTTTTGTGTTACATGAGCCAAGCACATTCAAGGTCTTAGAGATTATTCTGGCATTGTGGTAATTTGATTTAGAGTAGAGCTGGAGTAGAGTTTAATTCTCTAAGGATGAGAGATTTATTAAATCAGTCTTCCAAGTTTTAAGTGTTGAACAGAAGCAAAGTTTCTGATTCGGGAACAGAATACTGGGAGAATAAAATAATGCACACAAAATTGCTTTGTAAACAAAAAGCCCAACAAATTATAATGATTATTGTTATTGCTAGTTAAAAGGACACCTGGCTTCATTTCTGTTCATTGCTATTTTGTAGTGGAAACAAAGTTATGGCACAGCATGCTTGTGGGTGTAGGTAAGAGTTAATACCTACTTCCCTTGAAGAAAGAGTTATATCTTCATATCACACTTCAATCTCCTGTGAAGAAAGGATGATATTAAAGTATATCTCAACTTAACATACACAGAAATTAATGACTCCGGTGGCTTTTGAAGCAACTACATGACTGCAATCCTGTTTTAAATGTTTTTTTCTCTTCTACATGCTCAACACTGAACTGACCATATTCAGGTGAACACAGTGTTAGTGTCCCAGTACAACATATCTCTTGAATCCATTTCTATTTCAGTGTACTCTCACTGCCATTTAGGCATAATATAGGCACTGAAAGTGTGTAAGGATTGACAATGCACAGTTGCAACTCTCAGGAAACTCAGGAGGAGATAGATAAACATACTGTGAGTCTCTGATGGAGGTTCTTGAATGAGAACAGGGCCTCAAATGAGACCAGGTTTTCATTGGCATATGAAATTGGGAAACAGATTTCAAGCAGAAGGAATAGTGTCACCCCGGCATGGAGACGTGGCATGAATAACGAAGTGGTTTGGGAGGCTGATGGAATAATTTAGGAAGTGTTTATTTGGCTAGCTGGGTGTTTTTTTCCTGTCAGCACATTAATTTTTGGTTTACCAATAGTCACATTGTTTGGCCAGTTTGCAGTATTTGTAACGACAGAATAAATAGAACAGACCTCTGCTGGTCTAATTTAAAGATTGGGGTGTTGATAATGACTTCCCTTTTCCCAGCATTGTTATAAAATGTGATTGCTTTTAAACATGCTTTCCTTAGATGCAGGGTGCTATCTAAAAGTGGTTGAACAGATTTACTCTTGACCTCCTCCTGTCCAGTAAAGGATAGCATCTAGTTTATCCCCTGAAACTTTCCTGTTTAACTTTTGGAAATACAGCAACATAAACAATACTTTAGATTTCTGGCCTCTTCTCTAAGAGCAGGACCCTGATATTTAAGTAGAAAGTAGAAAGAAGCTCTCTTCAAAGCTTGATCCTGTTTGATCTACATGGTCATTTTAGATAGTGGATTTATTTATCTCACTAAAACATGAGCATTTTTTATATGCAAGTGGCCCCATTGAGACACCTGAGTCGGGGGAAATGAGTGACAATTGAGAGGGCCACCTTTAAGGCTGGGCCACTGTTACTAGAGTACCCAGAACAATAACACAGTGGTGTTACTTTCTGCAGGTTGTTCAGATTTCTCTCTTATTCCCTATGTGTTGCTAAAAATAAAACCACAGCATATAAATTTCACTCATCTATTGGCAAACTCAGTGAGGTAGCTTCACCCAACATTAATAATTTATGCCTTGGAGGTGAGAGTATCAAAAGCAACCATTATGTTTCCAGGAGTCTCGGCTCCGGTAAGCATCTCTTCCTGTCGACTTCATTTGTGAGCAAATAATACCCAGTATTAACGGAGATACAGGATTCACCAGCCTTATGATTTTTATTTTTACCAGGTTTTTGGTAGTTCTGAAAATGGAGTTTATTCTTGTCATCCAGAAAACATAGAAATAAATAATGAGGCATAAAAATTTCATACATCTTCCTTGGAGGGAGGAGGAATATTGTTTAGCTTGTCAACATTATAATAAGTATATGAAGGTACCATTATAAGTGCCTGCTTCATGTTCATAATAGGATTAATGTATTTACTCAGTGCTCTGTATGATAACAGATGCCAAATTTCTTCCTTCTTTGAAAAGTAAAACAATTGATAATGACAACAATATTTCCCAAAATGTAATGAGATGACTCCGTTTTTTGGTTCCTGTTCGAGTGTAATGGTACATTACAGAGTCTCATTTACTGGCAAACTTCTGCTTATAACTGGATAACTTGAGAGCTTGCTTAATTTTAGGCAAATACTTCTTTTAGAATTTTTACAGTTGAGTGCATAAAATGAGACAGGAATCTGGTGAGTGGAACTGGAATATGAGGTAGGGCTTGGTCTCAGAAATGAAGCTGAAGATTCATTATTAGCACATGGGTCTGACATTATCAGGCCAGGTTTCCTTTGCTTCTCCTGAGTATGAGGCACAATGAAACCTAAAGGAACAGCAGGGAACGCCAACTGCAGACAAAGAGAACAGAGAATCTCATTCTAATGATTCACAGCGATGCCTTACTGCTCATAATGTTTCAGCTCAAATCAAACAATCTCTGCTGGCCAGGAGATGGCCATCTAGTGAGACAAAGTAAACCACCCATAGCTAATGGATTGGTTTACTCCTGTTATTTTCTTATTTATTGTACTTTAAATAATTGTACTTTATTTAATTGTACTTTTAAAATTAACCTTTCTCTGTTTGTAAACATACTACTTGCTTGAATTACTTTAAAACATACTTTGGGAAATACAGAAGTGAATAAAAAATAAAATCAGGCATAAACCCCATAACAATCATTTATGTTTTTATGCCTAATATAAATAGAAATACAGAAATATAACTTTTTTTTTGAGATGGAATCTCGCTCTTGTTGCCCAGGCTGGAGGGCAATGGCACGATCTTGGCTCACTGCAACCTCCGCCTCCCGGGTTCAAATGATTCTCCTGCCTCAGCCTCCCGAGTAGCTGGGATTACAGGCATACGCCACTATGTGTGGCTAATTTTGTATTTTTAGTAGAGACAGTGTTTCTCCATATTGCTCAGGCTGGTCTCGAACTCCTGACCTCCACTCGCCTCGGCCTCCCAAAGTGCTGGGATTACAGGTGTGAGCCACTCACTGCACCCGGCCAATATAATTTTTTTTCTAAACAAAATAGATCTGAATTTCTTACAATGCTAAACATAATCTTACCATATGTCTAGAAATCGTGCTCCCAGGGTATTTTCCCAACTGATTGGAAAAACTGTAACCATACAAAAACCTTTATGTGAATGTTGGTAACAGCTTTATTCATAATCACCAAAAACTGGAAGCAACCAAGGTGTCCTTCAATAGATGAGTGGACAAGCTGTAGTACATCCAGACAATGGAATATTACTTAGTAATAAGAAGGAATGAGCTACCAAGCCATGAAAAAAACATGGATAAGTGCATATTGCTAAGTGAGAAAAGCCAGTCTGAAAGATACACACTGTATGATTCTACTTGCATGATATTCTGAAATAGGCAAAACTGTAGATTTCCAGAGATTTGTACAAAAAAGAAGGGTGTATAGGTGAAGCACAGAGGATTTTTCTTTTAGGATGGTGAAACTATTCTGTATGGTACTGTAATGGTAGGTACATGTTACTATACATTTGTCAAAATTCATAGAGCTTTATAGCAAAGAGAGTGAAATTTAACGTACATAAATTAAAAACACAAACAAAAATGAAAGCCTGGGGATCTCGGTATAGAATGCAGACTGTGACAAAAGAGTCTAACAGTATTACAAATATGTGAAATAAACTTACTGAAGGAGATTGAGGGAAAGATGCTAACCTAAGTAACTTTGGAAATCAACGAAGACTGTGAGACCAAAACTAAAAGCAACCATACATAAGCACTGTACTAATTTTTACTATGGAGGTAATAATTAACAATTCTGAAAACACTATAAATGTATACTGAACTGAACAATTAAATATTGGCTACTGGATGGTGAAGCCAGGTTTCTCACTGTTGGAGTGGGAGGTTACAGATATTTAACAGGGGATGGCTAGAATGATCCTGTGGCAATAGATTAGAGTTAGAGATGTCAGTATGAATTGATGCTTAGCTTAATATAGATACAGATGGAAACATGGAAAAATATTAATAGATATTTGTACATACATGTGTAAATACATATAATGTATATAGGCATGTATATATGTATAGATACATGTATTTATACATGTGTATATGGTTGCAAAAGTGTAGGTACATGTATGTATACACTTATTTTATTGCTCTGTCAGTTGAGAGGGCCTAGAAGCAATGACACCCCAGTAGCAATAAGCATACCCACATCCAGATCTTGTTTCTAATACCATTCTCCAATAAAAGGAACTAGGGCTTCTTGAAATGTCTGAGTCTAGGGCTGGAGAATATGTAAGAGGCTCCTGGTGCGTCTTGTAGTGTCAGAAAGTTAGGAAGTGTGTGTATGCACATACACACAATATGATGGGATATGTCAAAGGGATACGGGAGCCCACTGAAAAGCTCCAGTGACCAAAGCTGAAATAATTTGAGCAACAAAATATGTAATGTAGTGTTAGATTACACTATTAATCTAGTGGAGAATACAAACTATATACTTTATTTTGTATTGTATTTATTTTTGAGACAGAGTCTCACTCCGATTTGCCCAGGCTGGAGTGCAGTGGCGCAATTTTGGCTCACTGCAGCCTTGAACTCCCAGGCTTGGGCAATTCCCCCACTTCAGCCTCCTGAGTAGCTGGGACCACAGGCATATACCACTATGCCCAGCTAATTTTTTGTATGTTTTGTAGAGACAGGGTTTTGCCAGTTGTCCAGGCTGGTCTTGAACTCTTGAGCTCAAGCAATCCACCTGCCTCGGCCTCCCAAAGTGCTGGGATGACGGGCATGAGCCAGTACGCCCAGACTTACAAAGGGTACACTTTATACAGAGTATAAAATAAATATCCATGAGTCCATACTGATGTAAATGATTGAATAAATACATGCAGGCGAATTGATAAATCTGTGCAGAGTAATTTCATATCATTTATGTAGATAGTCTACCCTTGAGGAGGTGGAACATTACTTCTCAATTAGTAAATGTAGATTGCGCATAATGACTTCGTTGCAAGAGTACAGTATGGAAATTAGGAAAAAATGAGAACTTTACAGTGGAGAAACCTGACAATACCTCAGCCAGGTGATCAAAATTAATGTCAGTAGTGATAAGTCATGTTAATAGCATGTATCCTTGATGTGCTGTGATGAGAATGGCATTTTATCTCTGTGGTCTTCCACCCCAAACCTTGAGCTTCAGTATAATCATGAGAAAAATGTGCTTCAATTGAGGGGCATTCTACAAAATATCTGACTGGTACTCCTGAAAACTATCAAGGTCATCAGAAACAAGGAAAATCTGAGAAACTGTCACAGCCAAAAGGAATCTAAGGTGACACAGCAATTAAATGTGCCATGGTGTCTTAAATGGGATCCTAGAACAGAAAAAGGACACTAAATAAAAACCGTAAGGGAGTGTCTTATCAATGTTACTTGATTAATTGTGACAAGTGTATTATCTAATGTCAGATGTTACTAGAAGAGAAAGCTAGGTATGGGGTATATGTAAATTCTCTGTACTATCCTCACTTTTGTGTAAGTCTAAAACCGTAATTTAAGGTATAAAATTTGTTTAAATATGAAAAAGGACCTATACCATACACACTGTGAAATGCCATTTGAATATGCCATAATTTAACTAATACTTTAATGAACAGTGTTCTATAATACTTTGTATCTCCAAGCATTCCATGAGGATAAACCACTTTATGTAGGGTTATTGAGACAAAAAGGTTTTTTTGATATGTACTCCAAATGAGCCTCCCTCCAAAAAAGAAATCTTACGTCAACTTGTCTTCCCACCACCAAAATATGAGCATGCTGATTTCTTTTGACTTTTTACCACTACAGGTAATTTTACAAGTTTCAGTTGTTATTTATAAACAACTAGTATCTTTTTGTTTTGATTTGTACTTTTTGATTACTATAGTAATGAGTTTGCACGTTCTAAAATGTGTTTATAAGCTGGAGTGTAAGGTCCACAAGGGTGAGATCCTTGTCTGTTTTATTCAGGACCTGACAAAGAGCAGGTACTAATAAATATTTGCTGAACAAATGAATATACTGTATTTCATACATTTCCCTTTGACTGGAATCTTAAGTTTTCCTTTCATTGGAATCTAGAAAAAAATTAGAACTAAAGACTTTGTTAATTCTATTCTTACGTATGAATATAAAACTATAAGACTGGGTACCTTCATGGAGAATTCCTAAGTAATGACCTCCTTAAACCTTACTTAGATAAGTTGACTCATCCTTTATTATGTTGCATTTGAATTTGAGCCAAGATTGTACCCCACAAGAACATTGCATAAGATGGAAAAAAATCATGACATTGGCTGGAATTGTCCCAGATTAAAATATTCTTCTAAAATCACTCATCTACTCATCTATCTGTACATTCTTCCATTCAGTTAGAATATAGAACTGGGTTTTTTTATATAGAACTAGGGTTTTTTTTAATGACTTTGAAGTATTCATTAGTTATTCCAACAGTATTGAATTAGACAAATAAATACAGCTGGACAGTATAGCTTCACTGGCTGCTAGATGATTTACGTCATTCAACAAATTTCAAACCCCTAAAGAGGAGCACCCTTCCTCAATGATGTGGACTAGGAACATCAAAATGTATACGGTTTCTGCTTCAACCTAAAGGCAGCTTGTAGTCTAGTAAATGATGAGAGAATTGAGCAGGGACTAAAATCTTTAAGTGGGCATTATTGGTTTTATTATAGAAAATATTTTCATAGCTTACTTCTTAAAATATCCATTAGTCTGAGGAGTACATTGAGATTACCTCTTAAAATAACAGTATTTTCTGAGTTGGAAGAATGGCAAATTTTTTTCTCCCTAAAGAGTGAAAGTCTCTTACACATCATGTTTTTGCAGTATGGTGATATTTTGCATTGTTTAGGCAAAAATAAACATACCTGCAGGGATAAACAGAAAAAAAAAACTCTTGTTTTAAACATAGGGTTAACCATTAAAACCTCTATTTTATTTTTATATAAATTTTGGTTATTCTTGTAATTATTCTTGGATGATTATTCTCATACCATTGGTTTCCATGGAAAGTTGACTTTCAGTGATAACATCTTAATTTGTCATCGAATTATCATAAAATGTATATAGTGTGCTCTTCCTACTATATTTCAGTGTGATTGAATTATGATTTTCCAACTTTACTAGTTTTAATTTTATTCCTTTCTTTGGTGACCTCTTTCCTTTCCATCATTTAGCTTTTCTATTTGTTTGTTTTTAAGCCAAGAAATCATCCGTATCATCACTGAGAAATATTGGCTTGGGGTTCCGACTGTATAATCAAAAGCCATATCAAGGTTGTGATATGCACAGGAACTTAGTGATCTGATCATGAAACACACCTGTAGAATAACCTATGAGAGAAGTTTGCTGGTGTTAACTGACCAGAAGGATATGAGGGATTATCTCTGGGTGGTAGGGTTATGGGAGATTATTTTTAAAATTCTTTTCTACATTTAAAAAGGTTTGCCCCTTAGTGAAAGGTATTACTTTACAACTCAGGAAAATAAAATTATACAAAAAGCATTTAAAACACAAGGATTTACAGCTGGGCAGAACAGCAGGCTTTCTGCCAGATCAAAAGCCTGTTGCTTTTCTTCTTATAATGGACATTCTGTGAGAGGAAGGAGAATGTCCAGTCACCTAATTTCCATCTCTGTGGAGCATCAGTGGAAACTTCATTCTGCTGTAGATGGTAAATTAATGATTGTAGCAATATATAATTTCAGGACTTTATAAGGTAAATACATTCACCATGTGGACAAATTACTTTGGCTTTTTAGTTCTTTAAAAGATACAGTGGAAGTACTGTTGTGAAGCTATTCCCATTATTTAGGAAAGTGGCAGTCATTTTAAAATTGTATTGTTAGAGTTAATGACAGAAAATGTTGAGTTAACCATATTGTCCAAGGAATGGAGTGTGCTGATCATTCTTGCCTTATTGTTGAAGGTTTTCTGAAATATATTTGCTTTCTCCTTGTTAGTAAATACAGGATTTTAAACATTAGTGAATTTTTCTTCATGATTCAATATCTTGCTTTGCCTTAAGGTCACTGTTAAAAACACCAAAAAACTGAACAATAGAATCAGAAGCTGAGGATGTTTGACTAATTCTTTGCTAGCCTTCTGACATCCCCTAGAAAATATTTTTACAATAATTTCTTTTATACTAAACCTACAGGTATTTTTGAAGCATCCTCCCATCCCCAGCATTTTATTCTTTTACTTGGGATCATTAGTGCTGAATTCTCTCTTAGCTTGGGTAGAACTTGGCAGGTAATACAAATATAAAGCAGGTTGTCATCTTTCTAAAGCTGGTCAGGGACTAAGTCATGTTTTGGCTATTGTTTTAAAAAATGAGAATTGTTTGACAACTTTATGGCCAACTAACTCCAAGTATATCTAATAATTTTGCAAAAACCTACTCTGTTTTCTGGATTAAAAATAAAAGCATCAGCTTTGGAACATAACACTTACCGGTAGCCTATTCATTGAGAAATAGCCCAAAATCTGAATAGAATGTTTATAGAGGTAAGGAAGGGAGAACCGAGGGAAAGAAAAGGTCTCAACCCCCTTCATTCATTCATTCATTCATTCACTCCCTCAACAAGTATTTATTAATCACCAGCTACCTGCCAGCTACTGTCCTTGGTTCTGGGTATTATAAGTAAAACCCGCAGTCCCGTCCTTAAGGGGCTCACTGTCTAAGAAGGAGGAGGCAAGCCAGTAAGCAGGCAGTTTCCATGAAGTATGCTAATGGGCCTAACAGGGAAATGCATCATATTATACACACATAACCCAAACTTAGAACATCAGGGAAGCCTTCTTAATGGAGGGGCCCCCTTTATGCTCTCATTTAGCTAAACTACCTTCAGCATCAAAGCTCTGTGAAAAACAGTATCGAGAAATACCATGTCCTGATGCTTAATCCTTTGTACTTAGCAAATGATGCTCCAGTGTTGACTGGTGAGTCTTGGGAATATCCTCTATGCCAGAAGTGTTTGTGCATTCACCAAGTAATTGTTGGGTCCTTATCAAGTGTGGCAGCTATGCTTAGAACAAGGAATACAGCAGTATACAAAATAGCATAAAACATGGTCTTTGCTTTTGTGAAATTCATAGTCTGGAAGAAACAGGCTGGTAAAGGAGCATAAAAATAATATATTACACACTGACTTATAAGCACAAATTAGTGTCTAAATGACAGCAGATGAGGGAACAATTGATTATGTCTCAGAAGGTATGGGAAAGTGGAGCCTTAAGGGCTGAATAGGTATTTAAAGAAGATCAGGTGAGGAACAGCGGGAGCAGAGGCCAGGGACTTAAAAGATGAGGGTGTCCACCCAGAACTGTCCCAGATTTGGAGTGATGGGACCGGGAGTAAGGTTCGGGTTGTGAAAGACTTTGTATACTCTCCTAACAAAATGGGACACGCTGTCCTACTGTGGTGAAGAACCTGGCTGTGAACTCAGAGAAACCCAGATTTAGATATAGGCCCTGTCACTTACTAGCATGTTACCTAACCTCTCTGAGCCCAACTTTTCTGAGTCCTCAGGAAAGTGTAGTTTATAGTAACTACCTAACAGGATTGTTGTAAGGGCTATCTGAGATAAGGTCAGGAAAGCACTAACACAATGCTTGTCACATAGCAAACACTTAATAAATGTTAGCAGTTAATTTTATTTACAGTTTTATCCCATGGACATTGGAAAGCCATAGAAAGTTATTATCTTGCTGTTGTCACCCCATATTCCAGAACCTCTTTGTGCATCCTGTTAAAATATTGTTTTGATGATTAAACAAGTTAATATTTGTAAAGTGCCTAGAACGGTGCCAGGTATATAGTAAGTGCTGTGTAAGTGTTTATTCCATATTTTAAGTTAATGAAATCTGCTAAGCAATAGAAATAAAATTTTTCCACTTTACAGATGAGTAAGCAGAATTCAGATAAGTTAAACTTCTTTTCTAAAGTAATATAACTAGTAAAGTATGGAACCAGTATTCAATCTCTGTCTCATTTCATATTATAGCAGCTGCACCTTAAAATATGATTTTAAAAGACATACCTAGTCCTATCATCACAACACATTTTTCATTTTTGTGAGATGCTTTCCATCTTTGCCCAGGTGCAAGTAATAGTTTTTCCAGAATTGTAGGCATAGCCTGCATAAATTTTGCATTCCACTTTTTTCTTAGCATTATATCATTTTCCTTCTTTTCTTTTCTTTTCTTTTTCTTGAAACAGAGTCTCACTGTTGTCAGCCCAGGCTGGAGTGCAATGGTGCAATCTCAGCTCACTGCAACCTCTGCCTCCCAGGTTCCAGCAATTCTCCTGTCTCAGCCTCCCGAGGTGCTGAGATTACAGGCGCCTGCTACCACGCCCGGCTAATTTTTGTATTTTTAGTAGAGACAAGGTTTCAGCATGTTGGCCAGGCTGGTCTCGAACTCCTGACCTCAGGTGATCCACCCGCCTCAGCCTCCCAAATTGAGCATTATATCATTTTCTATTTTCCTTTATAGTCATTGTGTTAAATTTTAATGGATGTGTAAAAGCACATCAAATTGATTTTCCTTAGCTTTTATCTTGCTGTTGGGTATTAGTCTATTTCCTGTTTTTTGTTATTATATATTACATAATACTTCTGTAAGCATATTCCCAAATACAGCCATTCTCTTCTGTTGATTTATTTCCTTAGATAAGTTTCCAGGAATGGGATCATTGGATTGATGAATATGAATCGTTTTATTGTTTTGGACATATATTGCCTGGTGCCTTCCACCAGCAGTATATGGAGATTGCCAATTTCAACACTGAGATAAGAGGCAGAATTGATACCCTTACTAGCAATGAGAATTTTATTTTTTTTAATTCTTGCCGATTTACTTAAGAGTAAAAATGATACCTCAAGGCCATTTTATTTTTTGCATATTTTGATTATTCTTTAAAATAGATTGCTGGCTAATTTATTTCCTACTCTCTTTTCTGCTTTCTTTCTCCTCTAGTTTTTATTATTCAATTAGTAACATTTCTTGAGTGTTTACTTTGCACCAGATCCTGTGCTTCATGTTTTGAATACAAATGTGAAGTGAAAGATACAGGATTTTATGTCTGGTAGGGGAGATATTTGAGCAAATAGACTTCAGCTTTATGTGATAAGGACTTTGATAGGTGTCCACATATAATAAGAACATAGAGACATGGAGGAGAAGAACAATCAAACTTCTTGGCTGTCAAGATATTTTGAAACATATATAGATTCTATCTGTACATATGTATTTATGAGTATACTTAACAGGAAGTTGCATACAGATATGTGTTTGCACATGCACCCATGTGTATCAGACAAAAATCTGGAGATGTATCATATTGGATCATTATTATCATGGGATGACAAAAGGACCCATGCCCAAAGATAGGAGCAACGACAGATAAGAAGATGGACAAAGAGCAGTCCAATAAAGGAGAATGAAAGAAAAAGGCAGTCAGGTGGGAGGAAAATCAGAAGACAGCAGTGGAAGGAAGGAATTTAAAGAAGTGAGGAGCGGACCAGATTGGGCTACTTAGAAGTCATTGGGTCTGATATCTTTTTACCTTTGAATGCCATTTGGAATGTGAATATCTTGTCCCTATGTGGGTATTAACTTAGTAGAGAAGAAGCCTGGGCTTTAGGGTCAAATAGACCCTGGTTCAGATCATGGCTTTGCAACTTATTAGCTGCATGACCTTGGCCAAGAATCTTAACACCTTTGCACTCTTTACCATATCTTACTTTTACACGCTTCACCTTTAAAATATCTTACAAGGGTGCTAGAATTAAATGAACTGATGTCTCTAAAATGCTTAATGCAATGCCTGGTACATAATAGGTCCTTTGCAAATAGTAGATGCTTTAGTTATTAGTAATCTAAATATAGTAGTTATTATTTTAAAACATATCCCATACATGCTCTATTCTTCTAGTCGTAACTAGTCTTAGAGAGGTAGAAGAATGAAGTAGTTAAGAGCCGGACTAAATCTCAGTTATTTAGCTCTGGGCCTTGGACAAGTTATCTCTCTGGGCCTCAGTTTCCTCATCTGTTAGATGGAGACAATAATGGCACCCACCACATAGATTTATTTTTAGCATTAAGAATGGTGCCTGCTGCATAATAAGTGCTGCATCAGTGATAGCTTTGATGATGACAATGATGATGATGACAGTGATGATGAAGGCAATGATGATGATGATGATGACAGCTACATCTTTGGACCAAATAACTTTACTCTATTTTAATAATATAAGTAATTCTGTGCCTTTTGAGTTCTTTTTATGCTTTCCCTTGGTCATACTTCATTAATTTCTCCCGAGAGTCTTAAAAGTCTCTTTTTTCTTTTTTCTTTTTTTTTTTTTTTTTTGAGCTGGGGTTCACTTCTATTTCTCTTTTGTCTATTTTGTTTCAATATTTTCATCAGCTATTAGATTCATCAAGCCCAACACTTATGACTTTTTTTTCCTTATAGCTATTTTTATTCAGCAACTATCCTACCTTGAATTTATGATCTTGCTTACTTATTTCCAAGTGGAAAACTGACTTCATGATCACCCATACCCTACTGAACGTCAGTATCCTCCCTTTAAGAGATTGCCCCTTTTCTTCTGGTATTTGGGGCAACAGTCTTGATATTTGTAGAAATGGCATTGTGGTAATATTGATGCAGGCAGAAACATTTTGGGATACCTACGGCCATTTAAATATTATGTAGGTTTTACCCTCTTCCCAAGTCCCCAGTCCCTATACTCCCACTCTCCTGTTTTCTCATTAGAATTGGTTTTTACAGCGGGAAAAACTAAAGCTATACAAATTTCCACCTGTTTCAAAGTGATCTGGTTTTAGACTTAAAAAAGCTTTTTTCTTTGCCTAAAACAGATAGGGCTTCATGTGTTTTTCTGCTTACAAATATAAGAGAACACAGAGCATTTCCCATCTTTACACCACAGATATTTTGTATCTGGCTTTGGTGTTAACTTCTGGAAAATCGACTGTCTTTCATTTGTTCCTTTCTTCTTAGAGACTCCCATTGCTTGCAGGTTACATCTCTACACTCTATTTTCTATGTCTGCCATCTTCTCTCTCCTTCTTTCAACCCTCCATATGTATTTCTTGTATCTATTTCTGATTCACTAGCCCAGTTTCCTGCAGTGTTGATTTTAATGTTTACTATATGCAGTGATGATCTTATTTTGTCTCTCATAGAATGAGTGTATCCTGGTCTGTTCCTGTGTCTTAATGGGAATATTTCTCTCTCCTTAAGAATGAATAACAGCTGTTTCCTGAATAACTTTTTCATGTGATGTCCAAGGTTTATTTAAGGCGGGCTATAATTGCTTATAAAATCTTAGTTTTCCATTTTTCTTTTGGGCTACATAACTTTCTCATTAGGGCCAGATTTTTTTTTCCATTTTCTTATACTTCCTCTCCAATTTTTGGAGTGTTTATCATATGGAAGCCGACTTTAAATTTCATTTCCTTCAGTTTTGGAGGGTCAAGAGCAGGTCAGTCAGAGATGATCTCTTTTTTCCCCACAGCTCACCTTTTCAGGAATTAACAGTGCACTTCCTACAGCTGAGATTGTATATCAGACAATTTTAATGAGACATTTTTATCTTGGCCCGACCACATGGTTACTCCCAATGTTTATCTCTTAAACAGGTTAGAGGAGAATTCTTAGAATTTTGTGCCTCTAATGTAGCTTAAAAATAAAAATTTTTTCAATTCTTATTATTTGTGTTGGTATACATTTGATTAATTGATTGAACTTTTCAGACAATTTCATGTAGGTTTTTTTTTTTAATTTAGGGAGAGGAAGCTCTCCCTTTCTATTCTGATTTTCCCTAGAAAGCCAGAATTTAGCATTGGATAATAATAAAATCTAGATCTGGCATGGCATGGTGGCAGAGTTTGGAGTGAGAGGGAAATGGCTGCAGATTCTGATCACACTCAGCTCACTTGTGTGACCTTGAGCAATTAAACAAATATTTCTGACCCTCAGTTCTTTCAACTGTAAAACAATAAAAATAATACCCGTCTTACAAGATTGTTGTAAAGATGAGATATGGAAAGCACCTAGCAAGTTTCCTGTCACTTGGAAGGTTTCTAGTAAGTGACTGCTGCTATTATTAGTAGTGTTATTAAGTTCAAAGTGGTGAGAAAGCACTGTCAGTTCTATGATTATATGGGTATGAGTCAAAGATTGGGAGAGGCCAGGCATTATGGCTCATGTCTGTAATACCAGCACTTTGGGAGACTGAGGCTGGAGGATCACTTGAGGCCAGGAGTTTGTGATCAGCCTGGGCAACATAAAAAGACGCTGTCTCTACTAAAAATTAAAAAAAATTAGCCAAGCCTGATGGCATACAGTTATAGTCCCAGCTACTCAGGAGGCTGAAGCAGGAGGATCTCTTGAGCCTGGGAGTTCAAGTTTACAGTGAGCTATGACTGTGCCACTGCACTTCAGCCTAAGCAACAAATCAAGAACTTGTTTCTTAAAAAAAAGATTTGGAGAACTCTGACTCCAACTTCACAGTTACAGTTTTTATTGTAGAAAAATTTTGAAACCACTGGACCAAGTCAGAAAAATGAGGCTCTGCCAGAATCTGTCTGTGTGATCTTGGCCAGGTCACTTCATTTTGAGGTTTGGCGTCTTCATCCATATATTGAAGAGGTGGTGCAACAGTGATGACTTCTTCCTGTCACCTTTTTGTAGGTCTGCAAGCTTCTTACCACCATCATGAGTATTAAAGTCATCTTTTGTTTTTGTTTTTTAATATATAGCTAATCATGTCATTCCCCAGTATAAAGCCCTTCCTACAGTGGCTTCCTGCTGCTCCCGGGTAATAACCTGAGCAGGGATGACCTCTCACTCCTCTCTGGGGTCCTCTCTCTCCCTTCCCTCTGGCTCAAGCTCTGGCCAAGCTCCTTCCCCACTAGAGCCTGCACTCCTGCAGCTTCCTCTCTTGACTGCTCCCTGACCCCTCCCACCACATCCTCTTCCCCACACAGGTTTCATTAGAGCATGGAACCCTATACTTCCCCTTTGTAACTCATATCATAATCGTAATTAAAGTCCTGTTTGCTCTAGGCCCCTACTTCTAGGTGGTTAATAGCTGTTTCCCCAGTACCTAGCCTACTGCCCTAGCAGGTCATAAGTGCTGGATAAATATTTGCAGGATGAATGAATGAATGACTGTGATCTTGAACATAATGTTAAAGAAGGCATGGTCTTTTATTTTTAATACTTCCGGTAGATCCAAGACTTAGGCAGGTTGGATGCTAAGAAATAAGGCTTCATAACAACTTCAAAAATAAATGTTCCGACATGATTTTTTTTCAGCTATTGGTTCTTTGACAAAGAATAAAGTAAAATTAAATTATATTGCAATCCTCATTTCAAGTAAGAAGTGACTAGTTCTGTATACCTTTCCCAATTACAAATATCCCCAACTCTGGGAACTTGCTCCACACAATCCCCCATAAAATGTCCTTCAGGAAAGGGTGAATGGATGCCAGCCAGTTCCACAGGAGGCCCTGGCCGGGGCTGGGGAGTGGGCAGTGAATGGGGTATGTGACGGAGCATTTTCTTCAACATTTGGTGTGTACGTCTCTACCTTGGGCTGCCTTTGTTTCTTTGCCATATCCAGACTTGTACTTGGTCCATGATACTCAGACCTATGGGGACAGAAGTTGGTTGGCAGAGTAAAGTCATGTGAATGGTTCTGATTCGACCCAAGAGTGGGGTGGGATCTGTCTGAGAGAGCATTCACCAGGGCAGTCCTGAATTTCTGAGTTGTCTTTGAATCCCTAACACCTGGCCCACAGTAACCACTCTGAATAGTTTCTTTCTTTCCCGTCTCTGATAATAATGCCTTTCATTTATGTGTCATTGCATAGTTTATAGAGTGCTTTTACAGTCACTAGCTCATTGGAGCCTCACACACTGTGAGGTCGGTACTGTGGGTATTTTCATCTCTGTTTAAATTTCTAAATTCTGTTTAAGCGAATTTAGAAAGGGAAAAAGAAAAGCTCAGAGGGGTGTTTCTTGCCAGCTATTGCCGAGATTTACTTTGGAATGAGGTGGAATTTAGATTTTCATTTTGTACATGTAAATTGCCCAGAGTTAGAGGCAGAAGGTGGTAGAGCTAAAACTCAAATCTGGGTCTTCTCATTCCAGGTGTAAAGACATCAATTGCCTCTCACAGGGCTTTTCTGCACCATAGATGATTTGCTTCTTTCTATCTCAGCATAATAGATTTAACAAAGACACTATTACAAATTGTGATTTCTTTTACACATTTGGTTGTGTTTTTTTTTATTTTAGTGATTTAAGCTGTGTACTTTCTGATTCTTTTTTCTTTTATTCTCTTAGTCATTCAGCAAGCATATATTGAACATCTGTGTGCCAAGAACCGTCCCAGATGTTAGAAAGAAAATTAAGACACGATCCCTCCCTTTGAGGTGCTCACGACATAGAATGGGGCACGGGTACATGAATAAATAAAATGCAGTTGAACAGGTAACTCTGTAGAGGTAGGAAAGTCTAGGAAATGGTCACTTTTACGTGGGAGTAGGAGAGAGGGCAGGCAGAGGTCGTAAATATGGAAGAGATTGGGGCGGGTGACAGCCCAGGCAGAGAGTTCAGAAGGGTGGGGTGAGAAAGTCCCTGAACTGGAGTATAGTCCAAGGTAGTGGCAGCAAAGAGGAGCAGTGAGGGGCTGGATCTGGAGAGGCATGGTGGGGGGACTTGAGGTCTTTGGGTGCTAAAGGTAAGGTATTCTCGAGGCAACAAGGAGCTCTTGAAATTATTTAAAACAGGTGTGTGACATCAGATTTGAAACATTAACTGGCATTGAAGATTTTGAGAGCTACAAGTACAGTGAGACAGGGAACTACGATCTGTTGTAGGGAAGTGAGCCCCCTTCACACCAGCTGTCATTTCTGCTAGTAGTAAGAATGATTCGGGACAGCTGTGTAGGAGCTTGGAAAGAGGGGTGCGTAAAATTGAACCAAATGGCTTTGCATTCTGATGGTTTTAGTTGTCCTGTGATGTTGTGACTTAGTATCAGCTCTCTCAACAGGAAGTCGCTAAGTAGAGCCTAAAAGAAGTGCTTCCAAAGTATGTTCCAAAGGAGAGAAAGAATTTCTTGTTTTCCACAAACTGTACCCAAAGCTTAAACCAATAAGGTCAGATGTTTTTGTGCTCTCTGAAACAATTCCAAGCTATTTTGCAATCCTTTAGAGCATCAGCTACATGAAGTACGTCAAACAGCATCATTCCTGGTGAATGTCATTTTTAAATGGCAAATGAGAATACCAAGGACATAGTGAATTGAGAACACTTTTTCTTCATTTCTATGAAAAAGTTAACTAAAAGCAAATGCAGCATCATAGATGGACTTTATCTTAGTAGGGTAAGGCTGTGGTTTCTTGGATGTGTGCTTATTAAAGCTGGGTACTTTCACCACTCAGAGCCAAGTTCCCATCACGTTTGAAGGCTTACTGTTCCTACTCAGAAGGAAGTATAAATACAGTACAACTCACTGATTGTCTTCCTGTGGACTTTAGGAAATGTACTTCTAGACTATCTCATAGTGGAGCTGTTTCCTCCATTAAAACCTTCAAAATTTTCCATTTGCTTTATACTCTGGCAATCTACACTGAATTAAATAATTTCTATTAATAGGACATGTTTATCATCCTAAGAAACCTGAAATGATGTGGTTCTTATCATTACATTCTATTGTTACCCCTGCTGAGTATGACATTAAATCATTCAAGAAGGAATTGCAGAAAGAAGATTTTAATCTCATGGCCATTAACAGGAAGAAAGAGTAATTTTCCATCATTGTAATATACAGTTTACAGAGGGGATGGCTGTATGACCCTGGGCATGCCTTTTAATCTCTTTGGCCTCAGTTTCTTCATTTTAAAGTGAGATTTGACCCATCTGACCTGGGTCAAACTTCATTACAAACATTTATTTCTTCCACGTACAATGTTGGCGTACACACTCTAAGAGCTGGGTGGGAACTTCATAGTTTCAGGGACCCAGGTTCTTGCTATCTTGTTGCTCCACTGTGCTCACCCTGTGGTTGAGTCTGCTGCTCCAGTGCCCACACTCATGTCCACACACCAGCCAGTGAGAGAAGGGAAAGGACCAAGGGGAAGACACACCCCCTCCTTTAGAGGCATGATCTAAAAGTGACACGTGGCCTTCACTCATACCCCTTTGACCAGAATGTAGTCACATGGTCACACCTCACTGGGAGAGAGGTGAGAAATGGCTGTCACGTCATGTCCAGTAGTTGTCATGTACAACTGCGATGTGTGTGTTAGGGAGGGGTAGATATCCGAGGACAACTAGTAGGTGCCTGCCATAGCATGTGAGGTCCTTTTCAGTTTTAAAAATAAATAATGTGTGCAAGTTCCATGTCTAATTGCCTATTAACCTATGAAAAAAATTCAGACACTATCCCTCTTGTGCAGATGCCTGTGTTTGAAGGTGGCAGAGGAGGTAGATGGAAGAAAGCCCAGCAGGGGTGACCTTGTAAATTTCGACAGCATAGTCTGATGGAGTGTATTCTTTTGTGGAAAAAAAAAAAAAGATTACTTTCCCTAAAAATGGAAAAACAGATAAGAAATTCAAAAAGAAACAAATTAACTGGGACCTTAATTTCTTTTTGCAACTTTCTCATCCAAGTTTCGTTTTGCATCCAAAAATCAAGTTGGCTTCTGTTGAATACAAAGTACTAATTCCCTCCCTTGCATAGCCCAGGTTATATACGGGCTATGCAAGGGGGAATTGAAAAGGCACATTTGTTATGTCTGATGTTTGAATTAGATACAGCTGCATGTTTGGGTTTTTTTAATTGTGGTAAAATTCACATAACAATATTAACCATCTTAATAGTTGTGTACAGTTCAGTGACATTGAATGCATTCATAATTCTGTGTATCTATCACCATCATCCATCTCCAGAACTCTTCATCTAGCAAAACTGAAATTCTGTACCCATTACACAGTAACTTCCCATTCCTCCTTCCCCACTGTCCCTGGCAACCACCATTCTATTTTCTGTCTCTATAGTTTTAACTACTCTAAGTGCCTCATATAAGTGGAATCATATAATGTTTGTCATTTTGAGAATGGCTTGTTTCACTTAGCATAATGTTCTGAAGGTCCATCCGTGTCGTATCCTGTATCAAAATTTCCTCTTTAGCTTCTCCTTTTTAAGGATGAATAATATTCCGTTGTATGTATATACACATTTTACTTACATGTTCATCTGTCAGTAGAAGCTAGAGTTGTCTCCATGTTTTAGCTATTGTGAATAATGCTGCTTTGAACATGGGTGTACAAGTATCTCTTCAAGACCCTAATTTCAATTCTTTTTATTTTTTCTTTTTTTTGAGACAGAGTCTCACTCTCCTTGCCCAGGCTGGAGTGCAATGGTGTGATCTTGGCTCACCGCAACCTCCGCCTCCCGGGTTCAAGCTACTCTCCTGCCTCAGCCTCCCGAGTAGCTAGGATTACAGGCATGCGCTACCATGCCGGCTAATTTTGTATTATTAGTAGAGACGGGGTTTCTTCATGTTGGTCAGGCTGGTCTCGAACTCCTGACCTCAGGTGATCCGCCCACCTCGGCCTCCCAAAATGCTGGGATTGCAGGAGTGAGCTACCGCACCTAGACCCTAATTTCAATTCTCTTGGGCACATACCCAGAAGTGGAATTGCTGGACCATATGGAAGTTTGATTTTTAATGTTTTGAGGAGCTGCCAGAACTGTTTTCCACAGTCGCTGTAACTTTTCGCATTCCCACCAACAGTGTACAAGAATTCTAGTTACTCTGCATCCTCACCAACACGATATTTTCTGGGTTTTCATGAGAGTAGTCATCCTACTGAGTGTGAGGTGGTAATTCATTGTAGTTTCAAATTATATCTCCCTGATGATTTAGTGAGGTTGAACATCTTTTCATGTGCTTATTAGCCATTTGTATATCTTCTTTGGAGAAATGTCTATTCAAGTCCTTTTCCAATCTTTCAATTTAGTTGTTTGCTTCTTTTCTTGTTAAGTTTTAGGAATTCTATATATATTTTGATATTAATCCCTTAATAGATATGCGATTTCAAATATTCTTTCTCATTCCGTAGGTTGCCTTTTTATTCTATCACTCATATCTTTTGATGAACAAAACTTTTCATTTTCATGAAATCCAATTTTTTTTCTTTTGTTGCCTGTGACTTTGGTGTCATTGCCAATAAATCACTGTCAAATGCAATGTCATGAAGCTTTTGCCTTATGCTTTCTAATAACAGCTTTATAGTTTTAGTCCTATGTTTCGATCTTTGATCCATTTTGAGGTCATTTTGTACATAGTATTAAGTAAGAGTAATGTCATTCTTTTGCATATTGGTGTCCAGTTTTTCCAGCACCATTTGTTGGAAAGACTCTCTTTTCTCCATTGAATGGTCTTGGCAACCTTGTCAAAAATCATTTGACCATATATACAAAAGTGTATTTCTGAGTTCTCCATTCTATTTCATTTTATATGTCTACCTTTATGTCAGTACCACACTGTTTTGATTATTGTAATTTTGTAATTAAGTCATTTATTCTAACAGACTTTTTTATTGTGTGTGGAATCCTTAGCGTTTTCCAAACATAAGATTATATTACTTGCAAAAAGAAATGTTTACTTTTTTCTTTACAGTTTGAATACCTTTGATTTCTTTTTCTTGCCTAATTGCTCTGGCTAGAACTTCCAGTTCCATGTTGAATTGAAGTGATGAAAATGGGCATCCTTCCCTTGTTCTTGATATTAGAGGGGAAGATTTTAATCTTTCACCATTGAGTATGATGTTCACTGGGGTTTTTCACATGTGGCTTTTATTGTGTTGAGGTGATTTCCTTCTACTACTAGTTTGTTGAGTGTTTATCATGAAAGGGTGTTGAGTTTTGTCAAATGCTCTTTCACCATCAATTAAGATGGTTATGTTTTTTTCCCTTTATTCTGTAAATGTGGTATATTACATTGATTGATTTTTATATGTTGAACCATCTTGGCATTCTAGGAATAAATCCCACTTGGTCATGGTGTATAATCTTTTTACTATGCTGAATTCAGTTTGCTTGTATTTTGTTGAGGATTTTTGCATCAATGTTCATAAGAAATATTGATCTATAATTTTCTTTTCTGTAGTGTCTTTGTCTGGCTTCCGTATCAGGATAATGCTGATCTTGTATAAATAAGTTAGTAAATGTTTCCTCTTCTTCAGTTATTTAGAAAAGTTTGAGAAGGATTGGTATTTGTTCTTTAAATGTTTGGTAGAACTCACCAGTGAAGCAATCAGGCCCAGGACTTTTCACAGCTGCATGTTTTAACCTTTAAATTAAAGTGAAAAAATCCTGCAAAGTTTCTTTATATGGTATGGTAGTCACTTGACATGGTCACTAGTATTCCAAATCTCCTCCCTCTGGGTCCATGGGCACTTCTTTGCCCATTGTGACCACGTGACTTGTTTTTCCAGATGAAATGTGAGTGGAGGGGATATGTGTCACCTTTAAGGGGAAGTCTTAAGACCCAATGCAGAATTCTACAATCTCCATTCTGCCTACCATGGTGACCTGCAAAGTTCCAGATTTCTGATCTCTTTCAATCTGCATTCCTGAATAAGGACATGACACGGAGCAGTGACCCTGCTGACCTGTGATGAACATGTACCCACGAGTGAGAAATAAACCCTTGTTGTTTTAAGCCATTCTGTTTTGGGGATGTTTGTTACTACAACATAACCAAACTAAAATACCTCACCTATGGATAATGAGTGGTAACATGTCAGGTACTACTTAGTTTTTGAAAGTGAAGTCATTAAATAAAGATCCATTATTGTTAATAATTGTTAATAAATGCCAGAGAAATCCAGTGCATAATGCATGTATCTTTTACCCAAATACTAAAAACTAGTGCTCAAATTATTAGTTCAATTTAGTTGTTATTGTTCTTTCATGGTAGTTAGTAGTAATATTTTAAGTAAATGTATATTCACAAATTGCATCTTAACATAATTTTTAAGTTATAAGATGTACCAAGATTTTAAAAGAGATTGACAGACTTATGATACATCTTTGATTCTGGCAGCATTGGTGGCTATAGGAGTTTTTTTTGTTTGTTTGTTTTGTTTTTTTTTTTGAGACTGGGTCTCGCTCCTTCCTCCAGGCTGGAGTGCAGTGGCACGATCTCAACTGCAACCTCCACCTCCTGGGTTCAAGCAATTCTCCCACCTCAGCTTTCCGAGTACCTGGGACTACAGGTGCATGACACCATGCCCGGCTAAGGTTTTGTATTTTTAGTAGGGACAGGGTTTCGCCATGTTGGTCAGGCTGGTCTTGAACTCCTGACCTCAGGTGATCTGCCCACCTTGGTCTCCCAAAGTGCTGGGATTACAGGCGTGAGCCACCGTGCCCAGCCAGGAATTTCTAATCTAGTTTTAGAAAAAGTTTATGAAGCTAAAAAGTTATTTTTGTAGTTCTGATGCCATGCAATTTGGTGACTTTTTGATCTGTACCTGTAAATGGTATTGCCACAAATAGCGTAAATGCCATCATACCAGTTTTTTCTCCAAATGTTTATTATTTTTTAACCATTTAAAAGAATTATTTCATTTATTTGAAAGCCAGTTCCAAAAACAAATGATAATAGCTAACAATTGTTGTATGCTTCCTGTTTGCCATGTGGATCTAAGTGGTCCATATGAATTATCTTAAAAATCTTCATAACAATCATCATTTACCTGAGGAAACTGAGATATAGAGAAACCAATAAATGTACTAAACCCCACATAGTTGGGGGTGGGTATGAAGGAATTGGGATTTAAAGACATGTTGTCTGTGACATCTGGCCTCTTGGAGAAGGGTGGGATCCCAGAACCACTTATGTCTGTTGTTGATTTTGTCCAAGTGTGAAGGTAGCAGTACAGATGAAATATAAATTATACTTTTTTCACACACAGCCAGTGTGTTATTTTCCCCCTCAGGACCCCTAGGTTTTATTTTTTGCTTGTTTATTTAAGCAAATATCTTTAAAATAATGACTTTGAGCACCATCCTCAATGATCATACTTTCTTGTCATCATTAGAAGAACCAGCCTTGACCTCGCCATCTACCACATGCCTCCACCCCAGCACACAGAATTATGACCTCACCTCTTCTTTAGGTCTCCAGCTAAGGCTGTTTATAAGTGGCCTGTCTGGATGTCTTCAGGTGACAGATATGGATATATATCTTGTGCTCAGACCCTGGCAGAAATGACAGGGAGAAAATATGTGATTCTTAAATATTTACGAAGAGATCTCATCATGGTCCTCTGAGGATGTTAAGAACCCAAAGAATCTTAATTGTTTACAGTGCTCTCCCATTAAAACTTTAAAAGCAGTGGCCTGGGTTTCTTCTTTCAGAGTGGACCTGGCACTCCAGAGGGAAAGCTCATTTGCTTGATTGGCTTTTTGGGAAAGGTGTGCCAACGAATGTGTTTTCATTTAATAATCTGGAAACCAGGGGGATCACGGACTGGCGTGCAGAGTTGCTCAGCTAGAAGCGTCTGAACTTGAGTGGGAAGGTGACAGGATTCAGTGTGGCTTCGGGCCGGTGTGGTTTGTGAGCTTAGCCAGCTATCCTATGACAGTTTTACAAGTATAGAACTCTTGAATATGCTGAAGTTGAATATTCTGGGAAAGGAAGGGCGAAGGTGATTGAACTGTGCTCTTGTTTTTGCTTTCAGGCAAATTCCTCTTCTATACCGGGTGCAGTCATCTTTAGCTTGTCAGTTATTGTCACAACTTGTTGGGAAGATCATCAGCTTAGCCACATAGAGTTGCCTAAATATTTGAGCAGAAACCCCAGCCCTTCTGCAGGGTCTCACGTGAACATCCTACCAGATGTGGGGATATCAAGGTAAAAGACAGGGCAATTCATATAATAATACCAACAGCATACACTATGTGCCAGGCACAGTTCTAAGCACTTTACATGTCTTAGGAAAAGGTTTTTCGTATCCTTATTTTAGAGATGAGGAAAACTTAAACACTTAGGTAACTTGCCTGGGGTCACACAACCAGTAAAGAATGGAGCTAGATTCAAACCCAAGCAGGCTGGCTGCAGTAGCCAGAATGACCCAATCGTAGTTCACAGTAGTATTCACTCAAGGGATTCAGTAGGATCCATAATGATTCATAGGACAGAATGCATATCTCAACAAAACATATGTTTGTTTTGTGTTGTCTGAAGGTTGTAGATGAAGTACCTGGCAAGCATGTCAGAATTCTGAGCTGCCACTGGATGAGAAACTTCCATGTCAGAGAATCCTTTCTCCTTCCTACATGGAGAGGTGGTGAGTTAGTGAGTACAATAAGAGATAGTGCTTATACGTAGATGAGTTATTAGAAAATCTTTATGGAGCACACGCTATGTGTGGAGCATGTGCCAGTAACAAGACAAGGATGATTGTCTTTGTGTCTCTGAGAATCCAGCAGACCTCTAGGGAGAAGAAGGAGAGTTCACTTCAATGAGCCCAGAGTCCCTCACTCTCCTGGCTTTTTGGAGACTGCCTGCCTTCCATAGCCACATTATCCTAAGGGAGGAAAGAAAGAGTTAACATTCCATGGCCTTATCCAAAGCCTTCTTTGACTGTTATTGGGAAACAGTGCTTTGGGGGATGATACTGCTTAGTGCAAATAAAATGTCCTCTGGCCTGAACCTTAGAGAACCCTGAGCATGGCATCCACCTTGCTGTGGGAACCAACACTTTAATTTCCTTTCCTCTGGCTCAACGCCTGTAATCCTGGCACTTTGGGATGCTGTGGCAGGAGGATCAGTTGAACCCAGGAATTCCAGCCTTGGCAATATAGCAAGACACCTTCTTCACAAAAAAATTAAAAAATTAGCTGGGCTAGGTGGTGGTGTGTGCCTGTGGTCCCACCTACTCTGGAGGCTGAGGTGGGAGGATCACTTGAGCCCAGGAGGTCAAGGCTGCAGTGAGCCATGATCACCCAGCCTGGGCAACAGAGCAAGACTCAATCTCTTACAAGAAGAAAAAAAAAATCTTTCTCTGACCATTGTAGCCTGGGAAAGTAACAGTAATAATTAAATTATATTGTCACTTATTCGTCATGTACCAGTGAGAAATCAGCTAGTTAGTTTAATAACCATACAAAGCCTTCTGAATTGTTTATTTATGTGATTAAAGACCATTTGAAATCATCTAAAACTATTTGTCTTGGTTTTTGGCCCTTGGTATCTGGGAACTTCTTTCTAGAATTTCTCTGATGTGATATGTCCACTGTATCTTTATAAGAGGTAGGTTTATTTTTATAAAAATGTTATCACTTCTGGCAGTAGAAACAGGTATATTTGATAATTTAATGAGATGTCATCAAGAATAGTGTTTATTTTAAAAAATACTAAATATACATTTGTCTTCATTATTATGGAACTTGGGGTTGCTGGTGGTAGGAGACTTACAATGATTTCAGATGCTTTTCTCTAGCAAGGAGTATTATTTTTGCTTCTCTCAAATATCACTGAGTTCCAGTCTTCTTTATAGCTTTTCATAAAAGATCATTTTTTTTCAGAACCATTTATTCTCACCAGGAACTAAATCCAGATAAAGACATAGTTGAGTTCATATTTGATTTGAGACTATAGTGATGTTTCATTTAAGTAGCTTTGGAAAACACAGACATTTGGTTGCCATTTGATTCTGGTTACTTACTCTAGTTTGTTATCGAACTTCTGGTTCAGCAACATTAAAGGGAATTAACACTTGAATTTACATCTCTTCTGATTTGAAGCTCATGGCTTGAGGTTCAAGGGCACGCCTCTTATTAAAATCATTTAATGTTCTATACATTTCCGAGAAAGTAATCAAAATCAGACACTCTCACTCCTAGACTCAACTTCAGTGGTTATTTCTTTTATAAAATTAATTGCTTAATGGGAATTTTAAATGAAAGGCAGTGGTTTAGAAGTTGAGGCAGGGTGGCTCAGAGTCTCTTATTGTGTAATGAATCACTTGAACCCTACCATGCACCTTTTCCTGTGCATTGCTGATGAAGCCTGGTATGTGCCCCAAAGAACTTTTGAAATTAAAAAAACACAGGTCAAAGCAATCAGATGCCATTTTTCACCCATTTAGTTTAGCAAACATTGTTGAGTTTAATAATTTCTGATGCTGGTGAGGATTTGGGGAAATCAGAGCCCTTGCTGTGTTAGTGGCTCCTCATTGGTAGATAATTTATCAATATCTTTCAAAATGTTTAATGCATATACCATTGATCTACGTAGTCTACTGCTACGACTTCACCATACGTGATGTATTAGTTACCCAGTACTACATTACACATTACCACAAAATTTAACAGCTTAAAACAACAAATATTTATTATCTCATACAGTTTCTGAGTTCAGGAATTGGGAGCACTTTAGCTGGGCATTTGTGGTTCAGGGTCTCTCATGAAGTTGCTGCCAAACTGTGGGCAGCAGCTGCATTCATCTCAAAGCTCAAGTGGGGCAGGGGAATTCACTTCCCAAGCACACTCATGTTTGCTGTTGGGAGGCCTCAGTTCCTCACCACCTGGACCTTCCGTGGGTGGCCTGAGTGCCTTTATGATATACATGCTGGCTTCTTTCAAAGCATATAAACCAAGAGAGACAGAGGGAGCCAGTCAGAGAGCACCCAAGGGGGAAGCTGCAATCATTTATAACCAAATCTTGGAAGTGGCCTACCATTATTTCTGCTGTAGATTATTGATCACATAGACCAACCCTGGTACAGGTACAGTGTGGGAAGGGATTACACAAGGGTGTGAATCTTAGAAGCTGGGGTCCTTGCAGGCCATCTTGGAGTCTTCCTACCCCATGAGGCTACTCTAAAAACACAAAAGCCTGAGCTGTGTCACCAAGCTAAATGACCCTCTTTATGCTAAAGAATGATCCATCATACTGTGGAATGTGTCGCACCTGTTAAAAAGAATAAAAAATCTGTATGTGCAGATATGAAAAGATCTTTAAGTTATACTATTAAGTAAAGAAAGAATCTGTAATAGTGCTATATGGCTTGATATATTTTAGATAAATTTAAAATATATACATGTAATCTGGTGTAGCATATATTTTTTTTTCTAGAATGAAAAAGTGTTTTGCATTTTTCCCTCCCTCCCTTTCCATAGGGAGAAATTTTTAGAAATTTAGAATTGAGGCACCTAAGTCTGTACCGATGCTCGTGTTCCCTGCCTGTCTTCAGGGAACTATACAGATCTTTATTTTCCAAGTCTCAGGGCTGTTCGGGCCATAACTACTCCTATGCTCGCCTCAGATCTTCACTTGAAGCTGGTTTTCCTGTTGTGCAGTGCACTAAGTGACACACAGAGGCTTTCTGCCTCAGTGTCTTCAGCCAACTGAGCAAGAATTCTTGTTGCAACAAGTTTTGCAAGTTCCAGGGTTCTTGGTCTGCCTGGAATCTCATGAATCATTAGATTTTTGTCTCACTTAGGTTCCCTCCCAGCTTGCTATCCTATTTAAAACGCCCTTTATTCCCAAGCAGGCTCTTGAGGCACTACCAGCCTGACTCTGATTTCTTCTAGAAGCAGCATGTTTCTTCCTAGCCCTAGGGTGAAATGCTTCAGTGGAAATTCTCCTTCGATTATGAAGTTGCAAAGTCTGTCCTTCGGTCTGCCAACTTTTCCTTCTTACTATCTGTCAAATCCTGATTTATTCAGTAAGTATAAGTAAATCTGCTAGACACCTCCATCTTGCCCTAAGTCTGGTTATTTCTTTCATTACAGCATATCTATGGCTTTCTTCTTAATTAATTCACTTCATAAACATGGATTTAGCAGGCTGGGCACAGTGGCTCACACCTGTAATCCTAGCACTTTGAGAGGCCAAGGTGGGCATATCACTTGAGGCCAGGAGTTCAAGATGAGCCTGGCCAACATGGTGAAACCCTGTCTCTACTAAAAATATAAAAATTAACTGGGCATGGTGGTGCACACCTGTAGTCCCAGCTACTTGGGAGGCTGAGATGGGAGGATTGCTTGAACCCAGGAGGCAGAGGCTGCAGTGAGCCGAGATTGCACTGCTGCACTCCAGCCTGGGTGAAGGAGCAAGACTCCATCTCAAAACCAAACAAAAAAATGCATTTAGCATCTATTCTGTGCCAGACCCTGTGTTAGGGACTGGGGATAATTGTGAGCAAAAAGCCATGGTTACTGCCCTAATGGATCTTACCATCTAATGGGAAACTCTGATACCACTTAATTATACATAGATATCAATGACTACAGACCACAGACTCTGTTAAGTCTATGAATGAAAAAGCCAATTGCATGTGTAAAGCAGGGAGATTTATAGGGTCAATGATATGATATGCATGCCTTTGTGCACATAAGAAAAAGCCATCCGCTCTCAGAGGACAAAACAAAAGGCAACCTCCAGGTATATGAAAACCTGTAGGCACATGGTTTGGCAAGCCAGTGGAGTCTTTTCCAGTTCACATAAAGGACTGGAAAAAGTGTCCAGCTGGACAAAGCCCAGCACTAAGGTGCATGGCTTGGCCAGTAGGGCAGCCTCGCCATCCCCATACTTGACTCTACACCCTGATTTAGAGCACAGTTGACCCAATCTAATGCACAGGCCTTGGAAATCTGGCTGATCTGGAGGATCAGGGAAGGCCTGAGATGAAACCTGAAGAATGAACAGCAGTAACTAAAAAATGGGAGAAGGGTGATGGGCAAGACCATCAAGAGCCTTTCAGGCAGATAAAACTGCAGTTAAAAGTCACCAAAGTAGGAGAGAGCCTGGGATATTCCAGGAACTGAGTCTAGAGAAGGAGAATGAGGGCAAGAGTAGGTTGATACAAAGCCGGAGCAGCCAGAAGAGGCCAGACCATGCAGGGCAGGACCTCTGAGGACAAGTTAGTAGGGCTGGATTGAGCATGGTCTTGAATGCCTAGCTAGGGAATTTGAACTAGAGTATTGTTCTTTTATTTATATCAGGGTCTGAATTATTCTGTTTCCTTTTTTGCTTTGAAGTTTAATCATTCTTTGCTTATTTAAATTTGTGTTTATGATCCTACTTCCTTGCCATTTAAAGATACATCCAGACTTTTTTTTTTTTTTTTTTTTGGTCTCTTTGCAAAAATGGCATGCATGCTCAAGGCAAGTCTTTGGATTTGCTGCTGGGAACATGGTTTCTGAAAACCACAGGGAGGAAATCTAGGAAATCACAGGGAAGCTCTGTTTCCTTC
This sequence comes from Homo sapiens, assembly GCF_000001405.40. Taxonomy (NCBI): domain Eukaryota; kingdom Metazoa; phylum Chordata; class Mammalia; order Primates; family Hominidae; genus Homo; species Homo sapiens. The sequence goes on from NC_000001.11 coordinate 184,547,563, forward strand.
CCCACGAAGCAGTGTACACGTGTGCACGCACATGCACATGAACACAGGAATGTTCTCTCTCACATACAAAGTTGAGAGAGTAAAGCCAAATGTGTTTTCTCTTTTATTTTGGCAGCATTTTAGATATTTAAATTTTTAGCTATCTTAAGTTAATCTAAAAATTTGAATAGATGAAATGAGCATATCCCATCCTTTATGAAGAGAATAATCAAAATACTGGAGTATGCTCCTCTCTAGAAAAAAGGTGTAGGGAATATCAGACAAGAATCTCAGTAACAGTTGTTTGACATTCATTACAATCTGAAATGTTGACCCAGGGCATCAGAAATGTGCTGCTCCAAGGCAGACAAGTTATACCATTGGAAATGGATACCTGCTATGGCCACGGTGGCACTGGCTGCTGTCCCATCAGTACCCACTTGACCATCTCCTGCTCCTCCTGACCATAGCAGAGGCTGCTGCAGACTAGCTGAGGCTTTTACTCTGTGCTGGGCCTCACAACCTGGTCTGTTTCCCAAAGACCTTGTTATACCTTCTGGTACCCTAGGCTGTGTGATCTTAGAAAATGATAATCAGGTGATACAAGATACTGGTTAGGCAGGTAAATGAAGGTGCCTCTAGGAAGTATAGTAATCCATATCTCAAATCCCCAACACACACACACACACACACACACACACACACACACACACACTCACACACTCACTCACACTGTAGTTAGGGAGCATGGGCTGGTTAAATTGGCCCTGAAAGAGGAAGTGAACCATCTGGCAGTGGTGCCTGACCCACCTCAGTGTTTCAGTGGGAACTTGCATTTATTCATTCATTTTATACCCATTGCAGACTCTTTTTTTTTTTTTTTTTTTTGTTGAGACGGAGTCTCCCTCTGTCGCCCAGGCTGGAGTGCAGCGGCGCGATCTCCACTCACTACAAGCTCCGCCTCCCGGGTTCACGCCATTCTCCCCATTGCAGACTCCTTAGAGAAGTCTACCTGGACTCTACACTAAGCACTTAGCCAGAATGGGCAGTTCCCAAGAGGTCTGTAGACAGAATTCAGGGAGTCTGTGAACTTCCATGAGAAAAAAAAATTACATCTTTATTTTCACTAACCTTTAATGGAAATTTTAGACTTTTGATTTGGACAAATTTGCAGGGTACTTTCCTTTGGAGAAGGAACTAAAGTATTCAGCAAATGACACCCTAATTGTGAATGTAGGCAACAAGCCAGTAGTAATAGCAGTACCTGTGACTTTTCAACAGTAAAAGTCACGGTTGTTTTCATACCACGTTAAAGTTGTTGAAATATTAATGCTCATGACTCCTTTAAAATTACCATAGTTATCAGACCCACTAGTATATCTTCTTATTTAATACATTAATAAAGAACATATATTACTCTATCACAATTTTTTCCTAAAAATATTTTGATAATTATTATTTCTTTATAATTTTTGTCCTTTCTAGTGCTATGTATTTGTTTTAGGAATTTAAAAATACTATTCTGAGAAGAGGTATATAGGTTTTACCAGACTGTCAGAGGAGTACATGGCACAAAAAAGCTAAAGAACTCCTGGGGTGGTGGGCTCAAGTCCTGCTCAGTCTCCTAGCCGTGGAACTTTAGAATAGCAACATCTGAGACTCAGTTTTGTCATCTGCAAAATGGTTTAAGATGAGTGATGATTTTGGTGAAGTGGGTGAGAATCTCAGTCAAGGGATGACTTCTTCTTCCTCTGGTTACATTAAAAAGTGTGACGCCTTCTTTAAAGTACTTTGCTTTTAAATTAATGAAGTAGAATCATTAAGAAATCACCCGAAATCTTCAAATCTGTTTATTTGCATTTGTCTTCTCAGTCAACAGCAGTGTTGTAAAATATACTAAATTTATATTTAAATATATGTATTAAATATATAAAGTTACATACACTAACATTTTTACCTTTTTAGTTGTTGCATTTTAAAATATTTTGTAGTCTCTAGTTTTCTGGTAAGGAGATAACATTGTATTCCTTACTCATACTTTTCCCTATGATATAACATCTTTTGAGTTTTTTTTTTCTTTTTGTTTGATTGTTTTTGTGATGTGTAAAAATTCAGGAGTGGAGCAGCAGGGAAGGAAGGGACTGCCAACCAGGCAGTTCTGGAACATTCCAGGTGTTTTTTCTCTAGTCTATCACTTTTCCTTTTAATGAAAAATTCATCACTACAGTCCCAATATGAGTAATCTTCCTATTTATTTTTATGTATACAAATAATATACATAAATACTAGATTTAGATAATGTATAAATGTTTTTATATTTCACTGAAAATATCCAATCATACACAGACTGTCTGGCATACAATGGTTTGATTTATGATTTTTCAACTTTACAGTGGTGTGGAATCATTCTGTTTTTCACATTCAGCACAATATTCAATAAATTACCTGAGATATCAGCACTTAATTTTAAAATAGGCTTTGCGTTACCTGATTTGGCCCAACTGTAGGCTGTTGTCAGTGTTCTCAGCATGTTTAAGGTAAGCTGGTTTAAGTCATGATGTGACAAAATGTAGTAGTTGGTTGGGGTTGTTATAGATATTTTTCCTTAAAGTCCCAGTGACTATTGAATCTTGTTTTGTAAAAACAAATAGTATAAGTGTTTAAGAATAAAAAAGATTTAATATCAAGGAACGCATGTAGTGCTAGATGAGATTGTAAAGGTTGTTATTGTCTATTTTTGAAAACCTTTTAGGAAAGTAAATTAATTTGTTTTAATTTCATGGACTGCTCAGTTTTCTTCACCCAATACAAGAAAAAAAGAGGCAAATTATAATACTATTTAGAACACATTTGCTAAATTTCTCTTTGCTGCCTTCTTAATTTTATCTGGCAGGGCTGCAAGACAGGAGTTACAGCAGTAGACCTGGCTGTCGTGAAGTGATTTCATCTCTTCAAGTTGTGGAGATTTTATGTTTTGTTTGTTTCTTTGTTTGTTTGTTTGTTTGTTTTTTGAGACAGGATCTCATTCTGTCACCCAGGCTGGAGTGCAGTGGTGCAATCCTGGCTCACTGCAGCCTTGACCTCCTGGGCTCAAACGATCCTCCAACCTCAGCCTCCTGAGTAGCTGGGACTTCAGGTGCATGCCACCTAGCCTGGCTAATTTTTCCATATTTTTTGTGGAGATGGGGCTTCACTGTGTTTCCCAGGCTGGTCTCAAACTCCTGGGCTCAAGTGATCCTTCAGCCTCAGCCTCCCAAAATGCTGGGATTACAGGCATGAGTTGCCGCACCAGGCTGTCTTCTGGTTTTGTAAAGATGGATTTCCTGGACTTGGTTAAGCCATAACTGGCTGTCTAGAGGTTGAGATAGTTCAGTCAGTGACATGATGAAATAAAAAAGAATTTTTTGATAACAAAATGGTTTTAGAGAGGATAGCTAGGAAACATTTTAAAAGAGCAACGAAGAGAAACTTGCTATTTCAAATGTAAAATATATAGTAAAGCTAAAAACAGTTTAGTGCCAGCATAGGAATCACATAGAACAGAATAAATAGCCCTTGAAATGCACAGACAGACAGCATACAGACATATATGATCCCTGGAATACAGCAATCCCATGGAGAAGAGGTAGATTATTCAGCAAACTACACCAAAATAAACTCCAGGCGAATTATTTAGAGAACTATGTGTGTATTTTTTTTAAATCATGTTTTTAAAAAATCCAGGAGAAAAAAATGACTACCTAACTAATAATGGGATGGGGAAGTATTTTTAAATATAAAAGCAGTGGAAGAAACCACAAGGGAAAGAATTCTTTGTCATGTTTTAGTGAAGATAAATTTGAGTGTGAGGAACAAAACCAACTCAAATTACCACAAGTAAATGGAGAGTTTACTGTAAAGTGATCTTGGATTAACCTCAGGGCAGGGACTGTCATTGGGCTGGACCTTCTCAAGGCTGAGATAGAGAAGCAAGGCTAGATTCTGGAAGGACCAGGATCTGGGCACTGAATCTGAGGATCTTCCCTCACTGGGCTCATCATTAATATAGTTTTGTTACATCAGCTGTGTCTGCATCTTTCTGGTTAGCTGCCCCTCCCCGTGCCAATCTACCGTGTTTGGCAAGAGGGTGGATCCATCGCCTCATCTGGGCAGAAATGAATTGGACAGAAAGGGGCTTTGGGGGTCCAGGGTGCAGTGGCTCATGCCTATAATCCCAGCACTTTTGGAGGCTGAGGTGGGAGCATCACTCGAGGCTAGGAGTTTGAGACCAGCCTGGACAATGTGGTAAGACCACATCTCTACAAAAAATAAAATTAGCCGGGTGTGGTGGCATGTGCCTGTAGACCTGGCTATGGCTACACCACTGTAATTGAGCCTGGGTGACAGAAAGAGACCCTGTCTTAAAAAAAAAAAAAAAGGAACCTTGAGGTGATAGAATTAACGTTTTTTTAAAACAAAAAGAAAACAAGAGGGCTTTGGGCAGGCTATGGATGATTCATTTGCATACACAAATTTGAAACTTTTTACATGAAATAGTACAGTAAACATTTAAAAGATAAATACTGCCCAGGAATACTGTTGCAATACCATAGTAACTGCAACAAATATTACAGGAAAAAAAATTAATACTTTTAACATAGAAAGTGTTTTTGTCAGACAAGAAGGATATCCCTAACACAGATTTTTAAATGGGCAAAGGATAGGAATAGATAATTTGCAGAACAAAGAAAATAGCCTGTATGGAAGGAAGGTAGAAGAATAACCTTATAGTATATAGTTTAAAAATGCAGATTTAAGAAAACAATCAGATACTTTTTTTCCTAAGAAATTGGCAACTTTTTTGTAAACTTTTTTGTGTGTTTTTAAAATCACACTGTCATTTCTGACAAAAGTAGAGGAGTCAGGCACTCATATTCATATACTGCTGCTGAGAGTGTAAATAGCCACAACCTTTCTGGATGAAGATATTGCAAGCCCAAAAGATGGTCATGTTCAAATTAATAATTATTTTCCTAGGAAGAGGGAAATCAAAGAGATGTACAAAGATGGTTACTACAGCTTTATTTGTCATGGTGAAAAAAAGGGAATAACCAAATTTCCCAGTATTACCCGGATGAGTAATTAATGGCTTATCCATATAATGAGATAGTATAAACCACCAAAAAAGCATTTGCTCAAAGAATGATTACATAATTCCAATTTTGTAGATAAACAGCAGAGAGAGAAAAAAATGACATAGGAAACATTCCAAATTTTAATGGCACTCAATTGGTAGGATAACAGATGATTTATTTTCTACAATGAAATATTGCTTTGGTTATAAGAAAAACAACAGCAACAACATATTTGGTATTTATACCAAGCAAAATGTACATTTTTGTCATTTGGCCTAGAGAAGAGACATGTCTGCTCAACAATGAAGTTATTTCCATGAATTCTGGCATATTGGTTAAGAAGGACTCAGAGAATCCATCTAAAGCTCTTGGTCTACTCCTGGTGGTCATAATAGGTGCTCAATAAATGTCTGCTGTGCATGTCTACAGGGCCCTCAAGTCTAATGAGGATGGTTTTTCAATTCTTAATACAATCTGGGTACGACTTGTCACAGACACGAGGATGAGGGATGGTGTATTTTTTTTGATTTTAGAATAGGAAAAAAACCATTTAGTTCTAACACTGTTTATTCGTAAGTCCAAGGGGGGGAGAAACTAATTCCATTTTTTTCTTGAGAATATCTGCTGGATTTCCATTAATAATCCTAGGCAAAGAAGTTATTTCATAGGTTGTCTTTAAATGATTTTTAAACTAATTTAGAACTCACACATAAGTTTCATTCTATTTTTCTTTTTAACCTACAAAAGTGAGTGCCTGCTTACTGTTTTTCCTGGTTCTGTGCCGTAAACACTGAATGGACTATCTTACCTTGTCTTTACAATCTGATGGTTAAGGTTCTTATTCCCGTTTTACAGAAATAGGCTTAGAAGTCAAGTTAATGAGTGAATGGTTGGCTCTTTGGGCACCGTTTGTTGGAGTTCAGGTTTTCAGGCTCCTTCTGGGCTATAGACTTTTTTCCAGGCTACCTTGTAGCAATTTGTGAGTCAGCATCATGTTCTGCTGAGACCCAAAGATCCAGGAGCAGCTTAGAGCTGTAGCTAGATTACCAATGGACTCATCACAAAGCATAACTTGACTCTCAACCCTGGTCCCTTTCCCCTCTACCAGAAGGTCTACCCCAATGGCAGAGTAGAAGAGAAAAGATCTTCCAGGACATCAGAGATGGCATGCCACACAGGAGGAGAGGAACAAGGTCATTGTTGTTATTTGTTCAGAAAGAAAAGATGGTAAAACTCAGTTACATCTTGCTCAACTGATTTTCTCGGCTTGAAAGAGAAGTAACAGACACTAGGCTTAAGGGAGTTAAGAATAAATCAAAACGTGAACCATTCCAGCAGTTTCTGCATTAATGGGATCCTTCTGACAATGCCACAATGGAGAATTATGGCACAGAGCCAGTTCAGTCATAAACCTTATTCCTATACTTCCTTTCTTGCTTGTAATTTTATGCAGCAGGTTGAGAAGGCTACTTTATTCTGAGACAGACTGTATACCAATAATTTTGATAACCTGTAATGAGTTCTGTGATGTCTTTTTCTTCTTGTATCTTTTCCTTCCTACCTTGATACCAGTAATTTGTAAGGGATCTATATAGTTTGAATGTATTTGAGTGACTTCAATAATACTTCAGTTCTACTTTTTGATATAACCCAAGGAAGCACCAGTAGGTCTCAGGCATTCCCCTGTGTTTTAGAATCCTCAAATCAGTGAGATGAAACCCAATGTCAAGAATTTGAAGCAGAGTAAGGTATGGAGAAAGAAGGTAAAGAAACTATTGGGTGGTTTGGCTAGAGCATAGTAATTAATTGGATATTTTGGTTTCCAAAAATTTGAATTACAATAAAAGGAAATTTTGCTGTGTTATTTCAGTTTTCAGTAGCAAATAAATGTTTGTATAGCCAAACAATAAAATTGACGTAGTTTAGTGCCTTTAAAAAAATAAGTGATGGTTTTAACCCCATCTCTTAACTGGCTTATAGTGCCTCATTCATTCATTCAGTGAATAAAACAAACACCAATTCAAGGAAATCTGTATAACAAATGTTTGTAAACTTTATGACCTATCCTTTGTTTTCTAATTTACAGAATAAAATCTAAGTAAATAAAAATTAGGGACAGTCTCTTAAAAATTTCTTACAACTTATTGGTATATGATAGGGTTCTTTTAATTTGATGGTTGGAAGATTCTTGAAAATAGAAGTAAAAATTTAAGCTTTCTATTGTTTATAGTTCAAAAGTGCATGCACATGTGTGTAACAAGAATATACACATTTCTCTGATTCCAGAGACAGCCCTTTATCCAGCTGGCTAGAGTAGCCTCTATCAGCCCCCAGTCTCTATTATTCTGTTGTAATTTCCTCCTCATACTTCTCACCACCTGACTTGATACTAGTTAGTTTTTGCTCATTTCCCATTTCCCTTTGCCTTCACTGGAGTGGCAGCTCTGTCAGGGCATAAGTTTTTGCCATTTTTCCTGCTCAGCACCTAGAACAATATCTAGCCTATAACTAGCCCTCATTTTCATTTGTATGGAATGAATGAATAAACAAATAAATCAGTTTTCTGCCTCTTATCAGCTGCGTGGAACCAGACATCTCCCCTCCATTTTGAGGTCCCTAAGTTATTCCTGGGAAATCTCAGGGACTGGCATCTTCTGCCAGACCTCTGACACCCAAGAAACCATTGGTGGTAGGCAGAGGCCCCTGTGAGCTGCTGCCAATGTCTACACTGAGGCAGCCCCTCAGATCCCAAGCTAAGGTCACTGATGTATGTTCACAGCCAGATGCTGCTGCTTCTGTCATGGAAGGATCTTCTCCAAAGTCCACTCTTCTGTAAAACTGTGCTGTGATGTGGGAATAGCACACACACCCCCACACACCCTCACACATACATACACACACACACACTGTCACACACATATGCACAAACACCTGTTACCTTCTTTACCCAGACCCTTGGGCCAGAGCAGCCTTGTGCCCCCATTTTTTTTCTTTTGGTGAAACTCACTTTCTGGCTTTACTCTCAGGAGCGGGGCAAGGAGTTGGGGGAGGAGGACTGGAGGTGGGGTGGGAGGCGTAACTAAATCAGAAGTTCCGAGTGAGGAAGGCTCCCCTCCAACACAGAGGCATTCTTCTGACTTAGCTAAACAAGCTTCTGGCAGGAAAAATAATTTCCCTGGCACAATATGGTGCCTTATGCCAATTACCTCTGCGAGGATCCGCCCACTGGCCCTCCAGGCCATCTGGACAAAAGGGATCCCTGAGGAGATCTCACTGTAGCCACAGGCTGGGACTCCTGCTAGAGGGAGATAAAGCTTTACCATTTCCCTTCTTCTTTGTCCTGAACTGTACTCTAGAACGATCTGTAAGAAATGTCCTAATAGGTAATTGCTCTCTCCTCTCCCTCACCACCCCCCCAACCCCAAACACACACACAACACACACACATACACACACTGAGAGGCATCCACAGTGTTCACCACAGTATGGATTCTCATGGGGTTTTATTTGGCTTCTTGGCCAAATAAGCTGATGCAGGTACTTGTTGGATAACACTGTGGGGTGGGTCAGTAGCAGAGGATGTGAGTCAGGCTCCCAGTTTTAGAAAAGGAACCTGCAGTGCCTGCTGACAGGCTTTCATACCAGGTATACTCCTTGCATATTATCAAAGCATATCCAAAAACCCATTCTTGCTTCCAGAGCAAAAAGAATCAGAGAGCCTCTGCTGGTGAAGGAAGTTCTGTTCCAGAAGGCTGTGTCTGTCATGGACCCAGGCAGAGGAGAAGAACAGGAGCCTCTGCCAGAGGCCAGGCCAAGCCAAAGAATGGGAATCAGAGGACAGTCCCCTGATTATTTAAACACAAAACAGGAAGGAAGGAACCCTCCACCGTCTTGGCCACCATTGTGACCACTGCCCATTATTTTTTCAGATTTATGTGGTCAAATAATGATTTTAAATAGAAAATCTTAAAGCTATTATGTTTTATTTTGGAACTATTCCACATGTTGAGGAAGAATGAAGGAAGGGGAAACAGAATCAGACTTCTAAAGAGTGGAAAGGTGATATCTGTATCATATGACCAAGCCTAGGGAAAAACACATGAGCCACACTCACTTTTTGAAAATCTGATCCTTATTGTTAAGGAGGGTGACTATAATTTTAGAAGGGAAAAGATGAATGGAAGACTGTCTTGGCTTAGAAAACCCTTTTCTATTTTTTGTCCAACTGAATCACTCTGATAAAAGCGGCCTGAGCATCACAAGACTTAACTAACCTTTATGTCATTTCCCCTCCCACTCTGTTCCCAAAATGGCTGGTATTTTTTTATATTCATTTTTATCTTGCTCCAAACAATATGTAGTTTCTCCTCATTGACAAACATTCTGTCAACTCGTGAATTATTGCTGATTCGTTTGCATGTGTGTGAGCTGCTCTCTGCTCCCACCTTTGCACTATCAGATGGAATTTTCCACGTATATGTCTTAGCCTCCTGACGCTCATTAATGTCAATGTGGGGGTCATGAACTGTGCCATTATTGTTCTTGTAGTGTTTAGTTAGCCTGAGAAGCTCAATTTGTGTGTATGTGTGTTTTTTTCTTTTTTTTAATTCAATAGGTTTTGTGGGAACAGGTGGTGTTAACTTACATGGATAAGTTCTTTAGTGGTGATTTCTGAGATTTTGGTGCACCCATCACCCGAGCAGTGTACACTGTACCCATTGTGTAGTCTTTTATTCCTCGCCCCACTCCCACCCTTTCCTCTGAATCCCCAAAGTCCATTGTATCATTCCCATGCCTTTGCATCCTCATAGCTTAGCTCCCACTTATGAGTGAGAACGTACAATGTTTGGTTTTGTATTCTTGAGTTACTTCACTTAGAATAATGGTCTCCAGTTCCATCCAGGTTGATGTGAATGCCATTATTTCATTCCTTTTTATGGCTGAATAGTATTCCATGGTATATACATACCACATTTTCTTTATCCACTTGTTGATTGATGGGCATTTGGGCTGGTTCCATATTTTTGCAATTGCTAATTGTGTGAGAAGCTCAATTTAAAACCTCATTCCCTTCAAGTTTCAGTTTCCATTTAGGAAGTACTTAGATTGACTTTGATGACCTTTGGTTATATATTAGTTATTTTCAGTTATTTTGTTTTAACATAAAATACCACCAACAACTCGTTGGCAGTACAACCAGATAATGTAGCTGATGGAGCCATTCATTCTAGATAAAATCACTGTGATTTGGGCACAGCTCTGCAGATGTGAAGTGGGGAATTCCTGTGGAACTTGACTGGCATATGCAGTTGCCCTTAACAGGTTTCATTGTGATAAACCCCTGTCTTTTGTATGAATTCAGGCACATGTCTGTATGCAAAGTCTCATTTATATCCTGCTTTACCGTTTTGGTTTTCAACATGGTAAGAGCAAAGGGTGGCTCTCTACAGGCTCAGTTTCTCCAGCTGATTTTCTGTCTCCTCTTACTCACCACTTCTTATTAATTCATTAGCAGCCAGTACAGTAGAAGTCACCTTAGCTTTCTGTTTCCCTTTCCTACCAGCAGCCTCTTCACATCTCCTTCAAAACTCACCAATAAGCTTCTACCATGTATGTCACAGAATATAAAATCTTAATGTTCATCAGTAAATTATTCATGATTTCTATGGCCCTGATTTGTGTAATGACTGCTAATGCTTTCAGAACATTTGATCTTGACAAGGTGAAAAATCGTGCTGTTTTAAAAAAATTTTCTAGAGTAGTTGCTAGGATTTTTTAAAGCACACCTATCTTATATGCCAGGAATTCCAAAGTCAAAATGTACATAAACCATTAGATTGTAAGCATCTAGGAATCTTTAGAAAGAAGTTTGGAGGTCAAATGCAGCCATCTATCCAATATAGACTCCCTTTTCCAGCATCCCAGACAGAGTCCTTTGGCTGCAGATGGCCACTCCTGATGAGAGAGGGAACTCTCGGGTCACCAGGCTGCCCACCTTGATTGTTGGCCATCTGGGATCCTTCGAGTAAACTTGGGCTAGCTTCTTAAGCTCTCTGTTTCTTTCTCTGAAATAGTGATAATAATAGTAACAGTAGCAATAGCAATAATAGCACTAGTAATACTAATAGTGTTTCCTCATAGAATTGTTGTGAGTGATAAATCAGTTGATACATGCAAAACCATCTGGACAATGCCTGGCAAGAGCCACATACTCAGTCCCTGCTAGTTGTTAATACTGGCCCTGTAGGCAGAATTGTAGAGTAGAAGAAAGCAGATAGACCTGAGTCAGACTGACAAGGTATGAGTCCAGAATTTGCCAATACCTAGTCCTGTGAACATGGAAGTTAAGTTGCTTGATATTTTCTGAGCTTGAGTTTCCTTGACTGTAAAATGTGGATAGGGAGTCCATCCCCAGTATGTACTTGCTGTAGTGATATAATTTGGATATTTGTCCCCACCCAAATCTAGTGTTGAATTGTAATCTCCAGTGCTGGAGGTCAGGCCTGGTAGGAGGTGTTTGGATCATGGGGGAGGATCCCTCATGGCTTGGTGCTATTTTCGCAATAGTGAGTTATTGCAAGATCTGGTCACTTAAAAGTGTGTGGCACCTCCTCCCACCCCCACTCTCTCTCCTGCTCCTGCTTTCACCACCTGAAGTGCCTATTCCTGCCTCACTTTCTGCCATGAGTAAAAGCTCCCTGAGGCCTCCCCAGAAGCAGATGCAGCTGTGCTTCCTGTAAAGCCTGCAAAACCATGAGCCCATTAAACCACTTTTTAAATAAATTACCTGGTGTCAGGCATCTTTCTTTCTCTCCTTTCCCTCCTTCCTTCCTTCCTTCCTTCCTTCCCCCCTTCCTTCCTTCCTTCCTTCCTTCCTTCCTTCCTTCCTTCCTTCCTTCCTCTCTCTTTCTTCCCCTCCCTCCCTCTCTTCCTCCCTTCCTTCCTTCCTTCCTTCCTCCCTCCCTCCCTCCCTTACTTTCTTTCCTTTCTTTCACATGTTCTGTCACCCAGACTAAAGTGCAGTGGCACAATCCAGTCATGGCTCACTACAACCTGAGCTCAAGTGATCCTCCTGTCTCAGCCTCCTGAGCAGCTGGGACTACAGGTGCATGCCACCATGCCCAGCAAATTTTTGTAATTCTTATAAAGATGAGGCTTCACCATGTTGCCCAGGCTGGTCTCTAACTCCTGAGCTCAAGTTATCCACCACCTCAGCCTCCCAAAGTGCTAGGATTACAGGCGTGAGCCACCGTTGCTGGCTGACTTTTGTATTTTTTGTAGACACAGGGTCTCACTATGTTCCTCAGGCTGGTCTCGGACTCCTGAGCTCAAGCAGTCATCCCGCCTTGACCTCCCAAAGTGCTGGGATTACAGATGTGAGCCACCGTGCCCAGCCCTCGGGTTTCTCCTCTATAGCAATGCAAGAATGGCCTAATACATGTAGCAAGCAATCAGTAACATGCCAGATTATTTAAGGGGTTAGCAAGAATTCATATAAGATGCCTGGTACAGAGTAGACGCACATTAAACAATTATGATTAGTCACATGCTTAGTTGAAGAGATTAAAAAAAAGGATATGTTTGCCTAAGACATAATAGTAATGTGCCTGTCACATTAGTACATAACAGATATTAGATGACTTTGGAGAGTAATTCAGGTTTGGAACTTCTAGAAACCAAAGAAAAGGCACCGTAAGATCTTTGCAAACCTAGAGATTGAAAACCTTTTACAATAAACCACTAGAATGAATAAGATGATGTGTGTCAACTCCAAATTTCTAGTAATTTCAATGACAGCAAAACCGCACTGGTTCATATGAGCCAGAAGAAAAGGCAAATCAGAATATTTTTAAGAAAATTCAAACTTTTCATTTCAAATATTACAATATCCTCCCCCCACCCCTTTCTTGTAAAACCTAATTAGCTGAAAGAATCATTGTTAGGTACCTTTTCTGCAGGTAGAGAAACACCTCAAGTGGAGTGTGGGGGAGACGATCAGCTTCCTCCCAGCCATTGACCACAAACACTCCAGACCAGCAAGTCTGGAGGCCCCAAGAGCAGGCTCTCCAGAATCCTCCAATGTGACAGGCATGATCCCCAGCTTACCACCTCTAAAAGGTATCTGTCCCTGGCAAAGATGCCCCTATGAAATTAATTCTTCACTTTACATTGAATGATTCTTTGATCATGGATTAATGAGATGGTGACTAATGGCAGCTCTGAAATTGCCTGTTTTAATGAATCAATAGGAATTATTTTTAATTAGTACGCCAGTTATCTGTATGTAAATGATGCTCTCTGATGTGCTTAAGCCTTCTTGAAAGATTTATTTTCTGAATTCTGTTAAGACTCTTGTTTACAATGCTGTTGTGTTCTCTATGAGAAATCCTTTGCTAAGTAGAGGTATATTTCCAGCCTTTGTGGAATAATCCAGTTTTAGCAAGATCATCTTGACAAGGGCATTTACCATATTTAGAATAAATTGCAGGGCAGTGGATTTGCCTAGCCCAACCTAAGCCTGCCAGTGCCACAGCAAGAAGGCATTTTAATGTGTTGCAGAGCTGGTTCTCTCACCCAACCCACTGCCCTCCTCAAAGACACTCTGGTGTACAGCTCCCTCCTCCTCCTAATTTTAAGGCTTCAGGGTGGAGCCAGGGAAGGATACCTGCTGAACTTTGCCAAACCACCTTGAGCAGGGATATAGGTATAATCCTGGGCTGGTATAATCCAACAGATAGACTTTATCTGGATGACAGTGTGCTGTCAGTGATGAGATAAAGCCAAGACCTGGCATTTTAGGATCAGTAGATTTGAATCAAAGGACATACTCAGATCATGTGCCTTAGCCCCAGTACCTCTCAAAGTGTTTTCTCTCCTAAATCTTTTTAAGTTGCTCCCTGAAAAGCAACTTTTGATTCCAAAAGTCTGACTTTGTTGAACAGGTATGTTTCTAGGGTTGTTTGTTTGTTTGTTTGTTTTGAGTCAGAGTCTGGCTCTGTTGCCCAGGCTGGAATGCGATGGTGTGATCTTCGGCTCACTGCAAACTACACCTTCCGGGATCAAGTAATTCTCCTGCCTCAGCCTCCCAAGTAGGCGGGATTACAGGCGCCCACCACCATGCCTGGCTAATTTTTGTATTTTTAGTAGAGACGGGGTTTCACCATATTGGCCAGGCTAGTCTCTTGGCCAGGCTGGTCTCGAACTCCTGACATCATGATCCGCCCACCTTGGCCTCCCAAAGTGGGGTTTTTAAAAACATGTTCCTTTGGGCACTTCCCCCCACCCCCAGTTTTCTTTCTTTCTTTTTTAAAATTATCTAAGATCATTTTTCACCCACCAAAAGGCCTTTTTTAGGTTTTCTTTTTTTAGCCCGTGTACCAGAATAGTAGTTTCATTGTTGCCAACTGCAAAAGGACCTATGTGTTGTGGATGCTGCTGTAAGCTATTTCTAAGAACAAACTAAATGGTTCTAGAAAACTAGTACATGGAGTAACTCACATATTTTCATGGAAAGCAGGAAAACCCCTTTGCCCCAGTGTTCCAGCAGCTGTCAGATCTTCTAATCATAAGCAACAATTTTCCTGGACTTGAGAATGGAAAGAAAAAAATTATATTTGACTTAGTAATTTTCAAAGAGTAAATTATAACAAATGGTGTTAGGTTGTTCACTCCACCTTTTAAACAGCAGTTATATAGCAATATCTCTCCCCGTACCACAGGAATGTTCCCATAAACTTGGATAAACTACATAGGAAGTAGCTCACATTTTCATCTGCACAGTTTATCAGTCAACAAGTGTTCACTGAGTTCCTTTTGCCTGGCACAGCCCTAGCAGCTGCATGAAATATCTGAGCAGCGTGTAAAGACATTGCCTCCTACTTCAAGTCATTCACCCCATACGGGAGAAGCAATGTATGAAGCATCGAGGGAATAATTAAGGCAACATAGTGATATCTTGGTAAATTGTCATTTGTCTACACAGCGCCTTTCAGCACACACGAATGATTCTTCTTCATTTTCTTTTAAGAAGCAAGTATTAAAAGTGCTGCAAACTTGTAACTGCTGGACTTGATCATCTTTATTCATTCAAAAAATTTAAGCATTTACTACTAAAATTATTTTGTGTAGATGTAGGCACTGTTCTACAACAAGTAATTTTGTAGACCACTAATGAAAGTTCAGAGAAGGATATATATTTGCACGTGTGCTTAATTCCTAATTATATAGACTTTGGGGTAGTTCTGCCTATTGTGTGACCTTTTATGTTTACATCACATTTTCTATTTTTGACTGAGCCTACATGACCAAAGTTGTGTCAGTTCAGCATAAGTGGTGCTCTGCTTTCTAACCTTCCTAGTCCTGTGTATTTTCTGCATCATGATTTATTAACAAGTACTTAGGTCATTTAGCTGAATTGTGGAGCAAGAGAGTTAGAGCTAAGATTTCCTGATTGCCAAGGTTTTGGTTCTTTGCTTCCTCTATATTAGAGATTCTGTTAACTACTATGAGATGCACATCTTACCATCATCAATAATGCTCTAGAGACACTGCCTCTTTCTTTAGGTTTAACACCTATGTTGTGTTATCTTTTAATCAAGTTCTTAAATGTGATAGGAGAAAAAACAATGGGTGATAAATGCTTCTGCATGAATAAAAATTAACTGCACATGTAATGAATACAACTTATTTTAAAATGTCTTCTGCAGCAAAACATTGTGTTGGTTAAAAGTTACCAAGCTGAGGTTAAATGGGTTTTAATTAAAAATTACAAGCTCATCCTACCCCAAAGCACTACCACATGCAACTCTAAAAATACCAAATGGATAAAAACCTTAAAATTGTTCAACAGCTCCCCCTAGCATACATAATTTCAGGCCGTCAGACTAGAAAGCAAATTCTAGTTATCATTTTTTACATGTCTAGTTACATGGGCACCTTCTTGACATTATTCCTGAATTGAATGTCTGAAGGTAATTATAAGCAGAGAATAGTGTAATCTAGCAAAATGATTTCTTGTGAAAATATTTTCAAAATGATTTTACTTGAACTCTGGCTATCCTCTATCCATTGTCGCTGCTTTGGTTGGCTGGTTCGAGGAGATTTCTGTTTTCTTTTGGAACAAGCCATCTAGGAAAGAAAATACAAGGTTGGGGGAAGTTCTTAAAGAAGATTGTGGAAATCCACAAGGTGGACAGAGAATATTTAACTGTCTGGTGAATTTTAGGAACACAGTCTCAGGGGTTTGGGCTCTTGAGCAGTTTAACCACTCTGTGACCTAGTTTCCTCCTCTATAAAATCAAGAAATGCTAATAGTACTTATATCGTAAGGCTGTTGTGGTTACTATGCACAAAGTGAATTCTCAGAGGTGATCAACAGTCATTGTTAGCATTATTTCACCGTGGATGCTTGAATGAGGTCAGGATCTACAGCCTGCGCTCTGACATTGGAGATACCTGAATTCAAACCCTCTGAGAGACCTTAGGCAAATTGCTGAAACTTGGTTTCCTCATTTCTAACTAGAAGTAATAATAACAACTACTGCTTACTACTCTAGAGTTAGAATATATATGCAAAATACCTAGACTGGACTAGGTAGAAGAGATAGAACACAGCTGTTGGTCTTACAGAATAATAATAATAATTCTCCTTATTTACTTATTTATTTATTTTGAGACAAAGTCTTGCTCTGATGCCCAGGCTGGAGAGCAATGGCGTGATCTCAGCTCACTGCAACCTGCGCCTCCCAGGTTCAAGTGATCTCCTGCCTCAGCCTCCCAAGTAGTTGGGACTACAGGAATGCACCACCATGCCCGGCTGATTTTTGTATTTTTAGTAGAGACCAGGTTTCACCATGTTGGCCAGGCTGGTCTTGAACTCCTGACCTCAAGTGATCCAGCCTCAGCCTCCCAAAGTGCTGGGATTACAGGTGTGAGCCACCACACCTGGCCTAATAATAATAATTCTCTAAGGCTAAGAGAACAGGAGACAATAATACTATAACATTCTGTAAATTGGAAAGCTGAGAGAGTGAAGAGTTGCATTTCTTAGCAAACCCAAGAAAGCCAGTTATATGTAGAATGAACCAGAGGCTCAGGAATTGCTAGCACTAGGGATCTCTGGAAACCTTAGCTGGGGTCTTTTCTAATTCAGCTATCACAGGACACAGCGAGTCACCTCTGCCATGTTTCACCTGCTGCTTACACGGCACACAGTCCAGAATTAGAAGGTGAGGTTTGAAAATTCACCTGTTTTCGTTCTGCTACCTACAGAAGTTCCACAGTAGAAAGGAAGGAGACCTGGATCAAAGGATAGGCTTTAATTATGCCACTAACAGTATGAACTTCATCAAGTCCTTTACTCTCTCTAGACGTTAGTTACCACTGATGTAAAATGAAGGGCTAGACTAGACTACCCTTAAAAGTGCCATCCTTGCTGTCAAACCTCATGATGTTAGAACAAAAAAGTATTTCAGGACAAGACTCTGAGGTTGACCTGGTTACTTTTCAGAAGTGTGTGCACACACATATGCACACACATAATAAATTTAGAACAGAACAATATTGTATTCTGATATTATTCATGAGGATAATTAATAGTATCTAAGAATTATTGAATATCCACCATGTTCCAGGTACTTGCACTATCTTACTTAATCTCATTTGATATAATAATAGTGTTTTATGAGAGAAATTCTGTTATCTTCAGTCTACAGATTAAGAAACTAAGGCTCTAAGAGTTTAAGTTACTTACAGACTTTAGAAACATTAAGTGGCAGAGTCTAGCTTTTAAAGATCTGGCCACCTTCAGAGCCCTGGTTCTCTAGACCTCACCATGCACCTCTTTTCTGAACACTGGTGCTTCTCCAGAAAGGTCATCACATTCATTCCAGTTCCTATGATTGCTTTCAGTTTGTAGTATGACTTTATTACCTTCAACTGGAAAATTATTTGGGGTGTCCCCCTGTAAAGTGGATTGGCATTGGAATTATAAACAAGCCAAGTACCATATTTCTCTCACGAAGTCAGTTTCCTCTGAATTCTCAAAGTCCACAGGCATGTAAAAGGCCCTGCATGTGTGAAATTACACATTATTAAAGTCCTGCATATTAAACCTTTACAGGATCTGTAGTTTTCCATTGTGACCAAACTTATACAGATCACTGTTGTTCAATAGATTACATGGCCAATTGTCCTTGGGACTGCAGACTATTTATAAATCTACAAGTAAATATTTTAACCAATCTGTGTATGTAAATTTTCTGTTTAATGTTGATTTTTGAGTATAAAAATAAGGAGAGGACATTTAATGGATGGAATGAAAGAGATAATATATTAAAAGGGGAGGGGAAGCTTAGGGGAGGATGGGGGTGAGAACTTCCAACTTTTGTTGTACGTTGTTTAAAATTGTGGATTAGGGTTATGAATGCTTTTGAGGAAGGTCTCAAAAGAAGATCCCCCAGCAAAGTAGGGAAGGGTACTTCCCGATAGGAGTCGAGGTGCCCAGGCCAGCTGCTATACTGGCACTGGGAGGAGCCCCACGTTCTGCCGTACCTGCCCCCAGGTTGGCTGCATGTGCCAGGGAGTAGTAGAAGTGCCCTGCTCAACAGGAAATGACTCTTTCCCCGCCACAGTAAACTGGGCCATCTGCTGCCCTTTTGGTTTGCTGCCTCGATTTTGCAGGTTGGAGACATTAAGGCATGAAGAAACCAAGTGACACGCTTCAATTCAGAGCCTAAAGAAGAGTAGTGACACATGTCGGACAGCTGCCGTGTTCAGCACAGTCCAGAGCGCGCCATATATATGAACTTGTTGTTCTCACCTCAACCCTGAGAGGTGGATTTCAGTGTGTCTTTGGATGGCAAGCATTAAGAGAAGAGTCCTAACACACAGCCTCAGGTGCTTCCTCTCTATGGTGGGTTTCTTCTCCAAACCAAGACTGCTTCCCTGGTGTGCCATAAAACCACCAGGTTGGTCACAGCTCTTTTGGGGCATAGTATGTAAGGGAAATTTCACCCATGTGGTAGCCAAGAAGTGTCAAAAAGGACAAAAAAGTCAGAAGAAACCAAGCCATCTGGGACTACCAGATGATTCCTGGCAGGAAAGGCTGGCTGGTGTTGTGATGCTGCTCTGGAGGCTGAGCTATGAACAGCTCAAGGTGAAATTTTACAAAGACTAGAGTCTCACATCCAAATGCTCGATGGAGTCAATGTGACAACAGCTGCACCCAAATCTGAGGGGCTGTATTGTCTTCTCCATCCTATAATACCATCTCCTGTCATCAGCAGCTACAGAAATAAGTCCACCTTCTCTGTGAATCAGGGTCCAGATGGCAATCCAAAGACTGTGGAATATAACCTGGGAACTTGAAGAGACGGGAACATTGTCTGTGTACAGTCTAACCATCTGAAAAACATCCTTGAGAAAGACAGTCAGGTGGCACAGTACTATGAAGTATTCCTTCCACAGTCTCCAACAGAGCCCTGCCTTCTTCATGAAGGTGGTTACTGGTGTGAGCTCACAGTCCACACCAATAGCCTAAGGCACACAATGGCTGTCATCACATTCCATCCCCAGGAATTAAGTCCAGAGGAGCTCCATGTTCAGAAGGAGACTGTAAAGGAATTTTTCATTAAAGGTCCTGGAGCAGTCTGTGACTTGACTTCACCTGACTTCCAGGAAAGCAGGACCTGTTTCAGCCATCATCAGTCCACCTACCAGCTCTTGTTTGGGGAACCTCATATCTTTAAAGATCTCCTGGGCTTGAAGGTCTGCATCTCTCCAGATGCCTTTTTCCAGATTAACACTGCTGGTGCAGAGATGCTGTATTGGATTGTAGGGAAGCTGAGTGCAGTGAACTCTAACACCATCCTCCTTGACATCTGCTGTGGAACCGGTGTGATCAGCCTCCCTCTGGATCAGCTACATCGCAGGTCCTTGGGATTTCGTTGGTGGGGCAGGCAGTGGAGGATGCTAGGCAGACTGCAGCCTACAATGGCATCACCAGCTTTGAGTTTCATACTGGTCAAGCAGAGATTTTTCCAGGGCTGCTAAAGTCAAAGGAATATGGACAGTTAATTGTTGCTATGTGAACCCAGCCCATGCTGAACTGCATTACAAGGAAGTTCAAGCCATTTGAAACTTCAAGGCCCTCCGCATACTAGCTTTTGTTTCCTGCAAGCCCCGTGATGAAACCACAAGGAATGAACCACACTGAAAGTTCCAGGGGCTAATCTTGAGACAATCAGGCATGAAGACTGAGCTGTGAAATTCCAGAGATGACCTCAAGGCAGATAATCCACAACCCAGCCATTGTTGAGATGACACCCAGCTGCACTCCAGGTGCACCATGGCTGAAGACAGCCACCAGAACAAGACACCCAGACCTTGTACCCAGCACACTCCTGCACACCTCCCATTCCATGTTCACCATTTTAAAACCCTCTCTCTAGCCTAAAGTTTGAAGTGATACCCTTGAGGCTAGAGCCCAGGCATTCTCCTATCTGCTAGCATTTGAGAGCGACTTTCCTTTTACCACATACACACACAAAAAATTGTGGTAAAATATACATAATATAAAATTTATCATCTTAATCATTTTTGAGAATACAGTTCAGTGGCATTAAGTACATTCACATTATTGTGCAACCATCACCACCATCCATCTCCAGGACTTTTTTCATCTTGCAAAACTTAAACTTTGTACCCATTAAACACTAACTCCTCCTTCCTCGCTGTTCCCAGTCACTGGCAACCACCATTCTACTTTCTGTCTCCATGAATTTGACTACTCCAGGCTGCTGTGCATTTTAGAGAAGTTCTTATGTGATACTGTGAGTATTATAAGGGAATAATATTTGATATTTATTGGCATTACAACCTAAAAGTCTTATGGTGAAAATATTTCAAAGATATTTAGAGTAAAATGATGCATGTTAAGCTCTTTTTCCTCCTTGAAGTAACTTAAAACCTATTTTTTAAAAAACACCCTGAGGTTCTTATAACTCAGCTTAAAAGTGATGGTGCCCATGCACTGGGGTGACTGCTGTTTCTTGCTCTCTTTTTCTCCCATGGAGCCACAGTCACAATTTTAGTCAAGGTTACAATGAAAGCACCACTCCTTCTCTTTGATGGTCCTCCATTCTTGTGCCTCAGCTCCAAAGGTCATTCTGCCCTTTCTGTGCCCAGCTTCATTCTGAGTGGGATTAATGTTACTGAACCGTGTAGCACACAAGTAAAGGAGGACAAATGTTCATTCGTTCTTTCTTTCAACCTTTATTGAGTACCTACCACATTACCTACTATATACAAAGATGGATAAGACGTGAACACCGTCTTTAGGGGCTTGCATTTTATTAAGTTGAAGCATTTAAAGGAGCCTGTAGTAAGAAGAGACAGATATGTAAACAGATAAGCCAAGGCATTGGGATAAGTCTCTGCCAAGAATAGGGAGGGAGACAGTGGTTCTACCCAGGATGAGAGGGCGTCAGCATGGTGTTTTCTTTTGCTTTTCTTCACAAGCCTGATGGAGTGTACCATGCTACCTTGACTAGCTTCTGCAGTTCCTTTTCATAGTCTCTGGAGGAACTGGAGTTGTTCCAGTGATACAGAGCAGTAGAGCAGGTGGTGGTTCGCTAATTTGGACAAGGAAGCAGCAGTTCCCATTGCCACTTGCTTCTCATTTCCATCATCAGTGGTCATTAAATGAAAGTGTGCACATTTTCCAGAGCGTGGTTGAAAGTCCTTTTGTATACAGATAAGCTAAATTCTGTTACTTGCCTTACACTTTGTCAGAGGCTGAACGTTGGAAGGTTAAATGAGGAAATGCTCATTCATTTCTGGATTATGGTATTCTCCTTTCAAATAAAATTACCTAAATAGACAACTACTTAATTTGGAGGAAAAAATAAAATTAAACTCCAGACTGGGTGCAATGGCAGGTGCCTCTGGTCCAAGCTACTTGGGAGGCCAAGGATGGAGAATCACCTGAGGCCAGGAGTTCGAGGACAGCCTGGGCAATATAGCAAGACTTCCATCCCTAAAAAATAAAATAGATAATAAAACTTTGTACAAGACAGAATGATGATAGAAACTGGCTGTGACAGGGTGGTACTATTTTGAAGATTGGGGCCAGGGATGTCAGAACAGTGAGCTAGGGTTGGTAAAGGACTTACTGTTGTCAGTTCAGGAAGAGGTCACTGTGCTGTGGAGAGGACTATGGCATAGCCATATGTCCTAAGCCAAAGCCTACAGAAGCCAAGAATTTAGGGCCCTTTAACTGAGTCTTCAAAAAGTAGCATGGACACTGCAGTCTGGTCTATCCAAATCATCCTCGAAACTGCAGTTTCCTCTTGATAATAGGTAAAGGATATTTATTTGAGGGAAAAGCTGCCACTTAGTTATGTAATATCATTCTGCCTTGTTCACCCTAGAACAAGGAATTAGGTAGAGGTGGCAAACAAATTTTATACTATATTAAATAAGATTTAAATATATATTTTTCAGGCACAACTTTTTTATTTTTTTATTTTCGCTGTGTTTTTAAATCAGTAAAAGACATGGGATCCTAGAAGCTGCAGTGATCTAAGTAGCAGCAAGTTTGCGCGTATATCCTTTTTGTTTTGTTTGTTTGAATGTTTAAATAATGTTTAATAAGTTTAAATTATGTTAAATATGCTGAAATGTGTTAAATATGTTTATGTTTAATTGTTAAATATGTTTAAATTGTAATGTTGTTTAAATTATCACACTGCTGCCACAGTCCCCTTGCATGAAATTCTGCACTATACATACTAATTGTAGTAAAGTTACCCCTATATCTCAGGCAGGGCAAACAACTCTGGAAGATAATTTTCACTGAAGTCTAACCAAACTTCATTAAATGGATTCTGATAAGATTATAAATGACATGAAAAATAATATTTTAACATCAAGTCATCAATTTAAGAAAAGGGTGTGCTTAGACACATTTTTAAAGTTTTTAAAAAGTAATATTCTACCCTCCTATAGTCCTCAGAATTAAAGCATAGTGAACAGGAAAGAAAAGGAAAATAATGCAACTGAGTGCTAAGGCAGAACATCTTGCCAGATGTAATGAAAGTGGCGTATTCACAGTCATGGGTTGCTTAACGACCAGGAAACGTTCAAAGAAATGCATCCTTAGGTGATTTTTGTCGTCATGTGAACCTCATAGAGTGAACTTACACAGGTTCTACACACCTAGGCTCTATGGTATAGCCTGTTGCTCCTAGGCTACAAACTTGTACAGCATGTCACTGAGCTGAATCTTGCAAGCGTTTATACACAATGATAAGTATTTGTCCATCTAAACATCTCTAAGCATAGAAAAGGTACGGTAAGGCCGGGCGCGGTGGCTCACGCCTGTAATCCCAGCACTTTGGGAGGCCGAGGCGGGCGGATCACGAGGTCAGGAGATCGAGACCATCCCGGCTAAAACGGTGAAACCCCGTCTCTACTAAAAAATACAAAAAAAAATTAGCCGGGCGTAGTGGCGGGCGCCTGTAGTCCCAGCTACTTGGGAGGCTGAGGCAGGAGAATGGCGTGAACCCGGGAGGCGGAGCTTGCAGTGAGCCGAGATCCCGCCACTGCACTCCAGCCTGGGCGACAGAGCGAGACTCCGTCTCAAAAAAAAAAAAAAAAAAAAAAGAAAAGGTACGGTAAAAATACAGTATTATAATATTACGGGACCCCTGTCATATATGCAGTTCATCGGTGACCAAAATGCTGTTATGCAGCATGTGACTGTGTTTAACAACTGGCTTTACCTAGTATCAATGCCGGCTATATGTATTACTTGGTCAACTTGAATGACCGTTTAGAAGAATTTTGATTGCCTTTCGAGTAGGCTTTATCTTACCAGTTATACCTGGTCCCTCTACCCCCTGTTGTTTGCTGGAGACACTTCATCCCTTTCCATGACTTGCCTGGCTTTGACTTGCTTTGGGCTGGAAAGGGGCAGCTGCTGTTTATCATCTATGGCCATTGGGGGATTTCCAGGATTCTTGCCCTGTCATTAAAATTGTGTGTCCCTTCCAGACCTCTCTCATCATTAGATATTGGAACATAAGGGGGGAGTTTAAAAATATGTGGACTGCTCTTTTCCTCATCCTCTTTAATTTATATAGATTTGGCCTTTTTAAGAATGTAAAGTATTTATTGAAAAAGATGGACATGCAGAGTTTCTATCCCCTCTTGACCAGTAACTCTATGGCCTTGTTTCCTTGATGTTCTTCTTAATGTTCTCAACTGTGGGAATGCTTACCTCAT
Source organism: Homo sapiens (assembly GCF_000001405.40). NCBI lineage: Eukaryota > Metazoa > Chordata > Mammalia > Primates > Hominidae > Homo > Homo sapiens. The sequence goes on from NC_000001.11 coordinate 184,571,940, forward strand.
ATAGTTGTTATGAGGATTGAATGATAACAATTAATACAGATAACAGCAATAATAGTAATGGCTGGCATCTATTGGGCTCTTACCACATGGCAGGACTTGTGCCTGGCATTTCATCTGCACTAACTCAGTTAATGTCCACAGGCCTTAGTCAGGTGTCTGGCTCTTGGGAGGGGTGCTGTCAATGAGAGCTATTATTTTTGTTGTTATTGTGTTTATGATTACAAGAGACCATAAGAGACAAGGAATCAAAAGCTGTGTTTCTCCATTATCAGATTATCAAGGGAACATCAGTGAAGAATATACATAAGACCTCATGTAAGGAACAAATTAAGCATGATTGTGTCTGTATTCTAGCAGTTTATCATCTACAACATACAATTATTTGAGAGAGGAGGCGTAGGAAGAGGGAGCGAGGGAGCGAGAACATGCATATAGGTAAATGGACCAGTATACATGCTATTCTGTTCTGTTTTGTAAGCATGTTTTCTGGAAAATGACTGTTAGACAGCAGATGTAGCACTCACATTTGTGAGTTTTCATTTCAGCAGTTTACTGAAGTGAAATTTAGAGAAATGGGATAAAGTCTCTAACATTTCTAGTAAGTTCTATCAATCAGAAAACCCTGGAGTTTGGTAAAGTCATTGTTGAAGATGATCATTGGTAAAAGTTTCTACTGCATTATGGTATAAGCCAGGATCCATGCAAGATTTTTTTTAAAAAAATTATGCTTCAGGCCAGGTGCGGTGGCTCACGCCTGTAATCCCAGCACTTTGGAAGGCTGAGGCAGGTGGATCATGAGGTGAGGAGTTTGAGACCAGCCTGACCAACATGGTGAAACCCCATCTCTACTGAAAATACAAAAATCAGCCACGCATGGTGGCATGCACCTGTAATCTCAGCTACTCAGGAGGCTGAGGCAGGAGACTCGCTTGAACCAGGAGGCGGAGGTTGCAGTGAGCCAAGATCACGCCACTGTACTCTAGCCTGGGAGACAGAGCGAGACTCCTTCTCAAAAAAAAAAAAAAAAATACACTTCAGTCAAGTGGATGCCACCTTGTATGTAAGTCTCATGGTGTAGGCACTCTCTCAGCCCATGATCACTCTGGATGCTTGCAGAGATCTTCTGTCAGAATCAACTTTGTTTCTAATGGAGGAAAAAAAACTATTTTAATATAGTCATTATTGCTGTATGTCATTGTAAACAGCCTATTAACCCTTTTCCATTTACCCTGAGAATACTCACTGATGGCACTTGCAGCTGCAGCGTTTACCCCGAGATAACTTTCATCATGCAAAATCTCTTTTAATATTATTTTCACATCGCTCTAGTATATCGACTTTGGAAACAAAAGACATCATTCTATTCATACCATTCTGTTTTTAGTAGTGGTATTTCCATTTACAAAATACAGTAATTCTCAATCACTTAAAATGTCAAGTCCTAGAAAACGTAACATTCCTACGCGTGATGTTAACATCATTCTCGAAGAGTTCTTGGCCGAAGATTCATTTGATGAATCCGATTTTTCCGAAATAGACGTTTCTGATGATTCAGACAATTCTGATGTTAGTTCTGTTTAGAAATAACTCCAAAAACGGTTTGTATATTTTATTTTCACATTGAAAGTCAGATTTGCTTCAGCCTCAAAGAGCATGTTTACGTAAAATTAAATAAGTGCTGGCAGCGAGCTTCACTTTTTTTTTCTACACAGGAAAAGCGTTAACAGTTACTTTGAAAAAATAATATGATAAGTGGTGAATAATGTGGAGTATTGGTGGCCTGGAATTAAAAATTCAACCTGGATGACAGGTTCATTCATACCCCAAACCTCAGCATCAAGCAATATATCCTTGGTACAAACCTTCACATGTACCCCCTGAATATAAATTAAAAGTTGAAATCTTTAAAAAATTAAAAATAAAATAAATAAAAAATTCAAACTGCCTTTTACTTCAAAGTAGAAATGAAGATAGGCCGAGCACCATGGCTCATGCCTGTAATCCCAGCACTTTGGGAGGCCGAGGTAGGCAGATCACCTGAGGTCAGGAGTTTGAGACCAGCCTAGCCAACATGGCGAAACCCCATCTCTACTAAAAGAAAAAAAAAATACAAAAATTAGCTGGGCGTGGTGGTACACGCCTGTAATCCCAGCTACTCGGGAGGCTGATACAGGAGAATCGCTTGAACTCAGGAGGTGGAGATTGCCGTGAGCTGAGATCACGCCACTGCACTCCAGCATGGGTAACGGAGAAAGACTCTGTCTCAAAACGAAACAAAAAAAAGAAGTGAAGATAATATATACCTTGGAAACATCGGAAGACTCAAACATTTTGTGATTCTAAGTGATTGTGAAAACTCTGATGTCAGATGCATCTGGAAAGTTTAAATTGTTTCATGAAATGTGCATATGGAAAAAGTAATACTTTTAAATATGATTTTCACATAATATGTGAACTTAAATATATATGTCACTGAATTAACAAACCATATAAGTAGTCAGCTGAAGGTTTCAACCACATCCCTAAAGGATTACGTATTTATGTTTGCCAAGACACATTTCTGAGGATCTCATTGGAAAGACAGGAACCACTTTACATTTAGACCTATATGATTCATTAAAGCTCCTAATCATGTTCTTTAACTTTTTTTTTCTTTGCCTTTTACTCAAGTAGGAAAAGATTTTCACTTAAGTGGAGAGGCAAGGAATAAGGGCAAAAGGAAACTGGCTCTTAAGGCTGACTTGACTAGCAGGACCTAGGGCGTGAAAAAGAATGGAGAGAATGTGCTTATTATATCTTTAATGAACCCTTAATTTGAAAGCCTCCTAGTGAAAGAGTCTCAGAGGGAAGAGCCGTGAGAGCAGCAGGGGATGTGGCTCATTTGTTCTCACTCTTTCTCCCTGACCAGCAGCTGTCCCTGTCGGGCTGCGGAGGGCCCAGTCCTGTCACTATCCCGCATCCACAGGACGAGCTCAGCTCGGGTGTCTTAGGGGAATGCACACCAAATTCGAGGGCAAGTGTGAAGAAAGAAAGTATGGGAGTTTTTAAGAAAGCTTCTAAAAGGCTGAAAAGATACGCAAATGAAGAAACTCGGGGCTCAACACACCACTTTAAAGGACTACAGGATCCTGTTTGCAGAGTTTAGAATGAAGATATTTCTAGCAGTACATTTCTCAAAAAGGAAAGAAGGGAGAAAAAAAGAATGGCACTTAGTCTCTATTGCTAAATACCGTATTTCAATTTTGAAGAACATTTTTAACCCAAATTCTAGCTACAACCAGTCTCTTCCTAGCAGCCTTGGACTAAAAGTACCTCAGAAATAGAACAATGCCAGATTTGATTATTGACTGTTCAGATTGTGTATAGAAATCTAGTGACTGGCTCCACATTGTAAAATAATTATAGCACAACAGAGATGACTCTTGTATTAGTTAAAAAGCCAAGAAGATGAAGGGGTACACTGTTAAAATATTGACTTCCCTTCATTTACTCTGACTTCTGATGGGAAGAGGTTGCAGAGGGGTATGGAAGAGGGTGTATGAGTAAGGACCTAAATTTACAATTAACCAGGACTAATCATAGAAGTGCTAGAAGAAGTAATAAATGAAAACAATCCATTTTTTCCATTAGTGAAAAACTTAAAACCCCCTGTATGTGAAAACACAAAAAGGTAAAAAAAAAAAAAAAAAAAAGAAGAACTTTAAAAAAATCATAATACATGCAACAGAATCCATACATTTTATATCTATGTATACTAATAGAAAAAAAATTTTAATACAAAGAGTTCATACCAGATGAATTAGAGAGGTTTTAGCTATGGCTTCTCTTCTCCTAGCAAACCCCCTGACCCCTGCTAAGAGACCCCCCAACCCCTTAATACAGTGTAGGCGCCTGACTAAAGCTAGGCTAACCAGTGTTTCCCTGGGATGCTTGTAATTGATACAAATAGGAAGACCCTCTTGCCTGTTGGGCCACAGAGGTGGAAGGATTGAATCTGGGGTTGCCAGGAGGTCATGAAAAAAAAATGAAACCAAGGTGACAAGCAAAAATGGGAGACGGGGACAGAGGGCATTGCTTGACTCCCTGAATCCAGTCAGGCCCAAGCCTGATCAGCTTCATTCCTGTTAGGTAAACCAACATATCACTTTTCTGCAGAGGTAAATCAAGTTGAGTTTCTGTCACTTTTTTTTTCTTTTTTTTTTTGGCATAGAGTCTCACTCTGTCACCCAGGCTGGAGTGCAGTAGTACAATCTCGGCTCACTGCAACCTCCACCTCCTGGGTTCAAGCAATTCTCCTGCCTCAGCCTCCTGAGTAGCTGGAATTATAGGCATGCGCCACCACATCCAGCTAATTTTTGTATTTTTAGTAGAGATGGGGTTTCACCATGTTGGCCAGGCTGGTCTCGAACTCCTGACCTCAGGTGATCTGCCCACCTGGGCCTTCCAAAGTGCTGGGATTACAGGCGTGAGCCACCGCACCCGGCTTCTGTGGCTTTTGAGGGAAGGAGTCCTAACTGCTACAGAACAGACAGTTCTCAGAACCTTCTATCCTCTCACTGTCTTGCCAGTTCCTCTGCTCTGTCCTCATTGGCACTGCCGTGTGCATTGCCCTAGCCAACTGAAATTTCTCCTCCCTCTATTGTCCAGGGTCCTCTCAGGCCTCCACTACCACCCAGCTTCAGGCCCACCCTTGTGTAGTCACAGTCTATGGCAATGCTCAACTAAACAGACTGCCCTGTTTTCCTCCCCAGGATTACTGCAGCAGGCTTCTAAGCAGCCTCCCTACCTCCAGTTCTCATGGGTACTGCTGCCCGAGTGGTCTTTCGAGAATTCAGATCCACTCTTGTGACTTTCCTGCTTAAAACCCTTCAGAGGCTCTCCCCATGACTTTTGGAATAAAACCCCAAATCCTTAATTTGTCTTGCAAGGCCCTGGGGATCTGGCAGAGGTGCACGGCTCAGCTTCATCCCCTGCCGGCCTGCACTCTGCACTCCAGCCAGGAGCCAAGCCAGTGCTGTAAATGGGTTGAGACTTTTGGGGACCTTGGGATGGATGAATGCATTTTGCATGTGGGGTGGGTGTGACTCTTTACAGCCCAGAGGGCACACTGTGGTAAGCTGAAGAATGATGTCCACATCCAAATCCACGGAACCTATAAATATATTATGTTACATGGTAAAAGAGACTTTACGGAAGTGATGAAATTAGGGATCTTGGCTTTATCTCGAATGCTTTCAGTGGACACAGTATAATCACAAGGATTCGTACAAGAGGGAAGCAAGAGAATCAGAGTTAGAGAAAGAAGATGTAATAACAGAAGCAGAGATTGGAGATAGAAGATATATTACACTGCTGGCGTTGAAGATGGAGAAAGGAGCTATGGACCGAGGCGGGTCGGTGATGTGTAGAAGCTAGAAAGGCAATGAAACAGGTTCTCTCCTGTTGCCTTCAGAAGGAAGGCGGCCCTCCAGAAGTGTCACGTCATAAATCTGTGTCATTTTAAGCCACTGAATGTGTGTTAATTTGTTAAAGCAGCAGTAGGAAAATAATATAGCAGATTTTCTGGGCACTGACAGTTTTGGAATTAAAGAGAGTTGTGGGTGTGTCCAGCTTGTTCAGGAAGGCTGGAGTCTGATTTTAATTTTTGGCTGGCTTCTATGGCACAATGAGTGTGAGAAAAATGATCTGCCTGTAAGAAAAACTAGATCATTTAACTTTTTGTTTTTAGCTTTGACATGCGCAGTTTCTCAGTTTAGTGGGAAAAAAAACTGGCAAGGTTTTGGTTAGTCACAGAAAAAGTTTAGCAATTCTGCACAAATGGTGGGTTTTTATTTGTTAAAATATCAAAGACATGATGGATGATACATTTCTTTGTTATAATATTTTGTTAACTTTTACCAATGTAATTTTATTTTTCTGGCAATATTTTTACCCACCAGAAAAATCTAGTTTTAAAGCATGTTTATTCTGTAGTAGTCAGGTTCTTTGTCCGTTTGTTTTTTGTTTTGTTTTTGTTTTTTTTTTTTTTTTTTGAGACAGAGTCTCACACTGTCGCCCAGGCTGGAGTGCAGTGGCGCCGCCATCTCAGCTCACTGCAACCTCCACCTCCGGGGTTCAAGCAATTCTCCTGCCTCAGCCTCCCGAATAGCTGAGATTACAGGCGCCTGCCACCATGCCTGGCTAATTTTTTTTATTTTTAGTAGAGGTAGGGTTTCACTGCGTTGTTCAGGCTGGTCTCGAACTCCTGACCTCGTGATCCACCCACCTCAGCCTCCCAAAGTGTTAGGATTACAGGTGTGAGCCACCATGCCTGGCCAGTAGTCAGGTCTTAAATGCAGTCTCCTGGGGACCAGGCAACAGGCATAGTTAATAGCTGAATTCCTAAGATCTTTGGTCTTATTTTGGATCACAGTAAATGTGATTCCCATTCACATGTGTTTTGTCTCATTTGATAATCAGAGAGGAGAAATTAGAAATGGAGAAAACAAGGTAGGGTTGTATGTATGCAGCTTTCTGGGGTATAAACCACGGATTTTGTCTCTCTTCTATTTTATTGTGTCCAAGTGGCATTTAGCATAATTGACTAGTCCTGTTCCACTACAGTAAGCTAATCAAGTACTTTTAGTTTGTTTTGAAGTTTAAGCTCCAAATGGCATTTTGGCCCAGTTTAAATCATCAATACAGTTTTTTCTATATTTCTGTGAAATACCTATATGTTCATAACAAATAAGATACTTGACAGAGTTACATATCAGACTACTAAGAAGAGGAGACCTCTGTGATTAATCTTAGATAGTTAGATAGTTCTGTGATCAAGAATACATACATATTTTATTAATTAGCATTATGGTAGTTATTAAGGCTATCCATAAATATTCCAATTCTCCTCCCAAGCACAAGAGTAGGATTGTATAAAGGGAATTAAAAAATAAAAATATAAACTTTCTCAACATAAGCTCTGTCACGTTTGAGACAGCTTTGTAAGCAATGATATCCGTCATTTAGTCCATCACTGAAGAACTGAGGACCTGGCATCCATCCTCTTGTGAAGGTTAAAAAAAAAAAAAAAAAAAAAGAACTGAGCGTCTTGGGTGCCCTTTAAAGTTCTTTTTTTTTTTGAGACAGAGTCACTCCATTGCCCAGACAGGAGTGCAGTGGCTCCATCTCGGCTCATTGCAACCTCCACCTCCTGGGTTCAAACAATTCTTGTGCTTCAGCCTCCTGAGTAGCTGGGACTACAGGAGTGCACCACCATGCCTGGCTAATTTTTTTTTTTTTTTTTTGGTATTTTTAGTAGAGATAGGGTTCCACCATGTTAGCCAGGCTGGTCTCAAACTCCTGGACTCAAGTGATCTGCCCACCTCAGCCTCCCGAAGTGCTGGGATTATAGGCATGAACTACTACACCTGACCTAAAGGTATTTTTTTAATATAAGCTGGGTTTTTTTTTTTTTTTTTTTTTTTTTTTTGAGACGAGGTCTCACCATGTTGCCCAGTCTGGTCTTGAACTCCTGGCCTCAAGCAATCTCCCACCTCAGCATCCCATCAAGATTTTCTTTTTTTTTTTTTTTTTCCTTTTTTTTTTGTTTAAGATGGAGTTTCACTCTTGTCGCCCAGGCTGGAGTGCAGTGGCACGATCTCAGCTCACTGCAACCTCCACCTCCTGGGTTCAAGTGATTCTCCTGCCTCAGCCTCCCGAGTAGCTGGGATTACAGGCACCCACCACCACACCTGGCTAATTTTTGTATTTTTAGCAGAGACGGGGTTTCACCATGTTGGTTAGGCTGGTCTCGAACTCCTGACCTCGTGATCCACCCTCCTCGGCCTGTCAAAGTGCTGGGATTACAGGCATGAGCCACTGCGCCCAGCCCAAGATTTTCTTAAAGTAGAGATGACTCCTTGTGTGAAAGATTTTTTAAAATTAGAAAACAAAAAGTCAGAAGGAGCCAAATCAGGACTGTAGGGTGGATGCCTAATGATTTCCCATAAAAACTCTTGCAAAATTGCCCTTGCTTAATGAGAGGAATGAGCAGGAGCCTTGTCATGGTGGAGAAGGACTCTCTGGTGAAGCTTTCTGGGGCATTTTTCTCCAAAAGTATTGGCTAACTTTCTCAAAACACTCTCCTAATAATCAGGTGTTATCATTCTTTGGCCCTCCAGAAAGTCAACAAGCAAAATGTCTTGAACATCCCTAAAAATTTTTGCCATGACCTTGACTCTTGACTGGTTCACTTTTGCTTTATGTAGACCACTTCCTCCTCTTGGTAGCCATCACTTTGATTGTGCTTTGTCTTCAGGATTGTACTGGTAAAGCCACGTTTCATCTCCTGTTACAATCCTTTGAGGGAATGCAGATCAGGTTCTCGATCTCACTTATTTAAAGTTTTCATTGAAAGCTCTGCTCTTGTCTGCAGCTAATCTGGGTGCAACAGCTTTGGCACCCATTGAATGGAAAGTCTACTGAACTTGAATTTTTTAGTCAGACTTACATAAGCTGAACCAATTGAGATGTCTATGATGTTGACTATTGTTTCTGCTGTTAATCATTGGTCCTCCTCAAATAGGGCATGAACAAGATTGATTTTTCCCTTACAAATTGATGTGGATGGTCTGCCCCTGTGGGCTTCATCTTCAACATCATCTCATCCCTTCTTAATATGAATTATCCACTTGTAACCTGCTGATTTCTTTGGGACGTTGTCCCCATAAACTTTTCAACAAGCATCAATGATTTCACCATTCTTCCACTTAAGCTTCACCATAAATTTGTGTTTGTTCTTGCTTCAGTTTTAGTAAAATTCATATTGCTCTGATAGGGGCTGTTTTCAAACTGATATCTTATCCTTAGTGCCTTGAACTAGATTCTGTTCAATCATGTTATAACTAGTCAGTACAAATTTATTTTGGTGGAAAAAATTTTGAAATCCATGCATATTTTTTTCATAATACACGTTTTCCATGAACTTTTTTGAAAACTCCCTATGTATTTTTTTCCTCTCTTGAATTTAGATGTGGTCCTGTGACATGCTTTGGCCAAGTAAGTAGGAACATCTAACCCTTGCTGAACTCCAGCCATGGTTATTATAAAACCACCTGTTGACATGGGGCCTCCATTAACCCAAGTCGCTGGGTGATTAGATTAAGCAGAGCCATCCTGCAGCCTGTGCTGGTCGTGTAGTGTGTGCAGGAGATAAACTATTAATATTGGCTGGGCGAGGTGGCTCACGCCTGTAATCCCAGCACTTTTTGAGGCCAAGGCAGGTGGATCACCTGAGGTTGGGAGTTCCAGACCAGCCTGACCAATATGGTGAAACCCCATCTCTACTAAAAATACAAAAATTAGCCAGGCATGGTGGCATGCATCTGTAATCCCAGCCACTCAGGAGGAGGCTGAGGCGGGAGAATTGCTTGAACCTGGGAGGCGAAGGTTGCAGTGAGCCGAGATTGTGCCACTGCACTCCAGCCTGAGTGACAGAGGGAGACCCTGTCTCAAAAAAAAAAAAAAATTAATACTGGGGGTCATTTTTTACTATAGCATAACCTACCCTATTCTGACTGATTAAAAACACTCTGGGTAAAAATTGAATGTGGTTCTTCCAAGTTCGTTGATTTTCTGTGTGTGTATATAATACTTATTTGAAAAACTTGGAGATATATTATCTTTTTAAAACAGCCTTAACTTATAATTCCCAGTGGAATTTATATCATAGCTTATTTTAATTATTGACATGGTGACTTAATGACTTTTAATAAATTTGTTGGTATGCAATTAAATCTGTTCTGAGCAATTTTTTACAACTCTGTTTACTTTCTTAAGATTGTAAATGTTTGCAGTCTACCTTGAAAAGCAACTTTGTGAAAAATGTTAGGTGCTTTAAAACTGATTTGCCCCACTTCATGTTTGTTTGATATAAAATGAGATACATGGCTGTATTTTAATTTATAGAAAAATAACTTCCAAAAAGCTGAGACTTTACATGCCAACTTTATTACTACTAAATAATTGTAACAAAATACTAATAACTCTAATAATCTCTGTGGACAGGTAATTGTAATGGAAGTATTGACTTCAGGTAATTGTATTGATACTGGTGGCTTGAGTTAATTGTTGAATCTGGCAGCTTGGGCTTCATTTGTAAACATCCTGAAATTCTGAGAGTCAAGGTGGCTTCTCTGATCACCATCATTCAGAAGACAAGATAAAATTCCTTTGTATTTGAAGGAGACAGTGTCCTATCTCATGTTAATACCGCTTGAGAAATCAAGTGTAAGACATCAAATGGGATTGTTTTCTTAGAGATTACATCCTGTGGGTTACTCCCCCAAAGCTAGCATTATTGTTTATTTTATAGCCAAATTTTTAAAATGTGTGTGTACTTCACCACAAATCTCTTGCTTCTAGTTGTCAAATTATTTTTTCTAGTTTTCATGTGCTTCTGAAATGCAGTTGTGCAAATGTACACACACACATGCTCACAGTCTGTGTGCAGGGCACACCCTTTGAGAGTCCCAATTTAGTGCTTTTATGTCTCCTCTCTGTGTAGGGCACTCATTAGCAGTCCCAAGAGCCGATACTCTAATCCCCACTACTTTTCTCTAGGCCTCCAGCATCTATCTGGCCCCTGAGATTTCTCTGTAAGACAGACTTCCTATTGCTGAACCCAGAAAAAGAAAATGAGATTCCTCTCCAGACTATCAATTCAGAACCAATTTGCAAAGGGAACCTTACAGGGCAACAGCTTTCTTAGACTAAGTGGGATAAAAAAGGTAAAGAAGTGATAGGAGAAAAGCAGTTCCATTCCTTGCAGACAATGCTTTTAGTCGGCATCCTGAACATGGGTGTTGTTCCCTTTAGTATTAAGAAGGTGAGGTTTGAGGGAATGTTTTTTTGTTTGTTTGTTTGTTTGTTTTGTTTTTTGAGGCGGAATCTTGCTCTGTCACCCAGACTGGAGTGCAAGGGCTTGATCTCAGCTCACTGAAACCTCCATCTCCCGGTTTCAAGAGATTCTCCTGTCTCAGCCTCCCGAGTAGCTGGGATTACAGGCACACGTCACCATGCCTGGCTAAATTTTGTATTTTTAGTAGAGGAGGGATTTCACCATGTTGGCCAGGCTGGTCTCAAACTCCTGACCTCAGGTGATCCGCCCGCCTCGGCCTCCCAGAGTGCTGGGATTACAGGCGTGAGCCACTGTGCCTGGCCAGGAATGTTTTAAAGAAGATCCTCTTGGTATTTTCACTGTCCCTTTGGGAGATATCAAAGGGAATAAGGGATTGGGAAGCTCGCGACAACAGCATAAGTATAGTGAGTTTGACTGTCTTCAGCATCAGAGAAACTAAGAAGAGAATGATCGGTTTACTCTAGACACTGACAAGTATATTCGATTCATAAAGAAATAAAATTACTTCAAGCAAAGGAAAAAATTGTTTGATTTGTTGTTTAAATAAATCTGTCACTACCTGACAGTAGTAGTGCAAACATTCTTGAGAAATGGATGTTTTTCCCAACTGATGGAGCCCCTAAATATTAATAATAAAAAAAGTTAAAGAGTTTGCTGGTCTGGTGGGTCTCCCTGTCGACCCTGAGATAGCTCCACAGAGCCCCAAGGCTTAGGTTGAAAGCTGGCTCTGTAGAGAGCCAAATGGGGAAATACTAAGTGTAAAGGATCTTTCTGCTGAAATAGACGTGCTCAAACTTTTTTGAGTGAAGAATAACCTAAGACTCTTGTTTAAAATGCAGATTCCTGGGCTTCACTTCCACAGACTCCTACTTGAGATGTCTTGAGTGGGGCCTGGGAAACTCTATTTTAACACACATCCCAGATGATTCTGATTCAAGTGTGGATGGCTGATGAAAAACGAACTGCCTGTGGAGACCCTGTCAAAAGCCTTTATCTTAGTCGCAGTTGGTCTCGGTTTGTTTTAGGGAGAATACTTAGTTCACAAGTGTCAAATACCATCAAAATAGTTTTTTCTTGCTAAAAGAAACAGTATCTTAGTTGCTTCGTCTGTCATCTCGCAATTTATTCTCTTTTCTTATTTCTGGAGCACCTCAGATATTGCATAGCTCTCAGCCCCCTCTGCTGGGTCTGCTTTATCCGAGCTGCTGCTGGTAGTGAACCACGTGTCTCACTGCTCCCACCACTTTCTCCTTCCCCCTCCTTCCAGCCCTGTTGGTTTGTTTGCTTGTTCTTCTTCTTTTTTTTTTTTTTTTTTTTTTAAGAAAGCAGATCTCTTTAAACCTACCCTTTCCCAACACACAAATCCCAAAGTAGAAGTTAAATGTTTATAAACAAATATAAAACTGACTTCTTTATGCAAATGCGCCAACAAGTTAAGTATACACATGCTCCTAAGGTGGATTTTCTGGAGAATACACCAATATAACAAGCCTTAAAAAATCATGTTTTCAAGTAAATAAAACCCACAGTGAGATCCCACTACACACTACCTAGAATGACAGTAGTTGAAAAGACAATGCCAAGTGTTGGTGGTGCAGATGTGGAGAAACTACAGCCCTTCTGCATTGTTGATGGGAATGTAAAATGGTGCAGCCACCTTGGAAAACAGTTTGGAAGGTCTTAAATAATGAAACATAAACTTACTATGTAATCTAGCAGTTCTACTCCTAGGAATCTACCTAAGGGAAATGAAAACGTGTCTACAAAAAGACTTCTATCTGAATGTTCATAACATCGCTATTCATAATAACCACAAACTGAACACAATATCAATGTCCATCAAGGGATGGGGAGATGAACAAAATGTGGTGTATCCATACATTGGAATATTATTTAGCAATGAAAACAAATAGAATACTGTTATATGCTACAATTTGGATGAATCTCAAAAACATTATGCCAAGTGAAAAATGCTGGGCACAAAAGGCTAAATATTGTGTGATTTCATGACATGAATCTAGAAAAGGCAAATTTCTAGAGACTGAAAGCAGATCTGTGGTTGCCCAGCACTATGAATGAGAGCAGAGATGACCTGTAAGTGGTGATAAAGAAACTTTCTGGGATGATGGCACTATGTTGAAACTGGATTGTCGTGATGACTGCATAGCTCTATAAATTTACTAAAATCATTTAATCATATAGTTGTAGTGGGGGAATTTTATAGAATGTAAATTTTACCCCCATAAGGCTGTTAAATATTTGTTTTTAAAAATAAGCCATATAGCATAATTAAATAATTAATAGTTCTTTTCTCTGCAAAAGAAATAGAGAGGCACTATGGTCAAAGTGTGGTCTGGGGGTCCCTGAGACTTTCTCAGGGAGTTCTTGAAGCCATTTTCCTAATGATACTAAGAGGCTATTTGCTTTTCTCATGGTGTTGACATATGCACTGATGCTGCAACAGCAACAGTAAGGTAAACTGCTGGTGCCTTAGCCTAAACCAAGGCATTGGCATCAAACCTTCTTAGTAGACATTGTATTCTCCACTGCTGTTTTCACTTAAGAATGCTCTCAATGAAGCAGTAAAAATTATTTAATTTTATAAAATGTTGTGGCTTGTGTGCATACCTTTATTTAACTTTTATTTTCAGGTCAGGGGTACACATGGAGGTTTGTTACATAGGTAAATGCGTGTCATAGGGGTTTGTTGTACAGATTATTTCATCACCCAGGTATTAAGGCTAATACCCATCAGTTATTTTTCCTGATCCTCTCCCACCTCCCACCTTCCACCCTCTAATAGGACCCAGTGTGTGATGTTCCCCTCTATGTGTCCATGTCTTCTCATTATTTAGCTCCCACTTATAATTGGGAACATGCGATATTTGGTTTTTGTTTCTCTGTTATTTTGCTAAGGATAATGGCCTTCAGTTCCATCCATGTTCCTGCAAAGGACATGACCTCATTCTTTTTTATGGCTGCATGGTATTCCAGATGTATATGTACCACATTTTCTTTATTCAGTCTACCACTGGTGGGCATTTGGGTTGATTCCATGTCTTTGCTATTGTGAGTAGTTCTGCAATGCACATGTGCCTGTGTGTGTCTTTATGATAGAACGATTTATATTCCTTTGGGTATATAATCGGTAATGGGATTACTGGGTCAAATGGTAGTTCTATTTTTAGATCTTTGAGGAATCACCACACTGTCTTTCAAAATGGTTGAATTAATTTACACTCCTACCAACAGTGTATAAGTCCACAACTTCAATAGCATCTGTTATTTTTCGACTTTTTAATAGCCATTCTGATTGATATGAGATAGTATCTCATTGTGGTTTTGATTTGCATTTCCTGATGATCAGTGATGTTAAACTTTTTTTCATATGATTGTTGGCTGCATGTCTGTCTTCTTTTGAGAAGTGTTTGTTCATGTCTTTTGTCCACTTTTTTTTTTTTTTTTTGAGACGGAGTCTCGCTGTCGCCCAGGCTGGAGTGCAGTGGTGCAATCTCGGCTCACTGCAGGCTCCGCCCCCTGGGGTTCACGCCATTCTCCTGCCTCAGCCTCCCGAGTAGCTGGGACTACAGGCGCCCGCCACCTCGCCCGGCTAATTTTTTGTATTTTTAGTAGAGACGGGGTTTCACCGTGTTAGCCAGGATGGTCTGGATCTCCTGACCTCGTGATCCGCCCGCCTCGGCCTCCCAAAGTGCTGGGATTACAGGCGTGAGCCACCGCGCCCGGCCTTGTCCACTTTTTAATGGGGGTTGTTTGGGGGTTTTTTTCTTGTAAATTTGTTTAAGTTCCTTATTGATGCTGGATATTAGACCTTGTCAAATGCATAGTTTGCAAAATTTTTCTCCCATTCTGTAGGTTGTCTGTTCACTCTGATGATAGTTTTTTGTTTTTTGTTTCATTTTGTTTTGCTGAGCAGAAGCTCTTTAGTTTAATTAAATCCCATTTGTCAATTTTTGCTCTTGTTGCAGTTGTTTTTGATGTCTTTGTCATGAAATCTTTGTCCATTCCTATGTCCAAAATGCTGTTGCCTAGGTTGTCTTCCAGAGTTTTTATAGTTTTGGGTTTTACATTTAAGCCTTTAATCCATCTTGAGTTAATTTTTGTATATCGTGTAAGGAAGGGGTCCAGTTTCAAGCTTCTGCATATGGCTAGCCAGTTATCCCAGCACCATTTATTGAATAGGGAATCGTTTCCTCATTGCTTGTTATTGTCAGGTTTGTCAAAGATCAGATAGTTGTAGGTGTACAGGCTTATTTCTGGGTTCTCTGTTTTGTTCCATTGGTCTATGTGTCTGTTTTTGTACCAGTACCATGCTGTTTTGGTTGCTGTAGTCCTGTAGCATAAAGTCAGGTAGTGTGATGCCTCCAGCTTTGTTCTTTTTCCTTAGGACAGCCTTGGCTATTTGGGCTTTTTTTTTTTTTTTTTTTCGGTTCCATGTGAATTTTAAAATAGTTTTATTCTAGTTCTGTGAAGACATTGGTAGTTTAATAGAAATAGCATTGAATCTATAAATTGCTTTGGGTAGTATGGCCTTTTTAACAATATTGATTCTTTCTATCCATAAACGTGGAATGTTTTTTCCACTTGCGTCATCTCTCATTTCTTTGAGCAGTGTTTTGTAGTTCTCGTAGAAATCTTTTAGCTCCCTGCTTAGCTGTGTTCCTAGGAATTGTGTGTGTGTGTGTGTGTGTGTGTGTGTGTGTGTGTGTGTGTGTAGTGAATGGGACTGCATTCCTAATTTAGCTCTTGGCATGACTGTTGTTGGTGTATAGGAGTGCTAGTGATTTTTGTTTTTGTATGGTTTTTTTTTTTTTTTGAGATGGAGTCTTGCTCTGTTGCCCAGGCTGGAGTGCAGGTCATGATCGATTCTCCTGCCTTAGCCCCCCAAGTAGCTGGGATTAGAGGCACACACCACCATGCCTGGCTAATTTTTATATTTTCGTAGAGATGGAGTTTCATCATGTTGGCCAGGCTGCTCTGGAGCTCCTGACCTCACATAATCTGCCTGCCTCAGCCTCCTAAAGTGCTAGGATTGCAAGCATGAGCCACTGTGCCCAGCCACGGTATACATTGATTTTGTACCTTGATTTTGTGTCCTGAGACTTTGGATGCATATCTTTTTAATAGCCTGTGTGATGAAATGGGAAGTATGCATAAAGCATTTCTTCTGCATGTCCAGGTTAGACGGTTATCATGGAGAAAAGCACCTCTATAGCTGATTGAGTTGAAAGCTGAACTAGGCATTGTTTTTTATAGGACATCTTCTCTATTTTAAAAATATATATCTCTGGCAGATAAATTATGGATATTCAGACCTGGTATTTGGTAAATCATTTTCTTAAAAAAGAGTAAGGGAGCCTGACACTTCAAGAAAAATAACTGACAGTATCTCTTGCCAGTGATAAAATTCAAACTTTAAACAAAATCTATAAGTTTGGAAAACTTATATTCACTACCATGAGCTTGACAGCTTCAGTCAATGGTTTTCTGATGAGATTGATGGTGATTTTAACAAATGGGATTTTTTTATGTTGTACAATGAAATGTGTCAAAATTTGGAGATTATAGGTAAAAGGGTCTTGACCCTAAAAAGTTTGAGAAATGCTGAGCTAGTAGTGAACAGCATGGAGTTTGGGGCCAAACTGCTTGGGTTCAAATCCCTGCGCTACTGCTTATTACTTGTATGGTCTCAGGTAAGTGCTTCACCGCTGTATGCCTCAGCTTCCTCATCTGTAAAATGGGGATAATAATGGTACCCAACCGTGAGAGGTATTGTAGGCATAAAAATGAGTTAATATATATAAATATTAGTGAATGTTAAAATGAATTAATATTTGGAAGTGCTTAGAATAATGCCTGACTTACAGTAAGTGCTCAGTGAGTGGTTATTATTGGTCTTGGTGAGAGAAAATTTGTAAAACTGAGCAAACACATTGTAAATACATAGTAGAAGAAAGTTTTTTTGGAATTATATGGGAAATCCTAAACTGCTTTTCTTCCTGTTGCCTCTGTCTCACTTTTGGCCCTGGAAGCGCACTCCTGGGAGTGATGCGTTACTGAGGGCCGGCTTCTTCTCAGTCCTGCTTGTCCATTGAGCCTCTGTTGTTTGGGGAGATCCTTCCTTACTTAGCAACCACAGAATGGGTTTTTAAGAAAGACTTGCTGAGGCAACATAATTTTCAAGGGTACAGTTAAATAAATGGAATATAAACAACATACCACTGTATATCCTTTGCATTTTTAGAATTAGAAGTCACTTTCCTGCCTCAGCAATGTTTAAAATTACAGTGCATTTCTTTTAAGCTCAAAGAGTTGCGGAAATTATGTGAAAGAGAAAGAGGATAAGGTCTTGTTCATTTTCAGTGTTTAATCTAAGACAACATAAGATTTAAAGGAGAAAAGGACCAACTTGGAAGGAACTTACGCCTTCAGTCCTACAAAGAGACTACATTTGAGCTATTCTTACCTCTAACTTTTAAAAACACGTGAATGACTTTTTGACATCGTTCATTCATTCACCAGTATTTGCTGAGTGCCGCTCATGAAGTGCCAGGCCCCTTACCCCATGTGGTAAAGAAAGGACATGGGCCCTGCCCTTCTGTTGTGAGTGCATTCGGGTTTTCTAATTTCTCCCACCTGCTTTGTAAAAGATTAGGAGTGTTCATCTACTGTTCCCTGACATACGTCAACAGACAGAACAATATGTTTTATCCTTCTTAAATGTTCATGAAAACATTCTGAAGTTAGTATAAGGTAAAGAAGGTAAGATAGACTGCAAGAAACTTATGATTGTTTCTTTTCCTAAAAGAAAACAAACAAAATCACATATTTTTTGGAGTACTGATGATAGGCACATAAGCTCATGTTTGATAGTTAATAACAAACAACTAGAATATGTAAGTCATTGGAGTTTCACTGACTTAAGTGGCTTCTGCTGTCCCAGGAGAAATAGGACCTCAAAAAGAGCTCATTTGGGGACCATCTGTTTTATGTGTCATCCCACATCACTCTGCATGTGATGAGAATGTTGCATCGGCCCATGGCAGTTTTTATTCCTCACTCTAGATTTGGTCTTTAATTGTGGCCTTACCTCAAGTTCCTCGAGTGTATATAGTCACCTGTTACATAGGTTCAGAGTGGTCTTTCCTTTCATTTCAGGGGTATGTTTTGTGAGCAAATTATAAAGCACCTTGAATATCTTTTTAAGATAACGTTGAAAAATGCAGAGCAGTAGTATTATTGAGATCATGTCCTTACTGATATACTAGCATTTTAAGATTTGAGAGTATTTCCTTCCCATGTGGCTAGTTATTGGGAATAAGAAATTAGGTCAGGCTAAAAGCCAAAGAAGTGTTTCTTGAATACAGGCTAGGATTGAATTGTAGTAATTCAATTGAATTCAATCTCAGCATTTGTCGTGGGTTTTAGTCATGTTCCTGTTCCTGTCACGGCTAGGGCCTTCAGCAAACTTTACATCTCAGTAAGTGCAGTTGTCTTTTACAAATAAATTGCACGGAAGTCAGTTAACCTGAGCAAGTGAACAAAGGCTGTGATTGTATTGCTGCTGTTTCTCTTGATACTAGATCTTCTGTTCTTTGATTCATTACTATTAGTGTTAAAGAATTAAATATTAACTGTACATTGTTTTCTAAACAGAGTCATAGTTGTTATAAAGCTAATTTCACTTTTCATAGCAGTGCTCCCTGTTTGGCAGGTTCTACCTGTTCTGTGTGTCATCTTTGCAAGGACTTTTGCCCTTGTGAGGTAACCAGCCGTAGTATAGGGCCCCAAACAGATTGAACGTTTGTGTGATGAAAACTCATACACTTGTTTAATTGTGGATTCTAATCCTGTCTTTCACATGTCTGTGTTTATGTGTTTCAGGAAAAAAGTGCCAGCTCAAATGTAAGACTTAAAACTAATAAAGAGGTTCCGGGATTAGTTCATCAACCCAGAGCAAAGTAAGTTCTAGTTTCTGTTTTCCTTATATAGTCGGCCTTCCATATCCATGGATTCTGCATCTGTGGATTCAACTACCCATGGATCAAAAATATTCAAAAAATAATAATTCTACAAAGTTCCAAAAAACAAAATTTGAACTTGCCGCACACCAAGTACTATGTTGAATTCATGTGAATGAAGTGATGTGTAGGCACTTCATTAGGTATTATAAGTAATCTAGAGATGATTTAGAGTATATGAGAGGATGTGTGGGGGTTATGCAAATTCTATACCATTTTATATCAGGGATTTGAGAATCTGCAGATTTTGTTATCTATCTGCAGGGAGGTCATGGAACCAATCCCCCACAGATACCAAGGAACAACTGCATTGTTTTTAAAGCTAAAAATGTTTTCAGAGTGAGTTCCATTTTGCCTACCAGATAATCAAGATCTAATATAAAGCTTTAGTAATTGAGAAAATGTGGTTTGGTGTAACAGAACAGAATAATGAAAACAGACCTACAATACATGACAAAGCTGACTTTGTAGGCCAGTTAGAAGAAAACAGAGGAGACTATCACTATGACCATGAGGTAGGGAAGAATTTTGCATATAAGACACAAAGGATGTAGTTCTTAAGGATAATCATTAATTAATATGACTGCACTAAAATTAAGAAGCTCTTAAAGCTCTTAAAGGTAAAACCCAAATGTCCATTGAAAATATAGGTCGGGCATGGTGGCTCACGCCTGTAATCCCAGCACTTTGGGAGGCCAAGGCGGGAGGATCACGAGGTCAGGAGATCGAGACCATCCTGGCTAACACGATGAAACCCCATCTCTACTAAAAATACAAAAACTTAGCCGGGCATGGTGGCGGGCTCCTGTAGTCCCAGCTACTCGGGAGGCTGAGGCAGGAGAGTGGCGTGAACCCTGGAGGTGGAGCTTGCAGTGAGCAGAGATGGCGCCACTGCACTCCAGCCTGGGCGACAGAGCGAGACTCCATCTCAAGGAAAAAAAAAAAAAAGAAAATATAATGGGTAACTAAACTGTGGCATCTAAACTGTGGGAATACTATACATCAGTGAAAATTAGTGCCTATAGGTACACATATCATGATGGAGGAATCTCATAAGGATGAGGCAGTAGAGTAAGCAGCGATACATGCCTACATGTGGTTTCATTCATATGAAGTCAAAAAACAGACAGAACTAAGGCATATGTTGTCTGTTAGTATATGGTAAAACAATAAAGAGATATAAGGAAATGAAAAGGCATTAAATTCAGAATATTAGTTATTTCTGACCAAATGGAGGACAGTGGAACCAGAGGCTCTATTTCTTAATCTGGGTGGTAATTACATGAATGTTCAATTGTTATTTTGCAAAAAAAATGTACAAATAACATTATATGTCTTCTGTGTGTTAGGTACATCACAATTGGAAAGTTAAAAAGAAAAGAAAAAAATTAACTTGAAGAAAAAGATTATATCACGTGAGGATCTATTGAGTGCCTAATACATTTTCCCACTTACAGTAGAAACTTGAAAATATGATTGTTGATTACCAACAGATGACTATCCCGAAATGTTTCATTTAAAAGGTCATTGCATGTTCAAAAGTTAAAAAACAATAATGAGTAGTTTTCTAGATTGTTCTAGAACTGACTCTAACCTTAATGATAAAATATATTTTGTATGACTTTGAAGCCGTCCTCTCCTTCAAAGAGGCTGTGTTATCCCAGCGGCTACAAATCTCTATTAGTGTTTCACCTAAATGGAGACAAATTTCCTGAGAGTACCGATGACACTGGTACATTTGACACAGGCACCCCAACCCAAAATAAATTTGACTATTACATATGTGTATTGATAGCCCCATAAATCAAAATCATAAGCAGAAGAAGGTATGTTATCTCTGGTTCTTCCAGAAAATTGTGACAAAAATTACCTAACTCATAATCACTTTACCCTGGCTCAGTGTCTGTGGAGTCGCTGCAGCTATGGCCACTGTGGTGTCGCAGTTAGGAGACCTCAGGGGGTAGGTAATGGGCTCTGTCATTCAATTTTTACTTTCAAAGAAAACTGGACATGTTAAAATCCACTTACCATTTACAATGTCAGTGTAATGATGCGGCTGATGTTTTCACCCTCAGGTGAATGTTGTGCTATGGCCGCAACCTCCCTAGCCCACCTTACTGCTCATCACGTTCATCCACTTTATCTGCCTTTGGGGACAGCAGATATCTGATAACACAGCCAAACCACCTTATCATCCAGGATGTCTGAAAAATGCTATTTTAAAATGCTTCCCTTATCTCAGAGTTATAAAGAGAGATTGAATGGAGGAGAATTTCTCTTTTCTGTTTGAAAGAATACTTACTTAACATTGACACCCTGAAGCAGCACACTTCACAGACTGGCATGTGCTGAAGCTTTCAGAGGAGAAAATTCTGTTTTCCCCACAGCAGCATGCTTGTGTGTGTGTGTGTGTGTGTGTACACACACATGTGTGTATGTATTTCAAACTGTGAACAGAACATTGGATTCCTGGAATTCAATTAAGAAATCTTTCTGGAGGGCCAAGAGAAGAGTTTTACTTTTCCTACTTGCTGACATATAGGATCAATTTACTGTACTGATGCATAAAATAAGATGAGGCTTCTTCTTCCCCATGAGTGGAAGGACAATCCCATACCATAAAGGCAGATCATCCTCATACCACCATGAAGGCATGTCATCCTCATACCTTCATTTAATGCTTTAGTTTGATATCAGGCAAGTGACCTATGTCTTTGAGCTTCAGTTTTCTCAGAGAGAGATTGAAGTGAAAGATCCTGTCTTGAGCTGGAGAACAAATGAAATAGGGTATACCCACTGCTTATGGCATTGTCTGGCACTTGGTAAAAATGCCTTAAATATTAGAAATAACCCAGATGCCTTTAACAGGAGGTTGCGTGAATGCACCACACTATAGTCACACAATGGGATATTAGTCAGCAGTTCAAACAAATGCACAGCAGCAATGCGCAATATTGAATGGGCCCTAGCAGTCTAATATTACAAGAAAAGAGTAAGTCCTGAAAGATTACATAGAACATGACGCACTCTATAAAGTTAAAAACAACTGAAATAATCTGTCTTTTAAAGGCACACAAAGAGATGCATTAAAACTATATAAAAGCGAAGTGAGGGAGTGATAGTTACATTGGGTTGTGGGAACACACACGCAGATGGGAACTCACATGGAGTCAGCTATGGGTGGTTGTCAAGGTCCTCACTTTTGTTTTTTATTTTGGTTTCACAGGTGTTTATTATACTACTTTAAAAAAATAATTAACAAAATAAATAAAAGTGAGCTATGCATGAACTACTAGTAGGAGTCTGTCACAGAATGAGGGTTAGGATGAATCTACTTCCCTGAGGTCCAGTTGAAAAATGATGATCATGAAGGAAAAACTGTGTTCAGGCCAAGATTTACCAGGAACCCACCTAGTAATTTAATTTCATTTTTGCAGGGGAGGAAGAACTTTACCCCAACCCTCTCAGGATTTCTGGCTGGGCCTGAGAGTTAAGTTGACATGAGACAGATTTAACAGGAGAAAAGATATCAATTTCTACATGTACATGGGAGCCCCTATGAGAAAATGAAGACCCAAGAAGTGACAAAACCCACATATTTGTATACTAGGTTGAACAAACAGAAACAGTTATGGAAAAGCAGCTGAAATATGTGGGGAGACTAAAGGAAGAAAGGAATTATTTTAACAAAGTCTCTTGGTACAGAATTCTCTTGGCCTTGACTCCCTGTCTCTGGTGATAAGAATGTTTCTTTCCTCCTGGTGTGGGGAGGGCATTGTTCACATGGGAGTTTCATCTCCTTCTTTCAGGAAGAAAAGAGGAGGTCAGAAGTCCCCTCCTGCACCTGCTGTTTCCAGTTGTCTTTAGCTCAAAATAGTCCTTATGCTAAAGTAAGCATATTTTAGGATGGCTTATTCTGCCAGGCTTCACAGGTGAGGTATTAGGGAATTAGGACTTTGCCTTCTCATACTTTGGGGCTTAGCTTTTTATCATTTGCAGATTTTATTTTTTTAAGACACCAAAAGCGAAAGCCCCATATCTTTTAGCTCTAAAGCCCATTTTGCCCACCATTCATTAATTTGTTTACTTTGCATTAAGATGCCATTGTATTGTCATCCCTAGTCCCATGAAGCTGAGAAGTCTCAGGAAGAAGAGTGTTTGAGGGTGCAGAGTTAATTCACAAGAGCTTTGCCAGCGCTGACCAAGGGCACAGGGAGTGCTCCAGTGCTGCATTGAGTTTTCCAAGGTTGTTTTAGTTACGAGAGAGAAATAGGAATTACTAAAATTATTGAGCCTTATTGGTTAAGTCAGGTACCAATGTGCAGGCTTTTGTAAGTGAATGCTAGTGAATCTTTTGTAAGTGAATCTTAGAATCAATTATTCATCCTTTATGAACTTAAGTCATAAACAATTCAGTGATCCTTTTCTAATATCTTGAAAAAAGAAAAGCCAGTGAGCTTTTCCTCCTCATCTCCCCCACTCACAATCATCAAATTGTGCATCAGAAAGGATTTTAGAATCAAGTCTTTATGCAGGAACTGTTTTCTACAGTGCAGTTTGTACTCTTGAAGGTAAACACATATTCATGGTGCTGTGTGGATAAGTTTCTTTCACATGGGAAGAGGGGACCCATGTTTATCTAGACAGGAATCAGTTGATATGGGGAAATTTTTATTTCATCAGAATAAAAATTCTGTCCCTGCCCCATTGAAGAGATTTCTCTTCTTCTCCCTGAAACAATCCAATGGAGAACAGCAGAGTAGGCCTCATGCTTTCGGATGACACCATATCTGAGACGATGCACAGGTGACCCGTGTGGGCATTTGCTCCCCCGGCAATGTCTGACACACTTCCAGTGACAATGCAGGTTATCTGGAGGAGCCTGTCTGGTGCATCAAGCTTCCTTCCATTCAGTCTTTCCTAACACAACCCATGCACCGTACTTCAAGATGTCAAGAGAGTGACTCAGTCTGGTGTGTGACTCTTCTTCGTGGGTTATGAAATGTGGCAAAGGCAGGCAGGCATGTTCTAATGTTCTTAGACAAAGAAAAAGCAGGCAGCATTTCTATATTATGGGACAACACAAAACTGAAATCGCTGAGAGTTTTGTGGTTGCTTTCCTACATAAGCATCCCGAGGTCCTTAGCCACCACTTTTGGTCTCAAGCTCCTGATAGGGATCCCGACCCTGTGATAAGTGCATTCTTGATCGCAGAGGTTGCAGATACATTTGCAGAGTTACTTTTGTTTAAAAATGCCCCCTCTTGTCCCTCTCATGTGCATGTGTATGAGTACTGACCAAACGTTGCAGTTTTCATGTTGTGGTATTTAAATAAAGGAGCTAATGGAAGTTAGTGACAATCATAGACAGTAGAAGGGACATCAGTGACCAGCCCTGGTTTTATAGATGAGGACTCAGGCCCTGCACATCACCCCTGCTGACAAACTCTGCTGCTTCAGCAAGGGGTCATGAATCACATGAACTTAAATAGGGGGACTCTGTCAATTAATTAAGAAATATTTTTGGCCCTCCTGCTATATTCAAGGCAATATAATGCTAAAACCTCCAACCAGAGAGTTTCCACAATGAACGTCAAATCCTAAAAATGCCGTTTTTTATGAGGTCCCTGGAATATTTTCTAGGGCAACATTTCTGGGGCAACATATACATACGGTTATCTATCCAGTTACCTATATTAAGAGAAAGAGATCTGGCCAGGCGCAGTGGCTTACGCCTATAATCCAAGCACTTTAGGAGGCCGAGGTGAGTGGATCACCTGAGGTCAGGTGTTCAAGACTAGCCTGGCCAACATGGTGAAACCTCATCTATACTAAAAATACAAAAAATTAGCTGTACGTGGTGGCTCACGCCTGCAGTCCCAACTACTCGGGAGGCTGAGGCAGGAGAATTGCTTGAACCCAGGAGGCAGAAGTTGCAGTGAGCTGGGATCGCACCACTGTACTCCAGCCTGGGCGAAAGTGCGAGACGACTCTGTCTCAAAAAAAAAAAAAAAGAAAGAAAGAAAAGAAAAGAAAGAAGTGTTTATGAGAGAGATCCTCTATTATAAGAATATGAAATTTAGAAAGATTTGCATCCAACGTGGCTCAAATAAAAAATGTTTTGGTGCTTGAGACGGTGAAAACATAAGGAACCTGGGAAAACTCAGCTATGCAAACTGGCTTTTCTGCCCAGGATCCTACAGAGAGGAGACAGTTTAATGTACTCTCATCATCCCAGATTCTGTTCTGCCTTTCAAACCTGCAATAAGAGAGGGCGTGTTTCCCAAACAAAACGTTTACCTTATTTGAATGATCAGATAAAGGGCAGTAAAATTACGTGATATATGTGAAAGTGCTTTGTAAACCATGACAATTGATTAATGGAATCAGATATGTACATTGTTTTCCTTTGATAACCGAGTTAATGTCATTGCTCACAGATTTTAATGTTGCTTTTATACAGAGGGGACCCCCTCTGAGCCTCAGGCCCCACTGTCTGTCACAGGAGGCCTGGAGGGTTTCAGGTCACTTGTGCCCCTCCTTGTGGCCCCTAAAGGATAAGGCATGATGGTAAAGGGTACATTTCACCACACTTGGATATGAAGGGAAGAAGCCATTCCAGAGCCCACCCCCAGCCCCCTCCTTCAGACAGGACAACCAGTAGGCACTGATAGTAACTAAAGGAAACTCTGTGTGATAACGTGTCTTATCCAGCATCCTTCACCTCCTTGAAACACCCACAGCTATCTGCTAGGTAGAAGCAACCGTCATTAAGACCATGGCCCATTAAGACTAAGTCCTATACTGCCCCATGCTCTTCCCATATGTAATTCATCCCTGCTGTCCTTACCATCTTATTTTGTCCCCACCAGCCTTGTCAGCCGTCTCACTAAGAAGGCTGTTAAAAGTCACAGGACAGGAAACACAGAGCAAGTGCTGCTCAGACATGCGTCCTCCCACGTTCCAGTGGAATTGTGTTTTCAGAGGTGTATCTGCTGCCACCAGTGCAGAAAGTGCTCAGTAGTAATATCAGGTCATCTGTATGTCCTCAGCTTGTTTGCCACCGGCCCACACCCATAGTCAGCTGGAGATCATGCTGATACTGATAACCTTTGTAAAATATATATTTCAATACAATAACTAGGATACATTTTCTTTTTTATTTTTTTCAATACACTGTTGAAATATGCCTTATGCTGCTTGCTCATGCTTTTTTTTTAAATCACAAATGTGTATCTGAAGAAACAATTTGGCATTCAGCTCCTAGTAACATTACTATAAATAGCATCTGTACATTGAAAGGAAATTGTCTTCCTTTAAGTCATAGGCACTGATAGACAATTATGAAACACATTTGCAGGATTACTGTACTGTTTATCCTTAATGTAACTTCAGAGTATTTCAGTGGAAAAGTCTGCAATAAATAAATGTCTTCCCCAAAGTTTGGGGACTCTGCATTTTTCCTTTGAGGGGACCAGGTTTAGCAAAGCACTAAAATATGCACTTAACTACCCTTTGTTTTTCAGCATGCACATCTCTGAAAGCCAACAAGAATTCTTCAGAATGCTGGATGAAAAAATTGAAAAGGTAAGAAGTGAAATAAATAACCTACATGTTTCAAGGGAAGTATAGTAATGGCTTCATATGTGAGGGCAATAACATTCTTGTTTCTATGTCATAAAGCTATTTTTGTGAAGGTTTGGGTGGAGAGTTAAATAAAAGTCACCGCCCTTCCAAAATAAAGTGCATGTGAGAATGTTTAAGGTATAATAGACACTCCCAGGACCCAGGACTGTCCTTGCCTATTAAAGTATGTGAAGTCAGTTGGAAAGCAATAAGCAGTCTTTTTTTCTAGACCGAGCATTCTGACCACTGCATGTCATTTTGCACCCAGTACCCTGCACTAACCTCCGACTGCAAGGGGGCCCATAGTACCTGCTGAAACCTATCGAGGGCCTATGCATGGCACTGATCTGAGTTCTTTGCAAGCATGTTATACCTAATTCAATTTATACTTAGGAAAATGGCATTGAGACAGATATTATCTACATTTTACAGAAGGAAACAGGCTCAGAATGCTTGAGTAATTTACCCAGATTTGCAAGGCTAATAGTGGACAAGTTGGAATTCCAGCCCAGGTCTGTCTGACTCCAAAGCAGTGTCTCCAAGTTGCTTCTCTGGTAGTGTGTGGGGATTTATACTGACAGTAAGATACAAAGTCGATCTGTCATAATTAAGAGTTTACATACTTACAGAATTTAAATTCATCTCTTCAAAGGGGTGAATCTTAAATGGTAAAGATACAAATCCGAGTATTATAATTTTTTTATTCTAAAGAAGAGTGAACTTCTAAGTTCAGAACATATCACACTATGGTTAAGGTGTGACAGGCTGATTTTTACCTTTGAAATCTTTCTGTTTTAATTTGTATTTGTTTTTTACTTTGTGTTGTCCTTTTATTTTAGTATTTATTTATGAATTTCTAAGCTATGATGTATATCACTCAACAGAAGATAATGAAGAAGGTCTTAAATTCATTAGTATTATTTAGCAGCAGATCCCACTTTGACATGGACCCTCTGAGAGAATAATTGTATCATCTTCTAAGCCACCATTAAAAGACCAGCAAAGGTCACCAATGCGAAAAATAGAGATGGATAATGAATTAAAATGAGAGTTAAATCTATAATGTTCCCTGGATGTAAATAAATAAATACTTGTTAAAGTATAATAATTTTTTTTTATTTTCAGTGGAATTGTGGCTTATGAATGACTTTTTAAGTTGGAAACTTCATCCAGGAACAGTTGCCAAGTTTCACATATTGGTTCAAAAGCTGTTCAATTTGTCAGTAACCTTTTTTAGTAAAGAGAAGCATAAAAAGAAATACAGGTTAAGTATCCCTAAATCGAAATCCAAAATGCTCCAAAATCTGTAACTTTTTGAGTGCAGACATGATGCTCGAGCATTTTCAATTTCTGGACTAGGGTTGTTCAACCAGTAAGTATATATAACACAGATATTCCAAAATTCGGAAACGTTTGAACTTCAAAACACTTCTGGCCGCAGGCATTTCAGATAAGGAATACTCAACCTGTATTTTCTTCCCACTGAAACGATGAAGATCTTTTCTTCCTTTCTTTATTTGGACTTCCCCCCACTAGCTTTTTGGCAAGAAAAAGATTTGCGTAGTAGTTAGGGGTAGATGGTAAAACTTGAAACCTGAATTTTAAGTTATCTTTTTAAACAACACTTACAAACACTTAAAATGATATAATCTATATCCAATGTGGGTTTTTTTTTTCTTTTTTTTGAGACGAGGTCTCACTTGTCACCCAGGCTGGAGTGCAGTGGTGCAATCTCAGCTCACTCTGGCCTCTGCCTCCCAGGTTCAAGTGATTCTCCTGCCTCAGCCTCCTGAGTAGCTGGGATCACAGGTGTGTGTCACCACGCCCAGCTAATTTTTGTATTTTTAGTAGAAACAGGGTTTCACTGTGTCAGCCAGGCTGGTCTCGAACTCCTGACATCAGGTGATCGACGCACCTCAGCCTCCCAAAGTGCTGGGATTATGGGCGTTGAGCCACCGTGCCTGGCCCAGTGTGTTTTGGTAATTGAAATTCTAACTCTTTTTACTCAGAATTGAAGTTCATTGCTCCCACCTGAAATCTGAGATCCCCTTTTGCTTTTGCATCCAGAATGTAGAGTACAACAAAATAAAGAGTAATCCAGAATGTAGAGTAAAACAAAAATAAAGTTTATAACTTGATCATTCGTTGGATGGAAGCTTCCCTGGACAAAAGAGCATTGGTAGATTCAACATAAACACTGTTTCCACTATTGAATACATTTACATTGGAAGAAGAGCTCCTATATCAGCCATGACAGGTACCCAGCTGTAGATTCTTACAGGCAATTTTCTCTCCTCTCTGAGCCATGCTTTCCTGCCTCTCCTCTCTTAAAGCTCATCCTTCCAAATATTTTGAATATGCTATCTTATGTGTCGTTTAAACATTAAGCCTCCAAAAATTAAAATGCTCCTCCTTAATATATGTGTTTGCTTAATGTAGTCTGCCATCGTTTATATAACCAAAATTGAAAGCTGGATTCTTCCAAATTTCTTCCAAATTGTTTTCCTGGTCATTTACCATTGCTAAATATTTATTTGGTCCAGGCTAGCATGAGGACAACCATAAATGCAAGTCAAATCTATTTAGATTTTACAGAGTTGGTTAAAAACAAAAAGAAGATTAAACTCACCTAGAGCTTCATGTTGAGAGATTTGAGTCATGCTGAGAGACCTTGAGTTTTAAGATTTCATCTCTCCCAGAAGTGACTAGTAATTCTTTTTTTCTCCCTTAAATTAATAAGAAGCAAAACTGACTAAACCTATGGAGATGTAAATGTGCCCTTCCTTGATGCAGCCTTTGCATTTATTGGATGTCTTTAGGGCATGGCTTGAATTTACCTTCTAACCTAATTTGTTATTGGATACCAAAAAACAAATTTCTGCTCTATCTCCCTCAAAATAGATGTAAAAGCACCATTAGTATACAGAAACCAGGACTGAAAGGTGGTTTCATATCTATAGTAAAACTTAATTTGCACATTTTGGACTACTCTAATTCAGAGATTGTCACAGTGCAGAGCTGCTGTTTACCTTTGCACCACAGCTGAACAAGTGGTTTTCTAAGAAGTTATGGTGATCAATAAAAAGCAGGTAGCAGAAATGCAATTTAAAAAAATGATTCAGCCAGGCGCGGTGGCTCACACCTGTAATCCCAGCACTTTGGGAGGCCAAGGTGGGCGGATCATGAGGTCAGGAGTTCAAGACCAGCCTGGCCAACGTGGTGAAACCTCATCTCTACTAAAGGTACAAAAATTAGCCGGGCGTGGTGGCACACGCCTGTAGTCTCAGCTACTCAGGAGGCTGAGGCAGGAAAATCACTTGAACTCGGGAGGTGGAAGTTGCAGTGAGCCGAGATCCTGCCACTGCACTCCAGCCTGGGTGACACAGCAAGACTCCATCTCAAAAAAAAAAATAATAAAATAAAATAAGATTCAGCACCTACTGAATACTACACTAAGCATTATGCTAGTTACTGAGGATACAAAATTAGATAGGAATTATAGAGTACAATATAAATAAATAGTAAACAGTCCATTGCTTTGACAAGTTCAATTTTAAAAGTGAATTTTAAAAAAATCTAATTATTTTTCTGATCAAGGAGTACTTCACCCATCACCACCACCACCATCCTCACCCTCACCCTGCTATTGTCACTGAGAGTGAGGTTCTCCTCCGTGGAACACAACTATTTGCCTTCTAAGCTGGTTCAGGGGTTGGAACTTCAGGTCCTTTAACCAGGGATTTGGGACTTGGTACCATTTCACATGCTGGTGGTGGGAGGCCACAACACTCTGCTGCGACCGGAGATGACCAAGAGAGACAGATTGTCAGGAGAGCAGTGAAAGTTCAAAGAAGCTTGTAATCTGATTTACTTTTGCTTTTCCTTTTGGAGAGTAAAAACACTGTGAACCAGTGGGAGCCACCTAATTTCTGTTCACCTCATTATTTTTTACTCTGCTATCTAACCATCGTTATTCCACTGGAATCTATAGTTACTATTGTAACTCATGATTCACAGGCTCCTAGAATCTTTTTTGAAGTGTTAGCATTTGCCTAACTTTGCAGCTTTAAGAAAATGACAGTTTTCTGTGGAGCAAAATAGTGATTTTAAACTTCATTTTTTCACTGTACCTAGAGAGGGAAGACAGTATCTAGATTAAAGTAGCCTGTGGAGGAGTTTCTGAATATAGCACCAAATACAGATGACATCAGATGTTAAGATATGCTTTCCACTATACATTCCAGTTTGTTTGTAAAAAGCAGAAAAAATAAATAAATTTTTTAGGTATCTGCAATAATAGTATCTTCTACAGGCAAAACAGGGATTTACATTTTGCTTTATGAAGATGTAAGACCCTAGCTGATGACCAGGGAGTCCTTGGCTTCCTCAAAGAGGATCCTGAATATTAAATAAAGAGTATCTTAGTACAATGTCACTTGCACCTGATTACTGTTTCTGATGAAAGGCTTCTTAAACTTTGTTGGGCCTTGTACATCTTTTTGGAGTCTTACAAAAGTTACAAAGACTCTCCCTATGAAAATGCACAAATCATATACACAAAACTTTTAAGTATAATTTCTGGGTTTTAAGACTCCATGGAGCCTGGCCATGGGCCCCAGGCAAAGAAACTTTGGATTTCTTTCTTATGTATTTTGCTGGTGTGCTTCCG
This sequence comes from Homo sapiens, assembly GCF_000001405.40. Classification (NCBI taxonomy): domain Eukaryota; kingdom Metazoa; phylum Chordata; class Mammalia; order Primates; family Hominidae; genus Homo; species Homo sapiens. Next base: position 184,603,170 of record NC_000001.11, read on the forward strand.
TCAGATCCAGGGCCCAGCTGCAGTCATGAGCATGCATGAGCCTAGCTGGCGACCCTATCCATAGATAGTTGTGACTTTAAAGAGGATTAGGGAATTGAGTGCAGATGACACCATGCAAACTCATTCTTCTTCCTTTCTTATATCCCCTCCTTCCTGTCTGTAAAAATAGTTCACAGTCTCCTGAGGGAGAGCCATGAGCATGCCTAGTGCATCTCACATATTCCTGTGTGATCTTGAGATTCTGGCTCTGTTGATTGACATTATTCAATGTGACATTTCAGAAAAACTCTGAGAAAGAGCAGTATGTGGACTTAAATCAGCTGATTTTAAAAGATGTTTGTTTGGCTGGGTGCAGTGGCTCACGCCTATAATCCCAACACTTTGGGAGGCCGAGGCTGGTGGATCACCTGAGGTCAGGAGTTCAAGGCCAGCCTAGCCAACATGGTGAAACCCTGTCTATACTAAAAATACAAAAATTAGCCAGGCCTGATAGTGCACGCCTATAATCCCAGCTACTCGGGAGGCTGAGGCATGAGAATCGCTTGGACCTGGGAAGTGGAGGTTACAGTTGAGCAGAGACCACGCCACTGCCCTCCAGCCTGGGCGACAGAGCAAGACTCCGTGTCAAAAAAGTAAATAAAAATAAATAAAAGATATTTGTTTGTCTGTAGACCTCTACATCTATTGAACAGTCATTTACACTTACAAAATGTTGGAGTTCTTGAAGTGGCATTATTTCCATGGCCTCAGAACTAACGTGGTTGGTGAAAAAGGTCATGGTAAATCTGCATTCGTAAATTTTTTTCAAGAATTGTCTACTGACAGTACATCAGATTAGTCTGATCCATGTTATGAGTCGGTGTGTCAGAGATCAGAAGACGTTTGCTTTTCATCCAGTGAAGAGAGTGACTTGCACATAGTTGTGAACTATGATGTTGGGTTCTACGTGTAAACGATTTCTGTAGTCTATTAAACCTCAGAGTTGTTACAGAACCAAATATAATTGTTTGGCAGATGTGGTGGATATGATGATGGGTTTTATTTTTTTAACTGTGTGTGTAAAGACCTGCTTAGTGCCCACCAATGATAAGAAAACCTGGGACTGTCACGTCAAAACCTAAACAATGTAACATGACCTGCCCCACGTGTGCAGAGAAAGTCATGGTGTGTTCCTCCCACCCAGCAGGTTGTCACTTTCAGTAGCAACCAAAGCCTTCAGCACTGGCAGAGAGATACTCTTGCTGGCATATGTAGTTTAGCAGTGGGCAGGGCTGCCATCGTCATTCCATGAAACAATTTCTTGCTCCATGGTAAACATATTTTAACCAAGTTGCTTTGCTCATAACCAAGTCTGTTTTTGTCTCCTCTCCCTTCATCACCTTGCCTTGCCATCTCTCTCCTCTGAGTGTACCTTTCCTCATTCTTCAGCCAAATTAGAGCTATAATTACAACAGGCAAGGATGTGACTCAGTCTGTTTTGGTTTTATCTCTACTGCATAGTTTTATGCAAATGACTTCTTAATTGTCATGATGATGACACTGGTGTAGGAACCACTGGTGAAGTGTGTGCATACTCTGGGCTTTAGGATCCTGCATGCCCATCCAGCTAACAGTAGTAGATGAGTCTGTCAAGGAAAATGAGTCAGGCAACAAGCTGAAAAGAAATGCAACACACTTTCTTTTTTCTGGAGGGCTTGATTTTCAGAAAATTCTTGAGGATCTATCAGCCTGGCTCTTTAGGGAGCAAGAAGAAAAGGAGAGTTCAGTTTCTAATGCAACATAGTCATGAGTCCAAATAAAAACCACGCCATTTCTGTGCATCAGGTGTGGCCAACAACACTCTGAACTCAATAGCAGTGTGAGGCACAATCAGTGAATGGTATCATTTTGCCATGGATGCAAGTATTTGGACAAGGAAAGAAACCCAAGGTACAACTGAGAGTAACAGGAATGTTGGTGTGTCTCATTCCCTTGACTAGTTCTCATTCAGCTTCTCCTTGCCCTCTCTTCAGCTATCCTTTTCTCTTCCTTCCCATTACCTTTCCATTCATTAGGTTTGGCAGTCATGGATGTTGCTTCAGCCCTGCAGAGAACACGCAGGGAGAGAAGGGTCCCACTCTTGGTAACTACTGCATTGTTATTTACGAACATCTAAAAGGACTCACTTTAGACTGACAGCTCCCTAAGGATAAGAATTGGGTCTCATTTGTCTTTGTTTCCTCAGAACCTAGCACAGGGCTTGGGACAAAACAGATGCTTAAGAAACTTGTTGAATGAGTGAATGGTGCAGATAAGAACACTGGGCTTCAAATGGAGACAGAAGCATACAAAGGCAGGAAATGTTACCTGGAAGACTCCTAGAGTAGACATCTCTACTTGGAGCAGCGTAGCAGGTATAGAGCAAGCACAGTGCCAGATAATTGGATTGATAGAGGCCAAGGGAAGGAGGCAGCATGGTGCAAGAGAAAGAGCCCATGCTTCAAACCTGGGCCAAAGCCAAGGATTGGCTCTGGCAGCAGCTGTGTGACCCCAGGTTAAGTTAAACTCTCTGATTCTCAGTTTTCTCACCAATAAAATTTGAGAAATAATACTAACTGGTCTGGGATATTGAAGAAAATACACAGAGTCTCCAGTAGTGTTTGCTGTGTTGTATGTGCTCTGTAATTGGTAGCCTTCATTTTGGTTGAAGTCGCCTGTGTTTGTACCATCAAGGCCATTTATACAGGAAGGATTTGGGATGGGCTTGTTGGGGGTGGTGCTAAACCGAACCTGAAAATGCAGAACTTAGAAACTTGGATCCTGCGTGAGCAAGTGCCTTCCTACGGTACAAATATCTCCTTGTAGAAAGAGTAGTAGAATCGCACAGTTTCCAGTGTATTCATCCACCTCCCTCCTATGTGGTGTAATAAACATGTTCAGGAGTTAGATTCTTGTGAACACTTACAGAGCCATTAAATAACCTGTGCTAACTTTCGAGCTGTGATTACAGAATGAGTCAGTGAGTCAGTGGCATGGATACAGCTACAGCTGAATCCCTATATATTTTTTTCTGTTTGGAAGTTTTACTCTTAATTGTTGTGTCTCATTTGAAAGGCTTTTATAAGCCTTTTAAAAGATATTCATTGGCCAGGTGTAGTGGCCCATGCCTGTAATCCCAACACTTTGAGAGGCTGAGGTGGGAAGATCACTTGAGGCCAGGAGTTTGAGACCAGCCTGGGCAACATTGCAAGACCCTGTCTCTACAAAAAATAAAAATAAAAATTAGCCAGGTATGGTGGCATTCACCTGTAGTCCCAGTTACTTGAGAGGCTGAGGCAGGAGGATCACTTGAGCCCAGGAGTTTGAGGTGGCAGTGAGCTGTGATTGTGCCACTGCACTCCAGCCTGGGTGACAGAGCAAGACTTTGTCTCTTAAAAAACAAAAAAGTATTACTATCAGCCTAAATATGCTTGTAACAACAACAAAAAAAATTTAGGAAAGGGGCTCCAAACAAAATCATAGAAATTGTAAGACTGACTTCTTTGATCCATTTAATAAGCTTGACATGAACATGTTCTCTGGACCTAGAAATGAGCCAGGGCCATGAGAGGCACATAATGAGGAATGATAAAATAGGATTCTTGTCTTTAGGGAGCCTCAAATCTGGAAGAATAGCATTTTGCATTGGAAGGAACTTTAGAGAATGTCTTATCCAATTTACCCTCAACTTTTCATCTCCCACTAAACAGCACCCTCCATAGCAAAGAATGAGACATTCCCGTTTATATCAGCTGGGAAGGAATTATGAGGCACATTATGTTCTGAACATTGCTTGAAAAATTTATTCTGAAGTATTATGTTATTTCTGGTGCACTTTATTCCTCTCTTTCACAATTCTATCAAGTGCAGGCACATTCTGCTCTGTTCCTAGAGAAAGCATTCTTGGAGCAGACACTTCTAGACTCCCCTCACTTCAATTCCATTTTTCTAAGTTGATTCAAAAAGGAGTACCAAAAAATTGTAAGCTCATATTTACAAAATTGATTGTTGGAGGCTTGCTTAGAGATGCATAATCATACCCTGCCTCTCTTCTGGGCTTCTTACAAATTGAAAACAGGCACAGGGAGCCGGATGAGTATCATGGTCAGTATCTACCTTATTAATGGGCCGGATGATTCCCAGGTGTGGATCTAGAGTGAGTTTGGAATATATTTATAACACTTAAAACATCAAATGATTTGTAGGCATAATATATAAAGAAGTAATATTAGTGCAAACCGGTAAAAACCATCAATTAAACTACAATAAAGTTCACTGCAGCATTCTTTATTCAACAGCCAAAAAACTGGAAGAAAACTAAGTATCCACCCATGGAGAAATGAATAATTAAAATCCTCCATATTCATACAGTGCAATATTATGCAGCAGTTAAGAGACATAAACCAAGCATATAGATATATATATACACATGTGTATATACACATACATATATATGTGTGTGTATATATACATATATATGTGTGTATATATATACATATATGTGTGTGTATATATATACACATATATGTGTGTGTATATATATACATATATATGTGTGTGTATATATATACATATATAGAGAGAAAGAGTCACAATTATAGATTTCAAATACAATTATTAAGTGAAGAGAGGATTATGCAGAATGATAAAAATTGTATGATACCATGTACATTAAAAACACACAAATACATTGTTTATAGATGGACATTCAACAAATATTTATTAAGCACCATCAGTTTTTACATGGCATATTTACAAATGGCATGTGTTTTTATCTGTTATATATTTAAATATTCATATACACATAAAAGTGTAGTATATTTGTTATATCGATATAAGATGAATATCAAAGTATCTAAAATGATACCAAACATACAAACCGACCAAACCCATGAACATTGCTGTGCCCGGGGATGGGGAATGAGAAATGGGTGGTAGTTTCATTTCTTAGAAGGAGGGCAGAGGCTAGCAGGAGATGGTACAAAATATTACTAGTTCTTATGTCTAGTGGTGGGAATATAGTGTCTTTACATTCTTCATACTTTTCTGTATCTTTTAAATTTCTCAAAATCAAAAGAAGTCTATGAAAACAGGAATGTGTTTTTTGACAAAGTGTCAAATAGAAAAAACAAAGATTACACAGTGGTCACTGGCTTTGCTACACCTTCCCCTGGGTCCCAACATGTGGATTTGGGTGGAAGAAAACCTTCAGGAAGTGCTAACATATGGGCTATGGGCCGTGGGCCCTGCTCTAGGTCACCTGAAACACTGCTGATTTAGATTTCACTTGAAATCACTGCTGTTTCCAAGGGCTCTGATAGTCATGGCCACAGATGCAGTTGAATTGCCTGACCTCTATTAATTGCTGTTCTTATTGGCCAATTAGCCAAATGTGTGACAACCCTTAATTTAACCTGTGTTTCATAATTCAGTAAGCCGGATAGTACCCACGGATCAGTAGTTCTGATGGCCCCAGCCTGTCACGTGTCCTCTGGGGATCCTTTGATTGTTATCCTCCCAAAGTGCTCATTCCCAGAAAATGGATTAATCAGGCCAGTGAAAGCCTCAGGCTCCATAATAAAGTCCCATGGGCCTACTTATCTTCCTCTTCTGGGGTGCATGCAGGTTGGCCACCTTAGCCATGCCCTAGAAGAGGAAGGAAGCCAAACAGAAGTGTTCTTCCCAACCCTGGGTCCCAGATGCCCACTCCTTACTGCGCTCTGGGCCTCTCTCCTTCCTGTCTGGCTAGTCCATTGTTCTCTGCCTTCTAGAAAGAGGGCCCTCCCATCAATAGCTGAAGTCTTCTTCCTGGCCAAATGCATGTGCTTCCTATTCTGAAAGCAAAGAGAAAGGAAGGGAAGGTGAGCCCTGTGGTCCCTCAAACAGTGTCACCCCCCTTTGTGGAGAGGAAAGAAAGGAACCAACTTAAAGTATGTCCCTCACCTCTCCCTCTCCAGAGGCCCAGCCCATGGAACAGTGAAGGGGCAAACCCAACCTCTTCTTTCTCCACATGTGACTGGATGAGTCAGTCACCATCCAGAGGGTCTCAGCAGGTGTGAGGCAAGGGACTAATGGGGACCTACCAAGTTCTCTAATCCAGCAAGAAAACTGATCCTCATCTAACTCTTTCTGTATTTCCTGGTTAAAAACTGTAATGAAAGGAGATGTGTGATTAGTCTCCCCAAACCTCCATCCAAGTTCAACATAAATTCTAGGGTGTATGTGGAACAGAGAGCTCTTTCAGAGCAAAGAGCTCTAAAGAGTTTGTCTGGAAGGCACATCAAGAGGCAAATGAATTAAAATGCCAGATTTGCTAAAGCCATTGTCCAAAAGGAAGTGAATCCTGGGGGAGGTGTGTGAGGCTCCAGTCTACCAAGTGGGTTTTCCCAGGTTTCCTGGCTTGAGGGCAAGGTGGTAGCATTTGCATCTTAACTGTTACACTTGAGAAGACACTAAGACATCCCTTTTAATTAAGTCCAACAAATAGCATGGAAATCTTCCACAAAAAAATTCCACAAAAAATTATGATATGTCTGATTAGAAGAAATCAGTCACAACAGGGAAGAATTTTACAAGATAACGTTAAGTGAAAAAAAGCAAACTAAAACACTGTGTCTATAATAGGATTAAAATGGTATAAAAATGTCATGCATATGGACAAAGATTGAAATGAAATTTGAAGACTGATTGGGAAGAGATGCTGTTGGAGATGAATTTTTCCATTTAATTTTGATTTTCAATGTTTTCATGTTTGTAAAATAAGAACAGTTTTTGCAGAAGAGCTCTGGAGAGATGTCTCTCAAGGTGGAAATTATCCCTGCTGTTTGAGCTCTAAAGAGGGCAAAACCCTTGAACAGTGTTAGCCTCTGATGCTACTGGTGGTTAATTCTGTTCTCTGGGGCAGGGCAGGCAAACTATGGCCCATAGGCCACATCCAGCCTGCGAGACAAAAATGGTTTTTACACATTTAAATGGTTGGGAGAAAATGAAAGAAGACTATTTTGTGACATGTGAAAAACAGCATGAAATTCAAATTTCAGTGTCCATAAATAAAGTTTTATTGGAACTCAGCCATACTCATTCATTTACTTTTATCTATGGCCGCTTTCAAGCTTACAATGGCAGAGTTGAAGCGCAGTGAGACCATATGGAATGGAAGGCCTAAAATATTTACTGTGGCCCTTCCCAGAGGAAGTTTGCCAAGGCCTGCTCTCGGACATCAGTTCAGTATGGCCAAGAGAACGTGGTCGTCTGCATTATCTCTCCATGTCTTTATCCTCACTCCTGCTCACCTCCTTGTGGGGAAAGAACATCATTGAAGTCATCCAAGTGCCAGCCTCAGATAAAGCTTGAAAAGTACGTGGCTTAAAGCTTCTAGGCCAGGCGCGGTGGCTCACGCCTGTAATCCCAGCACTTTGGGAGGCCGAGGCAGGCGGATCACGAGGTCAAGAGATCGAGACCATCCTGGCTAACACGATGAAATCCTGTCTCTACTAAAAATACAAAAAAATTTAGATGGGCATGGTGGCAGGCGCCTGTAGTCCCAGGTACTCGGGAGGCTGAGGCAGGAGAATGGCGTGAACCTGGGAGGCGGAGCTTGTAGTGAGCCGAGATCGCCCACTGCACTCCAGCCTGAGCAACAGAGCGAGACTCTGACTCAAAAAAAAAAAAAAAAAGGCTTCTAAAATATCCTCCTTACTGTTGGTGAAATGGGGATTCGGGTATAATAAACACTTCATGGGGGTTTCGAAGCTGTTTAGTTAATACTTACTCTCTCTTGGAAATGAAAAGCCCAATATCCGGGGATTGTTGTCACTGCTGTTATTATCACGGTGATCATTCCTATATATGGTCAAAGAAACAGTCAGAGGCTGTCACACTCCACTGCTCATTACAAACGAGACCTTTTTCCAGCTGAAACAATAACACGTGAGTCTAATTAGAATAAAGCTCATTAGAGACGGAGAAAGCCATTAATGCCTCGATTGATTTTTCTAATGAAGTAATCCAGGGGAGGAGACTTTAACAGCACAGCTAATTATTTTTTGCTTTTCTTCAGTATGTCTTTGGCATTTAAAACTGTTCTTATGACTTGTTGTTTGACTATAAACGAAAATGCTGCTGAAAAGTGCTCTGTGATTAAAGAGGCTCTGACACATCCAGCCCTGAGAAAGGGATGGAAGGCACCTGCTTCCTACAGGAGGAGGGCCCTGCAGCCCTGCAGGCGGTGGTTTAAGCCCAGCAGCCCCTGGGGATAGCCTTCCTTTCACTTTTCCAGCCTCCTCTTCCTGTGTATTCTGGATTCTAGCTAGTCGTGCACAGATGCTCAAGCTGCAGAACGTGGTTATCTGCTCCTGCAGTCCTGGTTCAAGGACAGAGCTGAAACATACAGATTCTTATGGAAACTTGGATCTGAGGTTGCCTCTGGATGGTAAAACATGGAGGAAGGGGTTAGGGGATAAAGGGTGTTAGGTGGACAGAGGAGGGAGATGCCTATTAAATTTATGCACCAGAATGCAGGTGGGGCAATTGTGCTTCATTAATCAGGATGCTGTTTGCCACTCAGAAAGCAGTTAAGTCCCACAGTACAGGATAAAGGCTGTCAAGGAAGGATAACAATAAGTCAAGAAACTGAGACTCAGGATATAATAGACTTGGGAGACTCAGAACAGAGAGGATGGGAGGAGGATGTGGAGTAAAAAACTGCATATTGGTACAATATACACTGCTTGGGTGATGGGTGCACTAAAATCTCAGAATTCACCACTGTGTCATTTATCATGTAACCAAAAACCACTTGTACCCCAAAAGCTACTGAAATAAAAAAATTTATAATTTTTTAAAAGCCTTACTGAATGAGGAAATTATTCAACAAAAGGCATTATCTCAGTGACTGTGTTATTAGAAATATAGTTTAGTGATAATGCACAGTCCAGCAACTAACAGAGATTCCCAGTGTCATCCAGACAGGTAAAGGAGCGGAGGAAAAATTCTTCAGGTGATCCTTCAGCTAGTCACCAAGCCAACAAGAGCCTGCTTTATCACAAGCATAACAGCTTACACTTCCAGACAGAAAGAAGCCTCATTAAAATGAACTTCTGTCATGAGCCTTTATTACAAAACTTCATGTTTGCTTTGTACAAACCCAAGAGTCTTGACCGGACTTGTTTGCTGACTCCATTGCCCTACCCATGAGGTTCTTTAACTCAGAACTTTATGATGAAAGCAAAAGACAGAGTTTAAGATGCCTGGCTGAGGCCGGGTGTGGTGACTCACACCTGTAATCCCAGCACTTTGGGAGGCCAAAGCAGGTGGATCAGCTGAGGTCAGGAGTTTGAGACTAGCCTGGCCAACATGATGAAACCTTGTCTCTGCTAAAAATACAAAAATTAGCCAGGCGTGGTGGTGCATGCTACTCGGGAGGCGAAGGTTGCAGTGAGCCAAGATTGTGCCACTGCACTCCAGCCTGGGCAACAGAGCCAGGCTCCATCTCAAAAAACAAAAAAAAGCCCACTGAACATTATGGAAAGAGAACTGGACCTGATTCCACATGTGATTTATGTGGGTATTAGTAGTCCCCTTTATCCACTGTTTCAGTTACCCAGAGTCAACAAGAAGAAGGGTGAGTATAGTACACTAAGATATTTTGAGAGAGAGAGAACACATTCACATAACTTTTATTATAGTATATTATTAGAATTGTTCTATTATTAGTTGTTACTGTTGTTACTCTCTTGCTGTGCCTAATTCTTTTTCCTTTTCCTTCCTTTTTTTTTCTTTTGAGACAGAGTTTCACTCTGTCACCCAGTCTGGTGTGCAGTGGCACGATCTTGACTCACTGCAACCTCCACCTCCTGAGTTCAAGTGATCTGCAGTCTCAGCCTCCCGAGTAGCTGGGATTACAGGCGCACGCCACCACGCCCAGCTAATTTTTGTATTTTTAGTAGAGATGGGGTTTCACCATGTTGGTCAGGCTGGTCTCGAACTCTTGACCTCAAGTGATCCACCCACCTCGGCCTCCCAAAGTGCTGGGCTTACAGGTGTGAGCCTAATTTATATAGTTAGGTACGTATGTGTAGGAAAAATATAGTATATGTAGAGTTCAGTACTCTCTGAGGTTTCAGGCATCCACTGGTGATTTTGGAACAAATCCCCCATGGATAAGCAGAGACAACTGTACTTAAATAAATACAAATAATGAATAATGGACAGTGGGATTCTAGTATCAACTTTGGTTGCCTCTCTTTGCAGTCCTGTTGCCCCTCTCCTAAGTTCCAAGCTATTCATGTAACAGGGCCTATGCCCTATTCTGTGTGCATAGTTTTGCTCAAAACTTATTATCAGTTGTGTTGTTTAAAAAGGCTGCATCTTCCATTATGATGTGCAAAACGTTGATGGTTTTCTTCCCTTACTAAAGTACCAGGACACTTTCTGTGTAATACCATTTAACAGCCTCCACCCTGCTACCCCCACACCCCAGCACTGCTTCCCTCCAAAGCCAGAGTGTTCACAACCCTTGGATATGGGCCACACGAGGACTCCATTAGGTACCCAAAATACAAAGATGGACAAGAAACATGTTTTCCCCCTCAGTAAGGGAGGCAAACATTTTGCCTAAAATTCTATACAACATGATGGTGCGATGGAAGGACCACTGAGAAGGGAAGAGACTGTTTCTCCCTAGGGCAACTACAGGGAAATCCCAGCTACTTGGGAGGCTGAGGAAGGAAAATTGCTTGAACCTGGGAGGTGGAGGTTGCAGTGAGCTGAGATCATGCCACTGCACTCCAGCCTGGGTGGCAGAGCAAGACTCTCTCTGAAGAAATAAAAATAAAGAGATGGGAGCAGGAGAAGCCAGCCAGGACAGAGTGAGAAGCACCGAGGCCCTTTGGTACTTGGCTTCTTTGAGGATCTGAATGTGAACTGACTGATTGAGATGTGGGCCCCATTTCTCACCTAGACAGTTTTATTTTCTGTTGGACCAGTTGGTCTCATTTTTCAGTATCATTGTAAGAGCTATAATTTATTAAGCACCTACCATGTGCCTAGCTTTGCTAAACACTTTCATGTATATGCTTAATTCCCACAACTCTGCAAGTTAGGTTTTATTGTCCCCATTTTACAGATGGAGAAACAGATTCAACACTTCCTCTCAGTCACTTTCATCTAGTCTACTCCAGTGGGAGAATACTCAGTTCACACTGATTGTTACATGTCTGAGGGATGTGTGTATTGGGCTGAATGCATACATGTCTATAGAAACATACTAAAAACATATATGATGAATCATACCTGACACTGAATGGCAAGGCCTAGACCAGCAGTCCCCAACCTTTCTGGCACCAGGGACTGGTTTTGTGGAAGACAATTTTTCCATGGATGGGGAGTTGGGTGGGGCGGGGTGGGGGTGGTTTCAGGATGATTCAAGCACATTACATTTATTGTGCACTTAATTTCTGTTATTACATATTCACCATAATGTAGAATCAGTGGGAGCCTTGAGCTTGTTTTCCTGCAACAAGATGGTCCCATCTGGGGATGGTGGGAGACACTGACAGATCATCAGGCATTGGATTCTCATAAGGAGCACACAACCTAGATCCCTCACATGCACGGTTCACAGTAGTGTTCGTGCTCCTATGAGAATCTGATGCTGCCGCTGATCTGACAGGAGGCAGAGCTCAGCTTCACTCACTCGCCTGTCGCTCACTTCATGCTGTGTGGCCTAATTCCTAACAGGCCATGGACCAGTAGCGGTCCATGGCTTGGGGACTAGGGACCCCTGGCCTAGACTATTTGTCTATTTTAAACCTGTGGAGGAAAAGTACGTTAGGCACATTGGAGGAACAGTTTCTTAAAGTCACTCTTTGAGCTGTTGCTCTTTAAACTAGCAGGATTTAAAATTAGGATGATGTCCTTTCCTTAGTACTTCTAATTCTTATAGACACACTTCAACAAACAAAAACCCCTTACACTAGAACCTTAGAAATGTGTGTTCTGCACTGACATCAACTTACACTTCCAGGAGGATAATAATACAGATAACTGAAGAAGACGTGGAAGCCTCTACACAGAGTAGGGTGTGGTCGGAAAAATTTTGGTAGGCAAAGGTTCCTTGGGGTTTTTTGAGTCTGCACCCGAAGGCACTCATGGTTCTTTCAAACAAGCCTTCTTTGTCACCATCACTAGGAGTTTCTGTTCTCCCAGCTTTCGAGGGCCTCCTAGGGATCTTGCTCTCTGCAGCTTTCAGTGTGTCCTTTGCACAAGGGTGGGATTGTGACTAAGATCCTCCAGTTCTAATTGAGTAACGCATCCTGACAAAGACTTCCATTTGGGGTTCCTTTAAGGGGGAAGGGCATACTTCTGCGAAGAATTGCTGTGTATCTCCCAAACCCGGCTCCCACTTCCTGCTTTCTGACAGCTGAAGGTCTTCAGGTTCTCTTTTTGGCACAGTTCTTTAAAAATTAAATGAGACATGAAGTCATGCTACAGAAGCAGGCTCCCTGTCCTGCCCAGTAGGGCCAGTGTGCAGATGGGGTCCCCTGTGATGCTGAGATGGGGCCCCTCCAATGACAATTCTCTCAAATCCCCTTTATTTTTATTTACTTATTTATTTTTAAAATGGCATATAGTAATTGTACGTATTTATAGGGTACATGTGGTATTTTGATACATGCATACAGTGTGTAATGGTCAAATCAGGGTACTTAGTATATGTATCATACCCAAGAGTTATCATTTCTTTGTGTTGGAAACATTTCAAATCTTCTCACTACTTTGAAATATACAATATATTACTACTAACTCTAGTCACCCTACTGTGCTGTTGAACACTAGAATGTATTCCTTCTTAACCATCCCCTCTTCATCCTTGCCCCAAGCCTACTATCCTTTGCACAAGGTAATCGCCTCTGGTAATCACCATTCTCAGGTCTCCTTTCTTAGAACGGCACTGGATGGCCATATGGTTTATGGCCATATCTTACTTTCAATGTGTTTTGATTTCAAAGTTTGTTACCAAAGAAGTTGCTTCTCAGTGCTGCTGAAACAGGTGATAATAAAAATGAAGCTGAATTGAATTTGAATTTAGTTACCAAATCACTGCAGTTGTAACAAAGGCAAGGAGCAGCCCTGTGGGCTTGCGCTTCTCTGAGCTTCCCCCGCAAGCATTAGGGCTTCACTCTTTGCCTTGCAGGACTGATATAAATAGTACGTAAAATAATATCTGCAAAGCAGCTAATGCTGTTTTCTTGCTCCTTTGTTTAGTAATGATAATAATTTCAGAGTAGCCAATGCTTGGGAAATGAAAGTTGCAGAGTCCTGTGTTTACAAAGAAGGTTTATATTGTATTTGTCCCTCAAAAGGTGGGGTTGGGGAGCCTTTACTGTGGTTTGAAATGGTCCTTCTACTACATAACCCAGAAACTCATTTACCAAATTGAAGACAATGAGAACACCACCTTTCATGTATGCATGTGTGTGCATGTGTGCACGTGTGTGTGCTTGTGTGTGCACACGTGTGTATGTGTGTTGTGTGCACGTGTGTGTGTGTGTGTGTGTATCTGTCTGCCATTCCTTCCACGTTCTTCCTCATGGATGAAGCACCCTCTAAACTCCACATTGGCTGGCTGAGACTTTGCTTTGATTTGAGGCCTCATTTAGTCACAGGTAGTAGAGGGACTTCGGTTTCTGCCGTAGAAGTTTTATTCATGTACATCGGTTTCTGGCCTGTCTGGAGTGCAAGGCTGAGGTGGGAGGAAGAGTTCCCTGACACCTATCAGATGACAGCTTATGGTCATAGTCCTTACTCACCTGACAGCCACTAAGGGAGGAGGTCCCTATTCCCCTGCCAGGGGGACTGAACAAACACAGAGTTTATAATAACAACAATTACAATAATAGTAGCAGTAGTAGTAATAGTAGCATTAGCTAACATTTATTGACTACTTGCCAGACACTATATTTTTTTCCATTTAATCCTGACCATAACCCTATGGGATGGAGACCGTGATTATCCCCAGGAAACCAAAGCCCAGCAATTTGTGCGCTGTCAAACAACAGTGTATATGTACATATATACACTGGAGATGTCCACTTTCCTTTCCTAATAAAACCTTCAGGAAAACTCCATGAGCCCTACCTTTCCTCTCCACCTGAATACTTGGGTCCATTTGTAAGTTACCTCTCAGAGCCTCGTGAGTTGGGGATCTGTGGAGAGCATCATCTGATATTTATGGCATTGTGTGGATACATTTGTATGTGTCTTGTTCCCCAGATTAAAAAATAAATCCCCAGTGGCCAGGCACCTTTAAGTTCTTTCTAGCTCTCCAGTGTGTGACTCAGAGCATGTCTCCTGAGTGTTCTGGGCCAAGGCTAGGGATGGCATCTGCTTGGGCAGTGTCACCAGGGAGGCTGCCCATGGGATGACTGGCAAGTACACACTCCTTATGTCAGGAAGACTGGTTACCCAGCTTCTCTGCTCAGGAGAGGTTTTGTGCAGCAAGTAAAACAAGCCTAGAGATGACACTGGACTCAGACACTCTGCAAGCGGTAGGGGTGGGAGTTAGCAATCTGATGATGGAGGAAACCAAAACATGCTAAGGGGTGAATCCCATTCTAAGGGAGCAAGCAATCTGGGGCCAGTTGGCATGGGAGTGAGCAGCCCCACCTGCTTCCACAGGCCTGAAGACTTCATTGTGTGGCAGTTTGTTGTTGTTGTTTTTTTTTTTTTTTTTTTTTTTGAGATAGAGTCTCACTCTGTCACCCAGGCTGCAGTGCAATGGTGCGATCTTGGCTCACTGCAATCTCTGCCTCCCAGGTTCAAGCGATTCTCCTGCCTTAGCCTCCCAAATAGCTGGGACTACAGGTGCCCGCCACCACGCCCAGCTAGTTTTTGTGTTTTTAGTAGAGATGGGGTTTCACCATGTTGGTCAGGCTGGCCTCAAATTCCTGACCTCAGGTGATCCACCTGCCTCGGCCTCCCAAAGTGCGGGATTACAGGCGTGAGCCACCGTGTCCAGCCAGCAGTATTTTGTAATTTGCCAAACACACACGGGCATGGGCACATATACATCATGTGTAAAAGTATGTGCCAGAAATGATTTAATCACTTTATTACTATTAACTCATTTAATCTTCAACTATTCTGTGAAATAGGTACTATTGTTCTCTTCATTTTACAGATGAAGAAACTGAGACACAGAGAGGTAATTTTACCAGGATCCCAGAGCTAGGAAGTCACAGAGTCAAGATTAGCACCCAGCCACGTGGCACAAAATAATCCATTTTGATAATGCTTAAATATTAGGAAAATGTAAAATATTTCTGTTATATAGATAATGTGACCAAAAAACATGTAATACATCTGAGAAATAGTTATATGCAAAATTATTATTAGTATCGTTAAGTATTGGTACTTTTAGAAATAAGTTCTGCTTTTAAAAGAACATTCCCCCCCCCCAAGAAAAATGAAACATGTAGTGTGTATTTTAAAAGAAAAAGAAAAAGTTGAAGGAAACAAATAATAATAACACCTGACTTTTTACAAAACCCTTATCTATGACATCGGACACAGGCAGGGCAGGTGCCCTGTGATGGGTTACAGACCAAGAGAGTCATGTGTTTTGACCAAGACAAGCCAGCTCGGTTAAATGTGGATCCTTAAAGCCCAGCCCCAATCATGTCTTCATTGAGTTTATGACCTAGAGGAGAGAGGATAAAATATGTTCACAAATAACCATTGTACATAGTCCTTAGAGCTTCAGATAACCTGTTTTAGTTAGCAAATGAATCAGAAGCATCTTTGCCTTTCTTGTGCATCCCACACATACCAAGCACAGACCTGTTATGCGTGTTTAAGGATTCTTGTTTGTTGTTTTTTGTAATCCGTTTTAGAGTGAATTAAACTCAGACATCCCTGGATTGTATGCTGTCTGTAGAATGTTGATTTTCAGGCACGGGGATGTAGCTGTAGAATGTGGCTTGTTCATTCTTCCTGATAAGAAATTGATCTCCTGAATGGATTGGCCATTTGGTAATTTCTTAGTGAAAGGCTGACTCTTGAATATGGCTGTTATAATATAAATTCTTACCAACATAAAGTAAGGGCTTATTTGGGGCTTGGTAAAACTGTCATGCCTTGAAGTATATATAGCTTATAAATTGGCTAACATGTATTTATGACGTAGCTACCCCTGTGCCAGCTATCACTGACAAAGCCTGGATTCTGTTGCAAGGAGACATATATTGAGAGAAAATTGATTACAAGTAACTATTTCAGGCTCTGCTTTGAATTTCTCATTCACATGCTCTTTTTTCTTTTTCCCTCCAAGGGTCGGGATTACTGTTCGGAAGAAGAGGATATCACATAGCACCAATTTTACCACTCAAACCAGGAGCTACTACTGTGTAAATAGGTTACACCCCAGTTGAAATCTTTGCAAAGGTCGGTTCTATTCAGCGAACAGCACTATAGCAAAAGAAGATCGTTCCATATTGTACGCCCCATTAAATTACAGTGTTTCTTAATGAACTTGCAAAGGAATATTGCTAAAAACAAACAAAAAAAACTGTTATCGAACTTTCTTTGTTGCTGCTAGTTAAAACTTGTTGCAACTTTTCACTTCTCTTGTGTCCAGGTATGCAGCAAAATTCTGCAATTTCACCTTAAAGATACTGTTGGTTTTACAGATGCTCTCCAACCTATTTTCTATAAGATGAGGTAGTGGTGAACTCAGATAACAAACTTCTCTTCTAAACTGGTTCTGCTTCTAAGACAAGCATCTCCTGCCCTCTCTCCTTCCTCCCCATCTCTCGCACGCAGTCTAGAGATGGACTGAGCCTTGCTTCTCACTGGCAGTGTTGAGCTTTGGAGATGGGATGGTTGCTATGCCAAGCCTTGTTTCTCTGCTCAGAAGAAGTAGAGAAGCTATTATCAATTAAAAGCATGCTGTGATGTGACTCCTGGAAGTGACGTAGGAGTGAGTGGCAGGTTGTTTGATTTAATAGGTATCTTAATCAAGAATTAAGCTTGCAACATTGGCTTTGCTCAGATGCAGATGGAAGTGTGATCACAATCATTTTGAATCCCTCTTCCTCACTTTTTTTTCTAAGAAAATAAACATTTTACTGTTTTTATGGATCCTTGTCTTCTCCCATTCATCCAGCTCAGTGTTTTAAGATGATCCTGGGTGCAGAAGTTGAGCCCTCCTTTGCATTGACACTGATAATTAGCCTATAGGGCTCCCTACCCTTCCATTAAGAATCTACCAAGCATTAGCAAGGCTGAAAGTGGTCTAAGAGGTGAGGGGACATCCTATGACTTTTTAGGAAGGCCTGAAACCACCTTGTTACCTTTCATTTTGTTAGCAAATAAACCATCCTATTTTGTAACTCTCCCCCTTCAAAATGCTACATGAGCCTTGCCACTTCCTTTTTCTCTTACTTCCAGCACACTAGACATAGCAAAAGTGTTTGCCTACTCAAAAACATAATACTTTTATGCTGATGATGGTATTTGGAGATGTGAAAGCCAAAAGCCCCTGGCAGTGGTGGGGAATGTTGACTGAGTGTTCAGCAGAGTTTATTTTTCCATACTATATGAAGAGAATGATCTCTTCTCAAAGACAGAAGTGATATTTTTAACAAATATTGTCACAAGTAAATAGCAATCAAAAGGAGAAAATAACTTTTGTATTTTTTTAATGTGTTTGATAGCTTTGACGAGGGTTCTCTTTGTTACTTTCAGGGGAGGGCATCCTATTAAATGCCACGCCAGCAGTCCGGGTCTGGGTTTGTCCCACAAAATCACAGGAGCACTGTATGTTCCTCTCTTTTGGAGTTGTGACTTTGAAGGGCCTCAATATTAGCCACACTGCCGCCTGCAGAAGGTGGAGAGTTAAGATGTTCTATGTCAATTTGCTCTTGCCGAAAAGATGAGCCTCGATTTTAAAATCTATCCACATCCAACTGATGGCACCATTGATGTGCAAATAATGAGATTCCCTATCTCCTTTTAGACCTGGGACGGCAAAAGGGAAGGGAAGGAAACTTAGCAGAGTGCTATTGACTATAGATTCACATATTAGCAACAAAATCCCGTAATTCTTTTGGCCAACAGCAGCTATTTTGGGGAGCAGCTGTGGCTGTTACATAAATAGAGATGCAGCCAAAATTTTAGGCCTTTTATCCTGCTTCTAGCAGAAAAATGCAGGGAGAGTCAAGTAGTCTAGGGTTTCAGGTTGCCTCCCCTCATATGGTTTTTGGCCAAGTGACTAAAACAGTTTTCCACAACTGTAAACAAACTGCTAAGCCCCACCTCAAACTTGTTCACTGGGGACTTTGCTTACCGTTCTGTGGGTGACCTTTTCCGGGATTTCTTGTTCTTATCAAGCAAGAATTAAGCACATGCTAAACGTCTTCCATTTGACTTCTCTACTCGGTGTCTCAGACAGTGTCTTCCCAGAAAACCACCACCCTCTACCCAAAGATGAAACATGCTCATGTCATTTTTCTCATGGTCACATTTAACAGTTTTGACATGTTATACTTGCGCATAGATCCAAGCGTTTCTTGGGAACCTGACTTTTGAGTGTTTAATAAAGCCGGAAGTGGTGTTGCCCTGAACCAGCAGATTTTCACCTGGGTTCTGGCTCCGGTGTTTAACACTGGATACATCTTTGATGTGCGAAAGTGAGTTCATCTTCAGACACATTTGGTACATCCAGAAATAGATCCAAGAAATGGGGTGGTTGAGTGGGTCCGCACGAAATGCTTGATTATGTCAGCAACACCCAACACTGTCTGTTTTCCATTTGTTGGTTTTAATCATAAAATTGTCAAGTGATTCGTGTTTGTACTTTATTTTTTTGTGCCTTCTGAAAGGATCTAAAACAAAAATATTTTGCCTTTTTTTCCCCACGTGTATCTGAACATTAAGCAGATTGGCTCAGACACAATGAAAAGGATAATCCAATGTACGTGCTGGTGCACTCTGCTAGTTGTTATCTCTGTAGGGCTCAGGAAGCTGGAAGGAGGAAGGGAGGGTAAGTGGCCTGGTGAGTGGAGGTAGAAAAATGATGAGAAATGAACTGAGAGCATTAAGCAGAGAGGGTTGATAGGCTGGCCGTGTCCGGGGTGAAATTGGAAATCCAGCTGCCTAGTGGCCAGTGGGTGGGGCAAGACTGTCAACGAGATTTACAGCTGGCTTACACATGCCTTATGTCCTCTGAGTTGTAGAGTTGTAAAAGTTCAGCAGTGTGTGCACAGCTTTCTTTTGGTTGGCAGAGATTCAGGATCATGGAGTACTGCTCTCATAATTGAAGACGTGTTTGTTATTGGCAGAGAACCTTAAAAAAGGCCTTTACCTCAGCGATGCTTCCTAGCCCCAGGCTTGCAGAGAACACAGAGTGGTGTTGTGGTCTATTTAGGGACAAAGAAGGTATAAAGTCCAGAGATGAGAAAACTGGGTCAGCCCTCAGAAACTGCAGCAGCCACGCACACAGAAGCCTGCTGGAAGACAGGTCTCTCTCCGTCCACAGTGCCCATCATCTGAGCCTGGGCTGGGATGACTCAACTTAGCAAAGACGGACCCAGGAGGAGTGCTGGTTCTTCAGTCTTTGTACTGGCCCCATCCTCTCCTCACTGTAATGTGAGGAAGCACCTCTGTGTCAGGGCTCACCTGGGCATCCAAAGCGGCCACGCCCACAATCCGACAGCCCCCAGGAGCAGGTCCAGGGATGATGCAGCCCCCTTCTTGGTCCCATGTGATGTCATCCTGCTTTGTTATCTTCTTATAACTTTATCCTGCTATAACTTTATCCTCTTCCCAGCCTCATCCCTGTTTTTCTGTTAGGGCAAGACTCTTCCATAAGCCTGCTAAAAAACAGAGATGATACCTCTTACAAACTTTACCTCATAGCCTGTGAAGCAGGTTGGCATGTGGATTACAAGTCCTGCTTTGACACTGGGCAAGAATTTAAGATTGTTCTATCTCTACTAGTCATAGAAAAGAAACATTGTTAAACATGTTGAGTTTTAAAGGAAGAAATATTTTCAAATTCTTAATCCAAGAAAATACTGAGTTGGAATCTTAGACTTCGGGACTCTGACACGTTCTTTATGAAAGGCAAAATAATTGGTATCTAAAGTTCTCTCCTTCCTGCCTCCCCTAAAGAAAAAGGATATTAGATTGCACACTATAATTTTACATAAGATCTGCCTTCCACACTTCCCTGCTGGAAGGCATTCTCAGAGCTTTATGTCTTCGTACCTCTCAGAGATTGGACTTTTTCTTGTTTAAAACCCCAACCAAAAAAAATAATAAGGCATGATTGGTGGGGAGGGAATGTGTATTTAGGGGCATAATAAAAAGGTGGCTCGAAGCAGGAACTTTGGCCTCATGGTGTCATGGGTGGATGCCTGGACTCCAGTGTGCCTGTGAGGGGCTGGGTTAGGCAGTCGGCTGTCACACTCACATGTGCCTGCAATAAACCTTTTGGAATTTCATGAACGAGGTCTATGAATTGCCTTTTGCCAATGAATGGATGTATTTTTCCAAGGGGGGAATAGTATCCTTGACTTTGGCAGTCACCTTTTTGTATGTCTCTAGAAAGGGGTCAAAAAACTATGGTAAAGATGAGGCTTATGAGTGAATACCTCTGGGACAAACCTTAGGACTCACAAGCTATGCCATGTTTTTCAGGAGACTCTTGTACCTTATCTGGAATCTAATCTTGGGAGAAGAGGAAAAAGGAGCTAATATTTGTCATTTATACTCACTCTGTGCCAGATACTGTGCTAGGCATTTTATAATTGTTTTGTGTCATCCTCATGATAATCCTGTGAAGTAGATCTATTACCCCCGTGTTCTAAATAATAGATCTTAAGTGTGGAATGCATCTATCCAACATAAATGCCCATGTTGAAAGAAGGAAAGATGTCATTCAAGTATTTTTCAAATTCTTTTTATTATGACTATGCCCTTCGCAACACTGTGAAAACAACCCCTGGGGGCATCTGCCTTCCAGAATCTCTCTCTGGCTTCTCACCAGCTTGGTTTCCTCATGGGGAGTGTTTTATTTGGCCTCCCCTATCTGAGCTGCACACACACCAGGGGAGGCCACTGGCTAACAGTAGGACTTCAGTGCCCTGAGGAAAAGGCTTTGGGAATTTAGGCACACGTTTCTCTCCTTGGAATCCTTCTAGCATCTGGAAAAGGAACCTGGTATTTCTGCAGTTAGATACCAGATGCAACCAGAACAGGCTTTCGAGTGCTGTGATTTCTTTCCTGGGTTCCCAAGTCTTGTTGTTTCATCACAAACTGTATCTTTTTAAGGTTAAAAGTCTTGACCTTCATGGGGGTCTGGGACAATCCGATCTCCAAGCATGGAGGAAAGGCAATGCCTGGACCACTGACTTGCATTGAAATCCTTTCTTGTGGGCTAGGGTTTGATGTCTCTTTTTCATCTTTGGACTGGGGATCTGCATCTTCCAGGTCCATTTAAGCACTGAAACTAGATGCAAATCTCTTTCGAGACCTTACATGTTTTAGATAGTCATGTAATGACTTGGATAGACATTTAAATAACTTGTTCCAAGGTCGGAAGAGCCCAAGAACTCCTCAGAGTTCCTCTTCTTGCTTCTTGAATCACATCCTCTAAAGATGACTCATGTCTCCATAGCAACTGTTAAAGGTGCTGCCTAGACGGGACCCGCTCCCACCTTTACTTACTTTGCTCGAAGGAACCAAAACAATGTCCTTGTGTAAAGGGGCTGTCATATCCAGTTTTCCTTTGAAATCTGGCCCCCAAGATCCTGCTTCTTTCTAACCTGGCAGCTGTCATGTCCCTTCAAGATGATGTGGGAAATGGCCCTTACAACTTGGGAACCACAGAAATTGCTGTATTTCGGGAAGATTCACCTCTAAACTGAAGGCTTCATTCTGATAGTGTCTGCCCTCTCTACCCTGATTTCGCCCTTCTTTGCTTCCATTTTTAGCCCAAGGCTTTGAATTTGATTGAGTAAGACTTAGAGGCAGTATAAAGAACACCATAAACTTAGGCAGAGGTCCCTTAGGGTCTCTAGAGTTGAAAATAATTCTACAGCCTTAGGGGGACCTCTTGGCATTGACTCTAAAGGGAGAGAATAGCCCCTGTGTCCTGGCATTTCAGTCTAGACCTTCAAGGACTGTTCTCTCTTGACAGGCAAGCAAGCAAAGAAAGTTTTGCAATAGATTTCAAGCCAGTTTTTCCATTCAAACCAAGATGCAAATTCATAAAATTACTCTTTTCCTGGAATAGATCCAGGCAGCTGCCTTATTAGAACTTTAGATTCGGATCTATTTTCTTAACACACATACACATACACGCGCATACATACATATACAGAGAGATACGTGGAGAAAGGAAATTTACTCTATCATTGCAATACTTCAAGAAAGAGCTGTATTTTGCCTTTCTGTAATCTCCAAGATAGTGTCTAGGAAAGTAATAGTATAACTATAGGGATACCGAAACAGGAAAAACCAGCCATCACTCTTGAGAAAGTTTGAGTTCGACTCACATGGGAGAATCGAGGTCTGCTACTCGTCTTGCTTTGTGCCCCATCTGTGCCTGGATGCCCTACTACATCTGCTTGACTCGTCTGGGCTGCTAGCCGGGGTGTTGTGGCTGACATCCTTTCCTGGCCTTACACACATAATAGACACATCCCTAACGGCGTGTGCCTGGTCCAGCCACATACAGCCACCACATGTGTCACACACTGTCCCCCTCATCCATGTGGACTTGACTGGCATTTCAGCAGCTCCACTGGGATGCTCTAACCCCAGTGTGTGGAGTTGGGGTCCCTTCATCTAGGTTGACCCAGGTATAGCATTTTTAGCATTGCCTTTCCAGTCTTGATGATTCATTCATTGAACTCATTTATTTCTGGAGCCCCTGGTACACTCCAGGCACTGCGCTAATTGCCAGCAAAGCACAACTGAACTAAATCCACCTTCAAGGAACCTAGCCATAACGAGGGAGGCAGCATGGAAGTACCCTACAGGGGAAAGTCCTGAGTGCTGTGGGAGCATCTCACCGTGGCAGCCAGCCCAGTTTTGGCAATCAGGGGCTTCCTGAAAGAGGTGACATCAAAGCCCGGATGTGTCAGAGGACTGAGGGAGAGTGTTACTAAAGGACTTTCAGGCTGAGAGGATAGCACAGGACTCAGCCCAAAGGAGGGCCAGTGTGGACTGTCCAGGGCCAGCCTGCAGTACAGAGGCTGGAGCTTGGACTTGTAGAGGGAGAGAGAAGAGCAAGGGACGTGGACGGGGCAGTGAGCCAGGCTAGCCACAGAGGGTTCCCGGGGCTTTGCTGGGGATTCAGGGAGCATAAATAAGAGCTTTAGGTGGTGCTGTGTCCTCTGCAGCCCACTGCTGAGGTCCTCCAGACAGGTAAGGTGTGGTCACAATCAGGGCCGGGGTTTCCCTGCTCACTGCGGCAGTGCAGGGGTGCTTGCTGAGATGATTCATCCCAGGGTGTCCTCTGTCCCTTACCCAGCCCCAACTCCTCTTCCTCTGCCAAAAGCTATTTGAATTCAAGGACTTTAACCTGGGCCGGATCTGGTTTGGAGACAAAGGGGACAGCTCTGGGTCAGCATGACCTTCTTTAGAGCCACTAAGGCGAAAAATACCGTTTGGGACCAGGCTGGCCTAGACCCAGGGATGAGAATGCACCCTAAAATAAATATACGGGAAGCAGCAGAGGGCTTCCCTGTCTAGTGTGTGATCCTAACTAAAGGCAGCTCTCTTGGACAGCCTTCCCCTGGATTAGGTCACATACACCTGGTGGCCAAGCCTCTGCTGGGTCCCAAATACACACCCGAGTCCTGCCAAAGAAAGGAGATTTTTAAAAAGCACAGACAAATTGTATGCAAGTGGAAAATACCCATAGGCCTAGACAGCTGTGGAGGGAAGACCTCGTGGGTACCTGGAGGCTGCCAGAGCTGGGAGCTCTGCAGGTATGAGTCAGGGAAGGCTCAGAGACAAGCAGAATCTCTCTATGGAGACAACTTGCAGTGCCTTTTAGGTTTTCCAAATAACCTCGGAGTTCAGAGCATTGGGTTTTTTTCTCCCCTCCCCACCCCCAGAAAAATAATTAGAAAAATGTTTAGGAGAAAGGAAAAGAATTAGATGCATCAGAATACCAGCTATAAGCCAACACTGTTTCCAGAAACTCAAGAAAAAGCTCAAACAGAAGACAGTTCCCCTGAGAGGCTGGAGGCGTTGGTGCTGAAGGCAATTTTCCTAGCTAAGGGGCACTGGGCCTTGCTGCACCTTGGGGCTGACCTTTTTTGCAAAACACCCACCCCTGCCCTCCTGGCATACTCAACAGCAACGCCAGCTTTCTGGACCCTTGGAAAGATGTTAGCTCAAACACCCACTTTTTCCAGATCTTCCTCTTGCTCTTCACTGAGGAATTTGTAATTCTGAGGCTAGCGATGCCCACTCGGATATTCCGCAGGCCCAGGTGTTTAGATTAGAATTTGTCCAGCGGTAATCCTGATGCTGGAAACCAACAAACATTTGGCCTCATATTCACCCATTTAAAAACTAGAGCCCCTGGCAGGTCCCCTTAGGGCCATGTGTTCATGGAATATAAGCCAAGTTTGCCTTAGGCTTGTTCATGGAATATAAGCCAAGTTTACCTCTCCCCATTTTCTGCCCTGGCCCACTTCCCACTCACCTCCACCTCATTGCCAGGAAGGGATCAAAATGCCTCCATGCCAGTTGTTAATGGCTACATATTTGCCCTTCCCAAGGGTATTTGCATTTTATTTAGGAACATGGCCTTATATTCAAGGAAAATCTAGCATCAAGATTACGAGGCATCACCTCTCAATCAGGTCTGGGAGGTATCTTGGGGCATTGCTCTTCTGAACACCTGCAGAGGCTTCCTCAGGTGAGTGTGGGAGCCCGGAAGGGTGGCCTCCCTAACCACTCTGCCTGCACATGAATTCTCCAAAGCAGTGGGCCCCCATCTGTTTCAATTACACATGCCTGTCAGCAAAAACTTCGTGAGATGCACTCTCTCTGTGTGTTTATTAATTTATTTAAAGCATATATCCCTTTACTTTTGTACTACTATATTAGGCACATTATAAAAAGTATACAGCATAGAAACTTTAAATGAATAAGACACAAAATATTATAAACAGAGGTTCTGGCATTTTCTCTCTGAACTCCTGAGGGGGACCTTGGGCACCTCCTGGTATGTGCACACCCCACTTTGAACACCCTTGCTTTAGTGCAAATCAGCACGCCTAAATAGCATCCCAAACCACTGTGCGACATTTGGCCTGCAGAATAAGAAAGTCCTAAGGCAGAATCCCCAGGAACTTCAAATCTGGGAGATGAGGAAAGAAAACTCACTCACAAACAACATAAATGTAAATAATTCAAAACCCTAAAGGAGAGCTGTCCCTAGACAGTAGTGGCTACAGGTGCTAAGCAAAAGTCAGGTACACTGGACAGAGCCATGCGATTGATTGTTCATCTTCCCTCTCTGGGTCTCCAGAAAAGGACACTGGCAATATCCCCAGCTCTCTCCTGATTGGAATTCTTTGAACCCTCGAAGTGCTCCAGCAGTACTACCCCCCACGTAGCAGTGGGCCCATGTCGCTTGAATATTATTTTTGATTTGACCACCAAGATGTAATGATGATTCTATTCCATTTTGAAAAGGGTCTGAGAAAGTGTACAGGTCTAATTATATATACATATTTATACATGTGTATTTTTGTTTATTGTTACATTTTGACATTGGACTTTCTATTAAATAATTTTTAAGAGTTGGCCTGGCTTTGTTCTCTTTTATGTCTTTCTTCTTTCCTTTCTCATGGAGGAGGCCATTGTAAATATCTGCAAAAGACCCTGTTAGTGTCCTTGTCCCTCCTCTCTTTTTGCCTTCCCTATTTCGTGTACATAAGGGCTTCTCTTACCATTCGTAAATGTTCTGTTTTTACTGGATATGTGGTACAGCAGGCACCCATATGGAAGGCCCCCAACCTTGTTGTCACCTCCTCCAACTTTCAGGGACAGCCCACACTGTCCTATCAGCCTCAGCAAATTCACAAATTCAGACCTGATGAAGGTGCAAGAATGGGCAATGCATAAAATAACGCCATGAGCCTTCTCTCCTGCTCAATCCCCACCACACACAGACGCGCACACACACACCATGTGCACACACACAGTCCTGTCTATGAGACCTTGGACAAGTCATTTAACCTTCCGGAGCCTACTAAAAACAATCATTTTCTCATGAGTTTGACTTGAGGAGATCCCACAGGAAGTGCTTAATGAACAACCTTCTGTTACACAATGACTCTTTTTTGTTTATTCATTCTACTCATTCAGCTGACATTTGTTAATTGTACAGTGTATGCCAGGGCCTGGGTCACCCACAAAGGGGCTCAGGGATGTGTGAATTTAAGGAATTCCCCACTCCAAGGTCAAAGGCCAGAGTGGCAGCATGAAGAATGAGGCCAGTACCATATAGTTTCTCACATACCCCACTGTCAACTATAACTACCTGGCATGTTTTAGAGGCTGAAAACATATGGATTCTCCCACTGCACTGGCCTTCCAGGATTTACCGAACAGAAATACGCACACACATGGACAAACGGTCTCAGGGCACTTTGTCAAAGCATGAAGCCAAAAGCTGTTTCCCTCTGCTCTGTCTTCACTGTCGCATGAGCCTGTTCATTTCTGACAAGCGTTGGTCCCATCAGCCCAGCCAGCCTTCCGCCCTCCAGCCTTGCTCTTGGGAACAGATTGTCTTCATGATTTCCAACTGGTGTGGTGAGAAGGAGGGAGGGAGGGAGGTCAAGCCAAGGACAGGGGAAGGAGTTGATAACTATTCCTAGGCTTCTTCCTCCAAGCCATGGAGCTGGAAGTTCAGATTTGCTGCTGAGTTTTATGAGCTGTCAAATAAGGCAAAAGGAAACTTGGGACCCAAACTTGTTCTTTCAGTAACAACAAACCTGTTTCTTCCAGCAGAGGCTTACTTGAAATCACAAAGGCCAGCCAAGCTGAAAGAGCTCCCTAACTCCACCTACCTTCCCCTGTCTCTCTCTCTCACACACACACACACACACACACACACACACACACACACACACACACACACACACACAAAGCTGGTCTCCCGTACCTCTGACTGGAACTTGGGGAGCTTCCTTAGTCTCATGCCGAAGAGGAGTCAAGCTTAGGAGACCTCTGGTCTGCTTCTTGGTGCTCCCTGAATGCTTGTTAGTGACGTCAGCTTCCAGTTTACTGGTAACAGCTGGACTGCTGCCGGAGGCCAGTAACCTGGAGTTCTCTTGCTTGGAAGCAGGTGATGGGAAGTGGGATGTGAGTGATGGAGGGAAAAGGAAGCTCAACTCCACCGAGCCTCAACACTTGATGGATGGGGCAAAGTGAGGAAACAGACCACAGAAGCACAGGAGTAAGCCACTGTTTCTGCCCCTCAAGGGTCTCCAGGCCACCATCATCCCTGCCACTGGCACTGCCCAACCTGCCACTTCCTTCTACAAAGCTGAAATGCAGTAATCTGATGGAGGACACAAACCTTTAACTTCCTCAGTTCACATCACGTTACTAATCCAGCCTCCTACTCTCCAGCAGCACTCAGCTTCCATCTGCTGGCCAGCTCTTTACGTGGTCCTCTCCTGACACTACCACGTTCCTTTGCCTATGCTGGCTCTTGCTGTCCCTTCGCCAAGAAAACTCTCCCATTTCTCCTTCCCACTGGGAACCAAGCCTCCTCTGAGTTCCAGTTAATATTGAGCACTCACATGAAGTCTCCTCACCGTATGACCTAACATATGCCCTTCGTTCCTGCCAAAGAACATTCCCTTTAGGAGGGGCCGGGTGTGGGTGGCAAGGTGGGGTAGGAATCCCTGACAAGGATGATCCAGGGAGAATTCTGGTGAGTAAGACCTGGTCTTCAAGTGCAACTTGGTCTTCAAGAGCCAAGTTGCCATGCTGAGGAAGGGTGACCCCAGAGCAGAGCCTAGGCCAGGTGAGGAGCAGGTCTGAGAGACGCGATGATCACAGAGAGTGGAACACCTGTGTTTAAGGACATGGCTACAGAACATACATTGTAAATAATGTTATAGCATTATTTCTAACAGTAAAAAATGGGACACAATCTTAGCACCCTTCAGAAAAAGAATGAATAAATAAATAATAATGAAGTTGATCTTGTATCAATAGGGATAAACCTCAGAAATACAACAGTGAATGAAAAACACACAAAGGATACAGTATGACACCATTTATATAAAGTTTGAAAGCTTGCAAAACCATATCTATTATGTGTGGATACTTACATGTATAGTAAAAGTATAAAAACATACATGGAAAACATAAATACCAATTTCAGAAGAGCAGGAAGAAGGCAGGAAATGGCACAGGTGAGGGTTAACAATGTTCTAGTCTTTTAAAACATCAGCTGAAGAAAATATGGAGACATAGGGACAATATTCTCTATACTCCTGCGTGCTTGTACTATTTTATCATTTTTAAAGGAACAAAGAGTGCTCTAGGAGCAACTTCATGTTGGTGATAGACTGCAGCTGGTTGAGCTTTGGGTGCTGCAGTCAGCCACAGGTGAGAACGGTGACGGTGTGACAGGGAATGGGCACCACTCCTCTCAGAGCTCTGGTGGCTTTTCAAATCTGCTTCATCTCCTATTTCTGTGTCCTTGTCTCTAGTTTTCATATGTAGATGACATGGGAAGGAGACAAAGTTTTAACTTCCTCCGATCACATCATGTTACTAATCCAAAGTCCCAGACTGTCTCTTCCTCTGAAGTCCCACAGCTTTAGTATGCTGCATGTGGGATTGGACCTCAACAATTGCTTTCGGATCAGATCTCACTCATCATCTTTGCCCTGGATGAGGCTCTATTCAGTCTTCTTGGGTGTGTTACAATTTGGCACAAAACATCTTGTCCACATATATGTTCCCCCCAGGGCTGCCTGCCCCCCCCCCACCCACCAGACCCTCACACACAGCCCTTTTGGACTTGCCACAGCTCTTTCCACAAGGACTCAGAGTCCCTCAGGGGAGAGCACCCCCCAGAGTTTTGAGCAACATTGACTGACTGGCTGAGATGACCTGGGACAGCAGGTCCCACTCTGCAAATGCATAAGAAGAATCACTGAGGAGGCTTGAAATACACACATACACGTGCACACACACCCACACACACACACATGGCCTCTGACATCTGACCCCTCAAAAGGTCTCATTTGTAACTACTGGAGTGGGGGATTCTGACAAGTACCAAGTTTGGGAGCCGGGATCTACAGTGTAGTAAACAGTGGCAGGTACAGAGTAGAGCTGGAGGAGAATGAGAGCACGCAGTCTGTTGCAGACAGGGATTTCATAAGACTCAGTGAGTTCTTCAGTGCAGTTTCAGACATGCCTGCCAATAGGTCTCCCTCCAGAAGTTGGTTCTCCAAGAGTTGTATGGCTCAAACAAATGGTATTAACCATGGATAGATGCTAAAGATGAATAGAGGTTGAGAATCTGCTTCCTCACCACCAGAAAGAGAAAAAAGGAGGTGTCACTTGGTCAGAGCCACCTTGTTGATTCATTGATGGTCTCCTTTGGGCCTCTGTCATGGCTGCACACTAGAATCACCTGGGGAGCTTAGACGGCCCATGTCCAGACCTCAGGTCAGTTGAGTCAGAATCTCTGGGCATGGGGCCCAGCATTGGCATTGTAAATATCATCTCACCTCAGGCAACCGAGCCACAGGGAGTGTTTGAGAACAACTTGTCCACCCTGCATGCCACTGAGTTGGGCACCAGCAAACAAAGCTGAACAGACTAAAGCCTGCCTCTGAAGAACTTGGAGATGATAGGGTGCAGGTTTGCAAACACGTACTCCAACGGGCTGCAAGAGCCCGGGAAAGGAACTCAAAAGAATCCTTCAGGAGAAGGTGGTGAGAATAGGCAGCCACGAATGAGTAGGTTCTGTGCAGGGACTCCCCAGTGATGCATGAAGGAGCGTCCCTCTTGTTGAAATAGGACAAGAGAGTGAACCAACCCCTACAAGACCAAGAGTTCAGGCTAGGGAAAAGCCTCAATTCAGCTGGGTCCCAGATATGCTTTTGCTCAAGCCATCCTGAAGAAAGAATTCTTGAAGCTGTCTTGACAGGGGACCTGCTAACCTCTGCTGAGAACTCCCTTACTGTACAGGAGTTTTATCCCCCTGAGCTAACCTCAGGCAACAGCCCAGACCTGTCCTACCCTTTCCTGAACCAGCTGACCCCCATCCCTCAGAACACGCCGGCCGTGGGAGGCACATTCAGGCTAGAATAGGCATCCAGGCAATGAGCCCCTTCCCTATAAGACATGACCAACAAACCACAAGGAAAGCAAATCCCCAGGAACACTTTTGTATGAAGGAGGGATCCCTGGCTTAAAGGGGCTGAGGACAGTAGCTGCTTATCCTCTCTGCAGGGTCCCCTCCACTGAATAAACAGAAAAGCAGGACTTACACACCTGATGCCTTTGGAAGGGGCATTAGGGGTTGTTACTATAATGGGGGCTGCAGTGGTTGGATTCCTGGTAAAAGATCATCCCAGTGAGTTTGGTAATTGCCAACCGGTATGTTACCCAAGACATATGCATCCTCTCATGTGGAGCGGCCAGGCTCATGGCTGGAATTTCAAGCACTTGCTCCAATTGTTTGCAGAGTTCTGGTCATTGGTATGCTCGGCACTTGGCCATCAACTTGACGCTAGGTTCTCATGGCTTGCTGTCCTATCAGGGACTGACAGCTTGGAATACAACCAACAGAGAAAATCCAATAAAAAGCCATTGTAGAGACTGATCTGCCACCATCCTGCTCCCTAGTGGCCCATCTAGGGGGTGGGGATGCTGGGTGGAGTGCTGGCTGATTTCCCAGAGGCTTTTTGTGTCCACTGAAGACTCCTCTGGACATTTCTTGTCAATCACAAACTCAACCTGGGGCCCACAGGCAAGCAAGTCTCCCATTATCAGACTGGAATACAAATGGGGTTTTAGATGTAAAGATCAGGTTTGATGGCATGTGATGCCATCAAACATGAAGGAGAAACCCCTTCCCAAAGCTCCATCACTCTACAAGTGAAAATTCAAGACTCTAACAAGGCTCTGTCTTGAGTTCCCACCCCCTATTCCCAGGCTTTGCCCAAAAAAGGAAAAAAGGAAGCTTTAAATCAGGTCACCCTAAATCCTCTTTAATCCTTGAGATTATCCATCTGGTATTTGTGTATTTGTGTTTCTGCCAATACAGTGGGATTTGCGTGCCCTGGGCCCTCTCTGGTTCCTGCTACAAGCCACAGAAGTGGCTTCAAACACCTGTCTCCCCTTTCCCCCTTTAGAGGTAATTGGAAAAGAAAAGCTTGAGTAGCCTCCAAAGTAGAAATAAGTAGAGTCCTCAGGGTAAGTAAGAAGACCCCAGGGCACAGTGAGGCCTCTTCCCACATTGAAACATGGTCAGCCCTGAGTTCCTGCCCTCAAGTTACCGGTGAGATGGTCTTCTTAGCAGAAGCCAAGTCTACCAAACTGTGGCAAAGTCCTCATCCTTCAGGTGAAATGTGGCATCAAGGCCATTGCTGGGTCCCCAGTCGATCCATTCTCATAACAGTCTCTGCTACTTATTGAGCAGTGACTAAATGTTCTCTGATGTAATCATGACAATCCCTTATAAATGGGTGCTGATCACTCATTTATGGCTGGGGAAATAGCCTCAGAGAGGTTGAGTATCGTACCCCAAGGTCACACAGCAGGAAGTGATGGAGCCATGATACCAACTCAGGTCCCCAGGCACATAACCATTCAGTGCCACTCACACATGGGTCACCATGCCATCATCATCACACTTTGGTTACACCCTTTGCCAGCGTTACCACTGCCACCTTCTCCACCTCCCATCCAGTATGTCCTAGCCTTCCTTTGTTCAACCAAAACATCTTTCCTAAATTTGTCCCTCCTGGACCAAATCTGACCAACAACCTCTCACTAGTGGAAAAGCACTGCCGAGAGTGTGAGCTGAAGCAGCCAGTCCCTGCCCCCCGCCAGCCTGGACCCAGGCAGACCGTCCTCCCAGCAGCTACCATGTGGAGATCCTTCCTCCTTCTTCTTTCTCCCACACTGCCTTCTCAAGCTTTCTGCTATTTTCTGGAGCTTTTCTAGTCGTCACCCAGATGACCTGGAGATAGTCCCTATTGGTCATGAGTTCTGCCCTTTTCTCTCCAAGCCACTCCAGAGAGACCTGTTCCCGTGAGTCACTGTGGCATCCTGGCCCATCAGCCCAGGGCTTCCCACAGCTCTCAGCAGCCTTCTGCTTTGTGTCAAAGGAACTTCGTTTGCCAAAGACTTGTTCATGTGTTGTCACTGGATTTATTTACATTTGCTACATGTCCTATTGGACTGAAGGACAGTGAAGGTGGCATCCCACTACCCACAAAGCCACCTCTCCCTGCCCCTCCAGAGTGCTCTGTTCATACCGCTGATGCTGAGATGGGCAGCCACTGAGCACGCATGACATGAGTAACCATTCCGTCCTCTTGGCCTGGGTTTCCTTCCTGGAGCAAAGGGGAGGTGGAAGCAGGCACTGGTTGGGAAGGTGACTGTCAGATTAACTCTGATGGGTAAAAATCCTCAGTCTCACAGCATCTGTGAGCAAGGCAACTCAGCCTCCTGTGAACCCCCTAATTTCCAGGCTGGTGGGTGGTTATTTTTCCTCCAAAGCCCTCAGCCAGCCCTTCCTCTCACCCAAGGGCTGTGGTTTGGGGCATGTTTTGACTTGAAACAGTCAGACCCATGGCGGTATTTGGAGTTGTAAGCCCCTTCTGTGCTAAAAGGAAAACATGAATGGTCTATTTAGAACCTGCTAACAATTCACAGTATGAAAAACAGCCAACAATTCTGCTGCCGAAATGCCGGCTTTCTGAGAGTAGCCCCAGGGGAGCTGGCTGTGTGGCAATTCTGGCCCCTACTCTGGAAGACCCTGCACTAGTGGTGGCAATGATTCCAGAATATCATGCCTCTGTCCTGGCTTTTTCTCAGCCTCTCCTTAACCTCTTCCCAGAAGGCTTTCCTCCAGGGGCCTGCGGTGTTCTTGCGCTGTGAGGGAGACCACTTTTCATAAACCGTATGAACTTTGCTCTGGACAAATGAGAGAAGGGTGAGTATTTGGGAGGGCCTCAGACAGATTCTCCTGGGCCTGAGTTGTTAGGTTTTCCCTCACCATCACAAACATACACAGAGTTCACCTGAGGGAGGAAGCTGGCTTCCTCTCAGGACAAAATGGCGTCCCTGGAGCTGTAGATACATTCCAGGATGTTGTCAGCACCAGAGAATGACAGAGGTTTTATTTATTTCATTGCATCCTAGGATTAAAAGGGAAGGTGTCAATCATAGGTTTGTAAATATTCAACCTAATTAAAAATAACCAGTTTACTGAAATACCAAAAGCTTGTTTTCAAAGATTATCTACAATTTGGAATGGCATTCATCTAATTTACAAAAACTGAATTTCCTCATAGATAACAAGTAATCCCAATAAAAATCCTGATTGGTTTTGTGTAGGAATTGGCAAACTGATTCTAGAATTTATGGAGAAATGAAAAGGAACTAGAATGGCAAGAACAATTTTGAAAAAGAAGAACAAATTTGGAAGACTGGCACTACCTGATTTGAAGACTTACTACAAGGCTACAACAATCAAGATAATATGATGTTACAATCGGTATAGACAAATTAATGGAACAGAATAAGCATCCAGAAATAGGCCCACACATATATGGTCAACTGATTTTAGACAAAAGTGTCAAAGTAATTCAGCGAGGGAAAGGATTGCCTTTTTAAAAAATTCTGCTGGTATAATTGGACATTCATATATATAAAGTGAACCTTGACCCTTACCTCAAACCACACACAAAAATTAACCTGAAATGGATCATAGTACTAAATGTAAAGACTAAAATCTAAAATTTCTGGAAGAAAACACAGAAGACAAAGCCTTTGTGACCCTGGATTAAGTAGAGATGTTTAGATAGCAGACAAAAATCATGAATCATAGAAGTAAAAATTAACAAATTAGACTTCGCCAAAACTTAAAACTTCTGCTCTTCAAAGACACTGTTGAGAAAAATTTTACAGACTGTGATAAGACATGTGCAAAGCATATATCTGACATAGGTGTATATATGTTTGCACATATTTGATAAGTATGCCCAACATCATTAGCCCTTAGGGAAATATAAGCCAAACCACAGTGAAATACCACTCCACACTCACTAGAATGGCTAACACTAAAAAAGACTAAAAGTACTAAGTGCAAGGGTGTGGAACTATTGGAACGTTCATGTTTTGCCAATGACAGGTGCAAAAATGGTATACAGTTGGCAGTTTGTGAAAAAGTTCAGCATTTCCTTAGTCAACCAGCAACACAATTCTTAGATATTTATCCAAGACAAAGGAAAACATATGTCCACAAAAGACTTGTATTTTAATATTCATAACAGCTCTGTTCATAATAATCAAAAAGTAGAAACCACTCAAATGTTCATCAACCAGCAAATTATTTAACAAATTGTGGTATATCCATATAATGGAATACTACTTGATAACAAAAAGCGATACAAGTGATATCCAACTCACAGATGCAGCAACATGGATGAATCTCAAAAGTATTTTGCTCAGTGAAAGAAGTTAATTACAAATGACTGTGTCCCATATAATTCCACTTATATGACATAGTGGAAAAGTCAAAACTGTAGGGACAGAAAACAGACCAATGTTGCAAAATGGGAAGGAAATTGCAAAAGAACATGAAGGCCCCTCTTGATTGTGTTGTAATTACATGACTATCCATATTTGTTAAAACTCCTTGAACAAATTGAACACTTTAAAGGGGCGAATTATATGGTATGTAATTATACCTCAATAAATCTAACTTTCAAAAAAAATGAATCTCCAAACTAGCTTGGATAATGGAAACTCACTAATTTGGATCCCCTTTATTCATATTTCAGTGACAATTTATACCCACAGGGGCCAAATTTTACATTTCCTCTATCTAAAAATCGTTATTGTTAAGTTTTTCTTTTTTTTTCTTTTTGGAGACAGAGTCTCACTCTGTTGCCCAGGATGGTGGTGTGCAGTGGCGTGATTTTGGCTCACTGCAACCTCCATCTCCCAGGTTCAAGTGATTCTTGTGCCTCAGCCTCCTGAGTAGCTTGGATCACAGGAACCCACCACCACGCCTGGCTGATTTTGTATTTTTAGTAGAGACAGGGTTTCACTATGTTGACCAGGCTGGTCTCGAACTCCTGACCTCAGGTGATCTGCCCACCTTGGCCTCCCAAAGTGCTGGGATTACAGGCATGAGCCACCGTGCGTGGCCTACTGTGAACTTTTATTATCCCACTAGGGGAAGGAGGAGAAAGATTCAAATTACTATGTACCAGGCCGGCATCATACCAGGCATTTTGTACTATAGCACAATCTAGTATAGTAGGATATGGTACCGTACAGTATGGTATGGTACAGTATGGTGTGGTAGGGTATACTGATTTTATCTGGTCTTTGTTATGGGCAAAATTGTGTTCCCCAAAATGTATATGTTGAAGTCCTAACCCACAGTACCTTAGAATAGAACAGTATTTGGAGATCGGGGCCTTTAAAGAGCTGATTAAGATAAAATGAGATTGTTAGGGTGGGTCTAATCCAGTCTGACTGGTGTCCTTAAAAGGTGCACGGGGGAAGGACTATGTGAAGACACAGTGAGAAGATGGTCATCTGCAACCCCAGGAAAGAGGCCTCAGAGGAAATCAACCCTGCCAACACCTTGATCTTGGACTTCTGCCCTCCAAAAGTGTGAGGAAATAAGTATCTGTTGTTTACGTTCCTCGGTCTGCGGTATTTTGTTATGGCAGCCCTAATCCAGCCCTGATACAGTCTCTTACAGTCCTCCCAACACACTAAGGTGAGATAGGCAGGGGAAAAAAGCCCAAAGCTCTGAGAGTGTCGGTAGCCTGCCCAAACTGCAGTGGCTGGGGTGGCAACCTGGGGTGAGACACGGGCCTGTCTGACACCCAGAGCTCACACTTCTGCCACATGCTGTACCCCCAGCCCCCCACCACCTAGATTGCAA
Organism: Homo sapiens; assembly: GCF_000001405.40. Classification (NCBI taxonomy): domain Eukaryota; kingdom Metazoa; phylum Chordata; class Mammalia; order Primates; family Hominidae; genus Homo; species Homo sapiens. Next base: position 184,639,393 of record NC_000001.11, read on the forward strand.
TTCTCAGGGGCTCAACTGGTTCTCTCATGTCTCTGAACAACCTGCACTGTGCTTACTTAGTAAATGTTGAATTGATTTGAATAATTAAAGATTTCAGGATGCAGGGACCTACTTTAAATATCCAGCTATTTTCCAAGGCAAATAAATATCACTGATTTTTACAAACTATGAATGTGAACATAAGAACTGAGAGCTTACCCACCCACCATGCCCTGAGTTCTGTGATTGCTGGGCCCAGTGACAGGCGTAGAGTATGCCAAGGGATGGCTCCCGGCCCTGCTCTCAGGCAGATCTTACAGGACCTGTGCAATGAATGCTGTGTTAGCCCCGATGTTCATTCATTCTGCAAATATTTATCAAGCACCTATAATAAAGCCAAAAGCCAAATTTTTTTTCTCTCAGACAGTTTTATCACTAGATACTAAATTGTTCTAACCTCTGGCCCATTAAAACAAAGGGGCTTGGCCGGGCGCAGTGGCTCATGCCCGTAATCCCAGCACTTTGGGAAGCCGAGGCAGGTGGATCACAAGATCAGGAGATCGAGATCATCCTGGCTAACACGGTGAAACCCCGTCTCTACTAAAAAATACAAAAAATTAGCCGGGTGTGGTGGCGGACGCCTGTAGTCCCAGCTACTTGGGAGGCTGAGGCAGGAGAATGGCGTGAACCCGGGAGGCGGAGCTTGCAGTGAGCCAAGATCGCGCCACTGCACTCTAGCCCGGACAATGGAGCAAGACTCCGTCTCAAAAAAAAAAAAAAAAAAAAAAGGTGGGGGGGGATTTGTGTTGTTCATTTATTTTGTTTTTTACATCAGATTTAATTTTTTTTTTTTTTTTTTTTTTTTTTTTTTTTGCCATTCTACCAAAGCCAGGTGAAGAAAGCAACCTGGAGTTGAAGGTCTTGCAGTTCAGAAGTGGAGAAGGATCTCTTTATATTCTGAGCATTTCCTGGAGGGCAGAAACTGACCTCGTGCTCATCTTTAGATTCTGAGGGCTCAGCAAATAGTGAATTTTTGGTAAATGTGTTTTGGACTTAGAACTAAATTTTAGATAAATCAACTGCTCAGAGTAAAAGGCAGCCACTTGGGGAAGTGATTAAATGCACGTTTAAAACTCAGCCTCTGGGACAGCCCGGAGCACTGGGCTGCTCTGAGAGGTGTCCTCTGCTCAGCCAAGGTAAGGACAGGGTGGCCCTGGCGACAAGGGGAGCAAAACTGGAAATGGGACTTGACGGAAAGGAGAGTAGGGGACCATTGACTGAAACTAGAAAATGAAGAGGTGGAGATGATTTTGTGCAGAATCCAGTGGAGGGTTTGAGAGGCCAGAAGGCTGTGTGCATGGAGATGTTCAGCCAGCAGCCTGGAGCTGTGGAAGGGAGCCATCAGGACTCTGGCTGGGGAAGGAGAGCCTGAGGACTCAGCCTGGCTCCTCCTTCTGCCTCACTCCCCCTCTTCACCAATTGGCAGGTTTGCTAATTCTACCTTTTATGTATTCTTAAATCTTTTCCTTCCTGCCTACTACTTGCAACCATATGTCCTCATAATCTCTTCCTTAGATGACTGCCTTCTCACAGGTCTCCCCTGCCAGCCTCTGCTCCTCTTAGATTCACCCTTCACACCATCACCAGTCACTTGCCTGAAATGAAATTCTCAGGATCTCCTTTGCCTTCTCAAAGCCTGTCCCATGCTGGAATCCCTCTCATTCTTCAAGACTCAGCACAGGCATCCTGTCCTCCAGAAGGTGGTCCCTGAAGTTCCCAGGCTCAGCCAGGAGGGCCCTGTGCACTTAAAGGTCATTAAGTGTCCTGTGTGACCACACCAAACTGCAATTGCCTAGCGGTTATTATGTCTTCCTCCCCTGTAGCCAACCCCTCAGAGCTGCAACCATACCTGGACGTCTCTCTCCTCAGCACCTATCCCAGTCCCTGGAGCATACAGGCATTCAGTTCTTCTTGGGAGGGAGAGAGAAAGGATGGAGGACGAGATACTAATCTTGAAACATGTCTGTATATGGTGGGGTAGCAGCCAAGTTTCCCATATCCTACTTGAGGGGGGCTTGGCTTCCTGCTGAGTCAGGAGAACTCAGGGCTAACTCCTGGCTTTGTCACCACCTAGCTGTCTGACCTTGATCAGGCTGTCTAACCTCTATGGGCCTCGGGTTTCTCATCTAATAAAGGGGTTGGGCCAGATGAACTCCACAGTTCCTTCAGCTCTGATTCTAAGGGCACCATAGGTCTCCTGACCATAGGGGTCTTGGCTGCGTCTCTGCACCCAGGGAATCACCTCCCAGAGCCTCTAGCATTTTCCCTGCCCTGAACCTACCTCCCTGGTCCCCTGACTTCCTTCTCCCTGAGCTGGAGAAGCCCATGGCAGCCTCATTAAGTGGCACTGACTGTCACAGCCTTGCCCATGGAGACTACCAAACAGTTTTCAATGGAAATTAAACATACTTGGCTTCTCTTCTAAGTTTAACCAGCTATTTTCTGGAGCCATGATTACTTTCTCATTAAGAGCAGAAGTCCAGATGGCCAGGTCTTTGGATCTTCTTTATTGTCTTCTTTAAAAGCTCATTAAATTCCTCTTCCCACCCACTGCTAGAGAGGAGTCCACCAGGCCTCTGGGAAGCCCAGTCCCTCCTCCCATAAGCAGCCCCTCCTCCCTGCCAAAACTGGGCAGCAACCTCTATGAATAATGAAGCCCTGCTGACCTCAAACCAGGCCACCTTTCCTTGGACCTGTGCCACTTGTGGAGACAGGAGATGAAGGACACAGTCTCTCTCCTCACGTTTCTCATGGTTTCTTTAAAAATGCAAGAAATAGCTATTGACGAAGATTGAGATAAGTTGCAGAATACACATCCCACTCCTGAATCATTCTTTTATCTCCCAACAGAATAACCCCCACTGGATAGGGACCTCGTCTTGCTCACTCACCAGTGGATTCCCTCCTCTTGTACATACCAGGCATTCAATATATCTGTTGAACGAATAAATAAATGTCATCTTCCTTGTCATATCCCCAGCTCCTAGAACAGCCTTTGAATCAACAAATTCTTGCTAAAAAATGAATGAATAATGAATGAATGAATGAATGACTTGCACAATGCTTTGAAAGATGAAGAGGAGTTAACCAGAAATGAAACAAAAAAGGAAAGGGGCAAGCAATCCCAAGAGCACAGAGGATAGCATTTGCAAAGGCAGAAGGAAGTGTGGAGCTTCCAGGGAACAGTGGCTTGTTGGAAGTGGCCCAACATTCTATCTGAAAAATGAGTTTAATCGAAGATTTACAGGAAAGTGGCAGAGGACAACCTAGCTTTTCTCACTTCTTTCCCTTCTACCATCAGCTTATCTCCTTTAGATCATTAACAAAGTCACAGGGACTTCATATTTCCACAATATTAACCTCAATCTTTGTTTGCAAGCAACAGAAACTTCAAACTCCTCAAGCTAAAAAGTAAGCAGGTGTCGGAGATGGTTCTTGCTATTTATCTATGTTTCTATGTATACATGTGTGTATGTCTGTATTTATATCTATCTCTCTCTAATCTTGAGTTTACTTCCTTCTGAAGTAACCTCATTCTCTCCCACCTAAACAGCTTCCTCTTTGCAACCAGGGGAACAGGTTTGCATGGCCCCCACAGTGTTGGAAGCACTCATATAACATCCAAATAAAAATACTAGGAGAGGGCAGGATGTAGTGGCTCAGCCTGTAATCCCAACATCTTGGGAGGCTGAGGCAACCAGATCAGTTGAGGTCAGGAGTTCTAGACCAGCCTGGCCAATATGGTGGAATCCCATCTCTACTAAAAATACAAAAATTAGCCAGGTGTGGTGGTGTGCACCTGTAATCCCAGCTGCTTGGGAGTATGAGGCATGAGAATCGCTTGAACCTGGGAGGCAGAGGTTGCAGTGAGCCGAGATCACACCAGTGCACTCCAGCCTGGGTGACGGAGTGAGACTCTGTCAAAAAAAAAAAAAAAAAAAAAAAAAGCCCAGGAGAGGATTTTGATTGGTTCTGGTTGATCATATGCCCACTCCAGATCAATCTCTGCAAATATTGGCCAGCCTGGGTCATGTGCCTTCCCATGATGGACAGTACTGTGACTGACAGACTCAAGAGAAAGAGAGGAGTGTTCCCCCGAAGGAAGAGATGCAAGAGATGCTGGGGAAAAATAAAACCACAGATCCCACCACATCAGCCATGCACACATCCCAAGCAGCCAGGTGCCATGTTGGGACACATTGTAGTCATGTCCAGCTGTCCTTATTCAGCAGAGGAGGAGGTAAGCTTTGTATATGTACTTTTTGTCTTACACTAGCCTCTTCTCTGGGGCTCAGTTTCTTCATCTGTAAAGTGAGTATGCTGGGCTAAATTCATCTTTAAAAGTCCCTTCCAAATAGGACAGTCTGGTATTTCTCAGAAGTTTACATTTCAAGGCTTGCTAACTTATCTTGGATAATGGAAACGTCTGTTTCCTTGATTGATTAATTCATGAGGTAAGCTTGGATATTTTATCTTTCTTGTTCTTAGTCATTTCAAAAACACTGGATGTAAGTTCAGCAAAGGAATCCAATCTCTTTCCCAAAGTAAATTTTTTTGTCTCATTCAGAATTGGGTAATTTGGATCATCCTCTTTGGAAGAATGAGATATTTGAGATGAAGTACTTTAGATCCATCCCAATTTTTAGTTCTTCGGCCCCAAATTTTATTATTTTGAATTGATCCTGGGAGCTATGGAAAGGGAAATCATTCCTCCTTAAGGTTATCTGAAACCCACTTGACTTTAGTAGAGAATATTTCAGGTTAGTGTCTGTAAGCCTGAAACTACTGTTGTTATTTTATATTTACTGAGCACCATGATGTCCTTGTAAGGTGCAGAGAAATCAGAAACACAGATCCATTAGCCATTCACAGTGCTGTGGGACTGTGTGCCTTTTCCGAGCACATCCATCTGCTCCTGCACCCCTAAAAACCCTGGCCAGAAGCAGGACAGATCCAGAAAACAGGGCACAAAGAAGGACTATGATGTACTCATAGTTAACAGCTAGTTGGGCATGCTAGAATATGAAATCCAAGTGTCTGAATTCCAGTTTAGCTCCCCTTCGATATAATCATCCCATCTCCCCTTCTCCTCCAACCACATTCAAAGCCTCCTTCTCCCAGACCCAGAACCAAGCCCCAACCCTCCCTCACCCAGCTCCCAAGGCTTGTTGATAATGTCATGACCCTGGCCACTGGCCTCACTGAACCTTTCAATCTTGCCTCCCACAAGCATCTTGAGTTGGCACTGTGACTTCCAGGCACCTATGCTATTTGCAGAGAATGCCCTTTCCTTAATCCAAGCCCAATAATCTAAATGTTTGACTCCCTGAAGGACCGTCTAACACAACCAAGCCTTTGTTTGATGGTGGAGCCTGCCTCCCCTCATACCCGTCAGCTGTCTGAGGCCCACGCCCACAGCCCCACTCACCTGCACACAACGGAAGACCTGTGCCTGTCTTCTACAGCTGCGAGAGGGCCACAGAGGATGTGGGCACTGTCCACTGGCCCCGGGGGCTGAGGGAGTCTTCGGAGCCCGGCTGGCATTACTCGCGACTTCTGCAGCTGGTAGGATCCTGGGTTGCGGAGGCAGCACCTGCGTGGTATATCTTAGATCACTGGCTCAGGTAGCAAGTGATTCAACTTCTCCCCAAACCCCCTGCCACCCCTCCAGAGGAACCCTGTTCCTCAGAGATCATGGGTTTCTTTGATGGGCTTGAGTGGCTAAGGTCTGACATGGTGAACAAAACCTAACTTGAGAAGAACCTCAACTGTCTTCCTGATCATTTTCCCAAATAGTCTAGTACAAACCATATCCAGCAAGCCACTTCTTCTTGTATTCTTTCACTCATAAAAATATTTATTGGAGGCCAGGTGCGGTGGCTCATGCCTGTAATCCCAGCATTTTGGGACGCCAGTGCGGGTGGATCATGAGGTCAAGAGATCGAGACCATCCTGGCTAACACAGCAAAACTGCGTCTCTGCTAAAAATACAAAAAATTAGCTGGGTGTGGTGGTAGGCGCCTGTAGTCCCAGCTACTCGGGAGGCTGAGGCAGGAGAATGGCGTGAACCTGGGAGGCGGAGCTTGCAGTGAGCCAAGATCACGCCACTGCACTCTAGCCTGGGCAACAGAGCGAGACTCTGTCTCAAAAAAAAATATATATATATATATGTGTATATGTATATACACATATATATACACACACATATATATACACACACATATATATACACACACGTATATATACACATATATATATACACACACACATATATATACACACACACAAATATATATACACACACACACATATATATATATATAGGAGGTCGGGAGCAGTGGCTCATGCCTGTAATCCCAGCACTTTGGGAGGCTGAGGTGGGTGGATCATGAAGTCAGGAGATCAAGACCATCCTGGCCAACATTATGAAACCCTGTCTTTACTAAAAATACAAAAATTAGGCGAGCATGGTGGTGCACGCCTGTAGTCCCAGCTACTCAGGAGGCCGAGGCAGAAGAATCACTTGAACTCTGGAGGCAGAGGTTGCAGTGAGCCGAGATTGCGCCACTGCACTCCAGCCTGGGCGACAGAGCCAGACTCCATCTCAAAAAAACAAAAACAAAAACAAAACAAAACAAACAAACAAAAAATTTACTGGATTTCACTATATTTTTGGAACATTAAAGAAGCTGACATGCTTTTCTAGAACACTCACTTTCCCCATGCCTCAAAGCCCATGATAAACGCTCCCTCATTCAGGAAGCCCCTCCTACAATTTCTATTTTAATTAAATTAGTGGCACAGAGAACCATGAGGGCTTACTGCTCACAGTTGTCACCTAATGGCCAGACTTCTCTCAGCCACTGGTACTGCAGCTAACTCTGTTAGCACTTGACTAGATGTGGTCTGAAATGTCTCAGAGCCAGGGTCTTTGATTCTCCTCTCCCCACCCAGAACCCTGCAATCCATCACACTTTCTGAGCCCATTCTTTCTTGCAGGATCTCTCCTCCCTCACTTGCAGAGGATTTCATAAGCAACCCTGCCTGTCTTTTTGCTGCTTACTCTGGTCTTCTGCACGTGGGAACCAGATTCATCTTCCTAACAAAGCACTGTGATTGTGCCCTGCACTGACTCAAAAACAGCCATTAATTTTCCACTGTTCATAGGATTCTTTCAGTCATTCATCAAGTGCTTGTTGAGGACCTACCATATACCAATTACTCTGCAAGACCCTGAGGATACAGCCGTGAGCAGAATCGAATTGCAGTGTAGATGGGAAGAGCCACACAGGCGAGCAAAACAGTGATGTGATGAGTGCTGTCCTAGGAAGTACATAGGGGTGTCAGGGAGGTGTAGACCACGAGCACCTCACCTGGGCGGGGAAAGGTTTCCTGGGGTGAGACAGCTAATCTGGGCAGAAACTCCCTTGTCTGCACTCAAGCTCTAGGCCCCTTTTCCTCCAGGCTGTCCCCACTCAGTGTTGGCTCTGAGTAAGGCACTCCTTAGCCAACTTAAACACCCTGCCCACTTGCCTTCCTCCCAGTCCTCAGTTCTGAATCCTTTCTCCATGTGTGGGACTGAAACTCCAGCAGGGCAGGACCAGCAGTCCTTCAGCCAAGTCCAGCCCCACGGTCAACACAGGATGGGCCCACATGATGTATTTTAAAGGTTTGAATTAGGTGCTCTGGCAGAGACCGTCAGGGCTGTAGCCAGGCCATGGCTGCCCCACTAAGAATGACATTTCCTCACCAGTTATAGGACACGCATGAAGCTGAGGTGGGCCACTTCCAAGGCTGGGCTTTCACAATGCTGCACGTGCCCCCCCACCCTCATCGCCCTTTCCTCTATTCCCCCAGCTGACACCTGGGCAGGTGGTGACCCAGCCTTGATCATGACCTTTCATATTATGACCAAGACATGCAAAAGACACCACCGTCCTGGTCCCTTAAGCCACTGTATTGTTGGCAGGGCAGCACAGGCTTATCTCGATGAATACAGTTGCCAACGTGTCAGATTTCAGATTTCCAGCATCCACCAAAAAAGTGGAAGATCTAGCAACACTACGTCCACAGTCCTGCAGGGCAGCAGTCAGCAGGCACCGAGTCAGTTTGCCACAGACCCAGCCATGCCTGGTGATCTGAGGTCTGGTGTCCCTGCCACAGCCCTTGAACTGTTGCTTTTCTGACCCTTCACCCTTCTCTATAAACTGACTGATTCTTGCAGACAACTGTAATTTAAAAACAGCCCTGCAGCTTATTTGAAGCATTTGAGCCTCTGAGTAGAACATGACTCAGGGAATCCAACTGCTGGTGAACCTCTTGCCTGCCTCTTCTCTCAGGACTTTGTGCCACTTAAAAACCCATACCTAGGCTCGGCACAGTGGCTTATGCCTATAATCCCAGCACTTTGGGAGGCCAAGCCGGCAGATCACTAGAGGCCAGGAGTTTGAGACCAGCCTGGCCAACATGGCGAAACCCTGTCTCTACCAAAAATACAAAAATTAGCCGGGTGTGGTGGCACGTGCCTGTAATCCCAGCTACTCTGGAGGCTGAGGCAGGAGAACTGCTTGAACCTGGGAGGCAGAGGTTACAGTGAGCCGAGATCACACCACTGCACTCCAGCCTGGGCGATAGAGCAAGACTGCCTCAAAAGAAAAAACAAAACAACAAAACAATAGAAAACATCCACATCAGTTATTTCAATCCTGGTTTAAGACCTAAATCAGACCCAGTGCCTAACAAATATTCTGTGTGTCCCCTTTACATCCCTGAAATTAAATTAATATTACCCACCTACACACACAATTTTAAAAATCAGTATAATGCCCTAATTGAAATATAAAAGAGAAATAAAAGTCATTTATGATGACATCATATGTGTTTCAATATGTTAAAGTTTGGTGCAACTACCTTAGCAGCCAGCAGGAAACAGTCAGATACTTGCTTGCAGAAAAAGCACCACCGCAAATCTGACAGCTGCAAATGCAGATTGGTACAGGTGTATGTGGTTTGGGTAACTCAAATACCACAAGTGGCATTGGCATTAGGGATGTGATTTTTTCAAAAGGTGAACAACACAAAATCTAGTTTATCCCTGATTCTCACAACAGTTGCATTCCTGGAAAAACTTCACGCATTTAAAAATATGCAACTAATACTCCATGGTCATGAGTCAAATGGAGTTTGATTTTAGGCTCAGATTATTCTGAACATGTTCTCCACTCAAGAATGCACAGTGGGCTGGGTGCGGTGGCTCATGCCTGTAATCTCAGCACTTTGGGAGGCTGAGGTGGGCAGATTGCCTGAGGTCAAGAGTTCGGAGTTAGAGACCCATCTGGCCAACATGGTGAAACCCCATCTCTACTAAAAGTACAAAAAAAAAATTAGCCAGACATGGTGTGCAGCTATAATCCCAGCTACAGCTACTTGGGAGGCTGAGGCGGGGGAATTGCTTGAACCAGGGAGGTGGAGGTTGCAGTGAGCCGAGATCATGCCTCCACACTCCAGCCTGGGCGACAGAGCAAGACTCTGTCTAAAAAAAAAAAGAATGCACAGTTGGCACCCAGCCATTATGCAGGACAGGAGCAGTTCTTCATTGGGAGCGTCACCCAGAGCATTGCAGGCTGTCTAGCATTTCTGCCTTTTCCCGTTAAATGGCGAGACCATCCCAACTCAACCATTAAGACAACAAAATTCACCCCCACAGATGCTTTCCCAATGAGAATCACTGCACCAAACCAAGAAGACACACAGAGAGGTGAATGGGGATATTGGGTAGGACTCCAAGATTTTCCTCAGACCTCAAAGATAATGAGACATCACCTCAACATGATTTCCTGTGACTATCCAGACTTGTTAGGCTTTTTCTTCAGCAAAGGAGTCAGGAATGAACAGAAAAGACTCTAGTAGACTCCAAGGTGAGTGTCCCGTTGGCTTTTCCCTCTCTGGACCCTGGGAGAAGAGGAGGAGGTAGATGACTGCTCGGCAGACAAGCTCTTCCTCCCCACCCCACTCAAACCCAACAAGACAAACTTCACTTCTTGATTTCTGTTTTTAAAAAGGAAGAACAAATAAAGCAAGAGGCTGAAACTGAATGAAATTCAGTTCTCCTGTCCCTCACATCTCCTGTCTATTAATAGCCTCTTTGAATGAGTCACATTGAGACATTTATTGGCTGTCTCTGAGAGTGCTTTTACCCAAAATAGTTCCCAAGCCATGTTTCTATGCTGCTGTGATGCTGGGACAGCCAACACAGGCGCCGTTTCTCAAAGAAGAAACATGCATGTAAATCAGGTTTCACCTGGGCGGGCTGGGCCGGGGCCCAGAGTCAAAATACCAATCGGCCCCTCACAAACTTAAAATACTGAGGGCATGAATGCTTCATCCTCCGGACTCTCCCCCAGAGACCAGCCTCCTGGCGTCTCCTTGAAGAAGCACCTCATTGTCTCCACAGACCTTGGTGTTGTCTCAACTCTTACATGGTTTCTTTAATGGCTTTTTGGGGGAATGCTGTTGTGCTTCCACATGTGTGTACTGAGGGGACAGGGACAGAGAGAAAACAAGTGAGATGTTATTTCTCCCAGGACCCTAGAGCCAGGGTCTGCTCCTCCTTGTCCCTCAGAGCCTAATCCCCTCAGGGCAGGTGCCTCACTTTCCTCATTTCATGCCACCCCAGCCCCTCATTTCCTCCTCTGTCCCAAGCCATTTTTAACTGTCTGACTGGGAAGGATCTGACCTGACAGGACAATTAAATATTAATACTGTGATTGAAGAGTCTGTGTGTAAATCAATTAAAAATAGGACATGTGGGGCTCAGATATTTTTAACCTATTTTTTCTTTCTGTCTGGAAAACTCTTGCTGCATAGCTCAGACCCGGGTGCCTTGGGGCTGGGATGGATTCTGGAAGGTGGGGAGGGCAGGCTGGGAAGCTGGTCACCACCGTCCTCAGATGGGTGCTGTGTGTAGGGGCTGATGTGGCCTTTCTCCTACCACGCAGAAAGAAGGGGGTTCCATGCACCAGTCCCCTCCTCCTCCATCAAAACCTCCCAGGACTAGCTGTCACTCTCTTTGGGCTCCCCTCCTGTGCCAGTTTACATCACGTTTGTAATTATTTGATTTTTTATTGCACTGTATTCTAGAATGTGAGGGAACACATTCTAGAGGGCAGGAACCATCCTCTCCATCTTTCCATACAGGTCCCCGCCCAGCTGGAATGTGCTGGGCACTTAATAAATGTTTGTGCAATGAACCAACAGCAAGACAATGACATCTGCCACTTGTTACAACTTCCTTATTTGAAATGGCAAACCTGTTTAATGACAATCCTTCTGCCCCTTCCAAGTCAACTCAAGGTAGCATGTGGGTGAAAACAGTTTACATGGAGAAAGTATAATGTTTATAAATAAACATTTATTCCATCATCTCTTTCTGTAAAAGAAGCAGAGTGGGCAGCTGCTCCCAGACCCCGAGATAAATTGATTACCCACCATCAGCAGGCACAGATTTTGGCTCTGAGCTTCCTGGAAGCCCAGGCCAAAAGGAAGACATTGTAGGCAACATGGTTTTCATTTACTCAGCCAAAAGATCACAAGTCAGTCTGCAGAGACAAAGTTTTTCCAAAACTCTCTAACTCAAGAGTGATTTGGTATGTGAATCCTTACACTGAAATCCTAAAGCAATTAGCCGGATATGGTGGTGGGCGCCTGTAGTCCCAGATACTCAGGAGGCTGAGGCAGAAGAATCACTTGAACCTGGGAGGTGGAGGTTGCAATGAGCCAAGATGGCACCACTGCACTCCATCCAGCCTGGGCGATACAGCAAGACTCTGTCTCAAAAAAAAAAAGAAAAAAGACAGAAATCCTAAAGCAAGCTTGTCCAACCCACAGCTCACGGGTCGCATGCAGCCCAGGATGGCTTTGAATGTGGCCCAACACAAATTTGTAAACTTTCTTAAAACATTAGGAGTTCTTTTGCAATTTCGGCTATTGTTAGTGTATTTTATGTGTGGCCCGAGACAATTCTTCTTCTTCCAGTGTAGCCCAGGGAAGTCAAAAGATTGGACACCCCTGTCCTAAAGTGTCATTTAGCTGTTCCTCAAATAAGCCACACTGACTTCTGCCACAGGACTCGTCCATCTCCTGGAATGTTCGGCAGAGCTTCTTGACATTCGCCTCCCTGCTCAAGTATCCCCTCAGAGCAGCCATCCTGCCCCCCAGCACCCACTCCTAGCACCACACTCGAACCACACTTTGCCTTCCTTTATTTCTCTCCGTTGCATTTACACTCACTCATCCAAGTCCTTTACTTATGTGTTTGTCTGCTTGTTTTCTGTCTCCTTCACTAGACTATAAGCCTCATGAGGGCAGGGATTTTGTCTGTTTGGTTCATTGCTGTATTCCCAGGTCCTAGATTAGCACTTGCTATCTAACAAGCGTTAAATATATATTAGCTGAATTGTGACTCGAGGACATTTTCAAGCAGGATTTTTGGAAGTGACAGAAACACTGTTTTAAAAGAAGACTCCTGTAATTATGAAGACTGTCTGATGAGTATGATATAAAATGTTCCAGGTACTTTGATTTCTTATAATACAATTTCATACAGGGATAGAATGTGGAGGATCTATAAATGGGTTGCATTAACAAGTTCCTGGGTCTGTCATCTGTCTCAAACATCAGGAGCCTAAGTGAGATTTGGCAAGTCTTCTTTCACTCAGGGTCTGCTCTTAATTGGACTTCCCAGCAACTACTCCAAGTACAGCTCTTCAAGACTGCTTAAAATGTGAACCTTCTGGTTTAGCTACCGGACAACAAGGCAACACCTGCAGATGCTTAAGAGCTGGATTTACAGCCTCATCCTCCGAAAAAGAGAACTAACTTCAGCAGGAACAAGGACAGCTGGAGTAACTACAGGCAGAGCCAGTGCCTCCTGTAAGAGAACTCTGAACACTGTCTGGAGCTCACACAAGTTCCTGGAATAATGCTTTAAGTTCTATAATCTGTAATGCCTTGAAATTCTATATCTGTATGATATATAATCTGTATTAGTTATCTGTTGCTGCATAACAAATTATCCCCAAAGATTAGCAGCTTAAAATGACCAACATGTGTCATCCCATAGTCTCCGTGGGTCAGGAATTTGAGAGCAGCTTAGCTGGGTGGTTCTGGCTCAGGGTCTCTCACGAGGTTGATGTCAAGATATTGGCCAGGGCTGCTGTCATCCAAAGGCTTGACTGGGGCTGGAGAGTCAAGGTGGCTCACTCATGTGCCTGCTGACAGTTTCTCACTTTGTTCTCCTCACCACCAGGGCCTCTCCAGAAGGCCACTTGAGGGTCTTTATGTCATGACAGCTGGCTTCCCCCAGAACAAGTGATCTGAGAGAGTGAGCAAAAGGGAAGCCTCAATGCCTTTATGGCCTCATCTCAGAAGTCAAACAGTCTCTTCCACTATGTTCTATTTGTTGAAAGTGAGTTGCTAATTTCAAGCCATATTCAAGTGAAGAAAAATTTAGCTTCACCTCTTAAAGGAAGGAGAATTAAAGAATTTGTAGACATATTTTAAAAGCAGCACACCAGCTAATGTGAAGAAAGTGGTCTCAGCAGGAGAAATATGTGCAATAGCCATTACCAGGCAGAGAGGTTCTGTGTAAGAGGAAGCATGATGCACTGAGAAGATCCTGGATGAAGAATTAGACATTCCAGGACTCACATCTCAAACCCATCACTTAACAGCTGCATGAATTCAAAGATGTTTACCTTCTCTGGGCTTCAGTTTTCCCTTGTTTAAGATGGAGATAATGTTACTCATTTTGCTGAAATACTACGAGAAATAGAGAAAGTCCGTGTCAATCTCTCTGGGCACACAATAAATACTCAAAAAATGGTAGGTCTTATTAAATTGCGCCATGACACCTCTGTGAATCCTTAATTCTTGAAGAATTATAAATGGGTATACTGTACAATGTAGGAAAATGGATAAACCACTAAAGAGTATTACCTAAGATATGCCACATAAATGGCAGTAGATGTTTATCTAATATAGTAATTTTGGTTTGATACTCAGCTTATCCATCTGGGATATTTATGTGTGCGTGTGTGTGTGTGTGTGTGTGTGTGTACACTGTGCCCCTAGTTCTCCAATAACATTTAAACGGCTTACAAAAATACCAATTGCAGCCAGTCATGGTGGCTCACACCTATAATCCCAGCACTTTGAGAGGCTGAGGCGGGAGGATTGCTTGCGTCCAGGAATTTGAGACCAACCTGGACAATGTAGGGAGCGCTCATCTCCACAAAAAATACAAAAATCAGCTGGGCATGGTGCAAGTACCTGTAGCTCCAGCTACATGGAAGGCTGAAGTAGAAGGATCACCTGAGCCCAGATTGAGGCTATAGTGAGCTATGATTGCATCACTGCACTCCACCCTGGACAACAGAGCAAGACCCTGTGTCCAAAAAAAAAAAAAAAACACCAATCTCAGCTGGGTGTTGTAGTGTGTGCCTGTAGTCTCAGCTACTCAGGAGGCTGAAGCAAGTGGATCCCTTGAACCCAGGAACTCAAGCCCAGCCTGGGCAATATTGCAAGACTCCATATCTATTTTTTAACGAATTGCAGAATAAAGTCATTGGAAACAAAATGTTATGGCCATGTGCAGTGGCTCACGCCTGTAATACCAGCACTTTAAGAGGCCAAGGTGGGAGGACCACTTGAGCCCAGGAATTTGAGACCAGCTTGGACAACATAGTAAGACCCCATCTCCACAGAATTAAACAAATAGTCAAGCGTGGTGGAGTACATCTGTAGTCCTAGTGGAAGGCTGAAGTGGGAGGATCACTTGGACCCAGGAATTCAAGCTTACCATGAGCTATGATTGTGCCACTGCACTCCAGCCTGGGTGACAGAACAAGATGTTATCTTAAAAAAAGGAAAGGAAAGGAAAGGAAAGAAAGAAAAAAAATTTTTAAAGTATGCTATGAAAAACAAACAGAAACCCAGGAATATGCAAAGCACAAATCAGAGGAGAAAAAAGACTAAAGTGAGGAGGAAAATAAAAATAATTTGAGACAAAATTTTGGGCTCTAAGCCAAAATGAACAGAGGACCATGATCAGGGTCACAAGGAGATACTAAGTACTTTTTCTAGAGCTTGATTCTAAAGGGAATGTCTCATGAGAAAGTCACCATAAAACACACAGAAAGATGTAAAACTATCCCTAGGGGAGCTATAATCACTATATTTTTAAAGCCTATGGCATCCTATGAGCATGCAGAAGACATGATCTCAAAGCTACCACTTGATAATGGCAATTCTGCAGGGGTCATGTCTGCTTGGCATATCTAGAAGAGTGCATGGAAGACAGCCTACATGTCTTTTGGTAATACTTACCTAGTATCCAAATTAAGATAGTAAGAACAATAGTATGCATTTTTTGAACACTTACGAGGGATCAGGCAATAAACTTGATGCTCTCCATGCATGGTCTAATTCAATCTTGACAATATCCTGTGAGATTAATACAATAATTAACCCCACTTTCAGAGGGGGAAAGTGACACACAGAGACTCTGGATCACACAGATTGCGAGAAGAGTCCGGATCTAAATCTGGGCAATCTAGAGTCTGTCCTCTGAAAGTTCTCACTGTGAGCCTGGAATACTGGGGACTGAGATGCAAGTGGAGGTGGGTGAGGACACCTGGAAGGCAGGGATGAGGCTCTCCAGCAGGGCCTGCTGGGCGGTGGCCTGTGTTAATTGAGGAGCCCCAGGATGACAAGCATCAGAAACAAGAAGGGTCTCAAGAGCCAGAGGAAACTCCCATTACCTCTCATTGTTCTGTCTAAAACTATAGTGTTGCCCTAGTTCTGCTAGCTCTGGGGCTCACACAAAAGACTACAAAGGCATCTCAGTGGCCTGGGAGCCAAGGATGTGGTTCTTAGATGGACACTCCCCAAAAAGAAGTCCATAGCCAAATAAGATCAGAAAGGCCACCAAGATCTATTAGCATAATAAAGGCCCTGGGACATTCTGTAGTCAAGAAATCTATTTAACATCCTTTCATCTGGCATTGCCCAAACTTTGTATTGTTGAAGCATGTGTTCACATCCTGCAGCACTAGCAAATGCTGACCTAAAAGATCTCTAAGTTCTCTCAGTTCAAGGAGTCCATAGTTTTAGTTCTTCTTTAAAAAAAAAAAAAAGCAACAGTAAGAACAAGGAATGAAAAGGCAGAACGCCTAAGCTCAATTTCAATCTCTGCCCCTGGTTAGCTGGAAAACCTGAGTTAAAAAAACATCATTTACTCTCTCAGAGCCTTGGTCTTCTTATCTGTAAAATGGAGATAATGATGGTGTCTCTATCATTATGCTGTTTTGAGAATCAAATTAGGTAATATATGCACTCTGAAACAATGTATAAATTATAACTTGGCATATGAGTCAGCTATTACTATTGTAAATTAAAAACACAACAAAACCAGAAGTTGAACCTGAAAAGGTTTTGATCACCTGGTTATCTGTTCGGGGCTCACCATAGCTCTGCTTGCCCTTAGACTTTGTAGTAATGACACGCATTTTCCAAATGGAGCAAATCCCTTGAATTCTCTTTCCCATCCTTCAGATTGATACTTTCAATGTCACTTCAATTTAGTATTTGGGTCGGGAAGAGAAATAAATTAAAACCAAACAAATGGTTTGTTCTTCTACACAGCAAACCTCTGGTTGAATGAGTTTGAAGGTTTTCATTCAGTGCCAAAAGCTGGTGGTCAAATTAAAAACAGCACAAGACAAAAGGAGACTACTAAGAGAGGAGAAATTCATTGGAGAAAGCCGAATTCCAGTACAGCAAATCCCATACAGACAGTCCTAAGACACAACTCTTTAGGGACTAGAAAACATACCAATCCCTCCAGAACAGCTCTCTTTCTGGATAGAATGCTTCTTTTTTACTTCTGAGTCTGGTAGCTGGTGAGATAAAGTGATTCTGGCCCAGACAACACCTTCCTGTCTTCTGCGCATAATAAATAATATAAGTTTATGTCATGAGAAAAGATCACTCCCCAAATTCTTCCACCCCATTTGCTTATTTTCCTCTTTGGACTTTACCCAAGCCATGACTCTCCCACTCAGCCAGTTCAAAGAAACCTTTCATTTGAAAGGTTTCTAATTTGAAAGATTTCTAATTTTGAAAGAATTAGTGTTTCTAATTTTGAAAGAATCGTATCTTTCATGATACAGTGAAGCTAAAGGTCCAATATGGAGTCTGCATGATGAAACTTTTTTTTTTTTTTTTTTTTTTTGAGACAGTCTCGCTCTGTCGCCCAGGCTGGAGTGCAGTGGCACCATCTCGGCTCACTGCAACCTCCGCCTCCCAGGTTCAAGCAATTCTCGTGTCTCAGCCTCCCAAGTAGCTGGGATTACAGGCCTGCACCACCAGGCCTGGCTAAATTTTGTACTTTTAATAGAGACAGGGTTTCACTATGTTGGCCAGGCTGGTCTCAAACTCTTGACCTCAGGTGATCCACCCGCCTTGGCCTCCCAAAGTGCTGGGATTACAGGCGTGAGCCACCATGCCCGGCCTGAAACTTTCTAATGATTGTTTTACTCTGTAAGAATATTTCTGATTCTGGCTGGATCACTGACTTAACATTGAAGGAAGTTATTGGACTCATTCTCAGTAGTAACTGGGATTCCTCAGAAGAAGAGTTAGAATTGTTGAGAAATGAAATAGTTCTTCCCAGGGCAAGTTATAGCCCCAAAGATACAAAATGATGGTGCCATGAGTTGGAAACTATGGTTTCCTGCATTTTTATCTATGGTGTGCAATCAAAAGTCCAGGTTCTGCATTTCTAAAATGTCCTGGTTAATGACATTTCACTCACAACTTTTTTTTCCCTTTTGATTTATGGAAAATGTGAAGCATTCGCACAGGGAAGAAAATACAGCCTCTTTTCATTTTGCTTAAACCCAGGAAGGCTTTATTCAGTAGCACCTGTTTGGGTGGACTTCAACAAGCTTCTCCAAAATAGAAACGTTCCATTAGTAAACTGTTTAGGAAATAGACCGTGCTCAGAAATGAGCCTGCTGAAAGAGCTGCAAAGTTATTCTGCCGTTTCATCCTTGCTTATTTTCCCCCCATGGAGTTTCATGTCTTATTTTTAAACTATGTTTCACTTTAAGTGACAAAGCAGCCCTTTGGAAATTATATATAAAGTCTATTATTTTAATTTGTTTATTAAAAATTATTTTGTCTCTTAATTAGTGTTAGATCCAAAAGAGTGCTGCTATGTTTATTTACATATGTATAGACATATGTACATATATGTTATGTATATTTCTTGCTATGCATGTAATATATAAGCATTGTACATTATATATTATATAACTCAGATAATATATAATATTTATATATAAATGTTTATATGCTATGTATATTTACATATATACACACATGTATATATGTGGATATATAAATAAAGCACTAAGCATGGAACATATACATAAAGCACTAAGCATGATATATATATATGCTTATATATAATATATATAATATATGTATTATATTATATATAATTCCAGATATATAATGTATGCTTAATCCTTTATGTATATTTTCCAGTCAGTCCTTACAATTCTGTAATGCAATTGTTAGTTCTCCATTTTTCAAGCAAAGAGCCTCATTAGAGAATTTGCTTCTCTAGCCCAAGGATGTGCAGTCATAACAAACTTGGTATTTCACCTCAGTGCTGATTCTAGAGCCTGTGTTTTCCCTCCTGTCCATCATTCTGATTTTCTCACAGCTAACAATATAGGAGCATCAGATATTCCTGTATTGGATGGAACAGAAAGGAAGCTAAGAGCTCATCCACTTCACCTTCATTTTATGGGAGGAATGGGAGCCCAGAGAATTGAAATGACTTGCTCAAATGTACGTAATTAACTGACAAGAGCCGTCACTTCTCAGCATCTCCTTTTACTCCAGAATTCTACTCACATAGTAGAATCTCACTCAATGTGAGAGTTTATTGGAATTTACTCCCCCAAATGAAACTAGATTTATTTTATTTTCTTTATATGTAAAGGAATTCATGATTTAAAAAACAGCATTCACTCTGTCCACATAAAATCGTGAATATGCACAAAGGGATGTATGAAAGATGAACTCTAAAATACTCATGGTAGTTATCTCCAGGTAGTGGGATTTCAGATTATCTGTCTCTTTCTCTATACTTTTTTGTGTTTGAACGTATATATATATATATAATTAGAACATGCAATAAGGTCAGATGCTCAGTTAATAACCCCTTGTGTAGTTTTTCTAACATTCTCATGTTCATGTAACAATATAAAAACATGTATACATGTATTTAAGGGTTGTCAATATTTGTTTTACAAAAATGTTTTTTCCCTATACATTCTCTGAAGTTTGTTCTATCACTTAAAAACGTTTTGTGAAAATCTCTCCAAATCAATTGGTAAAGCTCTATTTAAATAGTGCCCAACATTACATGGTTAAGAATATGCCATGATTTTACCCATTCCCCTTTCAATGAATTCTCAGTTTGTTTCTTGATGTTTGCCACCACAAGCAATGCTGCAGTGAATATCCTTATACTGGTGGCTTTATTTCTATAGAACAGACTTCCAGTAGTTGAACTGGTAGTAAAGTCCTCCTTTGCTACTCTCTCCTCATTATTTTATGTGTATTCTTGGACATACATAGTCTTCCACATGAATCTTAAAAAATTCTGTATCTAATTAAATAAAAACCTTACTTAAATTCCACTTAAATTAAAATTCCATTAATTATACATGTTACTATTGAGGAAAATGACATTTTTATGGTGTGAAGTTTTCCTTTCCATACTATATATTTTGATTACTTTTCTGATCTTGCTTTAGATCATTTGATAAAATATTATAGCTAACTTCATATGGCTCCTGTGCCTTTCAGGTCTATATTTATATCCTGTAAAATTTTCATATTAATTCTAATATTATGATATTTCTTGAATTTTCTAGGTATAAAATTACATTACTAAAGTATGATCTTTCATCTCTTCTTTTTCCATATTTATGCAAAATATTTCAATTTTTGCCTTCTTGCATTTACTAGAATTAACTAATGTTGAATTTTGGGGATAATGAGCATGTCTTTTCTGTTCTTGATTTTAATGAAAATGGTATTCTCATTTCATTATTTATGATGATGTTTGCTATTGATATTTGTTCATCATTATCATATTTTCATACTTTTCTATTTATAACTTTACTTAGTTTTTTGACTAATAATGTGCTTTAATATACTGATATAATGAATTTCATTAATATATTTATTAATATTGAACCATTCTTATATTCTTGTATTTTTATAATAAGCCCTCCTTGGTCAAATATTATTACTATTATGATACATTGTTCTCTTTGCTCATTCTTTCTTAAACATTTTTGCAATAATATGTATTAGTATGCTTGCATGATAGTTTTCTTCTGTTTTAAACCTTTTAAAGCTTTCCCACTCAAGTTATTCTCAATTTATTCATAGGGAATTTTTTTCTTATTTTCACAGTTATGTGTATCTCTTATGGAATCCTGTAGCTAGAATTTTCTTCCTAATTTGTTTTTTAACTAATTTTTAACTAATTTAAAAGCTGAAGAAAACAATGATTTTAAAATGCAAGCCACTGTTTCCTGAAAAGACTGAAACTCAAATTCACTTTTGGTAGACTGTCCTTTTATTCTGGGAAAACCATATGAAGAAACCGTGTGGTTTCATAAAGTTTATTCAGAAAAAACCTAGTAAAATCATCCCTCTCCCAAAAGAAATATTTTTGCCTCAGAAGCTGAGTGTTCTGCAGGGTGATGCTAACATGTGTCTGCTTGTGCCAGAGCTCAGATTTCTGTAGACTGGGTTATGTTTTCTTCTGACTGGAGATTTCATGTTTGTTTTATGGTGAGGAGGGAGGGAAAGAGAAAAATAGGAGAAATGTTTTCCTTTTCTGAATGATTTAGAATGCACCCTATATCAAACGCATGAGGATTTTTAAAGCATAATTTGCAAGATGTAGAGAGCTGGAAAGAAGTGCTACAGGACCAAATCCCATGTATGACACAGTAAGAAAGAAATGGACTGGCCTAGGGCAGCTCTGCCTAAACCATTTTGTAAGATTAAGCCACCCAGAATCTGCTGAAGAGAAACCAGCTTGAGGTGGCTGTCCCACCCACTCCCCACCTGTGTGTGTAAAATGGCATTCCCCAAGAAAGAGGCAGTCATTCCCCCTTTGAAAAAATGCTGAGAAAGGGTAGATCCTAACACAAGAAATGGAGCCTGGGAAGCCAGGCCCTGAGTTGGGCTGAGGCAGAGAGCATTTTCTTCTCTCCTGACCTTGGGCAGTTGGGTCTGGACAGGAAGTCATGATGCAGGGGTGGGCAGGCCCAGCCAGTGGAGCCTGGCCCCAAAACCCTCTGCAGAGGCCAAGGATAGGCCCACCTGGACCTGTGAGCCCTGACAGTGGCCACCTCTAACATTAATTATGACCTATTCTCTACTGTGTCCTACTTCCTTTTTGATGTCCCCAGCCCTTCAGAAAATTCCTCTAAAGAGCACCAATACTGAGGGTAGTGAAGGAGGCTGCTCCCTCACTGTGGAGGAAGAAGAAAGCTGTGTCTTCTCTGCCACGCCACCTCCCCAAAAGCAGATCACTGTGGGAGTGTAGTTAGTCCCCCGCCTCTATCTCTCCAGGGTCTGCCTCAGTTGCAGGCAGTCTCCTTGCCCCTGACATTCCCTTCCTGGGCAGCTCTCATATGGAGACTGAGCAAAGCAGCTTATTAAAATCCTGGCCCAGGTGGCACAGAACATTTGAAGGGCAATGGTCTCTCCGGAGATTCTTCACCTGGTTGCCGGAAGCTTTATTGGGTCTGCATTGAAGCTGTCTTCCCAGGCCCTATTCTCTTTCTTTTCTTCCTTTCCAAGGTGTTGATCTCTAAAACACCATGAAGTCCTCTTGAAGAACGCTGTCCTTGCTTCTGCCTTTGGAAAACCCAAACTGCAAGGGCAAAGGGCACAGAAGCAGTGGTGTGCTGACAGAACAGAGAAGTGGCAGAAGAAGACTATAGCCTGCACCTGAGCTCCTGGAGGTGGGGGTGGGGAATCTCAGAAGTAATTGACAGGGTCAGATGAAGAAGACAGACCAGTGATCTGTGAACCCTTGTAGCGCACGGACCCTCTGACTCTGATCCTTGCCACCTGCCTTCTATGGCAAAAGAGACTGCTGTGTTTGTTCATCGATCAAACTCCTTCCCACAAGTTTCTCTTGGCCAAGAATGTCTCTTCAGCCCTGAGTTTCCCATTTACTAATAGGTCTTTGTCACTCCAAGTGACAAGGCTTCCCATCTCCTGCAGTCTTATCCTCTAATCCAGTTATTTCTGTTTTTGGAGCATAAACAATAACTCCCCAGGTTTACCCTTTTAGCTTCCCCAACGCTTATGCTTCCCTATTCTTTCCTCCAGTTAGAGCAAGAGCAATCAGACCAAGATTTCAGCTCATGTTTATCACACACCATCTCAACAAAATCTACTAATGCTTTACAAGCCCTCACAAGCATTTCCTGCAGGCTCCACCACTTTGAGAAAAAGCAAAGCTTTTGAATTATCCCTGCTAGTGGTGTGCTGGTAAAATCAGCTCTCTGAAAAGTACATACATACATAGAGAACAATATAGCATTTGCTGATTTCCAATTTTGGTGGTGTAAATGCTCATACCATAACAGATTTCAAGCTACCAGTGAAATTTCACAGGCTTTTACAACCAGCTTGTAAAGTTCCTGAGTATTTAACATTGGCTTTTGATATCCTGTAGGAGCTGGCTTCAGCAGCCACTGGCAGGGCTATCCTCCAATTCTCCAGGTCACCCCCAACCAGCACCCATCTTATTCTCTTAGCAATGTCCTTGACTAACATAATTTTGTCATGACAGCATTCACCATGGCCCACACTGTCTTAGAGACACATTGCCTATCTGATCTCATTTAATCCTCACAAAATCAACCATCTTTATCTCCATTTCACATATCATGGTTACTACTGGAGGCTTATCACCTTTCATCAGACCTGCACTACACATAAAACATAACACACTGCATTGTTGGGCAAAGCAGTGCAGCCCTCTTACAAGTATTTTTTTAACACAATAAAGTTCTTTCAAGTGTAAATTTATTTTTCCATGACAAAAATAATGAACCACTTTGCAAAGAAAATTGGAAGGCAACCATTAATTCTTAAATGTGTTAAGATTATTTGATGTCATGGTAAAATGTTTATGAAATATTACATTTTAAAAGTGTAGTATAGTAACCTACAATGTGATACCAATTCTGTAAAACAGTAAATGTATTAATGAAACACTCTAAGTAAAGGAAAAGTGAGTAGTTATCGCTCTTTTTTAGTATGTTTTAATTGATATATCATGGTTATATATATTTTTGGGGTACATGTGATATTTTGATACATGTATACAACATGTAATGATCAAGTCAGGGTAATTGGGATGTCTGTCACCTCAAACATTTATCTTTTTTTGTGTCATGAACATTATAATTCTTTCCTTGTAGTTGTTTTAAAATATACAATAAATTATTATTCATTATAATTTTTTAATTAAATATTTTTAAAATTTTTATTATTTTTATTTTTTTTAGAGACAGGATCTTGCTGGTCACCCAGACTGGAGTGCAATGGTGCAATCATAGTTCACTGCAGCCTCGAACTCTTGGGCTCAAGCAGTCCTCCTACCTCAGCCTCCAGAGTTGTTATCTATAATTTTGAACAGTAGTTATCTGTAACAGTGAGAAGCAAAGGTTTTCCTCATTTCCTCTTTTACAGTTTCTGTATTTTCCATAATTGATACATCATCACATATTACAATTATGATGAGAAAACATGATACATATTTTTATTTGGAAAATACATAAATAAAAACAAAATCTATGACCTCACCGTTCAGACTCAACATCTCTTCCATTTTGATGTCATGCGATGTTTCTGACGGAGGTTTAATTGAAATGAAACAGCATCAATAAGCATGGGCTCCACAGTCTTCCCACATCGCTCTGAGTGCCCGGGGAGGGACTGGGGACTCCCCCCACACATTAACCCACGAGGACCTCTCACATGGACCTTTTTACATTCTCTCTAATCTTTCCCAAAGCCTTGCAAGGTGGGAGTAATATTATTATTCCCATTTCAGAGATGACAAAACTAAGAAACTCGTCCTCTGTGAGTTTCTGTGCTATTAGGCTGTGTCTCATGTCCCCGTACAAAGTATCTTTGTATGGGAGGCCTAATGGTTAAGAGCATGGACTTCTGTCCGACAGAATTCATTAAGTTCCAGGCCAGACACACTGCCGCTCTCTGGGAATGTGTCCATGGGCTAGGGGTGGCACTGAGCTTCCATTCCATTTCTTATAAAATAATGACGACAAGATCGTTTTCCTTAAAGGGTGGCTGTGAGCCTTCAATTACACAGTGATGAAAAGACCTTAGCACAGTGCTGGGCAACGGCTAGCTACTTCAGAGGCACAGCTGAGACTTGCACAGAGGTACCTGGCTGCAAAGTCCGGCTCCTCTACACTCTGCAGAGCTGTTTTCCCCCTTCAGAGCTCCTCTCCTCCGGGAGGGCTTGCCTCGCCCCGGTCCAGGATCTCTGCCTTCGGTTGAAGCGCAGCGCCCCCAGCCGTCCGCAGGAGGGATCGACGCCTCTGTCTCCCCGAAGTGAGGGCGCTCGCTGCGGAGCTGGGGGTGGTCTCCTCTTCCCCCCATCGCGGCCCAGCAACCTGGGGGTCCGCGTGACTTCTCCCTGGCCGGGGGATGGAGGATGCGCTCTCCTCTGTCCCTTCAAGGCCTCTTCCTCGTCCCAGGTCGAGTCTCCTCCTTGCTGACCAGGCATCGCGAGCAGATGAATCCTCTGGGCGGTTGTCCCTGTCAGGCTGTCAGGACCTGATTTTCCCTGGTAAGCCTTCGTCAGGCAGGTGGCCTCGCCCAGGCCTCGGAAAATGTCAGGGCGCAAGCTGGGCACACGGCCCTCCCGCTGGCGAGCAGGCAGCGCGCGCGTTCTTTAGGATTTGGAACAGCCCTGCCAATTAGCTTGTACTCTGCCCACATGCGCAGGACTAAAAAGGAAGCAGGCCAGGCCCGAGCAAAATTAGACAATGGGCTCCCAGAACACCAAGGGCGAAGGCGGCCCGAGCACCTGCTGTTCTCGCCCCTCAGGGCTGAAATTGGGCATGGAGTTGGCGAGGGAGGCCTGGCAGGGAGGGAGGGGGTCTAGCTGTGCGTTTGCTACAGGGCCTTCTTCCTCCACGTTCCAGATGGGACTCAACGCGGGCTGCCCAGAGGAGGGGATGGGGAAGGGCCAAGCCCTGCGACTGGATTCTTTCCGGGCCACAGAGGGCGGGTGCTTA
The DNA here is from genome assembly GCF_000001405.40 of Homo sapiens. Lineage (NCBI taxonomy): Eukaryota > Metazoa > Chordata > Mammalia > Primates > Hominidae > Homo > Homo sapiens. The sequence goes on from NC_000001.11 coordinate 184,664,880, forward strand.
CAGCTGGGGTCAGGCACACTTCCGTTCTGCCTGGAGGACAGGACAGGGTGGTGGCTTCTCCAGATCCAGTGCTGGCCGCTCAGAGCCCATGTGTGGAAGACAGTCTGGTGCAGGGGTTGAGGATGAAGACTTTTGGAGAGAGGCGCATGCGGGTTCTTGTCCCACGTTCCTTATTGACCCACTCTGCAACCTCGGTTACTTGAGAAAAGTTAAGATTCCTTTCTCCAAAAAGCAGAGACAATACAAATTTCTAACTTGTAAGGTACCCTGTGAGAATAAGAGGAAATGAAATGTGGAATCCATATAGTATCTGCTTATAGAGTTACTGAGTTCTATTTTGGGATGAAGAAAAATGTAAACCTTACAACGGGAATATTTTTATCTTTGAGGTTCACTAAAGCACCAGAAGGTATGAAGGCGGAGAGAGGAAACAGGGCAATGGAATGAACACTTCTCAAGAATCTCTCAGGTGCCACGGACTGAGCCAGGTGCCTTCCATGTGTTATCTCATTTTACAGGGCAGGTAACATTTCTGAAAGGTCAGGCAGCTAAAAAGCAGACAGCTTTCTGGCACATTAGAGAAACAAAAGAAATGTTGGAGACTGGAATGCCTGCTGTGTCAAGGCACCTAATTAGAAAACAACGTCAGAGTGAATTTGTCGTGCGAGTCTCCAGCTCTGCCAGAAGAACTAAAAGAAATGTGTCACCAGAGGAATCACAAAGTAAAGTCTATTATTGTTCTGGGGATTCTGGGGATTCGATGCACAAATCAGAGGTCTGACAGGGGATGGGGCATGTGTTACGTCTTAGTAATGTGCTAAATGGTAGTGCTTCCAGATTCCCCACAGAATCCTACTGCAGTCAGAGATCTTGATGTCGGTTGAACTTATCTATTTATAACGAGGAAACATTAAGGTAACTCAAACCAACAAAATAAAACAGGTTGACAGTGACTAAGCAACAACAGAGTGCTAGATTTATGTAGAGATTCTTTCTTTCAAGTTGCTGAGACATTTCACAAAGGAGAACCGTAGATTATCATCAACTTCCATTTGGGGACTTAGAAATCCACCAAAGACAAAGACAATGTTGGTATCATTCCTTCCAGCTCTTGGCTGAAACTGTTCTTTCCTATGTCACCAGTGAACTTCTACTGGCCAACGCCCAAAGAATACTTTCTCAGTTTTAGTTTAGAGACCTCTCTATTCCACTTGCATGGTTAGACACTAACTGCTGGAAACTTCCAATCTGAAACACTCCCTGGGAAATGTCTTATTTGCAAATTTTACAGCTAAAATCCCTCCTCCATAGACAATCTATTAATAAACAGTACCTGCAAATGGGGGACTCTCTGGGGGAAATTTTTTCACTGCAATTGGTGTCAGCATTATATTATAATTAATCCATCTTTATCTAAGATAAAGTTGTAGGTTCAGATAAATAATGTCCCTCTCCCTTTAACACTTGTTATACTTGTGCTAGGCCTATTTGTGGCCACACCTGGGATTGAGTGGTTGAGATGAGATGCAAAAGAGATTATCTAAACTTCTGGGTGATTTTTTGCTGAATGAATGTCTTTTAAAGCACCATTTCTGATCCCATTTGGCTTCTCTCTAGCCTCTATCGATTAATTGTTGATTTAAATTGGAAGAGAGGCTATATGGAGTCTAGAACTTTACTTAGTTCATTGTTATTTCCCCAGGACCTCGAAAAGTGCCTGGGATATAACTCACAAATATGTGTCGAATGAATGAGTAGTTCTATCTGTTTCATGTCTGGGTCAATGTAGGCTGTATCCACATGTTCCTGGTAGGGGAAGTAATAGTAACAAAGATTTTGGCTAAGCTTCAGAGGCCATGAATTAATAGATTTTGGAAGAGGTCACTTTAGGATTTATCAGCTTCAAATCTTATATAAACTTCTTACTGGATCCAAAAGACTCCACTATTTATGGGAGACTCATGGTTTGGCCATTACAATGGTGAATGAGGTAAGGTTTTGGGACATACGTAACCAGGCCTGAATTGGTTGAATATGAACTTGAAAGTTCAAATTCAGACTAACATCTTTCTTTTGTCAGCTCTTCAATCTCAGCACTTGTCAACTTAAATAACAAACAGAAGAGGGGCTCTCTAAAATAAAAATGATATGTACTCAGGAGTAAGGCATTGCAATGGAAATATGTGTGCCATAGTAAACTATGTGCATACTAAGAGAGGTAAAGAAAGACAAAAATTTTTAAAGGAAAAATGAGATGGATTACATAATTGTTTGGAGATAATTATCCTTGCTACAAAGATCAATAGAAAGGGTGATGCCAGTACAAGGTTGGACAAGCAATTACTGGGCAGATGTCTTTACAGAAGTATTTGTGTGTGTGTGTGTGTGTGTGTGTGTGTGTGTGTGTATAAGATTGTGTGGCCTTCATGCAAGGTTGTGGTTTTTACAGTCTTTTGTGATATTTTTTGTTATCAGGTACACAAGCAAGCGAACCCACTCTTCATAGCCTTCCCCAACCCTATTTGTCAAGTGTTTTTTTTTCTTTAATACTAGTGAAATAAGATAGAAAGGAACAAGTCTCATACCTGATGTATGGGCCAAACAAGAAATCCATCATGCTGCCTAATGTCATGACCAGAGATGTTCAGACTGCAAACCAGGAGAGTTGATGTTTTCATGCTTTTCTTAAGACATCGAAAGACTCCACATCATGAGACTCTTACCCCTTTTAATGCCTACTTTTTCACTTGGCAAGATAATAATGTAATTGAAATTTCATAATCAGTAGCTCCTGCTGGAAACTTGACTAAGAGATCCTTTAATATCCATTGGTTAAATAGGAAAACAGGCCACATGGTAATAACAGCTCTCACTTAATTCTCTCTCATCATTTGATGTCTTCAATTGTTTATCTTTAAGCCTCAGTGTATGGCTCAATACCATTATTTAAACTGGGATTTTCATACTACTATTATTTTTACTTTGTTGCTGCCGTTGGTTGTTGTTGTCTGAGACAGGGTCTCACACGGTCACCCAGGCTGGAGTGCAGTGGCACCATGGGTCATGGCTCACTGAAGCCTTGATATTTTTACTTTGTATTTTCCCTTTTTAAACTTTGTATCTGCAAGCCCTGTGGTCCCAGCTACTCCAGGGGCTGAGGTGGGAGGACTGCTTGAGCCTGGGAGGCAGAAGTTGCAGTGACCCCGGATCACACTACTACTGTACTCCAACCTGGGTGACAGAGACCCCATCTCAAAACCAAACAAAAACTTTGTATCTATTACTTATTAAAATTTTTGCAGAAACACAACCCTAATAGGATAATACTAGCCCAGCACTTTGAGATGATAACAAAAGACTATGGAACAGACAAAATTGAACTTAATAATAGACTCTAGGTAGAATTAGCATGAGAACCACTTTCTTCAAATCTCCCTTATTGTTCAAATGTGGCTGAAAGGGTTTTGACACTGACTCTTAGCCGACATTCACTCCCCACAAGGTGGGATGAGACAAGCAACTGGGACCAAGGGCCGTCACATCCAACTACAGGATAATCAGTGATGCTTTCAGAGAAAGATCTTGATCAAAGGTGGGAAATGTGAAAGTTGTCAGAATCAAAATAGAGTCACCAGTATTAAAAAAAAAAAACTTGACGAATAGGGTTGGAAAAGGCTCTGAAGAGCAGGTTTGCATGCTTGTGTGCCTGATAACAAAAACTATCACAAAAGACTCTGCAAAAACTACAACCTTGCACAAAGGCCATCACAATCTTACACACACACACACACACACACACACAAACTTCTGTAAAGTTCTCTGAGATTCCTCCCTCAGCAGCTCGCCTTTTTGGCCGTGTAGTCTTCTCTAGGATTAACATGCCTAGGTTAAAATGTTTGTGAACACTTTTATCTTAGTTTTATTTGGACGACAAGCACCTGATTTGGCTCTTTCCCCTTGCTTGTTTCTGAAAATCTTCCGAGAGCCAAGCAAAACAAAACAAAACAAAAAAACAAAGAAGCAAAAAATACTCAATAGTGGATGCAGGATGACTAATTGAAAGCCATTAGGGTAGTCACCACCGTTTAAGTTATCAGGCATATTAATCAAATAAAATATTAGGCATGCAGACCAAAAGAGAATTCACCAGAAAAAAAAAAAAAAAACATGGCTCAGAGACAGACTGCAAATTCTGTAGAAATCAGAGCACTCAAACAGAAAGACACTTGTTTTTATACCAGAAAGGACTTACCAGAAAAGACATATAGTCGTTTATCATCCCAGAAGAGATGTAAGATCCTTCATTTAAGGCAGCCTTATAACCAAACCAGATCCCAAATAATATCAAAAATGCTCTGACAAAAAGAGATAAGCTCAGCCTAAGAGAAGACTCCAGGGCCGAAAAGGCCAGCTGCTGAGGCAGGGATCTCAGAGGGCTCAAGTGAGGACTGCACGCCGAAGTCAAGAACCGCCGATTCTTCTGAGAGCGAGCTTTCTTCAGGTCCCGTTTTCTGACACCATTTATATCAACCTAAATAACAAACAGAGAAAGGCTCTCCAAAAGAAAAAGATACTTATTCATGAGTAAGGCATTGCAATGGGAATATGTATGCCCTAGTAAACTATGTGCATACTGACAGAGATAAAGCAAGACAAACATTTTAAAAGGAAAAAACAAGGACGATTAATGTAATTGTTTTGAGATCTTGGCTACAAAGATCAATAACAAGGGTGACACCAATCTGAATTTGAACAGGCCATTGTTGGGCAGATTCCCTGGCACAAGTATTTTTTGTGTAGGGTTGTGACAGCCTTTGTGCAAGGTTGTGAACTTTGCAGAGTCTTTTGTGATAGCTTTTGTCACCAAGCACACAAGCATGAGAATTCTCTCTTCATTGCTTTTCCTGGCCCTATTAGTCAGGATTTTTAAAAAAATATTAGTGACTCCATTTTGTTTCTGACAACTTTCACAGAACAAATGTGTGTAGATCACAGGCTCCTGTCTGCTTGGATTCTGGTCATGTCTTCTCACTGAGTGTAATTTAATGCCTCAAAAAAATTAATCACCTAATGAAGACCTCTTCCCTGAAGATCTGTTTGTGGTCTACTCTGACTGGTAGGGGTCTCAGGCAATTTGCTCACCACTTTGAGCTTATCAGGAATTGCAGTAAATATAGTCCATCTCCTTCAAATTATTGCCTTATCAGTTTACTGGATATGTAACTAAATGCTATGCTCATTTCCTTCTTGATAAGAGCCAGCCTGAGGTTTCCAAAGCTACTCTGCCTGAGAATTCAGTGGTCCTCAGTTATGTTCCAGGCCCATGGTGCAATGATAGCTTCTTTTTTTTGAGACAGAATCTCGCTCTGTTGCCCAGGCTGGAGTCCAGTGGCTCAATCTTCACTCACTGCAACCTCTGCCTCCCAGGTTCAAGTGATTCTCCTGCCTCAGCCTCCAAAGTAGCTGGGTTTACAGGCACATGCCACCACACCCAGCTAAGTTTTGTATTTTTAGTAGAGATGGGGTTTCACCATGTTGGCCAGGCTGGTCTCGAACTCCTGACCTCAAGTGATCCACCCACCTCATCCTCCCAAAGTGCTGGGATTTCAGGCGTGAGCCACCGGGCCCAGCCCTTGATAGCTCTTTATCAATTTGTGCAGGCATCTCTCATGAATAAACAGCAAGATCACCTGTTGTCCTGTGCTGAGCTTTTCTCAACCTTTCATTCTGTGGATTAAAGCCAATTTTGGATTTAGCTGCTAATGCTCAAAATAAAAGCTCAATCAATAACTGTCCCTGCTTCATAAATGGACCAGCATTTTATACTGCCTTCAGATCCGGGGTCAGTTAAGTTTAGTTTTTTTTAAAATATACACAATTTTTTGGAGGGAGTCACAGAGGAGTGCCAAATAGAGCAGGTTTTGCGCCTTTTGTTTAAAATGTATGCTAATGATTTACAGTCCCTTTTTGATCTTTGCAAAGAATGCCTGTATTTCCATCAACCCAACCCTTCCTGCTTTTGAGGGCAGAAAAGCTAGTCCTCTCCATGGTCAGAGAGCAAAAGCAAAGATTTTCCCTCTCTACTTTCAGATACAATGGTTTAGGATGAATTACTGCTGAGCCAAAATCATTTTTGGCATATGTTCCTAAAAATGTAATTAGTCTGTTTACAACTCTAGGCACCAGGTGAGCTCATTCTATTTCACAGAGATTCATTCCACAACCAATGTTCACTGAAGGGTTCAAAGAAACCTATGCCATTTAAATGTGATATGTTGCAAGTATGTTGTTAGAATTTTTCTGCAGATGAGATAAATGTTTGCTAACTATTATTCTGAATTTTTCTTCATTATGCTCTCTGGTGAAAAACGGGAATTTCCTGTGTGTGTGTGTGTGTGCACGCACGTGTGTCTGTGTGTGTGTGTGTGGTTATTTTTAGGAAAAGTCTCAAAAGTATCTTGTAAAGAAACTCCTAGCCCTGCCCATGTGGTATGTCTCCCTCCATCCCCCTTTTTCTTTCTTTAGCACTCTTCTAGGCACGAGAATAGAATGATGAACAAAAGTTGCACAGGTCTGCCCCTCATTACTCTTACATCATATTGGAACAAGAGTATTGGGTTTTGGCTTCTTACTTTTCATCCGAAGATTCAAGTCTTATTTTCCCATTTAGTTGCTTTGGAAATCATGTGGACCTAGCTCTTGGCAACACAGAATCCACATCTAACCTCGTTCTACTCAGCTCTGCTGTCCCAAAGGTATTTCAGATCTACCCTCTTACCCTTTCTCCCATTAAGGTTCAAAGTACTATTACTGGTTTCCAAATTTCCTTTAAGACAGTATTATTTCTTCAAAAGAAAATTGATTTGGAAACCAATTTTATTGAAGCTACTCTATTTCTATCCAAAATAGGACGGAATGCTAACTGCCTCCCTGAGTTTCCTACTTTGTCCAGAGCTCTGAGAGAACCCGCCAAGCCTATTTTAAAACACTCTCCCCTGGAGAACTGACTTACCTGGAGCTTGGCCTCTGGGGGCCCACACTCTGGGCTGAATGATAAATCCGGGGCTGGGCTGAGAGTCAATTTGGCCCTCAAACTTATCAGCCCTGTTCCTCATTGTTTTTCTGTACATTTTTAAAAGGGCTGCCTACCTTTTTCAGAATCGATGAGCAAAATCACACATCCTCATGTCCATCTGGTGCTCTGTATTGTGTCCGAGGCTACTGCAAAGTGATAAAAACTAGGACTCAGTTTTGAAAGGAGAGGCAAGCGAGGTGCCATTGTTGAAACAGCCTTTCCGGTTGGAATTGTTAAGACTGAATTTCTTTTTCTCAGCAGGGCTTGTGTAGAGAGCTCCACACCTCACTTAGTGTAAACAGCAGGTTCTTACCCCACAGTCAAGTAAAAAAGAAAGATAAACAGGTCAGATCTCAGATACTTGCAAAGAGGGTTACAAAGAGAATAGCTTGAGCACATATTGCACAGAATAAAAATCGGCTGGTCCAGTGTTTGTATTTCTGGAGGGTGGGAGACGGAGGGAGGGAGGGAGGGAGAGAAAGAGACAGAGGTGTTTCTAATTCAGACCTGCAGTATAATTTCACCATCTGCTGGAAAGAGTCCCCGTGACACAAAATTCTGCAGTTTCCCTACCTTCTCACGCCCCCACACTGTTTCCACTCCATTGCTAGGAGAGGCTGTCTAGAACTGGAGAGTTTTGAGAAGCTGTTGGTGGAGGAGTCGTTTTTTTACATATCACCTCCTGTGCCCCAAATCTTTCCCAGAATCTAGGGGAATAGAGGACAAGGCAGTTTTGTTGTTGTTGTTTGTTTGTTTGTTTTGAGGAGCATTCTTCTTTTACTGGATATAAAAGTAATACATCTGACAATGCCTGGTAAGGATATGGAGACATAGGATCTCTTACACATTGCTGATGGGACTATGTATTGATTAATGCAACAACTTTGGGAAAACACTTTCTTTTTATTATTAATTGACAAATCATAATCGTATGTATTTATGGGGTATGATACGATGTTCTGATATATGTATACAATGTGAGATGATTAAATCAAGTAAATTAATATATCCAGCACTTCAAACACTTTTTTAATGGTGAAAATGACACTGCCATTACAAAATTATAACTGAAACAGGGAAAGATATCTGACCTAAACAACTCCATCTTGCCTCTAACCTCCAAGCTGTCCCTGTTCATTCCTCGGCATAGGCCAAACTAACTTTGGGAGGAATTTAGTTTATAGTTTAAAACAAAAATGACAACAGCCCTTTCCCAAAACAAACCTCTTTCTTGCATGGGGTCTAGACTGCCTTTGTAGGACTAACAAATTAGTCAAAAGATTAGAAATTATGGTTTAGGAGTCATGCTGCTGGAGGCTACAAGATTCTGAGCCCTCCCCACATTGCTCCTGGGGATAAAATTACTATCGTAAAACCTACGACCACTGCTTGAGATATTTTGCAGACCCCGCACCTGATGAATCAGCTGGCACCACCCAGATTGAAAAACTGGCTCATCTGATCTTGTGGCCCCCTACCCAGGAACTGACTCAGCGCAAGAGGACAGCTTCGACTGCCTGTGACTTCATCTCCAACCCAGCCAATCAGCACTCCCAAATCACTGCCCCCACCCACCAAATTATCCTTAAAAATTCGGATCCCCCTTGGGGATACTGATTTGAGTAATAATAAAACTCTGGTCTCCTGCATGGCCAGCTCTGTGTGAATTACTTTTTTGCTGTTGCAATTCCCCGTCTTGATAAATCGGCTCCGTCTAGGCAGTGGGCAAGGTGAACCTGTTGGGCAGTTACAAAAACACTTAAAATCTACTCTCTTTGCAATTTTCAAGTACACAATATGTTGACTATAGTCACCATATGGTGCAATTGATCTCAAAGAACATATTCTTCCTAACTGAAACTTTGTACCTTTTGACTAACATCTCCCCATTTCCCCAGCCCCCAGCTTCTGGTAACAACCATTCTACTCTCTGTTTCATTGAGTTTGATTGTTTTAGATTCCACATATAAGTGAGATCATACAATGTTTGCCTTTTTGTGCATGGCTTATTTCACTTAACATAATGTCCTCCAGGTCCATCCATGTTGTCACAAATGACAAAATGTTCTTCATTTTCAAAGCTGAATGGTATTTCCTTGTGTAGATTTGCCACATTTTACAATCCATTCATCTGTTGATGGGCACTGTGGTTGAATCCGTATCTTAGCTATTGTGAATAATGTTGCCATAAACGTGGGAGTGCAGACATCTTTTCAACATACTGATTTCAAATCTTTTGGATATATACCCAACAGTAGAATTGCTAGATCATATGGCTGTTCTATTTTTAGTTTCTTAAGGAACCTCTATACCGTTTTCCATAATGGCTGTATTAACTTACATTCCTACCAGTAGTATACAAAATTCCCTTTTCTCTACATCCTTGCCGACACTTATCTTTCACCTTTTTGATAACAGCTATTATAACAGGTGTGAACTGATATTGTGGTTTTAATTTGTAATTTCTCTAATAGTTAGCAATGTTGAGTATATTTTCATGTATCTGTTAAGGGGATTGCATCAAACCAAAGAGATTCTGCACAGCCAAGAAAACAAATTAGCAGAGTGAAGAGACAAACTGTGGATTGAAAGAAAAGATTTGTTACTACCCAAAGCAATCCAGGGTCAATGCAATCCCCATCAAAATACTGGCTGGGCGTGGCGGCTCACACCTGTAATCTTAGCACTTTGGGAGGCCGAGGTGGATGGGTCACTTGAAGCCAGGAGTTCAAGACCAGCCTGGCCAACATGGTGAAAACCTATCTCTACTGAAAAAAAAAAAAAAAAAAAAAAAAAAATTAGCCAGGTGTGGTGCATGCCTGTAATCCCTGCTATGCAGGAGACTGATGCACAAGAATCATTTGAACCGAGGAGGCGGAGGCTGCAGGGAGCCGAGATTGTGCCACTGCACTCCAGCCTGGGTGACAGAGTGAGACTCTGTCAAAAAAAAAAAAATAAATAAATAAATAAATAACATTCTTCACAGAAATAGACCAAAAAAAAAAAAAACTTAAAATTTTTTTAAGACCCCAAATAGTCAAAGCAATCCTGAGCAAAAAGAACAAACCTAGAAGCATTGTACTATCAGACTTCAAAATATACTACAAAGGTGTGGTAACCCAAGAAATATGGTACTGGCATAAAAACAGACACAAAGACCAATGGAACAGAAAAGAGAACCCAGAAATTAATTCACATATCTACAGCCAACCGATTTTTGACAAAAGTGCTAAGAGCATTCACTGGTGAAAGGATAATTTCTTCAATAAAAGGTGCTGGGAAAACTGGATATCCATAAAGAGAAGACTGAAACCACCTCTCATCCTATAAAAAAATCAACTCAAAATGGATCAAAGACTAAATGTAAGACCCCAAACTATAAAATTAATAGAAGGAAATATAGGGGAAATGCTTCAGCACATTGATCTGGAAAAGACTTTATGAATAAAACCTCAAAAGTACAGGCAATAAAAGCAAAAACAAACAAGTAGGATTATATCAACGAAAAGGCTCTGCACAGCAAAGGAAACAATCAGCAAGGGGAAAAGACAATCTAAAGAATGGGAGAAAATATTTGTAAGCTATTCATCTGACAAGGGCTTAATATCCAAATATACAAGCAACTGCAAACAAGTTAAATAATCCAATTTTTTTTTTTTTTTTGAGATGGAGTCTCTCTCTGTCACCCAGGCTGGAGTGCAGTGGCATAATCTCAGCTTACCCCAACCTCCACCTCCTGGGATCAAACGATTCTCCTACCTCAGCCTCCTAAGTAGCTGGGATTACAGGTGCACACGACCACGCCTGGCTGATTTTTGTATTTTTAGTAGAGACGGGGTTTTACCATGTTGGCCAGACCAGTCACAGACTCTTGACCTCAAGTGATCCACCTGCCTCGTCCTCCCAAAGTGCTGGGATTACAGGCGTGAGCTACCGCGCACCCGGCCAAATAATCCAATTTTTTTTTTTTTTTTTTTTTTGAGACGGAGTCTCGCTCTGTCGCCCAGGCTGGAGTGCAGTGGCGCGATCTCGGTTCACTGCAAGCTCCGCCTCCCGGGTTCACGCCATTCTCCTGCCCCAGCCTCCCGAGTAGCTGGGACTACAGGCGCCCGCCACCACCTGGCTAATTTTTTGTATTTTTAGTAGAGACGGGGTTTCACCGTGTTAGCCAGGATGGTCTCGATCTCCTGACCTCGTGATCCACCTGCCTCCACTTCCCAAAGTGCTGGAATTACAGGCTTGAGCCACCGTGCCCAGCCCCAAATAATCCAATTTTAAAAGGGGCAAATGATCTAAACAGACATTTCTCAAAAGAAGACATACAAATGGCCAACAAATAAATGGAAAAAAAAAAAAAAAGCTCAACAACACCAATCATCAGGGAAATGCAAATTAAAAACACAATGAGATATCTCACTCCAGTTAGGATGGCTAATACCAAAAAGATAAAAAATAACAAATGCTGGGGAGGATGTGGGGAAATGGGAACTCTTATACACTGTTGGTGGGAATGTAAACTAGTATAACTCCTGTGGAAAACAGTATGGAGTTCCTCAAAAACTACAAATAGAATCACCATATGATCCAGCAGTCCCACGACTGGGCATGTATCCAAAGGAAAGGAAATCAGGATATTGAAGAAACATCTTTACCTCCATGTTTATTGCAGCACTATTCACAATAGCCAAGATATGGAATCAATCTAAGTGTCCAACAACAGATGAATGGGTAAAGAAAATGTGGTATATATACATAACGGAACATAATTCAGCCATAAAAGGAATAAAATCCTGTCATTCACAACAACACGGGTGGAACTGGAGGACATTATGTTAAATGAAATAAGCAAAGAACAGAAAGTTAAACACCGCATGTTGTCTTCACATGTGGAAGCTCAAAAAAGTTGATCTCATAGAAATAAAATGTAGAACAGAGGATACTAGAGGCTGGGAAGGATAGGAGGAAGAAGGGGATAGGGAGAGATTTATTAAAGGATACAAAATTACAGCTAGGAGGAATAACTTCCAGTGTTCTCTGCCACTATAGGATGACTACAGTTAATAATAATAATAATATATTATATGGTTTCAAATAGCTAGGAGGATATTGGATGTTCCCAACACAAAGAAATGATAAATGTTTGAGATGATGGATATGCTAATTACTCTGATCTGATCACAAAATATATATGAAAACATCACTATGTACCCCATGAATACATATAATTATTATATGTCAGTTTCTTAAAAAGAAAATATCTGCAAACCATACATCTGATAAGAAGTTAATATCCAAAATATATAAGGAACTGAAATAGCTCAATAGCGAGAAAACAATCTGGTTAAAGAATAGGCAAAGGACCTGAATAAGCATTTCTCAAAAGAAGACATAAAAATAATCCTATCTTTTACACTATGACAAGCATTTCCATCCCCAGGTTTATATACAAAAGGAATTGTTACAAAGGGACTCTGGGACCCATGTATAAGGAAGTTTACAGCAGTGCTGTTTGTAACAGCAAAAGCCAGAAATAGCCTAAATACAGAATAAACAATAATATATTCACAAAGTGGAATATTACATAGTCATCAAAATAAATGAACTACAGTTGCATACATCAATAGGGATGAATCTTAGCAATACAATATCAAGTGAAAAGAAGTGCATTCCAGAAGTTAATATATAGCATGCTGCCTTCCCTAAAGTTAAAAACACCAACATTAAAAAATAAGTGTTTTAGGACTATATATCAAACAGATACAACTTTGTTAAAAGGAAAACAAGGGAATGATAAGATTTGGGATGATGTTTACCTTGGGTAGAAAAAAGTGGTGAATGGGCTGAAGGAGAATTCATAGCTAGATGTAAATATAATCCAAATATATTCCACCACTTTTGTGTGAGTCTTAGCTTTCGTATTAACCAACAGGTTTATGAGTATGTATTATAATAAACAAATTAATAAATAATGGCTATGCATGGACCAACGAGTAGACTCCTTATTAAACTACCAATTATGATTAATTCAATTCTGAGTGTGTCTGGAGTCCAAAGGAAAAACAAAAAGCAAAACCTATGCATTAATTGTGAACAATGTAGCACCCTGGCAAAGTATGTGAAGAAAAACTCATCTCTAATTGTGTCTGCCCAGAGAAAATCAGTGTTAACATTTTGGTATTTTTTCTAATTCATATTTTTGAACAAAAGTATAATCATGACATTTAAACAGTAGTCATTATTTAAACTTAACATTGCATACATTTTTCCACGTGATAAAATAATCTTTGAAAATATGTTTCTAATAGCTGAGTTGTATTACATTTTACATATGCACGATAATTTATTTGACTAATTGTTTGTATACATTTATTCTGGTTGTTTCAATTTTTTGTCATTATGAATAAGCCTGCAATAAGCAGTTTGCACAATAAATATGGGTGCCATCTTTGATGATTTACTTAGGATACATTTTTAAGAGTGGAATAAAGGTGTGAAAAAATTTTAAGTTATTGCTACATATTGATAAATTGAAGGGCACCATTTTTATGTGAGAAATAAATAGAAAAAGTTTTTTTCAATATATTGCACATAAAAGTGCTTAATATATGTGTAATAGACATTTAATCGATATCCATTGAATATGAATGCATATAATTACAAGGTTACTTAAAATATTTTAGAAGATGATAAAGGACTATCTTCCTCATCTGCCAGGCTATGAAAATTAAATGACTCAGTATTGTGTCTTAACTTTTAATGGAAATACAAGTGTGTGCCATGGGAGCTATTCTTTTTGTTGCATTAATGACAACAAATAAAATTTATATATCATGTTATTCCTTTAACAGTGTTTCCATATGCATTATTTCATTTACTCTCCATGACAAAAAATCATCTAAGATATTTGTTATTACATAACCCCTACTTTACAGATGAGGAGGTTGACACAAATTAGAATACTTAGCCAAGCTTATAAAGCTTAAAACTTATTGTATTTTATTTTTTATTTTTATTTTTTATCTTTTTTTTTTTTTGAGATGGAGTCTCACTCTGTCGCCCAGGCTGAAGTGCAGTGGTTTGATCTTGGCTCACTGCAACCTCCACCTCCAGGGTTCAAGTGATTCACCTGCCTCAGCCTCCCAAGTAGCTGGGCTTACAGGTGCCTGCCACCAGTCCTGGCTAATTTTTGTATTTTTAGTAGAGAGAAGATTTCACCACGTTGGCCAGGCTGGTCTTGAACTCCTGACCTCAGGTGATCCATCGCCTCGGCCTCCCAAAGTGCTGGGATTGCAGGCATAAGCCACCACACCAGCCTAAAGCTTAAAGCTTAGAAGAAAAGGCAAATCTTCTGAATTCCAGTTCCAATAATAGAGGAATAACTTATATTGACTATCTGCAGATAATGACTGTAAACTGTCCACAAAATATTTTACCCAATTATTTGAAAGGCAACAGAGATCAACTAAAAGCAGGCGGAAACTGGGAGAGAAATATTTAAAGTCAATAATCAAAGCTCTTACCTTAAAAAACAAGAAAAAAATATAAGTAAATTAAAGGTGTAGAGGGGGAAATAATAGAGATAAGAACAGAAATCAATGAAATAGTAAACAAACTGTAGGAAGAAATATTAACAAAGGCCAAAATTTGTTTATTGAAAAAATTGTTCACCATGGAATACTATGCAGCCATAAAAAATGATGAGTTCATGTCCTTTGTAGGGACATGGATGAAATTGGAAATCATCATTCTCAGTAAACTATCGTGAGGACAAAAAACCGAACACTGCATGTTCTCACTTGTAGGTGGGAATTGAACAATGAGAATACATGGACACAGGAAGGGGAACATCACCCTCTGGGGACTGTTGTGGGGTGCTAAATGACGAGTGAATGGGTGCAGCACACCAGCATGGCACATGTATACATATGTAACTAACCTGCATATTGTGCACATGTACCCTAAAACTTAAAGTATAATAATAATAAAATAAAATAAAATAAAAAAGAAAAAATTGTTAAATTCCTAGCTAAACTGATGAGAAAAAGAGAGGAAACACAACCTATCAATTTTGGAAATAAAAGAAGAGTATCATTAGAGATTACATGACAATAAAAATATAATAAAGGATTATTATAAACAACTTTATATAAATAAATTCAACACTTTAAATGAAATGCACAAATTCCTTGAAAAACACAACTTGCCAAAACTGACAAAAGAAATGAGAAATCTGAATAACCATTTACCTATTTTAAAAATTGAATTTGTTATCAAACTTTCCCACAAAAATAATTCAAGGTCCAAATGGCTTCACTAGTCAATTCTATCAAACATTTAAGGAAGAAATAACACCAATCTTACATTCTTTCCAAAAATAGAGGAGGAGACATTTCCCAGCTTGCTTTGAGGCCAGCCTAGCCCTAATACCAAAGACTGATAAAGATATTACAAGAAAAGAAAATCCAACATATCCCACATGAATATTAACAGAAAAAATTCTGACCAAAAATATTAGTGACTAAAATTCAGCAATATATTAAAAACCAAAATACATCATTACCGAGTAAGGTTTATCCCAGGAATATTGGGGGAACCCACCCCCAATATTTCAATATTTCAACGTAGGTTCTTTCTATTTTCCATAAGTGTTGGCCGGCTGAGAATAAAGACAGACAGTACAAAGAGAGGAATTTTACAGCTGGGCCGCCAGGAGTGACATCATGTATCGGTAGGACCGTGATGCCCACCTGAGTCTCAGACCAACAAGCTTTTATTAAGGGTTTCAAGAGGGGAGGGGGTGTAAGGACAGGAAGTAGGTACAAAGATCACATGTTTCTGAGGGCAAAAAGCAGAACTACTAATAAGGGTCTAACAAAGATCACATGCTTCTGAGGGAACAGTACAAAGGGCAAAAGCAGAACTACTGATAAGGGTCTATGTTCAGCAGTGCACGTACTTATTGTCTTGATAAACATCTTAAACAACAGAAAACAGGGTTTGAGAGCAGAGAACCAGTCTGACCACAAATTTACCAGGGCAGAGTTTTCCCCCACCCCAGTAAGCCTGAGGGTTCTGCAGGAGACCAGGGATTATCTCAGTCCTTATCTCAACTGCACAAGACAGACATTCCCAGAGTGGCTGTTTATAGACCTCACCCCAGGAATGCATTCCTTTCCCAGGGTATTAATATTAATATTCCTTACTAGGAAAAGAATTTAACGATATCTCTCCTACTTGCATGTCCATTTATAGGCTCCCTGCAAAAAGAAAAATATGGCTCTTTTTCCCGACCCTGCAGGCAGTCAGACCTTATGGTTGTCTTCCCTTGTTCCCTAAAAATCGCTATTATTCTGTTCTTTTTCAAGTTGCACTGATTTCATATTGTTCAAACACACATGTTTTGCAATCAATTTGTACAGTTAACACAATTATCACAGTGGTCCTGAGATGACGTACGTCCTCAGCTTACGAAAATAACAGGATTAAGAGATTAAAGACAGGCGTAAGAAATTATAAAAGTATTATTTGGGAACTGATAAATGTCCATATTAAGATGAAATCTTCACAATTTTGTTCCTCTGCCTCACCTCCAGCCGGTCCCTCCGTTCAGCATCCCTGACTTCCCTCAACACAGGAATACAAGGTTGGTTTAATATTTGAAAATTAGTGAATGTAGTTCACCATGGTAGACAGTAAAAAGGAGAAAAACTACACAATTTATGCAATAGATGATTCAAAGTATTTGACAAAATTCAATAGCCATTTATGATCAAATTCTCAGCAAATTAGAAATAGAAGTTACTTAACCTGAAAAAGTCCATCTCTGAAAAGTGTACAATTAACATCATATATAATAATGAAATATTGAATACTTTCTCCCTAGTTTCATGAATAAGGCAAGAATGTTCACTCTCACCTCCTCTATTCAACATTGTACTAGATGTCCTAGCCATCTCTTTTAAGAAGCCAAAAAGAGAAATAAAGTCATCAATAAAGACTGGAAGTGAAAAAGTAAAACAGTCTTTTCTTGACAGACAGCACAATTTTTTACATAGAAAATCCCAAAGAATTTACAAAAAAGTTACTAGAACTAATAAGTGAATTTTACCATGTTGTATGACATAGGTCAATATAAAAAATTAATTATAGCTCTGTATATTATTAACAAATAATTTGAAAATACAATTTAAAGACAATTCCATGTGATCACAAATACGACAAAAAATATGCAAAAACTCTACATTAGAAGCTTCAAAATATTGTTGAGAGACATTAAAGTCCTAATTAAATGAACAGATATACCATGTTCATAGAATGGATGACTCATTTTTTTATTTGTTTGTTTGTTGAGACAGGGTCTTTCTCTTTCACTCAGGCTGCAGTGCAGTGGCACAATCATGGCTCACTGCAGGATATAGCTCACTGAAATAGCTCAACAGCAAGAAAACAAACAATTTTATTAAAGAATGGGCAAAGGACCTGAATAAGCATTTCCCAAAAGAAGACATACAAATAATCCTATATTTTACACTATGACAAGCATTTCCATCCCTAGGTCCAACCCTCGACCTCCCCAGGCTCAAGTGATTCTCTCACCTCGACCTCCTGAGTAGCTGGGACTACAGAGGCACACAACCATACCTGGTTAATTGTTGTACTTTTTGTAGAGACAAAGTTTTGCCACATTGCCCAGGCTAGTCTCGAACTCTTGAGTTCAAGTGATCCACTCACCTTGGCCTCTCAAAGTGCTGGGATTACAGGTATGAGCCACCATGCCCAGTTGAGGCCGCTACGTTTTAAAAAGTGTCTGTTCTAGATTAAATACAATTCTAATCAAAATATAATCAGGCATTTTCTTTTTCTTTAAGAGATGGGGTTTTGCTCTGTCACTGAGGTTGGAGTTGTGATCAAAAGCACACTGCAACTTCAAACCATCCTCCCCCCTCAGTCTCCCTGGTAGCTGGAACTAAAGGCTCAAGCCACCATGCCTGGCTATGCTTTTTTGAAGTAATTGACAAGTCTATTGTAAAATTTATGTGGAAATGCAAAGGAACTATAATAGGCTGAAAAGGGGCATCAAGATGGAAAGTAACAAATCTTGAAATAACAATCCTGAAAATAACAAAATTGGAGGACTCACACTACCTGATTTCAACACTTACTAGAAAGTATAGTAATCAAGAGAAAGTGAAAGTTGCATAATCGCCATGAGAACCTACTAATTTGATGTTACTGTATAAATACTCTTTAAGGTTCATTTTAATGTAGTCGATCATTTCTTACCTCAGGACAAATAATAGGCTATCTCTGTTAAAAAACAAAAACAACCAGGGGCCTTACAGCGTACCACAGTATTTCCCAAAGTAAAATTCATATACACTGGTCTGAAGATCCTTTTAAGTGGTACATGGAAAAATAAGTTCTTTAAAAAATAATTGTGTGTTTAAAAATTATTCTGTGCTTGAAGTTACAAAGACCATTTTTCTATTAATGATGGTCATATAAAGTTTCCTTCTGACATAAAATGAAGGTTTAAAACAGCAGATGGACTTACGGACTAATACAGGAGTGCTAACACCTCATTCGGACATTAGGCAGATTTACACCCTCACCCCCACCTCCGCACTGGCAGAGCAAGAAAACCCGGGCTTCCCCTCATCCACACACTCCTTCCCCTCCAGGGCCGAGACTGCTTTCACTACAAAGTCAAAAGTACCAGGAAGGGTGTTTTCCACAGACAGGTAGGCTGGCTCCCAACTCACCAATCAGGTAACCGATGGACGGAAAGGCAAGCCAGGGGTTTACCTTAAGGAGGGCCTTCTCTGTGGAAACACGGGGTGTAGGAATCAAGTGTCTCTGTCTCTGTCTCTCTAACACACACACACACACACACAGGCCATGGACCTCTCAGCATCACCTCTTCCCCAGCCTCCCAGGGCCCAGGTGTTGTTTCTGTGTCTCTGGAGACCGAATGTAATGGCTACCACCACTCTCTTATGAACAGATTGTGTGGGATCCTGCCACGAATTCGAAGCTCCAAATCAAAGTCCAGGGTATGTGCATATGACTGGCAGAATTAAGCAATGAGCCTGTCCCAGGACTGCAAGGGATGCTGTCGAAGTAACTGTATACGATAGCTTTTATTTCTACAGTGGTGTTCATGTGGTCGTTGGGGTGGGGCTCAGTAACAGAAGACATAGAGGAAAGCATATTGGGCAGACAAAACTAGCATTCTGTAGAGGAGAAAACCGAGTCTCAGAGCAGTTAGGTAACTTGCTAAAGTCACACAGCAAGTAACTAACTCTGCATTTACAAGATCAAATACTTTTTAATCAAGTTCTGGTATCTAGAGCCTCAGGAATTCTGGTTCTTATACATGAGAGAGAAAATTTGGGAGAAAATAAAGAAGCAACAACAAGATGCAGGCCTCAAAAACCAAGGAAAAATGATGCTTTACTCTGAATCTACAAGGCTTTGTGTGGTCCAAGCCTACACCAGGGAGATGCTCTCCCGACTTGTTCCAGAGGGATGAGTTGTGCAATGTTCGTTTTTGATGGTGAGGTTAGAATTCCCTGGAAAGCAGTTTTGTTTTTCTTGTGAAGCCAGCACTTTATTGGAATAATTGTCTTGTTTCTATTCAAAGTCCTCTTTACCTCTGTTCCCATAAGCCTCTGACAATTTTGAGCTTTTTCTGGTTTTTGGAGATTGTACAAAGACACTGGCACTTTGCAGCCTCGTCCCTCGGGTTCTGGGTGTGCCACACACTCTGAAGCACACACTTTCCATGGTGGCGGTTCTCCTCTGGCCGGCTGCCCAGGCTGTCGCCTTGTCCATCTCTGCCAGCGCTATTGGGAGGCAGCTGGAGGCCCTGTGCTGGAGAGCTGGCTGGCATCCCCACTTGGCTGGCCCACTCCTGGGGATTCTCAGGACGGTGACCACGAGAACAGGCTGATGTCCTGAGGATGTGCCCTCCCTTATGTGCACTTTGTCTCATGCTGAGAGTCAATTTCTTACTCCAGTCACAGAAAAGCTGTGTAAGCAATTCAGGCCACTCCTTGATCTTTTCTCCCCCTAAACGCCTGGCTTCTGAAAGCTCATCATTGCTTCAAGGGCTATTTTTCTGCCATCTTTTGAGAGATTGAGACAATTAGGTCAGTTTCAGCAGGTAGATACTCTTCCTGCATCTCTACCCAGACCTATCAGAAGTCAAAGGATACATCACCCAGCCCAAACTGCCTTAGGCAGTCACCCAGAACTGATTCACACAGAACTTACACGTGAAACTCAAGGACAGCAATCCGGAGGGACAGTAGGAGGAGCGGACTGAAAACATATTTGCATGTGGCACTTTATACAATAGCCGATGGTAGCAATTGTGCTGCATTCTCACAGTGAGTTTGGCGGTGAGCCACCTGCTTTGAATACAGCCATCCTTTGAAACAGGTTCTATTTTTATCCCCGCTTCACAGATGAGGAAACTGAGAGACCAATTTCAAGGTCATACAGAGTAAGGGCTGGAACTGGGATTTTAAGCTCAGCAGTCTGGCGCCAGGGTCTGTCCTCTTTTTCTTGTGTTGATACACGATATTTTCATACTTATAGGATACATGTGACTTCTGTTATGCATAATAAAGGTTGAGAAAATGTCAACTGCCCTCCCCCAGATCCTTGGTACCACCACTAGAACCCTCCAGGAGCCTTCTCTTTTTCCTGCATTTACCCTCACACACTTGCCTGTTTAATTTAGCCAATGTATTTCTTTGATTTCAGTTAAAACTCCATTGCTAAGCCTGTTTTCTTATCAATAAAATGGGAATAACGAAGGTATCTGTCTCACACAGGTCTTACAAAACTATAAGTTCTAAGTACCTGATAAATGTAAACAGCCAATAAATGAGCATTATTATTACAAAGATAGTAGAGAGTTTCGCAGAGGATTGATTTTGTTTTTGTCCCCCCCACAACCCCTGTCGCCTAGGCTGGAGTGCAGTGGTGCCATCTCGGCTCACTGCAACCTCTGCCTCCTGGGTTCAAGCAATTCTCCTGCCTCAGCCTCCTGAGTAGCTGGGAATTACAGGTGCCCACCACCATGCCCGGTTAATTTTTGTATTTTTATAGAGACGGGGTTTCACCACGTTGGCCAAGCTGGTCTTGAACTCCTGGCCTCAGGTGATCCACCCGCCTTGGCCTCCCAAAGTGCTGGGATTGCAGGTGTGAGCCACCATGCTCAGACTCACAGAGGTTTAGAAAGTACTGGCTTAAAATGAGACGCCTCTCACTTGGTTAGCCTAGAATTTTCCATTATTGCCTTACCAATACGAGATAAACAGGTTACCATTCTTTCCTGTAGCTCTTACTCAGAATTTCAAATTTAGAATGTCACATTCAGTGATTTTGGTCTAAAGAGGACCATTTTTGCCATCACCACAAAGCTTGGGAACCCTTGGCTTTGAGACCCACAAGAGGGCCCACCCGGCAAAGGATCTGTATCTTGGTCTCAGCATTTTGAGCTCTGCCCACACTTGTGTTAATTCAGATGAACACACAAAAGAAAGTACAGTATGTATTCTTTCATTAATGAGTTTACTCATCAGGAAAGGAAGAGAATAAATGGTGCTAATCAGAATAGCCAGTTTTCAGGGAATTAAAAGACATTTTTGCTTGAATGTGCTAAAAGTTTAAATGAGGAACAATACATTATCTAAGTCAGTAGTTTTTACACTGTATTCAGTGGAGCCCTGGAGTTTTGCCAAGGCATGTCAAGGGCAGCTCTGAAGTTCTGAAGTTAGTAATTATCCCTCTGGCTGAATGTTAACTTGAACAGAGTGGAGGAACTCAGGCTGTAAGGCCTGAGGACGACTGTGAAACAGCTGTGCCAGAACCTTCACGCTGCCTAAGAGCACATTCAGTTCTGGAGATGTGTGACCTTGGTCAAGTCACTTCCCACCTCTGGCATCTGTCGTCTTCTCTGTCCAATGAGGAGAATCAATGGCGTGACAATTTAAAAAATCTTTTGGCTCTAAAATTCTGAGACCCTCACATGAATTGCGGTCTCTTCAATGTTTACTTCCAATAAAAAAAGATTTTTAGGGCTACCTTCATACAACTGTCTTCAAAATTGGCACATCGTTTCTTTGACATTTCTCAGTGATTGCAAATCCTAGCCCTTTCAGGATAAATGTGATTTGGGGAAGTGACAGAAAACATCCACTCATTCCAAACCAGGTGTTTCATTCAACTCACCCCACAAGAGCTTAGTGAGTGCCTTTCAAGAGCTAGACACTGGCAGAGGTGAGACAATAGTGATGAGGCCAAACTTTTCCTTTTTCTCAAGCGGCTCCCAGGCCAGTGATAAGCTGGTAAAACACATACATGGGTTTCTGGCGTGGTTTTTAGATGTTTCCTAGGTGGGGCCATTGTGACAGGAGATGATGAAATGTTGGAGCCAAGGATCAGAGAAATTGGTAGTTGCCTTGGAAACAAGAAGACTTGTCTCTTGTATCTACCATTTTGAAGTCTGATAAGTATCCTCTGACTCAAGAGACCATAAGGCCTGAAGCTGTAAGCAGTCCTTTCTCCTATTCTCACCCCTTTGGGGAGTCACTCTCTAGCCCCTCACCATAATTTTTTCTTCATAAACTCATTGTCCTTTTCATTTACTTTATTTTCTATCTTCTTTACTACATTTTGTCCATTTGTCCACTACAACCACTGCAGGTCCTTTAAGTACCTTCAACTCCCAGATCCCTTTGGTAGCTGGCTGGTTGGCAGGTGAATGTTGTTTGCAAGGGTATCTGAGTCAGCCTTCATAGCAGCCATATAACACCCACTTGGTTCAAATAGATAATTGTGCATAGTTAGGAGAGTCAGTCTGTATCGCAGAAATCAGGCTAATCTAGGTTCAAATCCCAGGCCCATCTAACTTGCTCTGTGGCTTTGGGCAAGCCACTTAAATGAAATTATAGATATTTTGCAAGGTTGCCATATGGATAAGGAATCACATATATAGAGCACTCAGTATATGTTAATGCCTAGTGAGGGTTCAAAAAGTGGTGGTTCTGACTAGGTGCGATAGCTCACACCTGTAATCCCAGCACTTTGGGAGGCTGAGGCGGTCGGATCACTTGAGGTCAGGAGTTCGAGACCAGCCTGGTCAACATAGTGAAATCCTATCTCTATTAAAAATACAAAAATTAGCAGGGTATGGTGGCGCACGCCTATAATCCCAACTACTAGGATGGCTGAGGCAGGAGAACTGCTTGAACCCAGGAGACAAAAGTTGCAGTGTCCCAAGACTGCACCACTGCACTCCAGCCTGGATGACACAGTAAAACTCTGTCTCGAAAAAGAAAAAGTGTTGGTTCTTTTTATTATTAGGACTGCAAGGATGATACCAGTGTTCATATAGCTTATTAGAGAGCTGGCCTGGACCAGTCCTCTTTGAGGTGTTGCTGGAACTTGAAGGAACCACTGTTGAGCTGAGCAGAAGCTTACAGATACACCCTAGGGGAGTATGTGGCTTGGATGGGGCTCCTGGAGACAGCGAGCCACCAGGAACCACAGAAGGAAGGTGGGGTGAAGTTGAGTCAGCAGTCTGGCCAGACCAGTTGATGGAAGAAAGACCTGAACTGGATTCAAGAGACAAACTTTCATTGCCTCAGGTTAAAGATGGTCTCAAAGGTTGACATTAGAAAATGTAAAAAGGTGAAGCCAGGCATGGTGGCAGGTGCCTGTAATCCCAGTTACTTGGGAGGCTGATGTGGAAGGACTGCTTAAGGCCAGGAGTTCAATGCTGCAGTGCACTATGTTCTCACCTGTGAACAGCCACTGCACTCCAGCCTGGGCAACATAGTGAGACCCTGTCTCAAAAATTTTTTTAAAAAGAGTAATTGTAGGAAGGTGAATGAATGGATGTCCACTTTCCATTGACCTACTTGATTAAATGAATAATCTACATTTAAAAAGCCACTTAATCACCACCAGGGCCATTAAGACATATGAAAATCTCAACAGTTGAAAGAGGTCTATGGTGCATATGATAAATTTGGAAGTGGAAATTGGTGAATGATCCTCTAAAAACGAATGGGGTCTTCCTTGTACATACACATGTGGAGGTAAGGATCTGACAGCTCGGAGGTTGCAAACTGGAGACCACTGCTGTCACATATATTTTGTTTAACTTGAACAATGTTTTAAAATAAGATTTCACCTGAATTTCTGGTTTTTCTCAAATATTAAAAAGATGGAGCCACACATTCTTCCATAGCAACAGTATGCCTGCATCAAGTACCCACTGTCTCCTGCGGCTATTTAGTGGGGTAGGGGACTTCAGAAAAGGTTGCTAAAACCAAGAAACTACTTTTTAGGGGTTTCAGGCTATTTGCCACTCCCTCCTTGAAATGCTTTCTTGGTTTTTATACACTGCTTCAGCCTTGTTTTCCTCCCACTTCTCCAACTGCTCTTTTTCATTCCCTTCTACAAAAGTCCTTCCTCCTCTGCTGTCCCCAGATTCTAGGAATCTCAGGGCTCTATTTTAGATCTTCTCTCTTCCCTATTCCACACAGTTTTCTTGGTAAACCTCATCTCTCAAGGTTTTGAGTCCCAGCCAAATGCTGCTTATGTCCATGGTAGGTGTGCAGTACATATGGGATTGGTTGAATCGTGCAGAAACATGAGATAGGAGGATTCTGGGGTGATTTTGTTTTGTTTTTGAGACAGGGTCTCCTCTGTTGCCCAGGCTGGTCTCAAAGTTCTGGGCACAAGCGATCCTCCCAACCTCAGCTTCTTGAGGAGGAGATGCGATTATAGGTGTGCACCACTATGCCCCACCTCGTGTGTATTTTTCATGTTCTCTTCTTTCGCTGACCTAAACTACTTATTTTTAAAAGCATAATGCTTATTTTGGAAACTTATGAAAATACTGACATATACAAATAAGGAAATAGCAATTGCCTACAATCCAAGATAACCACTGTTAGTATTTTGGCTATTTAACTCACTCCATGATTTCCACCACTCTCTATCCCCTCACCATAATTTTTTCTTCATAAACTCATTGTCCTTTTTACTTACTACTTTATTTTCTATCTTCTTTACCACATTTTGTCCATCTGTCCACTACAACCCCAGGTCCTATAATAGTGCCTGGCATACAGAAGGCATGCACGCCCTTAATCTTTGTTGAATAAATGAGTCAATGTCATTATATATATGTGTGTGTATATATATATAATGTGTATGTATATATGTGTATGGAGAGAGTGAGCAAGCGCTGGATCATAATTTATACACAATTCTAGAGTTTTATTCACTTAGCATTACCTTTGTGCATGCTACTGACTTGTTGAAAAACTTTCAGTGATTTCTTAGAACAAAATCCTTACTTTAGCCCACAAGCTTGGGTTTCTACAGCCTAAAATGTCCCCAGAATTCAATCCCCGGAGGATAAAATGAGTTTAAAAAAAAAAGGAAAACAGAGTGATAAACATCAAGACATAAAAGTATGAGGATATGCACAGTGATTCTAAAAATTCAAATTAAAACTAAACTGGAATATTTACATATTTTATTAAATCTTTACAATCAGTAATTATAATCAAATACATAATTATATACAGGATTATATACATTTTGCCCAGACTTTTACATCACAGTACATAGTTTCCCTTAGAAATATTGTATACATTTATCACCAAACAATAAAATCCAACAACAGTAGTGTTACAGCACCTGTTAGTACAGACATCTTTTTCATAAATTACATCATAAGAAAATATACGGCTGTAAATTGGGCTTTTAAAAATGTCTTTTATAAAATCTGAACATACAATATTTCATTCACAGAATGTTTTTTTTTTCTATGTTCTGACTGAAGCCTTGTGCATAAAACGACCGGCTGGAATATTTACTAAATTCTACCCCCCTCTAAAATTATAAGCAGTATTTGAATTACTTATGCTGAGCTTTCTTCATGATGAATTTGGCATGGGGTTTGGTGAGAGAACAAATGTTGGCTTTACTATAAAAAAGGTTGTGTGATGGTAATTTAAATTTTAAAAGCTTCTTGAGAGAGTAATTACATTAGTGAAGTTAAAATCAGAAAGTGTACAATTTTTCTTTTTACTAATACTGTAAAGAAAAAGGGAGACGTATAATGCCAAGAGTTAATTTGTTCTGAAACAATTATACTCTTTTTGGAAGCCTATTGCAATTTAAGAAGAAAAAAGAAAACTTGCCTAACAAAATATCCCATACCAAACATATCTAGTAAATTACAATTCTTTCACACTTAAAACTTTATGGGAAAAGTATTGCAAATAAGGGCATATCATTTCAATGAACTTTTATATGCAGAAAAAAACTAGCTATTTTATTTTTAGTAGGTAAACAGGTTAAGTTTTAAAACTTGAAAATACCTGAATTAAATACTTGCTCTAATATCTCTTAAAGGATTTCAGCTAAAATCCTTGATTCCAGATTTGTAAACATTATATAAATCTTTCTTAAACAATTTTATGGCTGTGGTGATCACTTCAGCTATATTTCTAAGCAGTCAACATTTAACTGAGGTAGACCAGATGTTTCTAAATTCGGGGTTTCATAGAATCCCCTGAATCTTTAGCAAGTTACTAAAATGTCTATAAAAGTTAACTAAAAAACAAAACACTAAAAAAAAAAAAAACAACTAATGCCTTTGGAATTTTTAATGAACTCAAAAACTACTTTGTGGCAGTATGTCAAGTAAGTAAATGAATGTAGAGTTGTAATTACAACGTTGGAGTTTTTTAGACGAACATTATCTCCTCTTTTCTTAACTAGGGAAATATTGAGTATAATTCCTTCTGGGTATTAAGAAAAATTGGTTAAATTTTTTCCTTTTCTTTTTTTAAGGATTTACTTTTCTTAACAAGTGAACAATTTGCTTCTAAGCGTCAATGAAAGGCAACACCTCCCTCTAATGGCCAAAGGAAGAGAGTGGCAGTAAGCTGGCTTTTCCAATGTGTCACACAATCCTTCATGCCATTAAGTTCTCCTTGTTGGAAAAGAAATTAGGTTGTTTTGATAACTTAGAAAAGTTAGTTTTAGACAACAGTGACTTTCAGCTACAAATACAAAATCAAATCCATGTATATAAGGCTTCTGTAATCGATGTCTTAGAGGAACATCTGCTCATTTTCTCCAAGCCCCAGTCCTATAAATCAAGGCAAGTCAAGTAATTAAGCTTCAACTATTTTGGCAGCTTTGCAATTAAAATGAACAAAGCACTATATCTATCCTTCCATATACTGTATATATTATAGTTCTATCTTGTTACACCAAATCTCACATGCAGAGAGACTAAAAATATCCATTTTGGTTTCAGGTATAATTAAAAGCCAATAAGGGTCTTGCATACTATTCTTTTTCCCCTCCCCAAAGTGAATTCTCCATCAGATTTACTACTCCCTGACTCAATTATATTTACCTGGAATATCTGAATGCAGGTATTTATCCTCTCAGAAAAGAATATGTTTACCTGGGATCTAAACATACTGTACACGAATATACATAACTGCAATACAGCACTGCTGTTTTTAACAGCTCCACTTACACCTCATCAGTACCTCACAACCGTGTTTTAGGAAAAAGTTTTGTGTAATGTTATGGTAAAGAGAAGAAAATTATGTCTCTTAAATATTCCTTTAGAACAAATTCAGGCAAGTTTAAAAAATAAATAAAATGAATAAAGCCATGATTTCAACAACAGGGCTGTCTACAAACATCAACAACAAAATTTAAAAATTTTTAAGACTTAAATGTGGCCAGCACCAGACTACTACAACAACAACAAACCAAAAAAAAAAAGGGGGGGGGTGGAAGTCTCATTAAGCTATATAGCTATATGTAGTTGTATTGTACTTTTTTTTTTAAACACAGGTCACCATACACTAATTTTCAAGTCCGTATCAGAAGGAATATCTGTTAAAAACAAAAACAAAAACCATGATTCAACAGAAAATGTGACAGATTCCTTAGGTGCAACTTTAGAAACCTAAGTTTCAAAGGAGAAAAACAGTAGTTACTCCAGGAATTTTAACTCACTAACCACAGTTCTATCATGGCTCTGTAAGACAGAAAAATGGAACAAAATGTATATAGCTGTTGGCGATACGAGCCTTGTGGCTCAAATTGCATACCAAACATGGGATGGAGTAAGGCTGATGGCTAGAGGTAATCACCTCTAAGAGAAATGAACTGGAAATGATTTATAATCTACCCTACAAGGATATAATGCTAGGTTCCATTTCAGAGTAGTCACAGCTTTCCCTATGGAAGGCCCAATGGGAGGTTCATATTGCAACATTACAGTTTCTCCCTTACTCCATTTTTCAGAAGTATTAAGTAAGCAATCTCCACAATGTATTATATGACCTTTTTACCTGGTCCCACTGATTAGTCTTTATGCAGAGAACTCACTGAGAAAGTACACTGGCTTCACCTTTGGTTTAAATAAAAAAGACATTGTTAAGAAGGAAAAAAAATCAAGTCATCTTGATCATTTGTCACTAAATGAAACAAGAGAAAGCAATGAGCAAAGACTGTTTTCACCATAAATGCATTTGCTTCATAACCACTTAGGTCACTTAGAGTGTTTTGTGAAGGCAGCATAATCAGAATGCCACAATACTCGGATGCATCTTCCCAAAAGAGCCTCTAACCCCCAAAACCAAGAAAGGCGAGCTTCCTTTAATTAGAAGGCTATCCAAACTCCTATTCCCCACTCCACTACTAAATGAATTTTGTTTCTTGTCTATCCAGAGACAACAGAAATCTGGTTCGCAGGAATGCTCAGTAATCTTTCCCTGGCCTGAGGTGTTGCAGGGTGGTGCAGTGCTGCATTTGAAGGGGGAACTGTGGATTTCCATTTTTGATGGGACAGTTTTAAACAAGGTCAATTCTAACACAGCATGCTCCAGATTCCTACGATAACTACGCCAGTCAGAACGTGGTTGTTCATCACCATACTTAAAGCCTCCCATTAGAAAGCCTGCTTAGTATTAGGATGTCTATTAACCACACACAGTTTACCTTTTCTTTTTAAATACCTACCAACAGATTGTTTAGCAAGTCATAGCTCATCCTTCTCCATCATTTCAAATGCTTCTATATCTTCATTCCAGTCTGCTAATATGGAGTCTATAGGCTGGACCTTTTTACCCCAGCTAACATTAGGATTGGAATCTTCCTCAGTTTCTGATTGTTCTTGAAGCTGGTTATCTAAATCTGTACATTCACCATTAAGATTTGTAGTCTCATGGTTTTCTGTGGGATTAGAAGTCTGTTCAGAAGGGGAAATGCTTGCAGCATTGTCCATATCTGCTAGAGATAATGATTCTGGGTGAGAATTTAGAGAATTTTCCTCAGAAGACTCTTGATCAACCAAATCAACCTCCTGAGAACTTGATGAAATCTGTTCACCACTCTGATTCTGAGAATCATTTTCAGAGGATGGTTGTTCTTCATTTTCCATTTCAGGATCTGTATGAGAAAGAAACAAACCTCATGCTACTTCTCTAAAAAAATGTACTATTACACTTTCCAAAGCATATTGGTTTTTGCAACAAGATGAAATAAAACGTGAAAGAGACTCATGTTAATGCAGAAAGGTGAGCATCAGCACTGAAATGAAGACTGTCTTTATGCAGTCACATTTTCCTATAGATTCACTGTGCAAAATGTGTCAGTGTTAGAAAATAAACGTTCTTCCAAATTGGAAGGAATGACAATAACTAAGACTGACATCAGTGGACATTAGTAAGCCAAGAAGTACGCTAACCAATAATAATATTAAAATATATAGAGATTTGCAATGTATGGCTAAAATGTATTAGATACCTAAAGCTTATGCATAAGAACATATTAAACAGAATCAATTTTAAACAGCATATATCATTGCTATATTTTCAAATAATATTCCTTTGAAAAGTGAAATTCCTACTCAGTAAGTCATAAAGAAGCAGATAACATAGATTTTTTTGAATGACTAAGGGTATTAATGTGACTGATCAGAAATACTTTCACAAGACAAGAACTGAGATTATTCATAAAATTCTATTATTTTAGGCCTATGAATTATAAGATATAGTCATTTTAAAATCCACTGGAAGGCTGAAGAGTGAGTTAAACCTCTTATAATGAATATACAGTGAAACCAGTAGAGGCATTTTATTTAGGGTTCCTACAAGAAAGTGCTTAAATAGCATCGACGCCTACATGCTACATCCTGTTCAGTCTCTGCCTCTGTGATGCAGTTGGCCAGCAAATATCCTCCAAGTCATCATTTGCATAGTGCTAGGGATAAAATGAGGAGCAATACCAAATGCTATACCTGCCCTTATGGGTCTTATAGTCCAACGGGAGAAAAAGATATTATACAAATAATCACGGAAAATAAATAGAAAACTCAACTGTGACACGTTATGAAAGAGAGATAAGGATTTTGGATGCTCAAGTCCCTTATGTAAAATGACACAGTATTTGCATATAACTGACACACATCCTCCCATGTACTTTAAATCATCTCTTGATTACTTTATAATACCTAATACAACGTAAATGTTATGCAAATCATTGGTATACTGTATTGTTTGGAGAATAATGACAAGAAAAAAAATCTCTGTATGTTCAATACAGATGCTTTTTTCTTCTTGAATATTTCCTATCCACAGTTGGTTGAATCCATGGGTGCAGAACCCACAGATACAGAGGGAGAACTGTAAGGAGATTTGAGAAGTTTCTTCAAAAAGTTCCTTCAGAAAGTGACACTTGAGCTGGGGTTTAAAGTATAAGATAATGTCAAAGAAGGGAGGGAAGAGGATTTATTTAAAAACCAGAAAAAACAAAGGAAATGTAGACATGCAGGAAGGTGTGGTGGGTATTGCTGGGGCACAGAAAACAATTCCCCAAAATATGGTGCTTCAGCATGATGAATGCTTGGAAAACTGAAAGGTCTCAGAAATAAGCCTCAGAACCAGTCTGTCTCTGACCTTCCCCTGCCTCCCTGTCTCTCTGATCCTCTTTCCTGAAGCAACTGGGGGGATTCTCTCTGGAATTTTCTTATCTAAGGAAGCTTCTTTCCAAATGAAATGCAATTGTCTCAAGAATCCCTCCCTAGGACTCTCATCAAATAACGAGAAAAAAAATGAGCCATCAGAGAAGAGTAGAGACAGGGGTCCTCACCACACCCAAACAGACTTTTCTTCTGTTCTTCTGAGGACAGCTGAGAGATTAACTGGGGGACTTTATCTAGATACTATGCAAAGAGAATCCTTTACCAATCATTGTCTAAGCACTGGACCTCTTCATTCCCTAGTATTCCTCTACCCTAAGAAGAGGGTATTTAAGCTTCAACCACCTGTCCCCTTTCATATTTTGTATGGCTCCTGTGCACACACGTACACATAATAAAATTATTATGCTTTTCTGTTGTTAACCTGTTTTTGTTTTTTTTTAACCCGGGGTGTCCGCTGTAACCCTTTATGATGGGGAGGAAAGGATCACCCCTTTCTGCCCCTACAATGCATATATGTTCACCCTGATTAGATGGGATTACTTGACTCTGAAAGTTTACATTCTTAGGGTTTTTTTTCCGGAGGGGAGGATCAGCAGGGGGTGGATTGAGGAATTCCACACAATCTCTGTCTTCTAAGCTGTGAAAAAGGTACAATTTAATTAGGCAATTAGGGAAACCAATGGTGCAGACCAAAGAAAGAAGGTAGCTGGCTACTTACAGCTTATTTATCCTAGGTTCCCTAAATTCAAGAGAGAACAAAAAGAAAAATCTCCAAGTTTCTTTCTAGATTGTATTATTCCAGATTAGAAGGAGAGGAAAAGGTGTAGGGTTGTTTTACCTGGTAATGAAGATTGTGCTTGTGATAAAAAACTCTCCTAGGGTTACATATACGATATTATTTTGGAAATCTAGCTGATGTAATCGGACAAGAAAGTAGAATAATCAATGTAAATATAGAAAAAGATCAAATTATTTGTATTTTCAGATTGTGATCGTACACTGTCAAAGCAACTTTAATAAAAAAATACTATTAGAATTGATAAAAAAAATTTGGTAAGAAGACTATGCAAATACCAATAACTCCTTTGTAGTAACAATAAATAGTTAAAATATAATCATTAAACCTTTTCATAATAAAAAGCTACAAAACATAGAATTAAATTTATTATAAAAGGTATAAGACCCACGTTGCTTAAATAAAATCATAATGAGAACATAAAACAAGATTTGATTAAATTTATAGGTATATTCTTAAATGAAGTCTTAATATTTAACATTTTCCTAATTTATATGTAAAGTATGCAATTATATAATTTCAAAATGAATCTCATTTGTACTTCTTGTTTTCGTTTTAGAACCAGATACAATTAATTTAAAGTTTCTATGGAACAGCATATGTCAAAGAGAAGCCAAGAAATTCTAAGAATCAGTGAGGGGAGAGTTGCCCTATCAGATAATAAAATATACTCAAAACAGCAAACTTTTATTATTGGCAAAGGAATAAACACATTAGTAGAAGAGAAGGGTAAGTCTAGAAGCAGATCCAACTATGCAAGAATATTTGATATATAGCAAAGATGGTAGTTTAACTGAAGGAGAAATGAGTGGTTTGCTTCATAAATGGTATTTAGTAACTGACAACTCAATTGGAAAGACTCCTAACTTTTATTTTAAAATTCCATATGATTTAGAGACCAAAATGTAAAAAATGGTAAAAATGCCAGAAGAATTTAGGAAAATATTATGTAAAAACAGGATGGAGTGATCTTCTGAAGTGAGACAGAAGACCCAGGAGCCTCAAAGGAATTAATATTTCTGATTACCTAAAAATGTTATGAAAGTTACATAAACAAAGTGAAAAGATGACATGTTGGGAAAATTGTGTGTGTGTGTGTGTAACCTCTGTCCCTATATGTGTGTCTTTTCTAGATAATTTATAGAACCTCTATTTCTTTATGAGTATGTATGTAAATATAGGAAATGCGCACACACACAAACAGAGAGGTCCTATAAAATATCTAGAAAAGACACAGAATCTTATTTAAAGAAGGCAAAATGCAAAACATATGACTAGGCAATCCATAAAGAGAAAAAACAAAAAATATACCTATAAAGGGAAATATGCTGACTAAAATAGGAAGAAACATGTACTCTCATATCTTGCTGGAAAGGATGTGAATTGCTACAACCTTTTTTGGAATGCAACTTGCAACATCCATTAAAATGAAAACGACCCATATACTTTCTGCCAGCATTTCATTTTAGTAAATCTCAATATTCTAGAAAAAGTATGCATATCTAAGAAGATATGTACGAGAATGTTACCTACACCATTGTATACAGTGGCAAAACAAAAACCTGGAAATAATTTGGACGCCTAATAGTGACATGGTTAAATAAATTATGGTACAGTGATAATGCAAAACATAATGCAGCTTTCAAAAGAATAAGTTATGCTATCCTACTAACTTGGAGGAATGTCTTTAATATAGCTTTAACTGTAAAAGGCAAGTTACTGAATGATACATATATTTAGAAATGTATAAAGCACTAAGAAGAATATAAAAGATTACACATCAAACTGCTAACATTGGTTGGTTATCTCAGAAAGATGAGAGATTATTTAAAAGTTTTTAATACACTTCTGGATTGTTTAATTTGTTACAAGTTTAATTTTATAAAGTTTTTAAAAAGATACCAATAACTATTCTATGCAGCACTATAGGAAAGTCACCAGGGGCCAACTAAATTTAAATGTAGAGAAGCAGAGAGAGAGACAGAGACAGAGAGAGAGAGACAGAGAGAAGAACTTTGAAGAAGATGCCCATGGAAGAAAATATTTTGGTTTTCGCAAGCTGAAGGAGCTATAGAACCAGAAATAAAAGCAACAATCAGGAAAGTAAAAATGGCAGTTAGAGAACTACAAAAAGATAGAAGAGTTAAAGTCTGCCACATTGCTACAAATCTTGATCCTAAGGTGCCTGTTTTCACCAGTATGTGAGATCAAAGTCGTAAGAGCATAACAACCACAATATTAAATTCAGGAATGGTACATCAGAAACACAGAAAGAATGGAGAAAATCTCAAAATACAGAGAAACAAAATCAGTATGTTTTAATAATAAAAGAGGAAGTGAACCTTGGCAAAGACTTAGAGATTGGATGTTTTAGAACCATTCATTCATTCATTCATTCATTCATCTGTACATTAAATGTTTACTGAAAGCAAGGAATATAGAGATGAGAAGCAGGTAAAGAACTATTTAACTATCATAGTAGAACTGTATTAAAAGGACACCCTTAAATTTTACCTAGGAGGTGGCATTTGAAATTTAGGATATCTAAATGTTCTCAAAGAGGAAAAGGGCCATGGGAGAGGAAAAGGGATTGATAGGGAACTTCCAGAAAAAGGGAAGAGATGGCGCAAATGTGAAAATGCATGAGAAAACATGTCTTGGATGGAGAAGGGAAGGTTAAGTATCAATTCTGCTAAGAAGAATGTTTCAGATGTTTCTCTCCAGGTAGAGTTCATCTGCATATGTACTAGATTTTTCTCCTAGGAATCAAATCCTTTCCAACAGCAACTTAAGGTGTGCAGTTCAGCTGTAGAACAGATTCACACCAATCAAATTCAGTGGGGGATAATCAGGAAAAGTGACCCTGCCTGACTTAAATCAGAGCATTGCAAATGATGGAACCTTTTTTTTTCTTTCCTCCATTTTCTCTGTCTGGCTCTTTACCAGATAGAGACAAATACAGTTGCTTGAAAGCATTTGTCTAGAGCCCTTAAGGCACTATAGGCTTACACTCTAAGCTGCAAGCATGACAATGAATTGGAACTTAAAAATGCTGATGTTTTTTTCCCTGTGACAAATACTATTGAAAAAAGGAAATTTACTCTTAATTGTAAACTGCTTCAATTTGGACCTAAAGGTAACAAAACATTGCCTTTTGTTTGTGGGCACACGGTTGGAATAATTAAGTACCTTTACAAACTGAAATTTTGGAAAAATGAAACACTGAGAGATATGATATTGAAAATTCTGTTCAACAATAGACTGTGGATAGCTTAACTTTCAGAAGTGTCACAGGTTTGACCTAAGGAAGCAACATCACTTGATAAAATGCTAATGCTTTTTGGCTTCTAAATGTGTATTAAGATGACCAGAAAATTTCTGCTAGCAGAACAGTTTCAGATACATCTATACTAATGGCATGGACTTATCAGAAGAAGAAGACAGGAGTGAAGGCTTTTTAAGGGCTTCTATTTTCTGTATTAAATATGAAAAGGACTTCTTAATCAGCATTGTGTGACTTCATATGGAAAAATACGTATTTGTGGAATGACATTTCTAGAAAAGGCAATCTGGAGAACATTTTATTGTTCAGATTTTAAGGATGTTGTTACTTAGTGTACTTATATAATCTGTTAACTAGTACCTGTAATGGTACAATATGGCCTGATACATAGCTGGGAGACAAAAAAGGGGTGCTTTCTGAATCTTGTTCAATATTTCTCAAAGTGTAGCTGAGGAAGCAGCTACAACACAATCACCCGGGATGTTTGTTTGAAGTTTCAGATTCTGATTCCCAATCATAAAGTCTGAATCAGAAAGTCTGATTGAATATTTGGAGCAGGACTCAGAAGCCAACACTTCTAACAAGTGTATCTGTTGATTCTGATGCAGGGGAGAAACACTGATGTATGTAGTAATGGTATAGGACAAATGATAACCGCTACAGACTGTGTAGCTTCTTAGGATATCCTAAGTGAATACATTTGTTGATTTCATAACACTATTACCATTGATTTCTGTTACATTAATAAATATTAACAATTAGACTGTATCTTGTTGCTAATTAATATAGCTGTACAGTTCTATAAAGAGCTATTACACAAAAAGGGGGCTTTTCAATACTTTTATCAAAAGATCACTCTATAACAATCACAGTTCAATAAATTTATAGACTAAAGTTTTCAAAAAATATCTTTTAAATAATGCCCTTTTAATGCAAGGTCCTTAAGGGGATACTGTTCACCAAGAATTCTTATTTTCTGGTAGAATTAATCATGTCTCATAACCTTTCTCTGGTACAGGAAGCACATGCTGTACCATAATCCTGTAGTCCTAACCCATGTACCATACACACACATGAGCTTTTAAAACAAGTCAATACTTTAAATATTTTACATTGTGTTCAAATAAAATGTGATCAAAGTAATAAATACTAAAACAACAATGCCTTTGTTAGAGTGACTCTTGTATGGACATAGACATAGAATTCATCTATTGTATGGGATGTATAATTATTAGAATTTAAAATTATTATGTGACTGCTGACTAGACATGAAAATAATCTAATTACGTTACACAAGATATTATCATGGTATCCACTGAAACAAAATTATATATGTACTTGAGTGTGTGTACACACACCCAAATACATATATACGTATATAATTTAAGGCTTGTTAATGCAAGATACTTACTACTATTAATAATGTAGCTTGGAATCATTTTACCTTTTAATATTGCTGCTGAAATTCCAGTGGTAGCACAAAATAGGGGGAAAAAAAGCAAATGCATTAAAGAGTTACAAGAAATAATAATTTGCCTATGTTAGATGTGCCTAAATGCATATATGTAGGCAAGAAGATCTGAGTTTAGAAAAGGGCCCAGGAAAAAAAAATCAGGTATACAGAGGATTTAAGACTAGAAAACCTTTGTATTCTGTTCTGTTTCCATCTATACATTGTTATATACAAACAACCTACTTGCTCACTCCATTGCTCATAAATAATTGACATTTCAAAGAATCTCAAAGAAGAATAAAGCAATACAAGAAGACAAAATTAGGCTAGCATGATTATGCTAGCATGATTATCACCGAACATTTTTTTTTAAATGTCCCACTTGGAAGTCACATTGAATTGAATCAGTTTCCTACATATCTGTCAAACACCCCAGGGGATGTAACAACCCTGTACTATTATGCAACTTCATCTATTTAAGGGTATGGGAGAACTTTAGCTCTCTCTTCAGGTCTCTCCAGCAGACAGGAAAGACTGCTACCACAAGCAAGATCTGAAGGCTCACATTCCCTCATTTCTCCTCTATCCCTGGGTGTGAAACTATGTAAGAATACTAGTAAGGCCTTGCATTTATATTGTAATTTGGGTTTCAAAGACATTTCAAATTACTAACAAACATTTTGGCCTACAGAGGACTATCTACTCTCATAAATTAAGACATGCTATCTTGTTTTTCAGAAACAGCCATTTGTAACTCTTATATCCATGTGATAAACTTAGATCTCATTGGGAAGAAGCTGCTAGATTTCTATTGCCTTCACCAAGACAGCAGTCATTTGATTATAGGTGGCCTGTTGAGACTAACTACTATGATATTGTATACAACATTCTATATATGTCTTCTCATTCCTTATAAAAGACATGTAAGATGTAGTATCAGTGAAATCAAATTGTGAACATTTCCGGATGTTAAAATGGCTTTCCTGAAGCAGTCTCTTGTATTTTTATCACCTGAACAGACTCAGGGCAAAAATTACAAATCACACATAAAAACATATGTCTAAAAACATCCTAACTCAGAAAACAAAGCAAAATAAATGTTTTATTATTCTTATTTCCAAAAGAAAAATATATTTTGAAATCATCTTCTAAAAGTTTTACTTGTTTTCACAGTGAACCCCCCAAAACAATTTTTTGTGACTCATTCTTGTTATCAAACTAGCAAAATTAATATTACGCTGCATAAAAAAACAAATGGTATTTTACTCTTACCTCGATCTTTTGCTTTATCAGAGAGGAGCACTTCTACCTCCTCATATTCCCGGATGGCATCCAGTATGATACTTCCTTCTTTGCTGAATAAGAACAGCATGGGGATCTTGATGTCATCTGTATCCTTTCCATCACCTGCCATCTGGAACAGAGGGGCAGTATCACTGCTGCTCCCCTCATTGTCATCTAGCCAGAAAATAAATACAGCAAACATCAAAATATCCAGCCATTAAAAAGATCTATCTACTAATTGTTACTGATTTTTTACAATGACAGAATTAATTTTATGCATCAAGAACCATAAAAACCAACATAATTTTTGGACCCATTAATTCTCATAGAAACGTATCCAAAGGAAATAATTCAAAAGTAGCGAAAAGCCCTATGCCCAAATAATTTTACTAGACTATTTATAATTGTAAACAACTGTACACCATTATAAGTAAATTATAATGACCTACTTGATAGGACACACAGAATAATAATACATTTAAAAAGTAGAATACAGAATTCTATGATTATGACTATAAAAATTTCATATGCTTATGGAAAAGCCTAGAAAGGAAAAAATCAATGACTCGGATTACAGTGATAGAACTATGAATGAATTTTATTGTTGAAAATTTCCACTACTGGCATGATTACATTGTTTTACCAAACTAAAAATGGACATTTCTTTTTTATATAATGCACACAAAGAATAGTTATGACTATAGTGCTTCTTCCTCTATAAGCTAAACTAAACAGTATTGCTATTTTGCATTGGTTAAATAATAGTAGTAGAACTATTAATAGTAGTAGTACCAGCAACATGCTGTTTTACTGAAGACGACAATCACGACCACCTCCAAATCGCATGCCAGTCTCCCAGAAGAAACTATCTGTCCTGTCTCAGGGTGCTCACTCTCATAGGACCTGCTAAGTGCAGAATGCATGACCCATCCTCTTGGTAATAATTGATTAGACAAAAGATGGCTACCTGACCCTGAGTCTCTCTGGGGGACCTGGAACTGGCACACAGAAAGACTGTTTCAGTTAGCAGGGGGTAATAGTCCAGTTGAATGACACAGACTTAGGGGCTGAGGCTGCAAACTAGAATGGCCATTTTGGAACTGAGGAACAAAGAGAGAGAAGGCTGGTGAGAAGCTGGAAAATGAAGCAGAATTGCAAAGAGAAGCAGGGAAGAAAAGTTCAGAAGGACCCAGAGGTAGAGATACAGAGAGAAAAGTGAAAAACATTCACTATCATGGATCCTGGTGATTTTTAGTTCCCACTTCTACCTCCTGGTGAATCCTAGTTGTATTTGTACTGTTTAATTCACTAAAAATAATCCATTTCTGTGTAGTGAAAAAACCTCCCTTCTTAAACCAACGTAATTATCTCCTGCAGCCACATGATTTCTAAGATAATTCGTATTTCTAACCCTTGCAACAAAAAACAGCTAATTCCTAATTTATTCATTTATATACAATTAAAACAAAAACAAAATGCTTTGTCAGAAACAAAAAACTCAGGAGAAAGAAGTCAACACAAGAAAGTTTCTCATTAAAAATTAAATTTTTGGCTGGGTGCGGTGGCTCATGGCTGTAATCCCAGCACTTTTGGAGGCCAAGGCAGACCACTTGAGGCCATGAGTTTGAGACCAACTTGGCCAACACAGCGAAACCCCTTCTCTACTAAAAATACAAAAATTAGCCAGGCTTGGTGGCACGTGCCTGTAATCCCAGCTACTCAGGAGGCTGAGGCATAAGACCTACTTAAACCTAGAGGTGGAGG
This sequence comes from Homo sapiens, assembly GCF_000001405.40. NCBI lineage: Eukaryota > Metazoa > Chordata > Mammalia > Primates > Hominidae > Homo > Homo sapiens. The sequence continues at coordinate 184,704,587 of NC_000001.11, forward strand.
TTGTAGTGAGCCAAGATCATGCCACTGCACTCTAGCCTGGGTGACAAAGCAAGACTCTGTCTCAAAAAAAAAAAAAAAAAAAAAAAAAAAAAAATTTCTGAGAGTAAGGATCATCATCTCTTATTTATTTATCCACAGAACCCAGTATACCATTTTCCAACTAATAGCTACCAAAAAAAACATTTGACGGGCCAGGCTTGGTGGCTCATGACTGTAATCCCAGCACTGTGGGAGGCCAAGGCAGGCAGAACACCTGAGGTCAGGCGTTCAAGACCAGCCTGGCCAACATGGAGAAACCCCATCTCTACTAAAAAGAAAAAAATATATATAAAAATTAGCCAGGCGTGGTGGCAGGCACCTGTAATCCCAGCTACTCGGGAGACTGAGGCAGGGAGAATTGCTTGAACCTGAGAGATGGAGGTTGCAGTGAGCCAAGATCACGCCACTGCATTCCAACCTGGGTGACAGAGCAAGACACCATCTCAAAACAAACAAAACAAAAATTGACAATTATTGCATACTATAGAAGATCATGAGAATTAGACTTCACTGAAAAATATAAAAAACCAAAATACTACACAAAGAAATATTTTTAAACATTAATGCATAAATTCTACACTTTATACTTTACATTTTCATTTTGAAGTCTTGGTAAGAACTGTTCAAAATGATAGTGATGGTTAATATAATAAATTCTGCAATAAAACTAATCTAAGTGTGGGAAATACCCAAGGATAAAGAGCATGATTTAAGTCAGGGGTCGGCAAATCTCTTCTGTAACTGGCTAGATGATGAATAAATATTTCAGGCTTTGTAGTTCTCTCCTGTAAGTACTCAACTCCATCACTGCAGTTCAAAGCAGTCATAGACCATACACAAACAAATTGGCATGACTGTGTCCCAATAAAACTTTTATTTACAAAAATGGGCAATGAGCTGGATTTGGCCTATAGTCTTGTAGTTTGCCAACTGCTGATTTAAGTCATTAAACAGGACTTCTCCTAATGTTTATTAATAAAATTTATGCATCCATTAAATCAACATAATAAGTGTTAATATTCTGTTTTACCTGAACTATTTTTTTTTATTTACCTTAACTATTGGGCGGCAGGGGAGGGGGGAATCCAAAATGGATTTCCCTGTGAGAGAAGCTGTACAAAAGAACTCACAATCAGCATATTGTGAGCCCAGGTCTTACAGTTCTTTCTGAATGTAAACTCCTATTTACTTTAAAACAGAAAAATTTATATTTCCCCTAATAGTCATGGCCTGTTTATCATGATATAAGTGATTGTCTATGAAAGATAAAAAAGCAAAACCCACTAGTTGATACATATAGGTAAGATGATTTAAAGGTGGTAACTTGTCATTTCGGTAGAAAAAGATCCAAGGGGATAAAGATCTGCTAGCAATACTGTAAACCCTGTTATAGTAGCACTTATCCTATGTCTGCTATTATGCCAAGAAATTTTATATATCTTTAAACCTTACAATCACCTAAAATATATTTATTATCACTTCCACTGGAGCTCAAAAATATTCTACTATCAAATAAAAAAAAATTATACTATTTAATCTACAGATTAAAAAACTGAAGCTAGGCCAAGGTTACACTGCAATTTTGTGGTAGAGCCAGGAACTGTACTCTCATGTGTCTGCCTCCAAAGCCTGCATCTTTGTGGAGTAATGGAAATTTTCAATGGCTCCCCACTGGACGTGGCACAGTGTAATTCTTGCCCTTCGGGGGTTATGGATCTCATGGGCACCTTTTCTTATCCATGGTACTGAATTTTTTTACTACTCAGCCCTACCTCACCCTCACACCTAAACCCAAGTATTTTCACTGACATTAATATACAGAAATTCAAATCTAGACTTTTAAAAAAGATGTTAGATATCTAGAAATTAAAAGTCATTGGATTACCTATCCTTGTTGTCTAGGTGAGGTAAAAAAAACTATGACAAACTCTTTGATAAAATTTTAGAAAATAAAAGGGAAAAAATCCTAAAAATTATCTCCCCTTCAGTCAACACAATGACATGGATGATTACTTACCAATAACAATGCCACCAATGGCTCCAGCATTCTGGATGTTGCGTGCCTTTTCTGCAAACATGCACTGTCCTCTTTGTATCAGTGCGATTTTTCCCATCACTGCCTCTGGGTTAGTAAGCTCTGAACAACCATTGGATGGTTTACTGCTTGCAACAAATCCTCTTGTCTGTCAGAAATAAAAGCAACTTAAATACTTTAATCTTCTCAAATGGCAATCAAGTCATTAAACCTCAATATCTAGAGTTTTAAAAGAACTAGAACTCATTTCTTTTCTAATGATAACGTATCTAACATATAGTCACCATAAAATATTGTTTTAAACATTTTGCATATCACAGTACTCAACCAATATTTCTAGTGTGCTTTGCAGTTTATAGAACATTTTTATATAAACTACAAAATCTGTTATTTATAATGACCCTGAGCAAAACAATACAAATAACATTTCCCTTTCACATATGGGGAAATTGAGACTCAGGTTACGTAATTTGCTCACAATGTTAACACGATGTTACTAAGCAGTAAAGTTGGGACCTGCAGGCAGATTCACTACATTTACAATAGCTGGGAACTAATTTGAAATGATCATTGGTAACAAGAAAAGTTTTTGAAAGGGGAAAAAATGGACTTAGTCTATATGAATCTGCAAGCAGTTCTTTTTACCAAAAAAATTAAATCCACCAAGGAACTAATTTTTTTAAACACGTTACTATAAAGATGTTTTAATATCCTTCACTCTACTAAAATGTAAATTCCATAAGGGCATGGATCTTCATTGGTTTTGTAAACTGATACAGCAAGCAGTGCACAGAATATAGTAGGCACTCAATCAACAGTTGAATGAATCAATCAATCTATATAGCTTCTACATAGTTTAAAATATACATGAGAAAAAAGTCTAAATTAGCAGTAATAGAGTGAAAAGAGCATTGGCTTTAGATTGTCACGATACTTGGGCTCTGGTCCCAGCTCTGCAATCAATTAGTTAGATAACTTTGTGAATTGCTTAGTTATGTAAGTCTTTGTTTTCTACGTTATAACTATGTTACAACTATAGAGGATGGACTAGCTAAATGATCTTCAAAGTTTGCCCAGTGGAACCTCAGGGTCCCAGGCTTTCTCCAGTCACTTGAGCCAGAGCTTCTGTGCTTTTAGCTGTTTTCTACATTAAGCTCCTGGTTTAGACTTTTGTTCAAAGAAAGGTTCTAGTGGCTCTTAGAAAGTCTGAAAACCATTTTTAGATCAATTACAGGTATTAAATTAGAGAAGAGACCAAGAAATTGAATAGAACCTGAATAATATTTTAGTTAAAATTCTGTAAGCATATTATATACATAAATTATGACTCAAAGTTTTCAAGACATGCTTTTACTTTACTTAAATCCAGGAGATTGACTATTTCAGTTTTTTAAATAAATTAAAACTACTAAATTAGAGAAGAGACTAAGAAATAAGGCAATACTTAATATTTTAAATTCAGTTTCAACAACTATATTTTAAGTATACATACCTCTTTATGTTTAGACAGATCCAGCCCAAACTGAGCTGGTCCAGCAGTCAATACTACCCTGCCAAAAAATGGGTGGGAAACAATTTGTACAGCTCGTGGAGGCAGCTGCTGTTCTTTTTGTTGCTGACTTGACAATTCAATCATCTCCTGCATGAACCTCAACCCATCTTCAGCGTCGATTGAACTAGCAGCCTATGAAAAAAACAAATTCATTTTATCCTTCCTTTCTGGAAACTTCCACCAATTTTTTGATTTCCTAAAGACACTGTACTGTAGTATTCTACTCTACAACTTCTTCTTTCACTTTAGGTCACCACCAAGTATTTATGACCTTATTTGTACTCAAAAATAATACTTTCAGAAATAGTATTTCTGAAAATAACTTATCCGTATTTTTTATCAATGTCACTTTCGCTATTCTATAAACCACTTTTGATTCAGATTGAGAACTGGACTTCTAGCGAATGCTCAAATGCTCACTTTGCTTATTCTCCCCACTGGCTTTCCCTCTGAAGAAATAAACCTCATACCTGACCCACACTTTCCCTCCTTGAAATAGTGAACAACCAGATTCAATTTGATTCAAAACATATCTGTGAAGCACTTATTCCATCTCAGCACTTGCCTAGGCATTGGAGAGACAGTCCTTTAAGAAATTTGTGTCTGGAGGAGAAAGACATGTAAAGTTAGCTATGATAAAATTTCTCAAGTGGGAAAGTGGAAAAGGAGCACAGATGAGGGAACAATTGATTCTGCTTGTGTGTACCTGGGAAAGATTTAGAATGACACTTGAATTGAGTCTTAACAGAGGGAAAGTTGAAGAATGACTATAATAGAAAAAAATAAGATGATTCCTGATACTTTACAGGAAAAACCAACAAGACATGATAGAAGTTAGAGGATGGAAAAGGATAAGAGGAACTGGAAGAGAAGAAGAGTTCAAACCTATCCTGAAATTTCCAGCTTTGATGACTTAAAGAATGATGATAGGTTTTACTGACATGGAGAGCCAAAGAAGGAAACATAGGTTGAGGTGAGGGTAGAAAGAGAGTAAACAAGAAAGAGATAATTCAAGTTTGGACAGATTGAGATTGAGATGCAAGATGTATGAGAGGTAGATGAAAGTTGAATTTAATAGTAAATTTAGGAATCAGGATTCACATACATAGCTAAGAAGTCATATGTATAAAAATGATAGCTAAGCTTGTAGAAATAGGTGACACTGTTGAAGAAGAGTATATAGAGAAAAGAATATCATCCAGATTCTTGGAAACTGTTTACATTGAGTGGTTGTGCCAAGGAGAGCTACAAAGCAATAAACAGTGAAGTAGAAAAAGAACTTTGTTTCTGAAATATCCTGGGAAGCCAAAAAGGGAAAATGTTTTATGAAGGGTTCAGCCAATAGTTACAGAAAAGTTAAATCATATAAGGATCAAGAGGCCACTTGGCAGTAATTATGCCATTGGCAGCCTAAGTAAGTAAAAGCAATGTCACAAGAGATGTCACTCCCACTGAGGCCAAATAAAATACAAGGAAGAAGGAAGAATACTCTTAAAAGAAGGAAGGATGTGGCAAGAATATGGATGAGATGAAAACTTGAGGGTGTGATGAAGTTGTGGGAGGGTTGAATTTGAGATTAAAGGATACCTGAATATGGTTCTAGGTTAAAAATTATTCAGCAAACTATGTGGTTTTCTCAGAATCAATATACTAATAAGGTAAATAATTTAAAAACTTTGTGTTATAAAAACTTTCAAAGTAAAAATCAATAAAAATTTCTCAAAAAGACATGTTATTTTTCCTAGGCACAGACAAATAAATACCTATGATGAACAAAATACTTAAGATTCAGTAGCTCTTTGGAGACTAAAATGATGTAAAACATGGAGATATGAATATTAAAACTAATTACTAGTTTTTGAAGTTATGTTGTAAATAAAAGTAACAGGGGAAAGCCAATGGACTGAGAAACAGAAAACTTAGATTTGAGTCCTGCATTTGATTATATTAACTTCAGCAAATTACCCAACCTAGCTCTGATTTATTTAATTGATTTATACTATAAAGGAGTTGAATTAGGTGACTTTCCAAGATACTTCCAAGTCCTAAAATTCTCATTCTCTCACTTTAAACAGTATATTTAAAGTGTTTAGAAAGTTGAAATCCATTATCTTATTAAAGCTAATGCGACCAAAGAAAGCAGGGCAGAGACGGTATCTAATTAGTGTAGCAATGTCTTACTTGGATTGCATGTTGGACCAACTGGACTCTCCCATCTTTGAGGTGAATCAAACTCACCCCCATCTTCTTCAGGATTTCTAAATGCTCAGGGTTAGTGGCCATGAAATCTCTGGCTCTCAGAGGGGGTTTAGCTCCACTCCTGAAACTCTCCTCTCTGCTAAAAGTAATTACAGGCAAGGCTTAAAAAACTATAAATTAGAATTGGCAAAAAACACATGTCAAATAAAAATAATGTTACTTGCAAAATTGCTAGTTTTAGAACTAGTGAAACTGGAATAACTAGAAAGTATTTTCTTACATATAATTTAGGTTAACAAGTGGTATAGCTTTCAAATATAACATTTTCTAGTTATAAAAGTTTGTATATTATCTATATAAGGCAGTATTAGTCAAGAGAACTATAACTATTTAAAGGTACAGAACAAGTTTGCTTGGGGATTTGTTACTATTGATGTTATCCTTTAAAAACACAGATTTTTCTCCCAATATTTTAAAAGCAAATCAATACTTGCATCAGTGAATAATAACACTTATGTAAAAATAATTTTTAAAAAGTCCTTGCAATGGCCTAATATAACTACTCGTCAGAAAATGAACTCATTAAGCCAATTTTAACAAGCAAGAATAAGTACTCCCTCAAAAAATCAAATCCAAACAAACAAACAAAATACCTGTATTTTCACTACACAGAAACTATAGACAAAAGGAAATTTTTTTTTTTTGAGATGGAGTTTCGCTCTTGTCACCCAGACTGGAGTGCAATGGCGTGATCTTGGCTCACCGCAACCTCCACCTCCTGGGTTCAAGCGATTCTACTGCCTCAGCTTCCCGAGTAGCTGGGATTACAGGTGCCTGCCACCATGCCTGGCTAATTTTTTGTATTTTTAGTACAGACAGAGTTTCACTATATTGGCCAGGCTGGTCTCGAACTCCTGACCTCAGGTGATCCACCTGCCTTGGCCTCCCAGTGTCCTCAGATTACAGGCGTGAGCTATCATGCCTGGCCAGAAAATATTCGATGAAACTATTCCATGAAAAATGAGTTATAGAAGTTAAAAACTGTTACATGCTGCCCACTATTATTACCTTAGTTCATAAAATAAAAGATATATTGAAAGTTTCCAAAATAATAAAAAAGATATTACTGCAAAATAAGCTTTACTATCTAACTTTACTACTAATTTTTATTTTAACCAGTGATAGCTACATACCTCAACATTTTCGGCCTATGTGAATGTCTTCTTGGCTGTTGATACATGCTCCCTAAGTTCTCTGTCATTTACTAAGAAACAACTTTGATATTAGAAAATATAAAATAATACATCTTACACTCTGATGATGCCTCTAGGACAGCTCTTATCCACCACATTTTTCAAGGGCTCACGAATACTTTGAGCATACAATGGGTCATTAGGAAAGAGGATCTGAGTATTTGGACAAGTCCAATCGAAGTTACTGTCATCCAGTTCTGTATATTCCGAGGTCTACAAGAGAAAAACATTTTATGTAAACAGAAATAATTATTTTACTTAACATAATTTTTTTTTTTTTGAAATGGAGTCTCACTCTGTTGCCCAGGCTGCAGTGCAGTGGCGTAATCTCTGCTCACTGTAAGCTCCATCTCCTGGGTTCATGCCATTCTCCTGCCTCAGCCTTCCGAGTAGCTGGGACTACAGGCGCCCACTACCACGCCCAGCTAATTTTTTGTATATTTAGTAGAGACGGGGTTTCACCATGTTAGCCAGGATGGTCTCAATCTCCTGACCTTGTGATCCACCTACCTGGGCCTCCCAGAGTGCTGGGACTACAGGCATGAGCCACCGCACCTGGCCTACTCAACATAATTTTTAAAAGGAAACAGTTAATGAAATATATAAGTGTATACAGGATGCAATAAAAGAAAAAAAATAGGAAAATGTATATATTTATTCTTACCATACATATATTTATTGAATTCTACTCATGGATTACTTTTCACTTGGAAAAATAAAACATGTAGAAATAAAAAAGAGAATAAGACATTTCATTTAAAAACTCACTGTGTTCTTTTTAGAGATGCTTTGATTTGTAGTAGAGAGCCAAAGAGGTAACAGATGAGCTTCTGTTGTAAAGATGTAATCTTCTATGTCAAAAATAATGTCTTCTTTATCAGCAAATAACAGGTAAAGATATTTAAACATTTCAGCCAAGAAGAAAGAATCCATTCTAAAATAAAAAGTCACAAATAAATATAAGTAGATAAAAATAATTTAAATGCCAACTATATGAAAGCCATAGAGTCAAGGTTAATAATCCTGTCTATACCAACTTAGATGTTCAAAGAACTATAGAATGTATCAATCTACCAGGGGCAGAATAACCTTGACTCCAAGTATATTCTATGTTAATGAAAAAGACCAGAGGAGTTGTCTACCACACTGATACACTGAATCTTGTGAATAATGCAGACAAGATTTTTCTATAGGCCTTTCAATGAGGGAAAGTTCTCCATTTCTTCTATAGAGAATCAACAGCAGGGAGGTAACTGATAAATTTTACTAGTGAGAATCATATAAGAATCTTCCATTAAATTAGAGAGCTGGAAAAAGTCATACAAATTTGACGGAATTTATTATGTAGCTATTTAAGTGATTTAAAAAGAAGGCTTTAAATGTAAAGAAATTACTTGCATGTAATTTCCTGGCCAACATGGTGAAACCCCGTCTCTACTAAAAATACAAAAATTAGCCGGGTGTCGTGCCAGGCACCTGTAATACCAGCTACTCAGGAGGCTGCAGCAGGAGAATCACTTGAACCCAGGAGATGGAGATTGCAGTGAGCCGAGTGCAGTGTCACTGCACTCCAGCCTGGGTGACAGAGCAAGACTCCGACTCAAAAAAAGAAAAAAATAGTTACATGAAAAAAGTACAATGCAAAGTCACACGGGCTATGATTATAACATGCTAAATATTTATTTACCTGTTAAGAAGGGAATGTGGAGAAATAAAGACAGTAAAACTATATGTGTTTTTACAAATGATTTAATGTTATAATGTTTTAACAATTTAAGAAAAGTTTAAATTAAAAGTGTCAGGAAAAAAGCATAGCTGGTAGATGGAGTCATAGTAACATCAAATTTAATTCACTACTCCCCAAAGCATCATAGGTTTTGGCAGTAATAAACAACTTCTAGTTTACTGGACAAGTTGCACAATTTCATACCTCTGGCCAAGCACAATTCCTGGCACACAGTAGGCACTCAATAAATGTTTACTAAATTAAATGCAAGTTTAAACAGCGTGATTAAAGAATGAGCTGGAGAGGGAGTAGAACAAAGAAGTAAAGAACATGGGCTTTGGAAATAGAAAGATCTTCCACTAATTAGTTCTGTCACCATGGGGATATTATATAAGGACTATGAGCTTCAGTTTATTCTTCTGTAAAAGGAATATAACAATACACTCATGACATTGGTGTGAAGACTGAGATATTAAATGTCAATTATTTAGCATAGCACTTGGCATACATATGAGATTGAAACTACAGCTATCATTTTTCCTACATACACATGATTTTTTATTTTGGAACAAAAACTCACCTGAAATGTTTCAAAACATGTTTAGCCATTTTGGATATTAATCTTTTTAGACAATATAAAAACACTTTCCTGTTTATCTGCAATACACTTATCATAATTCAACCTTTTCTGATGGACTGACAGTTATTACATGAGCAAATGCTATCTTGAGAACTGCAGACAGATGAGCAGGATACTGATAATTGGCAAATACTAGAATAGACAATTTGTAAACATTTAGAAAAGAACAAGGCATGGTAAGATAACTACAATATGAATTGGGCAAAGCTAGCAAGTTGAACATCAGATCATATGATCTATTTTATATTTTAAAATCATAAAAATACATAAATAAAAATACACAGGCATTAAAAATGTCTGGAAGCCTTTATAAAATTGCTAACAGTGGTAATCTTACGCAGTTAGGGGACAGTGTCTTAGCAAATATTTTCCTATTATTTTTGCCATTTACATTCTTTTCAGTAATTATGATTAGGAAAATACAGATATTTCCATTGTGAAAAGTGTGTGTGTATGTCTGTGTCTGTGTAGATGATGGTAACCTGGAGGACAGTGATAGTGCTTAGATCTATAGGGTAATAAACCACCACATGCAAAGAGCCTGTAACTGAAAGCTCTTGAGTGCAGTGCCACAAGGCACTGGTTGGGGTCCAACCAAAACTTCTTCCTAACAGTTTGGATGAAAAAAATGTAAGGTATGCTCATCTAAACTATAGATCATTGAAAACTGGTAGTTTAGCTAATGAGATTCAACCTCTAGACCAAAATCTAGAAACAAAACAAAAAAAGAAATTTTGCTGAGTTAAATATAAAAGTTCTAAGTTTACACTAAAAAAAAGAAAACTTGGCTGCTCAAAGGCAGGGTGGAGAACACTCATTTGTCAGCAGACCATACAGTTAAGTATGTGAAACTAGTTGATCACAAGCTCACTGTGAGCTGAACATAATAAAGCTCCTAAAAAATCTAAAGCACATCTAATAACACAATATGATGAAGAATGGTAGTTCTTAACCTTTCATTTGGCTAAAGACATCTGAGAGGCACAACAATCCCCTCAGGAACAGTGAGTCAATGAAGCAGTGGTCCTCAACTGGATAGAGGGTGGAAACTCATCAGCCTCATAGAACATTAGTGACCCTTTGCCTGAATACAGACAGTTATGGTGCTGTGTGCCAGACACATCTTGAGTATGGTTAATTCTGGATGTGATATTTTAAGAGTTATTATATATACTGGAATGCAATCAGAATGGGGCAATGTCAGTGGTAAGAGGTCCAGAAACAATGTCATAAAAGGAGTATTTGGTGGGGAAAAAAAGAAGGATGTTACACTTTGAAAAATAGAATTCTGAACAGTAAATCATGTCTTCCTCTGCAATTCTTCAACTTGTTACCTCTTTTGTATTTTAGAACATATCACATGGTTGTGATTATTTCTTTACACACCTATCTTATTCACTAACTACAAGTCATGGGAGTGCAGGGACTGGTTCTATTTTATCTTTCTACCCCACACTTAAGTGCAGTGGCTGGCATACAGTAGGTGTTTAATTATTGTTCTTTAATGAATTGCCAGTATAACATCATTGTCAAGAGCCAATCTGCCTAGATTAGAATTCTGACTTAATCTTACTAACTGTGTGACCTTAGGCAAGTTCCCTAACTTCTCTTTCCCTTGGTTTCTTCACCTTTAAAATGAAGACTGTAATAGTACACTTCAGAAAGCTGTTGTAAGGATCAAATTAGTTAAACACATAAAATGCTTAGAAGACTGTCTGGAGTATAGGAAACAGTCAATAAATGTTACAGGCAAATAAATACACAAGGTATCTGCTTTTATTTCTTGCTATTACTTGTATGCCTGCTTCCAGAACCTAACCATTTCTCATTAGCTGTGGTTAGGGATGGAGATTCGAAGCCTAATTAACCATTATCCGAACACTAAGTGAAGAACTAAGGGACAACTCTATGGGTAGATGATGAGTGCTGTGTTTCTCATGTCTTCAGTCTCACTGCCTGGAACTTCTTTTACATCTTTCTTCTTCTAATTCTTGGTTATCCTTCAGGACATAGGAGCCTTCAGGAACCCTTCGCTGACTATCACATCCCAACTTGTGCTTCATGCCCCTTTAATATGTTTCAAACACATATACAATGTTTTAAAAGTCTGCTTATTGGCCTGCCTTCAGTGATTCAAAGACAGAAAGGACTTATCTTCATATCTTTAATCCTCAAAAACTAGTAAGAGCCCTGGCACATAAGGGGCCTCAGTAAATATTTCTGGAATGAACATTTGCTAACCAAATGAACAAATAAGCTTCAGCATTCATTTAGAGATGTGATAACCAGATAAGTGATCTTAGAATAAGGAGAATGCTTGTGAATTTCATGTGGAGCACTTTTTATAGCTTGAATACTTCATACCATCTACATCTATCCAGTGTCTAATGAAACAGAAACTACCACTGGTCTTTCCCACTCCTGCAAGTCAGCAACGGTGTAAGTACACACAGCTTTTGAGGAATTCTTGGCCGAACACAAATCACATTCCAGATCATTCCTCATCTTGGTAATTTCTAATGTCTTATGTAATATAAAAGGAAACTATTATCAAAGAAGAAAAAAAGCCACATTTTAGATAGTCCTAACACCAAGGTTCTGATATTTAACAATCATCGATTCATTTATTTAAAAATCATTTGAGCACCTACTATATGCCAGGCACTATGATAAAAATACAAACTTTTCAAACAAATTAAAATTAGTGTATTCAACAGAGTTTAAAAAAGTAAACACAAGGAACAAAGGTTTCTATCCTTTGTAAAAGAATTAAACTTATTTGAATCCTAAATGGTAGCTGCATTTTGTGTTGTTTCAGAGAGACCCTGAGGAAAGAGGATGTTAGCAATTGTTTTACCTGTCCTCATGACTTCCAGTACGAACATCCTTCATGGCAGCAAATCCGCAAGGCACTCTAGCATATTTATTTAAATTTTCAATAAGTGTCTTCCCTACTTCAAGGTAGTAAGGATCTCCTGTAGCCTATTAAAAAGGAGAATATATGTATAATATATATAGCTTATATATTACCACATATCCATTCATTTACCAAATATTTATTGAGTACCTACTAGGTGCCAGGCACTGTATCAGGCACTGAAGGACATTATATAGAACTGAGTTCTGAAAAAAAGCTATGAATCTGCTTTACAGAATTTCTTAAATACACAATTATAAAATTTAACTATATAACCTTAGTTTTTAAATTTCTAATGCTCAGAAAGGCTGCCTGAAGAAAGGCAAGAGACATGCTTTAGAAAGCAGCTCTAGAACATAAAATTTCTCTTTAAAGAAATGTTTACATAATATTTTTTAAAGAAAAAAACCTTGCATGTCAATTCTTGCATCATTCAATAATTCTATGGACTAGATGAATAAGAATCATGATATATCCAATCATTATAATATTAAAAGGGGACTCTGAAAACCCAATTACTATTATGAAAGAATGAGAGATCCAACAGAGAATGGAGGCTAAACTTTAAGTAAAATGGGGTATATTTTCTTACTTTATATAAGAAGTAGGTACTTTCTGCAAATTCTGGCCTTAAAGGATGTTGAGCCCAGTGTACTCTGAAATCTGTGGTAAATGCCTGAACAAAACAACATACAAAAGGCATAAAAAATGTGATTAAATACACAAGTAGTTCCAGAATATATAGAATATATATAAATAGGTAAAAGCAATTAAAATAGCAATCAGGACATTTTCATCAATAAAACATCAATTTTCATTGCTTAAAATAACAATTCATTTTGCAAAGGCTGCTATTTTTACCAATTAAATTGATTATTTTTTCAGTGATCATTCTGGCTATTAGAAAACTCAGAAAAACTCCATAATGAAACTCAGCAATGCCACTACATGGGTCCTGGTGGTAAACATAATTGTGTTTTCTTTTTATCCTTCCCTCTACTTTTTCCTCTGGATTATTACTCTCCTAGTTCTCATATTTATTTTTAAATTTTTTAAATCGACAAATAAAAGTGACATATATTTATGGTATATGACATGATGTTTTGATATATTTATACACTATGAAATGGCTAAATCAAGCTAATTAACATATGCATTATCTCACATAGTTCTCTTTTTTTGTGGTGAGAATACTTAAAATCTCTCTTAGCAATGTGTAAGCATACATATTTCATATTTTAGCTTATATTTTCTAAAAGCCTCAAATCCTTTGTGGAATAAGACAGAGCATTATTTAGAAATAAATAAAATTAGTCTATTTGAAATTTATTCAATAACATAATCAATTGGTTTTTAAAAGAAAATAAAAATAAAAGCAAACAAAAACTTTTATGGGAGCTAAATAAAAATTTCATTTGTGATAGATGTATTAATTGAAACCTCAGTTTATTCTGTATGGATATGAATTTTCTACAATGCACAGTCCTACTCACCCGAAGGCTAATAAAACTATACTTTCCAAAACAAACACTTTAGGAACCCTTCTAAGTTGGTAGAATGCTTAGATATCTCACAGAGGGTAGTCAATAAGCGGGGATAGAACAAGGCCATACACACATTTGGAAATTTTTAACGGTACATTTCTGGGAAGCCAAAAAGTATGCTATTAAAATCTTGTCATATTAAGCTAGCAAGAATATTTATTACTAATATGATGTATAAAAATCAGGAAGAATAATTCTCAATCAGCATGAGGAAGAGATGGCATTCTATACATTTCCAGAGGGCATGTGTGAACAACAAAAGTATATCTAATATATACTGTTTTCATAAGACAAGCTTTAGAAAATAAAAAGTGACAAAATCTCCCTAGCTGGTAGGTACATACAAGAGTTAGAATGAGAGAATATTACAATGGCATAAGTTAGGAAGAGTTGAGAAGAACTAAGCTGGGAATTTTTTTACATAAAATTTTAAAAATGTCAGCATTACCCTAAATCAGACTTCTCTTAACACACAAAGAAAAGCAAAAACATATATAATACTGTACAAACCAAAAATAAACTATTTAATAGGAAAAAAATAAAAAGAACCAACAAGCCTTGAAGATGACATTTTCTACCTTTATATTAGCAACTTATAGTGTATATGTGTACGTGTGTGTGTGTGTGTGTTTGTGTGTGTGTAAGATTATTCCAAAAATTATTTGCTTACCTCTGGTAGAAAATTGTGTTTTTTAATCACCTGATATAACATTTCATGAGTTTCAATAGCAGGTCTAATATCCCCCTTTAACACCTAGAAATCAACAACAATAAAATTACCTAATAAAATATGAGCTGATTTTATCTCTAATCATTACATAAACAGAAAAATGTATACAAATACAATTCTGAACTGCAACTATGTTTTGTAGTTCAGTTTTAAAGATCAAAAATGCGCCTAATTAACATCATCATCTTACATTCATATTAAGAAGACAGAATTCTTTATACCTGCAAGCCTGGGAAGAAGGCAAGCAAAGCATCCATCCAAGTCCGAGCATTCAGCATTGGTTTGTGGATATGCACATCAAGTAGAAGAGGTGGCTGGCTAATATACCTCATTATGGCATCATAGTGCTAAAAGATCACAACATGTGTTCATGAAAGTTAGATGAAAAAAGAGGTACTACTCTAAACACATTAAATAGCACTGTGAATAAATTAAACTAGAATTTATATATAAATTCACTAAATAACTACCAATTTATATAAATATTTAAGTTATTTTAGATGGAGATCTTTCTAAAATATATATGTACTCCTTTATGTCCTCTAACTCACATGCAGACTATTAAAGACTATCTGTAATATAGGACCTTCTGAGAAAAATGGAACTGAACATCTCTATGCCCTGTGGCGTTAGCCCGTGGTTGGTATGACTTTGCGGCCCACTGATGCTCATAGGTCCCCTTGTAATATAGCTATCAGCTTCTGTATTACAGAATTTGCTTTTTCCTGTATCTTGGAAGTTTGATCCCTTCTCGGCTAACAATATTTTGGTGCTCACTACTATCTAAACTAATGCAGCTAATCACTGCTGCCACTCTTATGGTTTGCTATCTCAGCTTATTATGGTCTTAGAAAACTCTTTTTCCCTTCTTTTGTCTTCTTCTCCTAGATATTTCTCAGCTTTGACAAAAGGTTGAGTTGTGATAACAAGCCAACAAAAATAGTTATTTGTCCCCATTTACCTCAAGAAATTCTTGTTATAATCTAATAAACAATCTATGTGATAATTTTAGAAAGTATTCAATTAATGACTTATTAACTTTTACTAATTTTTTTTTTGCAAATTTACCTATTATTTAATCACTATTATTGAATATTGGCCATAGGTTAAAGGCACTGCTCTAATCACTTTGAATGCATAAACTCAATCCTCCCAATAACCCTATAAATAGTACTAGTACTCCCATTCTGTAGATGAGAAACAGAGGCAAATAATATTAGTTACTTGCCCAAAGTCACAAAACCCGTAGGTGGTACAATCAGAATTTAAACCAGTACATCTCCCATACTTTTTTTTTTTTTTTTTTGAGACGGAGTTTCGCTCTGTCGCCCAGGCTGGAGTGCAGTGGCGCGATCTCGACTCACTGCAAGCTCCGCCTCCCGGGTTCACGCCATTCTCCTCCATACTTTTAATCACCATGTCATACTGTCTCATACATACAACATGGATGAACTGATAGGTGAGCAAGGAAATGGTAGATTAGTTTAAAAAGAATATAGTGATATAACTGATGAGTTTGCTATATTCATTTCAGTTTGCTTCAGTTAAAAAGGTGATTCAATTGGGTTCAATAATCCTCCCACTTTTCCCAAAAAAACATGCTTGTGGTTCTGAACCAGTCTTAAGACTTGCTTTTGAAATGAATACTCACTAGTTTCTCCAGGTCTTCAAAGCCCTGTATCCTTGGTGTAATCAAAGACTAAGCCAAACTTCCAAGATTTCAAAAAGAATTGAAATACAAAGGAAAAAGCTAACTAGTAACATATTTCAATAATTCTTATCCTTGTACAAACAAGATTAGGTAAAACTCAAATCTATTACATCTCTTATTGGCAGATCTGCAAAGTTTCTGATAAAAGGTGAAAATAAAACTACTTTATCAACTGATTTTTTGGAATGTATATCACTTTTTACGCTGTCCCTGTTCAACATCATCAGGAAATACTGACACAAAACCACTACACATTTTAAAAATTATTTTTACAATGTCATTCAGGTAATGGAGTTTCTATAAAAATCTGGACTCAAATGAAGTTGATTATAAAATATAAAATTGTATCAACTTACTGTGTTAAATCTTTCCAGAAAACTGTCATCTCCAAGCAAGACATAGGCTTTCAACAGATATTCATAATATGAATCAATCCCTGCTCCAACTCCACTATCTATGGAAACACAAATGTGATTTTTCATTAAATTTTTTTAAAACCGTTAAATTTTTTTAAAAAAATAGCACTCCTTAGATTAGCATTAAATTAACATTGTGCATATATATGACTACACCAGTTTAGATTTGCCCTGGAACAGATAATTATATTTAAAATAAATAATTTGCTAACTAGTTCATAGTTTAATTAGCTCTTAGTTTCACTAGGTGGAAAATAAGCATCTTGTGTTCTTTAAGAAATTGGTATGTATAAATGAATAGTAAATTCACTTAAATCTTGAGGAAATCTAAAGATGAAGTCTCTTGTTTTGCTTTTTCCTAAAAAGGAAAAAAGAACCAAAGTCAAGAAAAATTAAAGAACAATAATAATATCTACTCTTAAAAAGAAGAAATGTTATCTAACACAAAAATGAAACCTATAGATTCAAAAAAACACCTATTTTACTGTCTTAACCAGTAAAAAAAAAATGATAGGCAGGTGGAGTCTAGACCACTTAGAACTGAACCAACTCTAGACAAAAATGAAGATGGTACAATGCTATGACTGCAAGGAAATGATTTTAAAAATTTCACAGTTTTCATGTTTGTAGCAATATGTTGATGCACAAAATATCAAAAATACAAGTCTGGATTTTTCCTCTTAGGTTTATAATACACTATCAAACTTCTATTTAATGCATTTGTATTTGCATTATAAATGCATTAAGCCTTCTCTGTTTATGTGTATGCTATACAAGCACATACATGCTGGTACGTTACCATGAAAATAATAGTTCTCATCTCAAACTAGTGACTCGTCTTTTTACCCATATTTATATACATTTCATTTCTATTGTAAGACACAACATTTTTCTAGTGGTACATTTAAATCAACATATTATGTTATTTTAAATCTTCATTTTTAAATGAGTCTTTTTAGTGTTATGACATAATGGATTTAATTTAACAGCTGAAGTATGATATGGTAACCACACTGTACTATTTAATTCACAGATGTAGGAAAATATTTGATTTTTAAACTATAACCAAGATGAGACCAGACAGTTATAAGCAGTGAAATACTAGAAAACAGTGAATGAATACACAAGATGACTTTTCATCAGTGGCCATTCAATATTTTGCTTTTAGGAACTTGGAAGAAATTGTCTTGAGTTTCAAATGTTCTGGTAAATCTAGTCATTTCTTAGCTTCCTCAGTATCACCCTGAATTACTGAAATAACTGACTGTGAAGAGTCAAAAGTTCTTTTCTGTCATTTAGATGACACAGAAAAATTTTATACAATACTGAATAAAGGTAATAATTTTAATATGTTTGAATTAATAATTTTATAATTTTTATTTATTTAAATATAGGCAGTTACCATTTATTTTACATATAAACAAGATAAGCTTTTTAGAAATAGAGAAAATGTATAAAAAAGATGCTTTCATTAAGAATATTCTAATTTATTTCCATTCATCTATGCTTATCAGGGTGTTTTATAAAGATAAAATCACAGTTCTTTGTACAATTCAATATCCTGTTTGTTCATATAACATTGTTACATGTTCCTTCCCATGCTCCTGATTTATTTTAATAACAATATTCCAACGCTGATGTAAAATAATTTTCTTAGCTTTTTTTACTGATGGTTAGACTGTTTCCCAATTTTCTGCTATTTATAAATAATTGCATGGGAACATCTTGGGAACAAATAATTTTCTATGTTTTGTATTATTCCTCAGACTAGATTCCCAGAAGTAAAATTATTAATCAAAAGGACTAACATCTCGTTACTGGGCACTTACTTCATAGTAAGTGTAGTACATGCCCGGCACTGTTCTAAGCACTTTACTTTGGTTAACTCATTTAATCCTCATACAGAACAACTAATTACTATTAATATGCCCACTTTACAGATATGGAATAGAGAGGCACACAGAGGTTAAATAAGTTTCCCAAGATCACATAGCTTGAATCCAACAACATGACCCCAGAGTCTATGCTCTTAGCTACTATATTTCTGGAGGTAGGAGAAAAAAAGAATTTATTAAACCCATATTCTTACTAAACCACACCTTGACGTGAGATGGCTGCAGAAATCTGGTTCTCTAGTTTTCAAATAAATTATAGCGTTTCATCTACACCCTATACCTATAATGCTATATCCATTAAGAAATAGAATACTAAATCATGTAGAAGAAGTGTGTCACATTTGGCATCAAAAAAGAAAATCTGGCTAAATTAATTAAAATTCCAGCAATCTTGTGAGAACCTATGCTTTATAGTATCCCAAAGATTATTTTAACAAATGAAAATTCTTTATTTCCCAACCATTTTGAGGATGCAAAGGCTTGATTTAAAAAGCCTAACTTACATACCTTTTCGTACCCAATCTCCAGTATGAATATTTATAGTCACGCCCACTAAATTACTACTTCGCTGTCTTTTTTCCCAGAGAAAATCAAGAGCTTTTCTGGCATATTCCTGTAATTTAAAAAAAAAAAAAAAAAAAAGAAGTGCATATTTGAAGAACTAAGTCTCTTTGGCAAATAGGAAACTAACAAACAAAACTCAAAGGCCGATAGGATATTTTAAGAATTAGGTTAAATTTCTAAGATAACTATTTATAAACAAATTTCCTTAAAACTCAAAGCTTGGCTCTTTTTCAACCAATCAGTGTAGTTAGGAAAGACTCTGAATACACTATTCAGAGGAAGGCTCACTTTGATGGCTCACTTTCATCTACTCTTTTTGTTTTTTCTTCATTTCATCTACTCTTGTAGCACAAGTTCATATTCACACACATGTATTATTAAATTATATTAATTGCTTACATAATTGATATACTTGTTAAAGTAATTTCTACCACTTAAAGGCAAAGTAAAAATCTCCCTAGATACTCTTATTTAGAAAACTGGAAGAGAATTTCAAAGGTAGTATGCTATCTTTGAAAGTCATTTCAGATCCTACTTTTTAAATGGTAAGCAAGTTCATTAGTAAAAAGCTATTAAATCAATTAGGCTACCAAATATTTGATAACAACAAACTTGTAACCTTATGACATGTTTGTCTTTTTCTCATTTATTTTATCTACTAGACACTAAATAAAATGAGTTGTGAACAAATTTTTGGCTTTGGATGAAAAGATGTTACAAAATATAAATGCAAAGGGCAAGTACAGGCAGGTTTCTAAATTAATTTCAGAGCATGAACCTATTTAGCACTGCAGAAGGACTTCTATAAAAGAAAAAGTCATTAAACCCATTTGTCACTTGGCAGATTACAGAGTGTAAAATAGTTATAATTCTTTACTCAAACTATGCTGATTTCTCTTAAACACAAAGCAGGTTATAATTTTAATTAAATGGCAGAATTTCAGAGCCAGGAAACTTCAAAAAGATTTCCCTAGTCTTATTTTACAGCTAAGAAAACAGGCCTAGTGAAATTCAAGATTAGCTAGAGTTTAAAATTGAATTACAGGACAAAAAAATAATATGAGAATTCAGATCTCTTTATATATATTAGACCAAGGGTCAGCAAACCTTTTCGGACAAGAACCAGGTATTTTAAGCGCTATGGGTCACACAGTAAATGGCACAATTACTCAACTCTGTCACTGTAGCACCAAAGTAGGCACAGATAAAAACAAACAATTGAGCATGGCTGTGTTCCAATAAAGCTTTATTTATAAAAACAGGCAGTGGCTGCACTTTGCTCACAGACTGCAGTTTGCCAACCCTGTATTATATCAATGCTTTGTCAACTGCATCTTCTCTGACAACAAATTACTGCGTATTCAAGAATTTTTTTTTTTAAATCATGACTTTCAACAGATTTATTAATAAACACAAAATAGCCCACTGGAAAGAGTATGGGTTTCAAATTCAGAAAGACATGGATTCTAATTCCAACTCCATGCATCATCTACCAGCTGTGCAGGTCTGTCATACTCTTTGAGCCTTATTTTCCTCACCTGTAACTGCATCAATATCTGAGAGTGTAGTTATTAAAGTATGCAAAAGTGTCCACACTTTTTAATGAAGGGAAAATATTAGTGAACAAGATATAGAGCAAAACCTTAAGTTTAAAAGATTAACCAACCAAACATGATAAATCTGTCCTTGAGACATTTGAACATACAGACATACATTCAAAGGCATACATACATACAAAGTCAATTTGTTTTCTTTACATTCAGATCTAGTATCTGTAATGCTACTATACAGTCCCTATTTCTGCTTGTTCTGTTTGCCATTTGTTGAATTTTTAAACATTAACCTAAGTCATATGCTTGAAAAAGAGGGTGCTTTGTGTTACCACTGCACTCCAATGACATGCTTAAATAATTAGATTTTTTTAATGAGAGACATAGCTAGCCCACAACTATGTGGGGATATTAAGTCTTTTGGATAATGAATAACATTTCCCTTGCAGTAAACAAATTTACAGATTACAGTCTCAATCAAGACTTAAGAACAAAAATTTCACTGTGTTTTAGAAGATTAGTGAAGGTTTCAGAACTTTCAGAAGTGCAATATGGAAGTCTAACAAATAAAACACAGGGACATAGTATTTCGTAAGACATTTATGATATCAAGGAGACATCAAATTCATTTAAGTAATATGGCTAAAAAAATTTCTAAGACTAAACCTAAACATATACTTCATAGTTGGTGAACAAAATGCAAAGTTGGATTTAACATAGCTCTCTCACAATGTTCTAGGTTTTTGACAATTAAAAACCATGTAAAGGAATTTAGACAAAAAGTTCACTAAAATAACAGTAATTCTCCAACTAATAATCCTAATATTTAACCAATGAAGAAGATATAAAGGTAGTTATGCCCAATACCCAGGATATCAAAGACCGTAAAAAGCAAACCTCAAATATTGTTGCTCCTGTGAATCGACTTAAAGCAGCAAATTCAAGGATCAAGGTACCTGCACAAGCTGTACAGGTATCTGTCTCAGTTCCTGTCCGAGCTTCTGGTTTTCTGATGCCAAACTTTAAATTAATCTGAATACAATTAGAAAATTGTCATTAGCAGTTATCAAGACAATGACCTTCTGATAAGAAACTACTTTTCAATCAAGTCTTTGTATAAAATCATGAAAATAATTCATAAAATAACTAAACACTGAAATTCAATCTGATGATCTCTGACTTTCCAATTAGCATGTAGGGAAATATATTCTAAGCATATAATATTCATGAAGTAAGTAAGCTTTTATTTCATTCCATCCTCATTGACATCAAAACTCAATTACTTCCCTTGGAGTAAACAAGTGACATGATTATAATCCAAGGGAAATTACACAGAGAAGGTATCTTTTATAACAATTTTGTTCTCTGGACAGTTTGAACTAGTAAGTACAAGAATAGGGAAGTAGACCAGCCTTAGAAGAAATTAGGGTTAGTTTAGAATTTGTGAAAAACCAGTCTATATTATATATTAACTAGTTCACCATAGAGAAAAAACGGATTGTTATGGTATACATTTGAAAGGAAATTAAAATTTCATTTACGGGTTTTAAGAGTTTGGAAATATAGAGTGTATCACCTTGCTGGCAGGCTAACAACACAAGGGAAATTTTTTCAAAGGTGTATTTCTTTATTAAGTGGAAGACAACCAAATAGGCCACGAGCGGTAGCTCATGCCTGTAATCCCAGCACTTTGTGAGGCCAAGGCGAGTGGATCACTTGAGGCCAGAAGTTTGAGACCAGCCTCACCAACATGGCGTAACCCCATCTCTACTAAAAATACAAAAATCAGCCAGGCATGGTTGCGTGTGCCTGTAATCCCAGCTACCTGGGAGGCTGAGGCACGAATCTCTTGAACTTGGGAGGTGGAGGTTGCAGTGAGCTGAGATAGCGCCACAGCACTCCAGCCTGTGTGACAGAGCAAGACCTTTACTATTACAATATGAATCTGGATTAACTAGACTCAAACTGAGCAGACACTGATTAAAATTAGAATATTTTTCAGCAATCCAAATAACCAACAAAAAAGGAGGTATATGCCAAGGATTCAGCCAACAAATAAACAAAAAAAATCAAACATAAAACACATAAAACATCACGGGTATACTCTTGGTTCAGTTATTATTCAAACTCTATATAAAGAGAAGCTCAAAAAATTTATATTTCAACTTATCTGCAGATATCAATTGCTAGGTATACCTAGTGCCTTAACAGTGTCCAATCAACAGATTCCAGGCATTTCTAAACAAACACCCCCTCAACAACAACAAAAAAACAACAAATGTAAAACGTAGGTGAGAGATGGGGATTTGATCACTGTTAATGTTGTTCTCAGTACTGCCATTTATCTTACTTTGTAAAGTGCCACTTGAGACATTTTCATGTGCTATTAGTCTAGCAGTACCCCTCCATCCCCTCCCAAACTTATAATTATCTCTACCATTTGTACTTTTGTAGGATTAGCTAGTTTTAGGTAGTTCTGCACCACAAACAAGAATGAAAAGTATCTCCTGCCCCCTTATGCTGCCTGTATCCCTATCTACAGAACTAAAATTGAAAATTGATACTAAGAATAATTAACCTAAAATGAAGCAATCCTTAATAATAAAATAAAGATGTAATCACATGAATTACACTAAGGTAAAGTATAATTTTACAAATATTTGCAATAAGAATCAACAGTGAAAAATATTTTCTGGTCAGTTCCATTAATTACTACAATCAACTAATCAATATTTATTGCTTACTTACCTACCATGTGGGGGATATTATGATAATATACAAAGGAATAGATCCTTGTCCTCAAGGAGCTTAAAATCCAGACAGAGCAAATAAGACAGATATATAAATAGAGAAAATAACTGACAATGAAAAGTCATAAATTAAGTGCCAAACAAATGGAAGCCACAAGTGCTAAAATGTGAATTTCAGAAAAGGAAATAACACTGAATTGGGAGTAGTTGAGAGCTAAGAATGACAAAGTCTAAGAGTAGTCATAAGAAAGCAAAAGCAAAATAGAAAAGAATAAACATCTCTGTATTCCACTTTCAGTATCTTTTCCCTTAAAATGGAAATACTTTGAATCATGAGCGTTTTAGTACAATAATACTTAAGATGTTTGTATATTGAACTGTACCCCAAGATGACTGCTATAAAATTTGTAAAAGGACTATTTATTAACACAATTATCTATAGTATCTGCTCATTTAAATCTTGTATCCTTCCTGAAGATAAGTGGTATTAAACAACTTTTTTTTTTTTTTAATTTTTTGTGGGGATGGAGTCTCACTCTGTCACTAGGCTGGAGTGCAGTGGCACGATCTTGGCTCACCGCAACCTCCACCTCCCGGGTTCAAGCAATTATCCTGCCTCAGCCTCCCAAGCAGCTGGAATTACAGGCACACACCACTACATCCAGCTAATTTTTGTATGTTTAGTAGAGATGGGGTTTCACCATGTTGGTGAAGATGGTCTCGATCTCTTGACCTCGTGATCCGCCCGACTTGGCCTCCCAAAGTGCTGGGATTTCAAGTGTGAGCCACTGCGCCCAGCCAGTATTAAAGAACTTTTAAATGCAGAACCAAGATGCATTTCAGCATCCAAGAGGCACTACCATTTCCACAAATCAGGGAAGAAGGGTTCAGTGCTTTTTTTGCTTACGGGATCCTCTGGTGGATCTAGGGGCTGGTAGATAGGTTCTTGTCCTCCTGACTAGGACTCAAATGACTGGGTTTAGAGATGGCACTGGTAGCAGTATATATTACTGCAGAAATTAGTAATAAGGAGCTTATTGTCCTGCTTTCTTGAGAGGTTTAAGAAAAAAAGAGATGAAAGTAGGAATAAAATAAAGCATGAGGCAATCTAGAATCTGGTTCCTCCTAATTCTGTGTTCCTGAGAGTCACAAGGCAATTTTAAAAAGGACACTTTTTTATTGCAAAGTAAAGGCATAAATTACCTACACTAAACTTGTTTACACTGTCTTTTTGCTACACTAGAAAATCCTTAAAATATGTATAAATCATAATAGAATTCTTATTAACCTTATATTTTATGGATATAATCATCTACTCAACGTTTGTAATGAGGTCTTATCTGAAAAGCTGGCAAGTTGCTTTTAATTAACTTTGAGGAAATGGCATTACAAAGTACGTACTAGCTCTAAAGTTTATATATGAGTTTAAAAAATGACCAACTCTTACAATACCATTTCTGTACAGTACATTCTTCTGAGTTAAAACCATTAATGCAAATACTATCAATTACATATGCTTATCTAAGAGAGACTGATTACACAAATTTTCATGGGCAAAAGCATACTAAGCATGTATAAGAAAGGATGGGACAGCAGTTATTTTTCTTCTATTGTCCTATTATAAAAAATCATTTTTAAAATTTTCTTGACACTTCAGAGTATAAGAAAATAATATAAGTTTCTCTGTTTTACCATAACGCTCATAGTATCTTCTGTTTTAATTCCTTGCCTGCTTCTCATGTTACGGCAAAAGTAAAGAAATGCTAGATTCCTCAAAATCTAACACCTCCATTTATAACAAAAACTAAAAGTATTTACTAAAAGTAAACTGAATTAAGTAAATGTTTATATATTGTTTAAAAAACTTTGCTTTTAATTTAATATGCTAAGAAAAAAATGATCAACAAATTTAACTGTACTAATAAGCAAAGAAATCCATATTAAAATATAATTCAATTTTTCCTCATTAAGTTGGCAAAATAATAATATACAGTAACGGTTAAATGACACATGTACTTTTACACAACACTGAGAAGTAAAAAAGAATCTTTCTGAAAAGCAATTGGGCAACAAGTACCTGATATCTTAAAAAGCATTCCCTACTCAGTGACTTATTACTTCCTCTTCGAGTAATTTATCCTAAGCAAGAAACTAAAAATGTATAAAAAGATGTGTATCAGAATGTCCACAGAGGCCGGGCATGATGGCTCACATCTGTGAGTCCAGTACTTCAGAAGGCCAAGGTGGGAGGATCTCTTAAGCCCAGGAGTCTGAGACTAGCCTGGGCAACATAGTGAGAACTCCATCTCTACAAAAATTTTTTTTAAAAATCAGCCGAGCATGGTGGCACGTGCCTGTAGTCTCAGCTACTCAGGAGGCTGAGGTGGGAGGATCACTTGAGCCCAGGAGTTGGAGGCTGCAGTGAGCAATGATCACACTACTGAACTCCAGCCTGGGTGATAGAGGGAGACTATCTCAAAACAAACAAACAAACAAAAAGAATGTTTACCAGAGAGCTATTTAAAATATCAACTAGAAATTTAAACAAGAAGAGATTTCATTCTAGTCTGTTTAATTTTTAAAAAGTGCTAGTCACAACTCACTAAATTGATAGGTAAAGCATTGCCCTATATCATGCTATATCTCCAGTCAAGGATGACTTCTTGATGGAGGAAATGAGCCTTATTTGATTTGACTTATATTTGTAGAGAAGTTATGCCGGGTGATAGAGATGGTAAGCCTAAAGGCATGGAATGAAAAAAAAAAAAAAACTTAGAGACTCTGGGGACACTATAGATTGTTCTAGCTGAAATGGAACAATGATTTCACTGGGATATGGAAATAAGAGAGAATGTCAGAAAGTCTACTGCCAAACTACAAAAAATGCTGAAAGTTAAGGGACACTCAATACAATAAAAAGAGCCATACAATTTTTGAAGATAATTTGACAAAAATTAGATTTTAGTGATACTGGTTTTTCAAGTGCTCTGAAGCATAAACCAAGAGAGAAAGAATAAGACAGGCATAAGAAAAGAAAAAAACTGACAGAGCTTGCTAATGGCTGAGGTATCTGTCTTGGATAAGAGGGAGAGAGTAATAGTGTTAATAAAGAATGAGAAATAAATCAGAAGAGCTATTTCCATCTTCAATGGCTTCTTTCCCTCTGCTTTAAATATAAAATTTTCTTAGGGGAAAACCAATAAAACTCCTTCAACTGACTTTATTGCCAACTCTCCTTTAACTATCAACACAGAAGAAATCTTAAAATAAGTGGTTCATTCCTATTTACTTTCACCTACTTTGAATACTTTCCTCTTTATTCACTACAACTTCAAGGCTCTGTTTGCACCCAATTCTCAAGTTTTCTAGAACATTTCCTCCTTTCGAAGTTCCCTTCTTTGGATTTTATAATACTGTACACTACACTACTTCACGGTTCTCCTCTTAAATCTCTGTGTACTTTACTTTCCACTGGCTGTCCTTCCTCCTCATGCCCTCCCTCTGTCCTGTGAGTTCTCTCTCTGTCCTCTCCTTTGGACAGTTAACACCTACATACTAACTGCTTCAATTATATCTTCTACACAAATAATTCTGTGCCCAAGTTCTGGTCTAGCATCTGTTCTTCCTTCTGCAGCATAATCTAATCTGTAATGTAATGACACATTAAAGCTTAAATTTTACATATACACAATGGAATACTATTTGGCCATTAAAAAAATGAGATCCTGTCATTTACAACAACATGGATGGAAGTGGAGGGCACTATGTTAAATGAAATAAGCCAGGCACCTGGGTGTGGTGGCTCATGCCTGTAATCCCAGCACTTTGGGAGGCCGAGGCAGGTGGATCACAAGGTCAGGAGATCAAGACCATCCTGGCTAACACTGTGAAACCCCATCTCTACTAAAAATACAAAAAATTAGCCGGTCGTGGTAGTGGGTGCCTGTAGTCCCAGCTACTCGGGAGGCTGAGGCAGGAGAATGGCGTGAACCTGGAAGGCAGAGGTTGCAGTGAGCCGAGATCGCGCCACTGCACTTCAGCCTAGGTGACAGTGGGAGACTCCATTCCCCCCCACCAAAAAAAAGAAATAAGCCAGGCATAGAAAGACAAATTTTGAATGTTCTTACTCATTTGTGGGAGCTAAAATTTAAAACAATTGATCTCATGGAGATAGAGAGTAGAACAATGGTTATCAGAGGCTGGGAAGGGTAGGTGGTGGGGATGGGGAATAGGGAGGGGATGGTTAACGGGTATAGAAACAGGTTAGACAGAATGAATAAGATACAGTATTTAATAGCACAACAGAGCGATTACAGTCAACAGAAATGTATCATACATTTTAAAACAACTAAAAGAGTATAATTGGAATGTTTGTAACACAAAGAAATGATAAATGCTCGAGGTAATGGCCACCTCATTTACCCTGATGTGATTATTATGCATTGTATGATTGTATCAAAATATCTCACATACCCCATTAATATATACCTACTATGTACCCACAGAAATCAGAAATAAAACTTTTTTAAAGCTTAAACTAATCTAATTATCACATCACTTAGAAGTATAATCAGTTAATTGAAATGAAAATATAAATTTGTTATATAGCTTTGAAGCATTTTTTTTTCAGCCTCAAGCTGGTGAAGAACAATGGCTCTGATCACAAAACTTCATTTTGTAAAACAGCAAAGAAAGTATATAAAGACTCATATTTTTCAGAAGTACTTACTCTTGGATAAGGAAGGCCACTGGTAGTGTTGAAAGCCGGTAAAAGTTTGTAACCTAACTGCTTTGCCATTTGGAGAAGTTCATCATTGTACCACTGCATATATTCACCTTTTTCTTTCAGCATGATTGCCAGGGAGTGCCCACCCAAAAGACCCCTAGGATCACAGAGATGAAACATTATCCATATCTTATAGACAATTAAAAGTTACCATCTAAAAAGGTGTGGGTACTTTGTTATACAATTTAACATATTTAAGGAAAGACAAAAATTACTTAAACATTATTTACTTAACACTGCTCATTTTATGGTAAGCCATTACAATTACAGAGTCAATATATTTTTTAAAAAATTAGATATTCTATCCTGTTGTGAAGTGTTCTGCGTTCTTAAATAGCTTTAATTTTCTTAAAGAAAATCCGAGATACTACATTTAACAAATCTAACAAATATTTTAACAAACTTTAAATTTAAAAATTTAGTTGTATCACCATGAAGTCTTTAACTTAGAATATTATTTAAAACATAAAAACCTCTCGCTCTAGATTAATAAACTCTGTGTAAAACTACATAACAATTTCTTACATTTAATTGAAGAGTAGACTCACTTTGACAAAGAGGAGTTACAATAACATTTAATCAAAACTATAAAAATTAAATAATATTGAAACTTGAACTAATAAATCCTGTAATTTCATCTTTTCAAAATATCCTGGCCAGGCGCAGTGGCTCACGCCTATAATCCCAGCACTTTGGGAGGCCGAGGCAGGTGGATCACGAGGTCAGGATATCGAGACCATCCTGGCCAACACGGTGAAACCCTGTCTCTACTAAAAATACAAAAATTAGCTGGGCATGGTGGCAGGTGCCTGTAATCCCAGCTACTCGGGAGGCTGAGGCAGGAGAATCACTTGAACCAGGGAGTCAGAGGTTGCAGTGAGCCAAGATCGCACCACTGCACTCCAGCCTGGCAACACAGCGAGAGTCTGTCTCCAAAAAAAAAAAAAAAGGCCCAAGAGCATTTCAAACTGTTTGTTGAGAGGTAATCTTATACATTCAGTTTCTTTTGGCTTACCTGAAGAGGTGCTTGGCTATGGTTAACAAACTACGTAAGCTGGTGAAAAAACCTGTGATGAAGCTGACTAATGTTCAACCTATATTCCCTTTTTAACAACATACAGATATTACCTTTCAGTCTAGAGACGTCTGTGAGTGATTAAATACAAGGTAATGCCACAGACTCTGTGTTTCATAATGTTCCAACTTACATCTTTTAAACACAGGAAACTTCTTGCATGATTACCATCAAGAAATAAACAGTATATCCTAAACTTTTCTGATATTAAAATTATAGACTGGGCGTGGTGGCTCACGCCTGTAATCCCAGCATTCTGGGAGGCCGAGGCAGGCAGATCACTTAAGGTCAGGCATTCGGGACCAGCCTGGCCATCATGGTGAAACCCCGTCTCTATTAAAAATACAAAAATTAGCTGGGCTTGGTGGTATGCACCTGTAGTCCCAGCTACTCAGGAGGCTTAGATAGGAGAATCGCTTGAACCCGGGAGGCGGAGGCTGCAGTAAGCCAAGATTGTCACTGCACTCCAGCCTGGGTGACTGAGCAAGACTCTGTCTCAAAAAATATATATAAATAAATAAAAATAAAATAAAATTATAGCTTTAGTGTCTTTCATACTTACCCAAGAACTCTGATGTTTGTTTCAAAGACTGATACGACTACATCGTTATCTAAATTAACATCTCTTAAAACTTTTCTCACTGCATCTTCAAATTCTTTAGTTTTATTTAAAACCTGGGAGAAGAAAATTATGAAATAAAGTTCTTTTCTACCAAGACAAGGAGAAACGTTCCTAGAATGAGCTATTAAAAGTCAGTCTACTTTAAAACTCTAAAAAGTGACATACACAAATAATATTTCTAAGTATATTATAAAAATGTAATAATGTCTAAAACTAAAAAAATTAAGTATCTAATTATACAGCATCTTTATACACTTCTTTGCATACACCGAAATATTATGAGGACTTTGAAGCTACCATCATCAGACCTGTTAACTGGATTCTTAATGACCCAGGCTACATGAGGTGAGTTCTAGTAGAATTTGGCTTCTAAGTCAAAACAAAATTAAAACCCATCCTATTCACCAGATACATTCTAAAAGTTGCTTTTATTCTCAGAAGAAAGCACTTTCTTCAAGGCATGTTCAATTGTTCCTAAACTATACATCACCTGCTAGCTTCACTCCATGGATGCCCTGTTCACTAAGGAGGCTATACAATGTTGTGGTCATACAATGTTGTGGTCATGCCCTGATTTGAATTCTGGTTGTTTCACTCACTACCCTTGTGATCTCAGACAACTTACTTCCATTTCTGAGCTTGTTCCTTCATCTATAAAAAGAGGAAATACCTACTCTTATAGGGTTGTTTTCTTAAATAAGATAATGTATGTAAAATGATTTTAGTAGAGTGTCTGACTTAAGTGCTTAAAATAATTACAACTATTAACCATGCAGATCTAGAATCCTGACTAAACTAAGAATTTTGTAGATTCTTGCAATGAGCAGCAAAAGTAGTCCCTGTCATCACACAGGCTGCTATGATTTTTCAGTCTAAATTAAGGCCGCCCATGAGATGTTACCTAGAGCCTAAGTACATTAAAAGTAGTTTTCCTTTACTTAACTGTTTAATCTCTCCTTGTTTGATAATAATTTGTTGTGCTTTTTCACTTGATTTGATACGTAAAAATTCTAATTTATAAAACATTCCATAAGAGTATCTCCCTAAATTCAGTAAAAGTAAAATTTAGGGTAAGTCCTGACTAAAACATAACATGAAACCTGATTTTAAACTGACAGCTCTCCCTTCTCAATCTCAAAGTCCACATCAAGTGGGCAGTAATAAATGCAGGCACATACAGTGCATCTATCACTTTTGGAATGAGACATAACTGTTCCACTATCCCCACCCTCCATACACATATACATTTTAGTATCACTTTGTTAATCTAATTCTTCTCCCTGGGTTTATCTCCTGGGAATTTTTGCCTCTTGAACTCTTCTAGCTTGTAATCAGACTCTTCCATATGTTTTCTTTAAGGCCAATAAACCAAAAACAAGGCACACAGTATTTTCTCTTTCTCATAGTTACTGTAATATAGTTTGCATATTCCATTAATCTCCAAAAAATGAAGCTGTGACTTTCAAACCCTGACTAGCTAAAAAGATCTAACAATCGTGATTTTTCTCAACCATAACATCTTTTTGAACCAAAGAGCTTTGGAAGGGATGCCCAGTCCCACTCCACAACAACTGAATCAGAATAACTTAGGAGGACCTATTTTTTTTAAATCACAAGTGAACCTCTTAAGCTGCTTTTAGAGTTGAGAATTTTCGTTCTTAAAAAAAAAATACTCCAGTGAAAGAAGAATGCAGAAACAACATTGAGAAGCCCAGTTCCAAAAAATTTCTGATACCCCAAAGGTTTTTTGTTTTGTTTTTTAAATATTAATCACCACTTGGGATATTAACTGGAAGTTGAGAATTATGCCTTAAGGAAAATTCTCACAAAAGCCTACTTTTATACCATAATGATCTAAGAGTAAAAAACTAAAAAGATACTGTATTTAGAAATCATGACATCTGTAACTCAATCTTTCCCCTCTGTCATCACAAACAGTCCTGAACCAGAAATAAATTTCTGTACTATATGAGGTTGAAAAGGAGTACCAAGAAGTGATCACCTGATGCTAAAAATCACTGCTGGGAAAAATTAATTTTTTGCTTATGAACACAGCAATATAAAGATTCTAATTTAACAATTTTGATATCATTTTGGCATGTCATTATGGAACAACATCAATGATATTTTCTAAAGTTACTTTTTTCCAATAGCTTCAACCTCCTTGTCCAAAGGGGGGAAAAAAGGACCTTCCTAATTAAGGTGCCATTACATAAGCTGACATCCCCATAAATTATTTGGGTATCTCTGTTATATTACATAATTCCATTTGACATCATCAACTCAACAGTGTAAAAGATTTATTTAGAAGCAAAGATCAGAACATCTTTAATTCTGAAGGCTTCTATTTCATACTTACTGTGTTATGATCATATTCATAATACTTAAGTGTGCATATCATGAATAAAATAAATCCAAGAAGAGTCAAACCTACCACAAGAGTGTCCAAAGAATCAATCAGTGTCAGAGAAAATCTAAGAAACAAGCGTTAACAAGATATAAAACATTAGAATCCTAAATAGTTTATGAATGTACAAGTAGACTTATCTACATTCTATTGACTGGTAGTTTCTATAAATTAGTACTTCCATGTATCTATAGTACAATGAAACCTATAAGGCTCTGAAAGAAACTGAAAAGCCTTTACATTTATGTTCAATGAATCTACGTATCTTCAAGAGTCATAGAAACATTCACTAGCTCT
Source organism: Homo sapiens (assembly GCF_000001405.40). Classification (NCBI taxonomy): domain Eukaryota; kingdom Metazoa; phylum Chordata; class Mammalia; order Primates; family Hominidae; genus Homo; species Homo sapiens. Next base: position 184,737,295 of record NC_000001.11, read on the forward strand.
GAAAACAAATGAAAATATTAAAACATCAACAGTCCAATGTGCTAATGACTTTATAAATATTTTAAAAGTTACATAAAAGTTACATATATTTTAAGTTATATGCAGCTTAACAACTAACTTTTCTCTGATCCAAGATGTAAACTGATTAATCTTTTATAAATGATAACAGAAGGGAATAAAGGAGCATAATGTAATACATAAAACAGTCTTTAAAATTTAGCCAATCCCTAGAAATATTATTATATGTAAACTGTCTGTAAAAGTCTAAGACTTGGGAACTCTGAGATGCCATGCCATGCCCTGTGTTAATACTCACTTTCCCAAGGCATCATCAACGTCACCGCGACTTGGCTCTTGGCCTCTAACTCGACCTCTACAGGTTAAAGGCATGAGTTCATCAGCAGGGTAAGCATGTTCCTGCAAGGAAAACTTTAGTAAGTTACTAAGGAAAATAAGCGAAAGCACACATCATTTTGAGAACATAACTTTTTCACAGTTAAAAAATAAAATAATAGTCAAAAGTTGTACTAAATTTACACCCTGTGGAATCTTTTCAAAAATCTTTAATTACAAATGTAATACATGCTTGGAAAAAAGTCAAACAATACCAAAAAATTTCTTTAAAAAACTGATAATCTGCTTCCCCTCCCCTCCCCAATCTCACTTCCTAGAGCTAACTACTGATAAGACTGGCATTTATCCTTCCAGATTTATCCCACATACATTCAAATACATACACATATATTATTCTAAAATTTTATTTATGAACAGGTGTTCATGCCATATGCACATATTGCTCTAACATTTGTCACTTAAATAATGGAGTTTTCTTCCCACGTTTTTAGAATGTTACAGATGTACTCTATTCTAATAACTACAAACTGATAACATTAGCTAATATTTAATGAGTACTTATATTCTAAGTGATATTCTATCTATATATTTTAGTTAATTGTCACAATGCTCTGAAGTAGATTCAATTATCTCTAATTCATGGATGAAAAAACTGAGGCCCAGAGAAGTTAAGTAAGCCTAGATCACACATCTAGTAAATGATCCAGAATTCAAAGCCAGGTACCCTGACTCCAGAGTCTATCCCCTTAGCAGTACCCATTCCTCAAAGTATCCCTTTACTGATGAACATGGAGGTTGATTTCAATTTTTTTCTATACAAACAATGAAGCAATAAACACCTATGTGCATGTATCTTTTGAACATATGCCAGTATTTCTATGTATCAGATACCTAAAAATAGACCCATTAGGGTCAAAGGTATGTGTAACTAATTTTTGGTAAATGCTACAAATTGAGGACACCAATCTACACTCAATTACATTCTCACTAACATAGGAAATGATCAATAGTTCACATTTTGCCAAACTCCTAGGTAAAAGATGGTATCTAAAGATTCATTACTAATAAGGATAAACATCTTTTTGTATTATCCATTGTTATTTCTTTTTTGAAATGTCTGTTGATCTTTTGCCCATCTTTCCATTGGTTGCTTTTTTTGGCCACAAGAGACTCTCATACATTATGTTTGTCACACACAGTAAACATTTTTCTCTTTTGTTTGGCTTTTAACTTTATCTTGCTTTCACCTTATGGTTTCTGGCTTTCAAGCATGCTTAAAAGGATACCCTGAACCTCTGAAAATAGCACTGTTATACTTTTTTTATATTTAGATATTTACTCCATCTGGAATCTATTTTCATTTATAATATGAAATAGGAATGTAACTGCATTTGCTCCCCAAAAATAGATAATTTTCTAAATACTACTTTTAAAACAATCCATCCTTTCCCCAATGGCTTGAAATATTGGGTTCATTAGTTCTAAACTTTTTGCGAACACATTTCTGTAGTATTTATTCATTCTACAGATCTATTTGCCTATTCCTACTCCAAAACCATTATTTTAATTATTTTATCATTAAAATTATTTTAATTTTAATAAAATAATTAAATTTAAATTAATTTTAATTAAATTCATTTTAATTATTAAAATAACTATTTTATCATTAAAATAATTAAGATTAAAAGTAATAATTTAAATCATTAATTATAAAAATTAAATTAAATTTTAATTATTTTATCATTAAAATCAATAAACCATTATTTTATTATATAAAAATTATTTTATTAAGTTTACCCTTCTGGAGAACTTTGATATTTCCTTAAATTTTACTGAAATTTTAATTGGAAGAACTGAATTTGGGGAGAATTGATATCTTTAGCAACTGAGCCTTCCCTTCTCAGAATACAGTAGGTCACTGTATTAATTCAGATCTTCTTTTATGAATTCAGTTTCATCCTATAGGTTGCACATATTTCTTAATATTTATTAATAGGTACTTTATAGTTTGGATTACTGGGATTTTTGTTATTTTAATAATGACCATGACAGATCATTTCTGGTGTAGATGGTAATGAAGTACATGGAGGAATCTTCCTTCCCTACCCACTACAAACACAATGAAATGCTAAATAAATGTTATAAATTATTTTTTAACACATAGTTGAGCTTGAGAGTAAGAAATTTTCAAGTACCAAAATTAAACGGTGGAGTATAGAAGATAAAGCTGCACTGACCACAACATGGGTATTAGGAATAAAGACAGATTTTAGCGGGAGTTATGTTAATGCCCAAAGGACATAGGAGTTGATGCTGGTGGCCCTGCATACATGGCCACGAGCCAGGGCTAGGCTCTTTAAGTTGGGTGGTTGCTTTTGTGAAACTGGACTAGAACATTTCTACCTACTTGCCACGGGTCTTAACAGAAAAGAATAAAAACCATAAAGACCTGCTGATCTTTATATTTCCTTCACCAAGAGACAGTTTCTGAAACATTCCTCTAAAATTAATAAAATATAATTATGAGAAATATTTTGAGGTTAGAATCGTGTTAAGTACATGTTTCAACTTTAGGTAATACTAACTCCCTGCACCAAGAATAATAGGATTAACATACTCATAATTCTCCCCCTCAATATAGGATTTTTGTCAGTTATGTTATTAGAGGGAGTCTCACTTTGTACGGTCTCACTATACACAAGTTTCAATTACTACAAATTTGTTACACACCCAACAACATGGTTCAAATTTCAGTTATCATGATATATTAACTGTAATTACGTAAAACACAAACTTTGATGCTAGCTCTTTAGTCCACAAATCACTATGTAAATAACATGCTCATCATGATCAGTGATCAATCACATTACTTCTTTCAAAGTCTGTCAAGTGAATGATCACTCTGTTTACTCAGTTCACACAGAGGTGAGTGTATGTTGCCTCCTAGTCGCCCCGTGATAATCCTATGTAATAGTTTACAAAAATGAACAAAGGAGAATTAGCCAACAAACATGAGAGTCTGGCAAAGAAATAAAAGGTGACAACACGAAGTGAAATTTGAATTGAACATAAATGAGGTTATCAACAAATTTTAGCTGACCATGGGAATGTCGACACTTTCTCCATTCAAGAGACTACAGATAAGCAGCCACAGAAACTTAATAAAGGCCAAGTTATTGACACACATTAAGAAAGTGGTTGTGACATAAAGGTTGAAGATGTCACAGAAAAAGCTATGCCCACAAAAAAACTTCCCATTAAAGAAATCCTCAGATATTTCATGACACTGAAAGAGCAAAGGACAAAATATTTGAAGCTGATCCAAATTTAGAAAGGAGTATGCCAATTCACCAAGTATAGAAAAGATGCCTCCTCTGTAACTGAAGTTATACAATGAGAAGGCAGCAAAGAAAGCACTGTTTAAACTACTCTTAATGAGTCTTTTGTTTAAAAAATAATAATAATAAGGCCAGGTGTGGTGGCTCATGCCTGTAATCCCAGCACTTTGGGAGGCCAAGGTGGGTGAGTCACCTGAAGTCAGGAGTTCGAGACTAGCCTGGCCAACATGGTGAAACCCCATCTCTACTAAAAATACAAAAAATTAGCTGGGTGTGGTGGCAGGCATCTGTAATCCCAGCTACTCGGGAGGCTGAGGCAGGAGAATTGCTTGAACCTGGGAGGCAGAGGCTGCACTGCGCCGAGATCTCGCCATTGCACTCCAGCCTGGGCAACAAGAGTGAGACTCCGTCTCAAAAAAAAATAAAAATAAAAAATAAAAAATAAAATGAAATGACCTTAAATTTCAATGTTTCTAATATTTTTAATTACCATATAGTAAATAATAGTTTTGCTATTTTTTTCATTTTTCTTATATTTATAACCATCAGAAAGAAAAGTTTTGATGCTTTGACAAAGACTTTGAAGGTTTATAACATCTACATTCTGGTCTGGAACCATAATTCCCCAAGTTGCTAGTGTTAGAACCCAAGTGGAATTGATGCACAGCATTTTTCTAAGGCTTCTCCAATTTCTTAGTTTTTACTTTGTTCATCTCTTGATTGCCTGATATACTCAGGTATTTTATTGCTTATTTGTTTTAAAATAAGAGTATAACGGGTATTGTAGTTCTCTGATATTCCTGGGTTAGGCTGTCTTTTGCCTTATTGGAAGAAAAATTTGAATGGTTATAAAATGGCTGGAACAGTTTTTTTTCCTTCAGAAGTTTGAAGATACAGTTCTATACTCTTCTTGCATTTGCTGGGTGTTGCTATGGCAAAGTTTCTAAGACTAGAGTGGTCTTTTGTATCTTGTATATGACTTGTTTTTATTATGTGAATGTCCATATGATTCTTAGTTCTTGAAATTCAGCAAAAAAACTCCCAATTCCATGTCCAACTCTCTCCTACTGCCTCTCAGTCAACTTATTTAGATTCCAAACTCATAGCAAATTAGCAGCAGAAATACAGACTAGTGGCCAGGAACACTAAACACATAGGAAAGGGAAGGAAAAAATACACACAGAAAGGGGGGGAAATAACTTTCAAAGCAGGTTAAAGAATACTTTGCATTGAAGATGGCAACCTTTCAGACATTTAGAAAATTGCGTGCTCTGTAATGATCCATTCCTGGGTAGAGGATTCTAGGCAACACATGTTTTGATAGCATCAGAATCCACATACAGCTACTAAATTCTGAGTTCAATACCATGTAATTTTAATATTATATATAATATTTCAGCATAAATTCCTAATTACTTTTTTTGAAACGGAGTCTCACTCTTTCACCCAGGCTGGAGTGTGGTGGTGCAATCTCAGCTCACTGCAACCTCTGCCTCCCAGGTTCAACAATTCTCCTGCCTCAGCCTCAAGAATAGTTGGGATTACAGGTGTGCGCCACCATACTTGGCTAATTTTGTCTTTTTGAAGAGACGGGGTTTCACCAAGTTGGCCAGGCTGGTTTTGAACTCCTGACCTCAGGTGATCCACCTGCCTCGGCCTCCCAAAGTGTTGGGATTACAGGCGTGAGCCACCATGCCCAGCCCCTAATTACTTTTACACGTATCTTTTCATGTGTCAAATTCCTGACTACTCTTTTATGTGTCAATTCCAACAGAACTGATTTCCCAGAATGTACATTTTTATTGCTTTATAGTTTTATATTTAACACATATAAACAACACTTAGAAGAAATACAAAAATTTTTTAAAATTCCTAATGTATTTTGAAAGAATCTTTGTAAAACATCATTCAAATGTTAATTAGGTTGTAAACAGTTCCTTACTATTTTAAACACTGCATAGAAAACTTCATACTGCTGTTTTTTAGGGTTTTCTAACACACAGACACACACATACCTCTGTCTGAAATTAATATAAATTCAAACTCTAAATTAAATATGCCATTCAAATCCTGAAATTAATCTAGATAATAAAAATATTAATAGCAATTGCAACCCAGAATAATCAAATAAGGGAGTTTCAAACCAGGTGTAAAAATACTTTGTCTCTTTGTTTCAAGATTAAGAATAAAAATACAACCACACCTTTTTCTTTGGGTTAACCACAAAGCAAACTACAGACAGTTTGCACAAATTCAGAGCAATGCATACGTGGCAAATTAACAGCCTTATCAAGCTTCAAACATCCTGGCTTTTTGAGGCACAGTAATACCTCCTCTCTCTTCACAGTTTATTGTTGAGGGATACGTAATTCATATTGATATGACTCAGAGCCATGAGAAACATTTAATAATTATCACTCAGAAATAAAACTCAGATGATGAGAGTCCTATATAAATTAAGTAGAACATGTGCCTAGCTGAAAGAGCAAAAATAAAATAAAATAAAATAAAATAAATCATAATAGACCCTCCATATCAGACTCTAAATTTACTAGGGCTTTGAGGTAACAGACTTCTGCTCTAAACCACTCAAGTCAAAGCAGCATCAAAAACTGACTCTTTGCTCCTAGATCTGGTAACTTCAGCAATTTTAAAAAAGAACAACAAAGCTGAAAGACTTAAACTGCCTGAGTTCAGGACCCACTATTAAACTACAATAATCAGGACAATGTGATATTTGTATAAGGGTAGATAGATCAACAAAACAAAATACAGAGTCTAGAAACACACCCATGTATACATGATAAACCAATTTTTTTACACATATTTCAAAATAATTCAGTAGGGAAAGGATATTATTTTCAACAAATGGTGCTGGAATAACTAGACAGCCACATTAAAAAAATATATAAATCCACCTTTACCTCACATCATATACAAAAATTAACTCAAAATCAGTTATAGATCTAATGAACAAGCTAAAATTATAGAACATCTAGGAAAAAAAAACAAGAAAAAATTTGTGACATTGGGCTAGGCAAATATTTTTTAGGTAGGCTATAAAAGGCATGAATCATAAGAGAAAAATAATAAACTGGATTGATCATAATTTAAAGTATTTGTGCTTCAAAAGTTCCTGTTAAGAAAATTAGAATGTAAAGCACAGACTGGGAGAAAATATATCCAAAGCATATATTTGATAAGGGACTAATATCCAGAACATATTAACTTTTATAACTCAGTAATAACAGAACAAATGACAAATATATATATATATATATATATATATATATATATATATATATATGAATAGCAAATAAGCATATGGGAAAATTTTCAATGTCATTAATCATCAGGAAAAATCAAATTAAAATCACAATGAACTACCACTATACACCCAACAGAATGGCTGAAATTAGTAAGACTGGAAATACCAAGTGGAAGGACACAGAATAATTAAAACTCATACACTGCTGGTGGGAAATGCAAAATATTATAGCCATTTTAGAAAAGATTGGCATTTCTTATTAAGTTAAACTTACACTTGCCATATGACCTAGTAATCCTATTCCTAGGTGGGAAATATATGAAAATGTATGCCCAAATAAAAACTTGCACTCACAGGTTGACAGCAGCTTTATTAATACAATAATAGCCAAAGACCAAAAATAAGTCAAATACTCATTAAATGGTGAATGGACAAAGAAATTATGTTCAATCAAATCAACTAATACTACTGAGTAATAAATAAGAATTACAATATATCTCCAATATTGTGTTCTAGCAAATCAACTAACACTACTGAGCAATAAATAGGAATTACAATATATCTCCAACAACATGGATAAATCTCAAAAGCATCATGCTAAATGAAAGAAAGTAAATCAAAAGACTATGTACTGTATGATGCCATATATATGAAATCCTAGGAAAGAGAAAGGTGTAGTGACAAAACACAAATCAAGGTTGCTAGGCGTCAGAGGTGGGGAGAAGGAATTTACTGCAAATAACTATGAGTTAAATTTTTGGGGTGATGAAAATGTTCTGTATCATGACTGTGATGGTGGTTAAACAACTGTATACAATTGTCAAAAAAGAATTGTGCACTCAATTTGAAATTTTATTGTCTGTAAATTATATCTAAAAAAGATGAATTAGCTGAACGATCTGGTTCTACTGAATTAAAATTCTATGTAGAGTATCAGAGTGTGATTACAAAATGTTTTGAGAGGATACTATAGAATTTCTTGTGTAATTTTGGTAGGGTTTTAGGATGTTCTGAAAGCAAAGGCCAAGGAACAATGACTCATAGATGATAGTCCCACAACAGTCTACACAAAAAAAGGTAAATATAAATTTATATCTCCCTTACTCCCATTAGTACCATGCCTAAAATACTTTGTTTACAGAATTACTGTTTCTGATGAATGAACCATTAAAGAGAAACACCGAGTACAGAGTTTCAGATTGGGAAGATGAAAAAATTTCTAGAGATGAATGCACAACAATATGAATGTACTTAATGCCACAAAACTGTAAACTTAAATGGTTAAAATGGTAAATTTCATATTATGTATATTTTACAACAATAAAAATTTTTTTTAAACATTGGGGGGTAGGGGAGAGGCACTCCAAAAAAATGTACATAAATCTAGAAATGCACAGGAAGTTCATTTTGAAAGAGTTCCTTTGGTTTGATTAATAAAGACTATTCTACTGTTGCTTTCACAAAATCAAGCTTAATAGTGGTTATTAGGTACGATTCTACTAAAGGAAATTGTGCTTACCAACTCTATCCAAGCTTATTTTTAATGTTTAGGGCTCTTACCAGAATATAGTTTTTGCTTGTAACAGTTTGAGTTGTCTAACACAGACAGGAAAAACACTGGGAGCTCCAAAAAGGTTCTACATTTGGATGGCCCAAATACATGTCATTTTGTCATCTAAATTAATCTGCAAACTAAACTGAACACAAATACTCAAAACATGCTAACAGAAGCCCTAAAGTGACTGTGGCCTGGGGTTAAATAAGGTCACACAAGAACTGCTAAGATAAACATCAAATTCATGTCATTTGGTAAACGAGAAAGCCATCTGTGCAATTCACTGTGGGTAAACTGCAGACTGACTGGGGCTAGACATTTGTCAAACATAGTCGTTATTAATAGTCATGCCAATAAGTGTTAAAAACCCAAAAATCCCTAGATTTAAGTCCAGAGATGGCAGAGTTGTAGTAATCTACCTAAAGCTGGCAGGACATTTCTATTAAGAAATAGCATTAATAGAACCTTCTATTACATTAATAGAAAGTAAGTTCAAAGGGCACATGCCAAGAACAGGAAAGAATGTATGCGCTTTAAGCAAGTTCTATGTACTATCTGGAGAACAAGTTCTGAGTTACAGGCTAAGTGGATTTTAGGAGGGCAATTTCAATTTAGGCAGGAAATAAATAATAATGATAGTAGTAGTCGTTATCAGTAGCAGCAGTAAATTCTTACATCATGCTTCCTATTTGCCAGATATTAGTTCTAAGCACTTTCATTATATTAACTTGCTTAATCCTTCTAACAACATTGTGAGGCTGGCAAACCATTGTCTTCATTTTGCAGAGATGAAGAAACAGGCTCAGGAAGACTAGGTAACTTTCCCATTGTAACCCAGATGAGAGGTGGCAGAGCCATCTCAGGGTGTCCTGCTCCAAGTCCAGAGTTCTTGCTCTTAATAATACTATATTGCTTGTCTTTGGAAAACACCACTGCTTTCCTGGGAAGCAAGAAGGTTAAAGGAATTGTTCTACTGTAGACCAGACTGGAGAGTAGTATTAGAAAGAACTAGTGAGAAATGAGGAAAAACTTTCAACATTTATTAAAAGCCTGCCATGTACCAGGCATTTTATATTTTAGGATAGTAGGCAACTGACTACAAAAAAGTAAATGACTTACAGGCCCTGAAATTCACCTTAAACTTGTATTTTTAATTAAGTTTATTATTTCTTTGCATTTAAACACAAAGATATATCACAATGATCAAATGCAAAAAAAAAAAAACATTATTTTACTTCATCTTCACAAGAATTCAATTCAGTTCTTTCAAAAAAATTTGCTAAGCATTTATGTACCAGGCACAAGACATATAAAAAAGGTGAATGTATTAAAAATTAAAGAAATTGGTTCCTGTTCTTTAAAAAAAAATCTATAGTCTACAATAACTCTTTGCAATTATTCTCATTTTACATAGAAAGACACTGCTCAGATGGGTTAAATAACCTGTTTAGGGTCCAACCTGTAAATAGCTGAGACAGGATTTGAACTCAAGCCCTTCTAACTCCAAAACCTATACACTTTTACCCTACAGAAAGCTAAAAGTGTTTCTGAGTGTAGGGACCGGAAAAAAATTTCCAACTGACTTCAAATAACAAATACAAGGCAACTGTATTCTCGTTAATATTTTAGAACTGTGTCATGTTAGTTGAGAACTTGAAAAGAGGAAGTGTAAATTCTAGACTAAATCTTGGGTTACAGACCTCACACAGATTGAATATAGAAGAAGTACACAGCAAGAGTCACTCACATTGTAAAATAGTTGAACATTTTAAAATACATATTACAGTGGACACGTATGGTCCCACTGGAAATATATAAGACAATGTTACTTTCAAGAGTTCCCAGTCTTTGAAGCTGAAATCCTTCTCTCTTAAATCTTATTAAGTAGTTAATTGTAGCAGAAAGTTACTCAGTTAGGTCCCAATAGGCACAGGCCAGAAAGTCCTCTGAAAGCTGCCCTCAGTACCTGCACTGTCACAAACCTACTAAGTGTATTCTATAGTTAGAAAAAATGTATTGATATAACTTTCTGCCATTGATATAACTGTTCTACCTAAAAAGAACAAGATATTAAAGATACCATGCTTTATAAAGAGATGATCCTATTCATTGTGAGAAACTGAACTTATCCAGCTATATGCTATTTTATTTAACTTTGGAACTGCATTCATCAGTACGCATTTATGAGATGGCTAAGGTCTGAGGGTATAGGATGGAACCACTTGGCCATCTCAAAATCATTAGCCTAGATTTGTTAAATTATGCTTTGCCCAAACTGAATTAACCAGGGATAAATGATTTTGAAAGAAATAAGGGTTGACATGTGGGTGACAAAAAAAAATTAATTAAAAAACAGAACGGGTGTAATGGCTCACACCTGTAATCCCAACACTTTGGGAGGCAGAGGTGGGCAGATCACTTGAAGTCAGAAGTTCGAGACCAGCCTGGCCAACATGGTGAAACCCCATCTCTACCAAAAATACAAAAATTAGCCAGGCATGGTGGCACACACCTGTAATCCCAGCTACTCAGGAGGCTGAGGCAGGAGAATCACTTGAACCTGGGAGGTGGTGGCTGCAGTGAGCTGAGATAGTGCCGCTATACTCCACAGCCTGGGCGACAGAGCACAACTCCGTCTCAAAAAAAAAAACAAAAAACAAAAAACAAAAAAAACATTAAGGGAATGACTGAGGTCTTGAGAAATAAATTTGAAACTGTGTTTTTAATGTTGAAATGTATCCAAAAAAAATCATATCCTAAAAACATTAAGAACTCAAAATGTGCTCTCTCCAAATTTACAATATAAAAGAGAACGAGGACTGTCAAATATAAAACATGTTTTAAAACTAAAAATGCATAAATTACATATATTTAGATGTTCATAGATAACAATGATGTTAGTGTATGAAGATATTTGGTTAATATATGATAAAAAATGGATTCACAGAATCAGTTGAAAAATATTTTAAGCAGAACTAAAGCTAGTCCTCTGCCAAACTTTCCCAACTACATTTTATACGTTGTAATCATAGAAGAAAATCTGCTGACATATTTTAAAATGTAAAAACAAGGTTATAAGGGATAAGTTTCAGGATAATATGCTTAAACTCTTTTCAAATTACAATTTATGTGCAAAATTTTTTTTGAATTCCAGAATTTGCTATTTCATCTACGTTGTTGCACAACAGATCTCCAGAACTTTTCATCTTGTAAAACTGAAACTGCTATTTAATCTTAAGTGAGCCCTAAAACATTTTTAAATAATATGAATCAGCAAACTAAAAAGCAAAATATATTCAGTGCAGAGTCCATGAGGATACAATTAGGACAGAGGCTAAGTAACAATTTCTCTTTTAAGCAATGGTTTTCTTCAGTGTATAAATATTGTAAACATTTTTTTAAATTAAGAGAATAATCTCCCTTAAGACCAGAGATAACATCTTCATGTATATATCCACAATATCTAGCTATATAAAGCACTCAATGATAATTGTTGATGGCACCCAAGGAAGCTGTTTAAATAATGAAGTTTCATAATCTAATTTCAATTTATTCTTATCTGTTCAATAAACTGGTTCCCTAAAAACCACTACCAGAAAGACTATTTTTGCCCTGTTTTTTAAAAACTTCCTTTTAAAAAATGTAATTGTATTGTAGGTTTCAAAATTCCCAGTTGACTGTGCTCACATAATAATCAACTCACATAAATGGTAGGTAAAGATAAGCTTCCTACTTACCATATAGTTACCATAAGCATGATCAAACATTTCCAGTACTTGATTCCTAATTTTAAAAGAGCAGAAATGGAAAAAAAAAAAAAAAAAGGTAAGTATATTCTATTTATTATCTTTCAAAAAGTTAATTCTTCCTCATAAAAAATATACCAATAAAAACAAAAGAAAAATTTAGGTAGAAAGGGACATAAACAGAATCAGAAACTACAACAGCTAGCAGACAAGCTTTCATGAACTCACCACACAGAGCTGAGCCAAACTTTAATGATTACTAGTAATTTATGTACAATTCATCTTATAATTTTTCCTAAGAAAACTGATGAATGATAGATGCCATCATCAGAGAAGGAAATCTGATGCAGAAAAACAATGACCTCTTAACACAATTATTTAACGTATCTGTCTTGAAGCGGGGGTTTTGCTGGACAGCCCTTTAAAAAAACCATTATTATTGCCATTTATTGCTTCCCCTATATGTTCTACTAAGAGAGAGGTACACAGGTGTGTAGTGACATGAAATAACAACGCTTTATGAAGCCTCTGCCTTTGCACTTACATTGAATAAACCACTAATGCCTAGTTTAAGTACATATTTATTAATGTTTGTCATATTTTCAAAAGATACTTTTTATGATGTGCTCTACTCTAAAAAAACTGTCAAAAATCAAATAAATAGTATTCACTTCCAAAATGAGAAAACTAATGCTCAAAAAGAGAGTTGTGTGTTTTGGCGAATTCTGTTTCACAAAATCTCCGTAACCACTGTTTAAAATGGAGATGTCTGATCACTACACCAGAATTTTACTAAATCAAAACCTGTAAGGTTGCGACTGAGGAAGCAGCCTTTCAATTAAGCACTCTCAAGTTCAGGGACTTGAGGACTACAGGAAAAAGTACAAGTTAATTGTATGACCAGACAAGGCCAAATAATTAGCAAAGGAAAACACAGCTTAACAATTTTTTATTAACTTTTTCTTTTTTTTTTGAGACAGGGTCTCACTCTGTCACACCTAGGCTAGAGTGCAGTGGCACGATCTCAGCTCACTGCAACCTTCACCTCCCAGGTTCAAGCGATTCTCCTGCCTCAGCCTCCCGAGTAGCTGGGATTACAGGCGTCTGCCACCATGCCTGGCTAATTTTTGCATTTTCAGTAGAGACAGGGTTTTACCACGTTGGCCAGGCTGGTCTCGAACTCCTGACCTCATGTGATCCACCCGCCTCAGCCTCCCAAAGTGCTGGGATTACAGGTGTGAGTTACCACGCCCGGCCTATTAACTTTTCTTTTACCAAAGTTCCAATCACTGATGGCAAGAATTGAAAAAAGTGTTAAAGAAATTGCTGACTATATTTTTATTTGCCTCCTGTTATACTGCAATTGTCATTTTTAAAACTATAATCACAGATTATGAAATACTGGTAATAATAGAGCTAGCAAACAGAAAAGACCTCAGTTCCAGATCCTGACTATGAACACCAACAAAATCAAGTACACTCAAACTTGTGAACGAATTAAGTCCTGACAACATATGAATAATAACCACTTAAAAACATTTCATTATTTAAAAAAAGACCTTACCACCACTTTGCTAAAGCACTAATTCTTTGTAAGTTTACATATATATATATGTTTATATATATATAATTTTTATATTTGTGGTTTACAGCTCTAGACTCTTATCCTGTCCTAAGCAGAAAAAAAAAAGTTTAAAATGTCCCTTTCAGGAACTCATATCAATGAATGGAAGATGGAAGTCCTCTTTTTTTTCCTTCCCTGAAATGGAATACGAGATTATTACCAAGAAGTAGAAATTCCTATAATTGGCAATGGTAGTGCCTAGACATGTATATTACAAATGACATAAGCTTTAACTTGCTAACTCAACTTTACAAGCATTCAATTTTCAAGACTGTAAGTAAATCATGATTGCATACAAGGAGAATACACTATTTTCCAATCCTTACATTTATGCAGCATATGATGAGCAAATTTTAGAACACATATTTCAAAGTGGAGCTATTTAATATCATTGCTCTTACACATAGAAGCCTAACAAAGTCACATTTAAATACAGAATGGTATAATAATTACTATACTGAACAGAAAAAAAAATTTCCATAATGTTTTATCTATTCAAAAACTGGATTAAAATGTATTGGAAATCAGACCCAGTTCAAAAATTACACCACTCTTCAGTAATTTCTGTAAGTCGGCTTTTTCTCTTTTTTTGAGACAGAGTTTTGCTCTTGTTGCCCGGGCTGGAGTGCAATGGCACGATCTCTGCTCGCTGCAACCTTCGCCTCCAGGTTCAAGCGATTCTTCCTGCCTCAGCCTCCCGAGTAGCTGGGATTAAGGGCATGCGCCACCACACCTGGCTAATTTTGTGTTTTTAGTAGAGAAGGGGTTTCTCCATGTTGGTCAGGCTGGTCTCGAACTCCCGACCTCAGGTGATTCGCCCGCCTCAGCCTCCCAAAGTGCTGGGATTACAGGCATGAGCCACCATGCCAGGCCAAGTCGGCTTTTTCTAAAGTTACGTCTCCTGCCCACGTGCTATAGAAACTGGATTGTTTTCTACTTCATTTTTTAATGAAAACATAACATTAACAAAATACCCTGTTGCAAAATTTTAAAAACAAAACCAAAAAGCTTATTCCATGAAGGATAAGACTACATATAACCAGCTAAGTAATTCCACAAAGTGTAAGTTATTGAGCAATTGCTTACTATTCATGACAATTCCAGTCTTTATCAACTATTTGGTTTGTTGGTGGGGAGGGAAAGGGGTGGGGCATTTTCTGCTTTTTATCATGAATCATTATTTGGGCTTTAAAAAATGCACAGGTAAACCTAATGAATCAAAGTTCAGTTTTCTGAAAATTCCCAGAGAAAGCAGTCATATAATTGTGTATTTGTCGTTTATAGCTCTAGATTCTTACCCTACCCTTACTCAAGGGTAGAGCAATCTAACAAGCCTAAATAATTGTAATTTCACTTTCATAAATGATCTCAAAATTTGAGCTGAAATTTCAAGCCAATTTGGTTGAACTTTTCCAGTTAAAAACTAATTTTGGTCAAAAATGATTTATCCAATGACTCTTTTACAAATAAGTTTTTAATAAAAAATGAAGAAAGGGTAGTGATAGTCAAATAAGATTCTTGTGGTTCTTAACAGACTTGATACTTCTCTTCCAAGTCTAATGAACGTGCAACATACTGGAGAGAGCCTGGCTCTGGGATCAGACAGGCTTGGGTTTGAATGCTGGCTCTACCAATTACTAGCTTTGTGGCTGAACAAGTCAACCTTGGGTCTCAACTTCCTCATTTGCAAATGTGGATCATATTCATTGGGAAATAGGAAGGAGTACAGAGATAACATATGTAAAGTATTCACAGAGTGAGATATTTGGTAAAACTTATCAATGATACATTAAATTCATATGAGAGAAAATGTAAGATATTTATTAGAGTTTACCGGTAATTTTATTTTGATGGTTGATACTTCAGCTTTTTTCCATCAAGTGACCTTTATTGCTATTTAGAAACGAATACAAGACTCTTTGCAATGATTTAAAGTACATAAAGTAAGACCTGATGGTTCCACCACCCCTCCAGCCTAACCCCATGAGATAATCTTCGTTCCACTTTTTTTCTGAGCTCAGATTTTTTTTTTCTTTTTTAAAAAAAACATGGGATGATACTATACATATTATTCTACAACTTGCATTTTTTTTTGTTTTGGAAATATATTCTGGATAGGCTTCCAGTGACGTACTTCCTTCTTCTTAATGTCTCAATATTATTCCATAATATGAACGTACCCTATTGAACCATTTCCTCCAAGGAAGAGCTGTTCTTTCAAAATGCACTTTTTTTTTTTTTTTTCGAGACAGAGTTTCGCTCTTGTTGCCCAGGCTGGATCTATCTCTGCATTAAGAGTGCTTTTATTTTCTTAGGGTAGATTCTCAGAAATAGAACTGATGAATCAAAGTGTGCACAATTTAAATTTTAGTAGATACTACCAATAAGTTACAGCAATTTACACTCTCACTAAGCCTTTTTTTTCTATTCCTTAACTAACCAGAACCGTATCCTTGTGTTTTGTATTATATTTACTAATCTGATGGGCAAAAACCAGCTAGCTCCTCGTTTTAATCTGCATCTCCTACGTTTATGGAGGTTGAGTAACTTTTCATGTTTATTTACCACTTCCATTTCCTCTTCTGGCTTAACCGTTCATGCCTTTCTCCCATTTCCTACTGGTTCTTCGCTTTTTTCTTATTCATGTGTAGGACCTCGTGTATGTATTACTCTGAATTAAATGGTGTAAATAGAATTGATAATTTTAACACACTTCCAAGACGGATAAAAACTACTGAATAGGTATACTTGAGACTTTTGAATAATTTCCCCCCAAACATTCTATTATGAAAATACAGTGCAAGAAAACACTGCAAGGAAATAGTAAAATGTGTAAAGTTCAAGTTCCAATGAACGCCCCCTTTTCCGTAACAGGTGTAAACATCATTTCCTTAACTACTGTGAGATCAGCAACATTTTCCCAGTTGGAAGCTCACTTGCGCGAGAAAGCTAACCATGCTTCGGTCGACAGGCAGCCAACCGCAGAACTCCAGCGCGCAGCGATGCGGGCTGTAGCCCCCTTCTTGGGCCACTGACATGGCAGCCGCGTTGACACACCGCGCCTGGCTTCAAGGAGCCTGCACATGTCACCGGCGGCCAGGGCGACACCCCGTCAGCTCCCCCGAGGTCAGGTCGCGGGCGGCGGTTCCCACCTCCCCGGACCCTGTCCACCCCTCTAGGGTTCTCGCGCGGGAAGAGCCGTTCCAATCGCGACAGGAGAGGCCACTACGCGACCGGGTCGCAATGACAGGCACCCCTCCTGTTGTCAGCCTCACCGAGAAACCCACCCCAGGCTGCCAGCACCCTTACCCAAGCTTCTGTTTCTCCTCCCTACTCATGGGCTCGGCCCCCGCCGTCCACACGGAGGTGGCCGACACCAGGCAGAACGCGGCCGTCGCCGCCACTAGTCTCCATCGCGCTCGCTGGGGAACCGGGGACCCACAGCCCCGGCCGCCGGCTTCGCTCATGGCCCCGCGGTTCCGCGCACGCGCAGCTGCTACGCCCGGCCGGTGAGACACATTGCTGGACGCTGGTGGCCAGGGGGCTGCTAGCCGTGCCGAGACGGGGCGGGATGCGGAGTAACACGGACGGCCGCCGGCGCCAAACTGTTTCCCGAAGCCACCAAGCCGGTCCCCAGCGCCAGCGCTGCCACCGCCCTCCGCCCTCAGTATCCCGGAGCGCCTCCCCCAGCTTTCCGGTGTCGTAGTCTAGGAAACCGCCTCCCCAACGTTACTTCCGGGTAGGGCCGAAGCCGTAGAGCCTCAGGACCAATGGAGACCTCATGGGAGAGGGGCTGTCTCCGGCGACTGGAGAGGGCATTGGCCAGGAGAAGTGAGACGTGGACAAAAGGCGGGACTGGGAAGGGATCTCTCGCTTCGACCCGCCTCCGACCCGCGGAGTTGCCCCCTGAGGACTACCAGTCCCAGTGTGCACTGCTTCTTCCCCGGCTCTCCCGCGAGCCGACTCGGAGCCGTGTCTCTCGCTTCTACCCGGGGTAGGCGCGCTGCACCCTGGGACTTGCGGTCCTCCGAGGTCGCCAGTGGTTGCTGGGATCCCACCTCCCCCTTTCCTCGGCGCCCTACAGTCAACCCTGTCTCGGTGGGCTGCGGAGTCCCGGGAAACCCGTCAGCTGTTTATCTCTCTTCCTCAGAAAGTTGTTTCCCAGAGAGCTGGCTGAATGAGGCGCACTGTCCCCATGTCAGTGCTGCTGCGTTAGGGAATAGTGTTGGAGTAGTCGTCTACCCTCAGGGAAATTCCAAAACACAGTAACAGCAAAATGAATTGAGCCTTTGAAGGCATTGCGCTAAGGTTTTTACTCGCAATCATCTCATGCACTCTTCTCAACTCTGATAGAGTAAGTACCACCATCCCCCTTTTGCAGACGAGAAAACAGAGGCTTAGAAAAGTTGGTTAACAAGAGCTCGTCACACTGCTGTATTAGAATCCATCCAGCCTCTGATTCGGAAGCCCTTGCATTTAACCACCGCGCAGTACTACAAGGATGAAGGAGCACGTGGGTCCTCGTACATGATTAATAATAGTTACCTCAAAAGCTCAATGTAAGGAGAGCTGTGTGGGCTGCAAAGAAGGTTTAATGAAGGAGATTGGAACTTGCAATGAATTTTGATGACCGAGTCCCAGGTTAACTATTGGTAAAATGACACATCGGTTCCTCTTGAAAAACCACATTGTTTTTCTAGTGTGGTCATTCAATAGGTGCGGAGTTTAGGAGCTTCGATGTGATCTCTGTGACCACAGTAAATTACTTACGTGTCCTTTAAGCAGTATTCGGCGGTCTTTCTGGAAACGTTTCTTCCTTGACTTTTATCACCTTACCTCTTACCTCTTAACCTCTTACCTCTTCTCTGGCTGACCCGTTTTCCTTCATTCTCTCGCTACTTTATATTAAAATACAGGTGTTCCCTTAAGGTTTTCTTTTTGTCCTTTTTCTCTCTGTACTCTAATTATTCCTTGGTGATTTCTTCTCATAAGGATTCAGCCAACATATCTCTGTGGTTGATTTCTAAATCAATATCTGTCCTGATCATTAGACCCACATTTCCACCTCCCTAATAGAAATGTCCTAATGTCTAGCCCAAGGGTAGCTCAAACGTAAGATGTTTTCTGATTCAAATTAATGCATCGGAATCATTGTCAACTCATCTTTAGCCTTCGGGGTCCACGTGCAATTAATTACCAAATTATATAGATTTTACCTCTTCTATCTTTCAGATTATTACCTTTCTTTCTATTCCCACTTTTGCTCCATTCAAGCTTCCATTACCTCTCTCCTAAACTATTGCAGTGTCTCAATAAATGTTAAATATACTTGCTTCCTTATTCCTGCAGTTTTCTTATCTATAAAGTGGGAATAATATGGTCCTTTTATCCAGTAGTCCCCAACTTTTTTGGCACCAGGGACCACTTTTGTGGAAGGCAATTTTTCCACAGGGTGGGGGAGACACCGTTCCATCTCAGATCTTCAGGTATTAGATTCTCATAAGGAGCGTGCAACCTAGATCCCTCGCATGTGCAGTGCACAATAGGGTTCATGCTCCTATGAGACTCTGACGCAGTTGATCTGACAGGAGGTGGAGCTCAGGTGGTAATGCTTGCTCGCCTGCTGCTCCTGAGAGGCAACTGACTGGTACCAGTCCACTGCCCCAGGCTTGGGGATCCTTGCTTTTATCTACTAACGTGGATGCTGTGAAAACACATGAAGTCATTTCTGTACAATATTTAATATCCTTTATTTTTTTGCATGGATCTCCAATCCTACATTGGTTCCATCCTAGTCCTCTTTGGCAGCATTAATGTTGAAGTTACCGATTATCTCCCTGCTGCCCTACTCTCCTCTATACATGGCTGTCAGAATTGGTATTCAAGAACATCTGCAAACCCTCTGAATACCTTCTTTCTTCCTTCTAGTCTGCCCTGCCCTCAAATCCTATGTGATAACTAAATAATTCCTATTCTGTATCCTTTCCATGCCTTTGCTCACACCATCTCCTATGCTACCCCATCATCTTTGTACAACACTCAACACCTGTTAAGGCTGGGCTCAGATTCCATTTCCACAAAACCCTTCCAGAACCTTCTAGTTAGCAGAAGTTATCCTCTCTCTGTGCCTCCATGGTATTCTGTGTCTTTGTTATTGTGTTTTTCATAGTCTGCATACCCACTACATTTTAACCACATGAAAAGTATTGACTTTAGCTTATTTGTAGGTTGTCTTAGTCCGTTCTCTGTTGCTATAATGGAATACCTGAAAGTGGGTAATTTATAAAGAAAAGTAATTTATTTCTTACGATTCTGGACTGGGAAATCCAAAAACCCGGCACCGGCATCTGGTTGGCTTCTGACGAGTGCCTCGTGCTGCATCATGACATGGTGGAAAAGCAGGCACGTGTGAAAGAGGTGAAACACGAGGGGCAGCCTCTCTGCATAACAACCCATTCTGGCGGTGACTAATCCAGTCCTGAGAGAATAAGAACCCACTCTAGCAAGAAGTAACCCAGACCGGAGAGAGCAGCATTAATCCCTCTTAATCACCTCTTAAAGGCCCCATCTCCCCAGATCACCATACCAGGGACCACATTTCCAACACAGATATTCTGAGGGACACACTCAAATTATAGCATAAGGATATTCTGAAACACCTAGCACTGTGCCTCTCCTGCTGTAGATGCTCAGTAAATGTTGAATATACTTGTTTTTGTATTCCTTCAGTTTCCTTATCTAAAAAGTGGGAATAATATAGTCCTTTTATCTACTTACATAGATGCTATGAAAACACATGAGGTCACTTCTGTACAATATTTAATATTATCCTTTCTTTGGACAGATCTGCAATCCAACATTGGTTTCATCCTGGATCCTCTTTGGCAGCCTTGGTAATGAAGTTAGCTAAATCAATACATGTGAGTTGGTCTTGGCTCTTGCATAGAGAACATTACAAACTAAAGGTCAACACCAATCATATGGTATTTGAAAACTAAGAACAAATAAAATAGAAAAACAGTGACATTCAGTTATATGGAAATATAGTCAAGTCAATAATTTGAAGTGGATTATTAACAATAACACAGTTTTCTTTACCTTCCTGATGTTCCAACCCTTTATAAGAAGTCAAAATTGACTATGAACTATCATTAAGAACATACTAAAGAAGAAGTACTGGCTTTTAATGTTTAACATTTTCTAGCATATTTGTTTGTTTTCAAGTTAACGCTGCATATTTAAAGATTATAATGGGAAGCCAGAACATAATTCTTTTTCGAACTGCTAAATAATAAGTATCTTTTTTTCCCTTGTTGAAACTCAATTTCTAGCCAATGATTGAGTCTATTTTTCACTGATCTCAGCAACCTTAAGTAGAAAATCTAGTGTGACCTAAAAGCTCTAAAACTTATCAAAGGTGGAGCCCATGGAAATAAAAGAAAAATATATTCGCAAAATGCATTTCAAAAAAGAACACTTTTTTTTTTTGCTGGGTGCAGTGGCTCACACCTGTAATCCCAGCACTTTGGGAGGCCGAGGTGGGCGGATCACCTGAAGTCAGGAGTTCGAAACTAGCCTGGCCAACATCATGAAACCCTGTCTGTACTAAAAATACAAAAATTAGCCGGGTGTGGTGGCAGGCTTCTGTAATCCCAGCTACTTGGGAGGCTGAGGCAGGAGAATCGCTTGAACCCAGGAGGCGGAGGTTGCAGTGAGCCAAGATCATGTCATTGCACTCTAGTCTGGGTGACAAGAGCAAAACCCTGTCTCAAAAAAAAAACAAAAACAAAAACAAAACAAAACAGAACAAAACGTATTTAACCCCGTAATGAAAATAATGGAAATTCTCAGCTAATTGGCACTTTATGAACACTAGGAAAAATTCACTTACGTTATTTTAAAACCTATACACTTAGTGATAAAAAGGATGTACGAGTTAATTGAGAGAGTCTAGTGTTGTACAGAGGGAAAAAGACTGGTGGAAAGCACATCAGAAGAATAAGGATAGAACTTTTAAAGATATAAAGATTTTTTATGTATAAAACCCATTAAAAATGGTAAGAAATAACAGCCATTTCTAAAATGCCCTTTAACCAGTTAACAATCTGTTTGCACAGCCTTGTAGCTTATGTAAATATGCATGCTCACTTTCCTGCTTGGATGTGTCAGAAGTTAGGGAGGGATAGGAGCCCTGGGTAGAACCATATGGATTCAAAAACACAGGGAGGGGCTCCATTTTAATATTATGGCTCAGAAATAGTCCTAGGAAGCTGGGACCAGCTGTGCAAAACTGGTCATAGAACAGCAGTTGCCCCTAAATGATTTGAATTCTTTAGTACTACAGTTCTAATTACTCCTGAAACTAGTATGGAATTTGGGAGTGGTGATTTTGTCATTCTTCAAATTGCTTTTCCTATTCTTTGATAGCATGCAGAATTGACAACAGTTTTCTTCTAGAGAACCCAATCTTGCAAACATTAAATAAAGACAGTAATTATTCTGCATTCACAATTAGTGACTTTGAGGCCTTAGAAAGAGCACCTCATGACAAAGATACTCGGTGAATGTCGTCAACTGACTTCCTGCGTGGCTGTCGGACTGATTTTTTCAAATTCTAAGAAAGAGAATGAGAGATTCAGATGATTCACCTCCCCAAAAGATGTCCCCAGGGCTTTTTCCACCTCTCCATCTTGATTTGAGATCTTCAAAATCACTTCACCTTCAGATTATTATCCCATTTCTCTCACTGGCACTAGCTCCAACTCTCTCAGGCAAGAAAGTTTGCTCATGTGTCATGATTATTTGGTTGGGTCACTTATTTAGTGGCCATTTTCCATTTACTTCAAGTATCAGAAGCAAAACCAAGTCACATGGCTCTTCGAGGGAGTACATTTTGTGTTTGTTCCCTCTCTTAAATCCCCATTTCACCATCAGCATAGTTCCCACTTATTGGTACAGTGTGGCCACAGGATTTAGGTGAGCACCATTCAACAACAGTTGCACAGGTACCATTCAGGCCAAGAACAATGGCTCTGAGACAGCTCTGCTGATTATTGGCTGGGCTTCCTTAAGCAAATGACTAAATCTCTGTGCTTTTGTTTCCTCATTTGTAAAATGAGAATAAGAATAATACCTACCTCACAGCATTTTTAGAAAGATTAAATGGTTTAATTGTTATGCCTTCCTTTTAGGGATGTTGTGAAGATAATGAGATGGTGTGTGTAAAATATTTAGTACAGTTTGAAGGAACTCAATAAATAGTAGGTATCCATATCATGATTATGAGGTAAAGAGAAAACATCGCCATTGTTGAGAGTAGGATTCAAGGGTGAGTGCAGCTGCTCCAACAGCACCCATGGCTCTGGTTTTATTTTCAGCCCTGAATCTTTTTTTCTTTTTTAATTATTATTTTTTTAAAAACAGAGAGAAAGAGAGACAGGGTCTCACCATGTTGCCCAGGTTGGTCTTGAGATCCTGGACTCAAGCGATCCTCCCACTTCCGCCTCCCAAAGTGCTAGGATTACAGGTATGAGCCACCATGCCTGGCCCCAGCCCTGAATCTTGTCTACTTCCTTTGCTTGCTTACTTCGTGCTGCCATTGCAGGCTCCCCATCCAAAAATGTAGCCCTCTTTAGGCCAGCAACTCCAGAGACTGTTGAATTCAGGCACAGTTTGTATGAGCTATAGCGCCTCATCCCTGTATTAGAGTAAATACGCACAAAAACACAAGGTACTTTTCTGTCCTCTTAAAATTAATAATGGCTTCATTTGTAAGACATTTGAAGTTATAAACGTTCTGGAATAAAGTTGTCAGAAAATCTTTGCAGCTTTTTTGTTTGTGTGACTTTCTTCAGTTTTACTTTGTTTTTGTAAAAGCTCATCTTACCTCCAACCTCCAAGGGATTTAGAAAGATAGTTTTACTGGTTATCTAATTATGAAATTAAGGATCAAAGTGAAAGGTGCCCAGTTGATCTTGTCAAAAAGCATTAGGTAGAGTAATCCCCAACATTAGGACACTTAAGAATTAAAAATAAGTTATTTCTGTAATGATCCTATCATTTCTCATTATCCAAATCCGACATTCTTCCTAGAATTGTTATCCAAACCCTGTGTTCTTCCTAGGAGCTCCCTTTGCATACATATACATATATGTTTTGTATATGAGTATATATAAATATATACACATATACAATATACATATATTGCACATGTATGTATTTGTATACACATACTTGTAGTACTGTCTTTTCACCCTTTCTTCCTGTTCTTGTAATCCTCAGAGTGGTCCAAATTTGTCAATCCCCAGCATTTCTTAACCTCAGAGGTAAATGCTGACAGTCCTTAAATATTTGAAATTAAATATTTCCTGGCCTCCAGCTTAAAGTTCTATGAAAACAGTGCTTATTTCTGTTTCTTCTCCAAATGTATTGATAAGTTTGGAGTTTTTTTGGTTGGGATTGTTTTTTGCTTGATTTTTTACAGGTAGGGCTTTTAGGTAATAAGTGGGGGTAGTAAAGGTTTGTGATGGATGAGAAGTAGAATAAAGAGTTCTTGGTTTATTTGCAGATCAATCTCTTTGTGATACTTTAAAATCAGTATACAACCTTCAAATACATGATTATACTTAAAACTTTGAGAGAGTGGTGTTAGATACACGGCTTTCTTGAAGATCACCATATTTTTCTTGGCACTAGATGATGAGGCAAGTATAGTTTCATTGTGCACAAAATGTACTATTTTTCATCCATTGCTAGAGATTAATAGACATTATTATTTACAGAAGTAGCTCTTAAGCAAATATAATCTTCAGAGCCTTCCTAGCCCTTTTTGGGAGACTTGCACCCAATTTTAGCGCAATCTCTGGGTTCCCAAGGCCCCCACTCTAATGTTTAATGTTTTCTCCTGGTTTTTCTCTGCATCACTTCACATCACTTCCTCTTCCTTCCTACTCCAATTCATTCTGCATGCATATGCGTGTGCGTGCACACACACACATAAACACACACACATTTGCTTTGTGCCTATTCCTGAACATTGAACTTTGAATCAGCTGACTTGGGTTCTACATTTAGATCTGCTAGTTACCATTTTATGGAAGTCTGTTTCTCTAAGATTCAGGTTTGGTTTTGTTTTTCTCAGTTCATATGGCCAAGAGAAGTGAGCAGAGGTTCCAGATGTAGAATCAGATTAGTGGTTTAAAAGAGTAAAATAACTATTACAGTTTAATCATGCAAAACTACTGGCTTGTTTTTAGTAGATAGACAGACGTAGTAGTCAAATTATAGGAGTTGGGGTGAAAATTATTTCCCAACAATTTCATAACAATTAAACCAAGTTAAAAATTAAATCAAGTATCAGGCTGATTTCTGTCACACATACAGACATTTATTAAACAAATATGTGTTAGCAAACAGAAACAAGGTGATACACCTGTTCTGTGAGTTTGATGAGGTCCCAGTTCTCTGTCTTTTTAGGTTCTGCAATCATGACCTTGCATGAAAGATTCACTGGAAGCAGATGAATAATATTCCAGAGCTAGAATTCCATCACCCTTACAATAAGCATCTGGCAACCGGAAGCCCTTCAACTCACACACCATCCCTAATCATCTGGCTTTTTGTAACTTGTTCATGCAAGAATGAGAGTGTCTCTAAAATATTTTAGCCAGTCCTTGTATCTTGGAAATCACTAATTATATGAGAGTCTGTTTGTCATATCTGTTGTGATGACTGACAAACCACTAATTTTGACAATGAAAATTCACTTTTGACATATGTTATAGAATGATTTTTGCTATTAAAGAGATAAGAGTGACAGATGTAGTACCCACCTCTATAGGGGTCTGCCTGATGAGACCACTACCTGCCATCTTAGAATATGAATTTATGATTAGTGCAACTGACTGCACCTTGATTGTAATTTAACCTAAGCCATACAAGATATACTGTCTATATGGAATAATTTTGGGGTATATTGGCAGACATCATACTGATAATAATATCTACAAAGAACATATGAGGCACTTTCTCCCCTCCTCCATGTGAGAATTATATCCTTGTTTTACAGATGTAGAAAATAAAGGTCAGGCCAGGCACAATGGCTTACTTCTATAATCTAGCACGTTGAGAGGTCGAGGCAGGAGGATTGCTTGAGCCCAGGAGTTCAAAGTTGCAGTAAACTATGATCATACCACTGCACTTCAGCCTGGGTGACAGAGCGAGACCCTATCTCAAAAAAAAAAAAAAAAGTAAGTAAATGAAGTTCACAGAGAGGTTATGTCACAAGTCAAAAGCAGGGAAATGGTAGTAAAATTTGGATATAAGTCCAGACTATTTCTACCATACTAAGATGACCATAAATTCTGGTTTGCTTGTGACCAGATTTAAATCATTTTCATGGTATCTGTATTAGTCCATTTTCACACTGCTGATAAAGACATACCCAACACTGGGAAGAAAAAGAGGTTTAATGGACTTACAGTTCCACATGGCTGGGGAGGCCTCACAGTAATGGCAGAAGGAAAGGAGGAGCAAGTCACATCTTACATGGATGGTGACAGGCAAAGAGAGAAAGAGAGCTTGTGCAGGAGAACTCCTCTCTTTAAAACTATCAGGTCTCGTGAGACTTATTCACTATTGCAAGAACAGTATGAGAAAGACTCACCCCCATGATTCAAGTACCTCCCACTGGGTCCCTCCCACGACATGGGAGTTGCGAGAGTTACAATTCAAGATGAAATTTGGGTGGGGACACAGCCAAATCATATCATTATCCTGATTAGTGCCCCCTTTCATTTTCAAAACTGTCCCAATATAAACAATAAATAATATGATCACCCAAATTATACTACATTGCCTCCAAAATCCAAGGACCTTCATCCCCCAACTATGTCAGACTCTATCAGACATATGAACAAGACACAGTAGTGTTCCTGTCCTGGCCTCTTCTTGCTCCATCACACCATTTTGAATATAAGGGAGAAAAAAAAACACACAGTATAATTAGGTGGCACAATCTAGGCAAAGCAAGTCCTGATTACAGGAAATACAAGTCTACTCTATTATAAAGGAAGGTATAATGATGAATCACCAAAAAATTGGACAGACTATCCTAAAACTTAATGAAGATTATAGGAGGAAAATTAAGAGCAATATTGAAATTAAGCTATGTTTTCAACCAACCATGTTTGCCCAAGAACATTCATATTGACTAAATTTGGTGTCTGTTTACATTTATACTTACCCTAGAACACTAGAGGGGAAAATAGTTTTGCACCCAAATTTTACCATGTTTAGGTATAATATAAAAGTCACACTTGTGTTATAGAATTAGATTTATTAGTCAATTGTGGGAACTAGCTGAAAAGCACTTCTCTTGTTTGCACTGAAAGTTTACTCAAAGAGCATTCCTTTTCCAGGCAAATCCAAAATCCCTTATCACTGCCATGACCTTTTCCTGAAATTATAAAGACAGCTGTCCATGGCTATGTATGGGTTGGGAAATACTGGCCTTTTCTCAGCTGAGGGTTCACCATGGCAGAGACATGCTGCCCTGTGACCCAGCCATGAGCAGAACTTCAGAACCAAGAAGTGCTATTGTGTAGGCAAAAGCAGCCTTCTGTCTGCATCAGCCCATGACTGGTTATCTATACTGTATTTATGCCAGTCAGAGACTACTGCTCCATTGTTTTCCATGCCGCCCCTCTCTGACGGTTACTATTCTTTGAAGCTTCTGCAGAAGGTTAAGCTGCAGCCACTAATGTTTTGCCACCTCTAACATTGCCTGAGGTCTTGCCAGTGATAGGCTGTCACAGTGATTGGCAATAATGGCAGAATAAGAACATCTGAAGAGGTCAGCACGGCCAACTAGACAATCTGGAATTCTCTGATTAAAGTTAATTCTGGTCCAGGCATGGTGGCTCATGCCTGTAATCCCAGAACTTTGGGAGGCCAAGGCAGGCGGATCACCTAAGGTCAGGAGTTCAAGACCAGTCTGGCCCACATGGCGAAACCCCCATCTCTACTAAAAATACAAAAAAAATTAGCTGGGCCTGGTGGCACATGCCTGTAATCCCAGCTGCTCGGGAGGCTGAGGCAGGAGGATCAGTGAGCCTGGGAGACAGAGGTTGCGGTGAGCCGAGATCATGCCACTGCACACCAGCCTGGCAACAGAGCGAGACTCTGTCTCAAAAAAAAAAAAAAAAAAAAATTCAGCGTGTAGATTAGTAGCATGTTAGAAGACATACCACTATTTATAATAAAATATATTTAACACTTACCCACATTTTGATAATACCCACAGGGCATCTGTGGTGTCATGGACAAGGAGGGGGTCATGGGAATGTTTTGAGCTGGGAAGATAGGATAGTTGTCTTTATTGCATTTTCAAAAGAAGAAAGTTTCATTCTTTCCTTTTTTTTTTTTTTTTTTTGAGACGTAGTTTCACTCTGTTGCCCAGGCTGGAATGCAGTGGTGCAATCTCAGCTCACTGCATCCTGCAGGTTCAAGCAATTCTCCTGCCTCAGCCTCCCGAGTAGCTGGTATTACAGGCCCCCACCACCATGCCTGGCTAATTTTTGTATTGTTAGTTGAGACAGGGTTTTGCCATGTTGGCCAGGCTGGTCTTGAACTCCTAACCTCAGGTGATCCACCCGCCTTGGACTCCCAAAGTGCTGGGATTACAGGCGTGAGCCTCCGTGCCCAGCCCATTATTTCTTAATCTAATAAATGAGTATCACCTGCCCATCACCTTCTTCTTATTAAGGTGTTAAGAAAATGGCAGCTAGTGTCTAATTAGTCCTAACAGCATTCTGGGTGCTTTATGTGTATACTCTTTATTTTCATTTTCTAACAATTCTCTGGGGTAAATTCTAGAATGATTTGCATTTCCCAGATGAAGAAGGTGAGGCAGCAAGAGGCCCTTAGGCTCTCAGTCATTAAGTCGTACAGCCAAGTTTAAAACTCCTGCAGTCCGGCCACAGACACAGCATTCGACCAGCCAATGCCCTGCCTCACAAATAACTTTCTAAGATGGATTAGCATGCTCCCTACCACCTTGTTGCCTAAACAAAATCTGTAATGTATTTAAATATTCAGTGTGCCACACTTGCATTGGAAAACATTACAAACTTTATACCCCCTGTAACAACATTTGACCTTACAGGACATTTACATTACCTTCAAATGAGTTTAAAATTTTTTTAATTAATATTATTTTTTCTTTTAATTTTTCAATTTTATTTCTTCTATTTTTTTCTTTTTCTGTATCTCAGTGGATGCAAAGAGTTTTTTTAATATTAAGAAAGATCAGCTGAGTGCAGTGGCTCATGCCTGTAATCCCAACACTTTGGGAGGCTGAGGCAGGCAGATCACTAGAGGTCAGGAGTTCGAAACCAGCCTGGCCAATGTGGCAAAACCTGTCTCTCCTAAATGTACAAAAATTAGCTGGGCCTGGTGGCAGGTGCCTGTAGTCACAGGTACTTGGGGGGCTGAGGCAGGAGTAATTGTTTGAACCTAGGAGGCAGAAGTTGCAGTGAGCTGACATGGCGCCACTGCACTCTAGCCTGGGCAACAGAGTGAGACTCCATCTCAAAAAAAAAAAAAAAGAAAACAAATATTCATTAACTCAATAATGAATAACTTACTGTTCACCTCTCGGATACAAGGCACAAAATTGAGTATGTACAGTCTGTGGGAAAAACAAAAAAACAAAAAAACACCTCTCTGATAGGAGAGACGGGATATCTATAAGTCATCATAAAATGAATCAGAAAATAAGTGTCAGCAGAGAAATGTAAATTCAGAGCTAAGGGAGTTCAGGGAGGCAAAGCTGCCAAATTTAGTGACCTAAAACCCTCAAGAGTGTCGCACCTTTTTGAGTGTCCATTGTAATCGCTACTGTGTATAAACCAGGATGCAATCTCTGAAGATACCATAGCAAGGAGCAAGATGCTAGAGAAGCTATTAATAATTTAGCTTTCTTGGTCATGAGGTAAGATGAATTGAACTTTTTAAGTAATTTCTCCCACTTGAAATCCTCTTACTACTGCTTTCTGACAAACAGGCTTTTTTTTTTTTTTTTTTTGAGACGGAGTCTTGCTGTCACCCAGGCTGGAGTGCAGTGGCGTGACCTCAGCTCACTGCAACCTCCACCTCTGGGTTCAAGTGATTCTCCTGGCTCAGCCTCCCAAGTAGCTGAGACTACAGGCCCCCACCACCATGCCCGCCTAATTTTTGTATTTTTAGTAGAGACGGGTTTCACCATGTTGGCCAGGCTGGTCTTGAACTCCTGGCCTCAAGCGATCTGCCTGCCTTGGCTTCCCAAAGTGCTGGGATTAACAGGCATGAGCCACCCTCGCCCAGCCCGATGTCTCACACAACTGTGTGTACATTTGAAAATAAGCTCCCTTACATTGTTCTCAACAGATGTTCTCTATTGTCTTCATCACATTAGATCTGCCTTTACCTTCTTCCATTAATTTAGTAATTCAACAAACATTTGTGCAGAAGTAGAAGTCTGGGTTGCTGCCTTTATTTGTCTATACAGGCGTCTCTAACCCCCGGCTGGTACTGGTACCCATCAGTGGCCTGTTAGGAACTGGGTCGCACAGCAGGAGGTGAGCAGAGGGTGAGCTAGCTATTACCGCCTGAGCTCCACCTCCTGTCAGATCAGCAGCAGAATTAGATTCTCAAAAGAGCAAAAATTCTATTGTGAAACTGCACATGTGAGGGATCTACGCTGCACACTCCTTATGAGATTCTAATGCCTGGTGATCTGAGTTGGAATAGTTTCATTCTGAAACCATCATACCCTTCCCCTGCCCCATCCGTGGAAAAAAAAATGCCTTCCGCAAAATCAAAAGGTGTCTAAATCTTGGAGATGGCTGCTATAATTTGGCAATTGGTTAAATGGTGGTGCCACTCACCGAAATGGAAACCACAGGATAAGGGACTATTGGGAAGGGGGGATAGATAACTTTAGTTGGAACATGATGAGTTTGAGGTGCCTGTTTGACATTCTAGTGAAGGAATAAAATAAGCAGTTCGATAAGTGGGTCTGGAGGTCATGAGAGAGATGTCGGCTTTTAAATATAAAAGATTTGAGAGCCATCAAGCACCATTGGTAGTAGTTAAAGTTATGGAAAAGTGATTCTTAACCTGAGGGGTAAGAACCCTTAGGAGGTCTACCAGTTGCTTCAGGATGTCCATGTAACCCTAAAATTAGATGGAACATGCCCTCCCTCCAGAAGATTCCTGAATTTTATCACATTCTCCAGGAGGTTCATGTCTCCAGAAAAAAGGCTCAGAATAAGTGTGAAAAGACACGTTTCAGGGAGAAACACTGGGGATCTCTAACATTTAAGAAGTGGAAGAAGAGTGATAAACAAGACCACAAAGTTTGGAAGCAAAACAGGGAAAAGAGTCGCAGAAGTCAAAGGAGAGATATTTTCAAGGAGAAAGTAGCCAATAGTGTCCTATGCTACAGTGAGGTCAAACAAGATAAGGACAGAGTTCTCTATCTTACTTGCACATTCCTCAGGGTAGGTTCTGTATGCAACAGGCACTCAGTTCATGTTTAATGGACTAAAAAAGTATGTCCTTTATATCATTTGAGAAGAGTGAAGTTAAAAGGTGAAATCAATAAAATGATATGCTCATGGCAGGTTTAATTAGGTTTGCCTTTACATTAATAAATGAAATACACATGAAATTAGACAGTTTCACTTTATTAGGTCATTTTATGAAGTTGTGTAAATTGGCGAACTGAACCTCTCAAATACTTACATCCAACTTTATTCACAGGTAATATAAGCAGCCACTTCCATGGAGTAATTGAAAATATATCTATTTCCTTATACTTTACTATCCCTCCTACTGCTATATTACAGTGCCTAAAAGACCAATCATCCTAGAAGAAGCGCTTGTCCCCTGGATTATGTTACCTCGGAGGTGGGCCACATTGGCTGGCTAATGTTTGCATAAATATTATTAACCCACTATGATCTTGGATTGTTAGCTCAAGAATAATATAATGCCTTTTTATTTGTGATGCTTTTAAGTTTAAAAAGAAGATTTTATAAATACTTTATTATATTATTTAATACTCACAATGCCCCCCAAAGAAACAAGTAGTCAAAGGAGCCTTTTAAGGGAGAAAAAAAAGCACCTAAGTCTTTTAACGAGATGGTCTCTGATTAGATAGATAGATAGATAGATAGATAGATAGATAGATAGATGATAGATAGCTGGAGAGATAGTTAATAAACAGAGGTTTTGAGGATAATAGTACAAATGATAATGATGATGATGCTCTTAGTTATGATACAAGCCAAGGTATGGGAAGAAAAAGACCCCCACAAACAATGGTTTATACAAGATAGAAGATATTTTTCTCCCAGACAGTATTCAGAAGCATGTGCATGATTCAGACGTGAAAGGCAATTTTCCTTCACAGTAATCTAGGAACGCAAGTTGCTGTTCTATCCCCAATAGACATCTCCATGGTAGACATTGGTTCACCAGTATCACATAAACCTTCCAGCCTGCCTGAAAGTGGAAAGAGAAAGAGGAAGGCAAGCAAGTTCCTTTAAGGAGGATGTGACCTGGAAATTGAACACCTCTTTGCTCCTATCTTATTGGAAAGTACTGAATCAATTGGTCACATCTAGCGCAAGGAAGGTTGAGAGTTTTATTCTCTAAGTGGGTAGCTATTTGCCCAGCTTAAACTCAGGGATTCTATAACTAGAAAGGAGAAGCAGATAACAAATATTGGGAGACACTTGGCAGTCTGTGCCAAACCCTTGCTTTGGTGTATTATAGCCATCATTACAGTAATGGTGCAAATATGAAATTTTGATATGTGTATAGATTTCTACAAAGGGTGAACTGTGGAAAATCAGTCTCATTTTAATTTTGCTTATTATATATATAGTCTGTCTATTGAATCTCTTAATACTAAAGTATTAATAGTAAAGAAATAGTGGGATATCTTTGGAGCGGTATTTAAAAACCTCATTATTTTGACTGAGCCTTGGGGAAATTTTACAGTTGCAAAGGCAGCCCAGTTTATCTTTATGACTTTCCTTATCCTTTCTCCTCTGTAGAAGATGTGTAGAGATAATATGTTACTGGAAATGGTGCAAGGCAGCTTCCCTGGAGAGTACTTAAATCCTGTGGTGATGAGAGACACAGCTAGTAAACAATGAAAGCTATAATATCAGTAATTGCAGTAGCTCCTGGAATAAAAGAAGAATTAAATGTAACAGGATTAGCATAAAAGTACTAGAGGGCTGTTTTTCACAGTTCCACTTTTGGAGAGGTGGAACCTGTTAGAAGTTGATAAGAAAATTTAGTGGTTTGCAAAATTATGTAATTTACTTAATATTGGGTTTTGGTGAGAAAGCAGGGAAATTATGAGAGATGTTGCCCAAGGAAGTAAGAATGTAATAACAGTTAAACAGAAGTGTTTTTCCATCACTTCCATTCCTCCAGGATGCTAGGGAACCTGGATTTAACAAACTGTTTTTTGTGCGTTTGTGAAGGTTTTTTTCTTTCTTTTTCTTTTTTTCCTTGTTTTTGTTTTTTGTTTTGTTTTGTTTTGTTTTGTTTTTTTGAAACAGAGTCTTGCTCTGTTGCCCAGGCTGGAATGCAGTGGCACGATCTCAGCTCACTGCAACCTCCACCTCCCGGGTTCAAGCAATTCCTGTGTCTCAGCCACCTAAGTAGCTAGGATTAGAGGCATGCACCACCAAGCCTGGCTAATTTGTGTATTTTTAGTAGAGACGGAGTTTCACCATGTTGGCCAGGCTGGTTTTGAACTCCTGGGCTCAAGTGATCCTCCCGCCTCAGCCTCCCAAAGTACTGGGATTACAGGCATGAGCCACTGCACCCAGCCTGTTATTAGTGATTTTATTAATGGTATTGATATAGGAGTTAAAAAGAAATTATTTAGGCAGATAGTGAGGGTAAGGAAGTCCTCAGTAAGGTTTCCTTTTAATGAAAAGCAGCCCCCAAATCATTTTCTTTTCTAACAAAGAGCAGCCTGTAAAATGGAGCTGTAGACATAGATAGACAAGCAAGCTGGACGCTTGCACAGGTGAATGCTGGCAGCTGTGCCAATAGGAAAAGGCTATCTGGGACTAGGCATGTTCAAAATGGCAGCTCCATCTTCCCTTCTCTGTGCCAGCCACGTGTACAATAAGGAGCAAACGAGACGGCCTGGCCAAGTGAAAAGTTCATTTGCATAATAAGATTAGGGTGGGGCAACCAGCCTTCCCTGCGGCCCTGTGTAAACGTCACACCTGGTGGAACCAATCTGTGGGCCCTACATAAATCAGACACCGCCTCCTCAAGCCTGCCTATAAAATCTGCTGCAGTCTACAGCAGGACAGCTTTTCCTTTTCAGATGCCCCTCTCTCTCACAAGAGTGTAAATTTACAAAAGTGTAAATAGACTTTTGGATTTTCTTCAAGGTACTGGATTTTAAAGACTTGTTATGAAAAAATAATGTAAAATAATGATTTTTAACGTGGATTACATGTTTAAATGATACTATGTTAGATGTATTGAGTTAAATAAAATATATGATAAACACTAATTTTACCTGTTTCTTTTCACTTTTTTTAATGTGGCTACTGGAAAATTTTATATTACATTGTGACTCATTTCTCTTGGACAGTGCTGACTTAAAAAAGTTAAATAGAATGAACAGGTGATCTCTTTTCCCAGCTTTTGACCTATTCTAAGAACAAAGGTTATAGAGGTTTTTTTGTTTGTTTGTTTTTGTTTGTTGTTTTTGTTTATTGTGGGTTTTGCTTTGTTTTTGAGACAGGGTTGCACTCTGTCACCCAGGCTGTAGTGCAGTGGCAAGATCACAGCCCACTGCAACCTTAGCCTCATGGACTCAAGCGATCCTCCCACTTCAGCCTCCCGAGTAGCTGAGACTACAGGAGCATGCCACCATGCCTGGCTAATTTGTTTTTTCATTTTTTTTTTTTTTTTTTGTAGAGATGAGGTCTTGCTTTGTTGCCTAGGCTGGTCTTGAACTCCTGGTCTAAAGCTATCTTCCCACTTCTGCCTTCCAAAGTCCTGGGATTACAGATGTGAGTTTTAAACCAACAGCCTTTCTACCTGAAGTTCCCACACACACCAAGTCAATGCAGGATCACTGGTAGTGTATCCCAGGGTCGTCAGCCTTGGGCTGAACAATTTCTAATGATGGATGTCCTGCTGCTTTGCATGATGATCCTTTCAATTTCTGGACAATTCCAACTATCAGAAAGCCCTTCCTCTCATACTGGGAAAAAATTTGGCTCTTTGTTATTTCAACTTCTAAGATTTTTTCCTCTAGTGTAATTAAAATATCTCATCCTTGCCATATGTCTTTCTGTTTAAATCCATTTAAAAAGTACAAGGTAATATGTAAGGATCTATCAACAACTATCAGCCTCTTCCGTCTTCACCAGCTCAAATCTACTCCTCCCCAGGGCGAACAGAATAATGCCTCTTCTCTCTTATTTGACACATCCTCATTTGTCATTAGGTTTTTTTTTTTAATTGGAATATTCATTTTCCAAAATTCTGCAGATACAAGTTTGTGGAAGAAGGCAAGAGTCATGATAAGATGAAAATATTCAGTAAGGAACTGACCTCTAAAAAGTTAGTCTGCCCTCAAACATTACTTTCAATTCAACACCAGTGTCTAGGACATAACAGATTCTCTCAAAGAGAGTGATTTAAATATCAAAGGATTGAGAAGCACCATGGGAAAATTGATGAAGCCCTTTAAAAAATGATTTTTATGATAGCATAGCAAAATTCAAATGACGTGAATTATCTCATCATACTTCCAAAAATTTTGTCAGGAAAGGTTTTGGCAAACAAAACAGCAGCACATTTGTGTGATAGGCTGAAAAACATGGACTTCATCAAAAGTTGGAGTCTTGGCCAGGCACGGTGGCTCATGCCTGTAATCCCAACAATTTGTGAGGCCGAGGCAGGCGGATCACTCGAAGTCAGGAGTCTGAGACCAGCCTGGGCAACACAGTGAAAACCCGTCTCTACCAAAAATACAAAAATTAGCTGAGCATGGTGGTGCACGCCTGTAATCCCAGCTACTCAGGAGGCTGAGGCAAGAGAATCTCTTGAACCCAGGAGGTGGAGGTTGCAATGAGCTGAGATCTCACCACTGCACTCCAGCCGGGGCAACAGAGAGATACTATGTCTCAAAAAAAACCAAAAAAAATCTGGAGTCTCTTGGTCACCCTGTGAATCTGGCCTGGTCTTGTGATTCGCTTTGGCTGATAGAATGTGATGAAAATGACAATGTATAAGTCCAGAGCTCTGGCCTCAAGATCCCTTGCAGTTTTCCCTTTTGGGCTCTCCGAATGTTCCTGCTATGGTCAAGGAAGCCTAAGCTATTCTACTGGATGGTGGGCAACTACATGGAAAGAATGGTCCCGCTGAAAAATAGCACCAACATCCTAGACCTGTGAGTGAGGCCACCTGAGACCCTCCAACCTGTTAAGCTGCCAGCTGGTTGCAGTCACATGGTTGACCCACAATTGTGAGAAATGAAAAAGTTGTTATTTTGCACTGTTACATTTTGGGGTGGTTGGGTATGTAGCAGTAGATAACTTTGAGAACTTGATTCAGCTCTTTGTTCATTCTAAGATTAGTGCACAAGTGAAATGAAAGCCAACATTTTCATTTTTTCATAATCAACTTCCTTCTACTCTGTTATCTCTATGACCTCTGTCCTGTGTCACCCTCTTAGACACTCTAACCACGTGGCCTCCTTTCTGTGCCTTGAACGTGCCAAGGTCAGTCCTGCCTTCGGGACTTTATTCTAGCTTTTCCCTCTGCCTAGCATGTTCTTACCTAAGATATTCACTTGCTAATTCCCTCACCTCCTACAAAGTTATTACCTCTGCAGGAGACTTGACCCCACTAGGACATTATTAACCTATGCGTTTATCTCTCAAACTTTAGTTTTATGCTTGATATTGTAAACAAAAAATAAAATTCTAAGGCATCCCAACCATCTGAATGGACAGCCAGGACTCTTAAAATTTAACCTGAGAGTCTGTTTCAGGCCATGATGGAAAGTGGGGTTCAAACATGCCTCATTATACCTCTCCAGCATTAACTCAACACAGACTTTAAGTCTGATAGGAAACATTTTGAAACCTATTCTCTCTGAAGCCTGCTAGCTAAAAGCTTCATCTGCATGATAAAACTTTGGTCTCCACAACCTCTTATCTTAACCCAGATATTCCTTTCTGTTTGATCTCAGGTCTTATAGACAAACTCAACCAATTGTCAACCAGAAAATGTTTAAATTTTCCTATTCTGGAAGCCCTCCCACCCCCTACTTTGAGTTGTCCCGCCTTTGTGGACCAAACCAATGTATTTCTTAAATGTATTTGATTGATGTCTCATGCCTCCCTAAAATGTATAAAACCAAGCTGCACCCCAGCCACCTTGGGCACATGTTCTCAAGACCTCCTGAGGGCTGTGTCATGGGCCATGGTCACTCATATTTGGCTCAGAATAAATCTCTTCAAATATGTTACAGAGTTTGACTCTTTTTGTTGACAATATTAATCTTTCCAAGTTTTGCCCCCTGATTACTTTTCTTTAGTTAATTCAATACATATTTGTTAGAAAATGTTAGATGAATGAATCAAGTGATCAATGGAATCATTGGAATCGATGAGCAAGGAATAGATAGGAATGTAAATTTCTTGGAAACTAAGATACTGCATTTTCTTGGATGCTACTACATTTTATCAATCCTGCATCCTTTATTTTTAAGAAGAAAAATTCCAACCCATTATTCTTCCATCCACTCCCTCTTACCACTCTTAATCCTTATAAGGCTGGGCGTGGTGGCTCATGCCTGTAATCCCAGCACTTTGGGAGGCCAAGGCGGGTGGATCCCGAGGTCAGGAGATTGAGACCATCCTGGCTAATACGGTGAAAACCCCGTCTCTACTAAAAAAATACAAAAAAATTTCGCCAGGCGTGGTGGCGGGCACCTGTAGTCCCAGCTACTAGGGGGGCTGAGGCAGGAGAATGGCGTGAACCTGGGAGGCGGAGCTTGCAGTGAGCCACAGTGAGCCGAGATCGCGCCACTGCACTCCAGCCTGGGTGACAGAGTGAGACTCCATCTCAAAAAAAAAAAAAAAAACAAATTCCTTTCAAGTACCTTATGATACCTCATAAGGCTTTTGCAGTGGTTTGAATAATTGCCCCCAAAAGTTATGCCCATGACCTCATCCCTGTAGCCTATAAATGTGATCTTACCTTGATAAAAGCTCTTTGCAGAGTAATTAAGTTAAAGCTCTCAAGATGAGATAATCCTGGATTATCTAGGTGAGGCTGAAAGATAATGACAAATTTTTTTTTAAAGGAAATGAAAGAGGAGAAGACAGACATAGAAGACTAGGCCACATGAAGACTAAGGCAGAGATTGGATTTATGCAGCTACATACAAGGAAAGCCTACAGCCACCAGAATCTGGAAGAGATAAGGAAGGATTTGCCACTAAAGCATTCAGAAGGTGCACGGCCCTGCTGACATCTTGATTTTGGACTTTTTTGGGGACCGGGTAGCCATTATCCTTCTTCTTGATATCCAGGTTCAACTGAAGGCATAAAATGTCAAGTTCCTCAGCTCAAAATCAAAATCTCTACTCTGCCACTATCTTGGTAATTTAAGCAAATTATTCTGCCTCTTTTGGTCTAAGTTTAGTCATTTGTAATATTAAAGTGGTAAATTAGATCAGAAGATCCCAAAATGACATTTTGAGAAATTCTGTTTTGAAGGATATGAATGGGTGTGCCCTATAACACGCCCCTGACCACAACCATCAGAGCCAGGGATGGGGGTGGATAAAGTTCTGTGTTCAAATAACTTTGGGAAATGCTGGGCCAGATATATACTATGTCGCCTAATCCCCTGACTACAGCTGATTTGGACCAGATGTAGATACTGACCCAAATTAGATTTCAGAGAATCTCTCTCTCAGGAATTTTGAATTGAGATTCAGAAATTATAGTTAGTCTTTCCTAGTTCCTAGAAATAAGGATAAATAAACTCAGGGGCTATGCACAGAAAAGTAGAGAAAGCTACACTGCAGTCAGGTGAGAATGGAGAGATATGTGGAGAGAAACAAATAGGAGATGAGACAGCCTCAGACACAGTGAAAGATGTGGGAATTATGCCAGATGGATTTGGGGTTCTTCAGTCTTCATGAGATACTTTTATAACCATAAAATGAACTTTCTTTTTTTTTGCCTAAGCTAGTGTAAGTAAAGTTTGGTTACTTGCATCCAAAATAGCATTAACTGAGACAGGAAGATTAGCCCTTGATAGCTAACGTCTTATTGGTCCATCTAAAATATAACAGAGAAAAGAACTGGGAAACACTAGCTGAAGTCCTAGGGTTGAGAGTTAAAGGACCAAGCAGGTAATAGAAAAGGAGAAAGCAAACTTTACATACTTCACAAGACCTTCATCATTCACATCTTAACACTGGTTTTGATAGCGGGAAATAAAATTTAGTGCATAATCCCTATTCTCAAGGATTTAACTACAACATTGCCAAGTCAAACAAATTTTTTTCAAAAAATTTTTTTATTTTAATTTTTATTTTTTGAGATGGAGTCTCACTATGTCACCCAGGCTGGAGTGCAGTGGCGTGATCTCAGCTTACCACAACCTCCTCTTCCTGGGTTCAAGTGATTATCCTGCCTCAGCCTCCCAAGTAGCTGGGACTACAGACATGTGCCACCAAGCCTAGCTAATTTTTGCCTTTTTTTTTTTTTTTTTTTTTTAGTAGAGTTGAGTTTTCACCATGTTAGCCAGGCTGGTCTCCAACTTCTGACCTCGAGTGATCCGCCCGCCTCAGCCTCCCAAAGTGCTGGGATTGCAGGCGTAAGCCACCGCACCCAGCCTCTCCTTTTTAAAATATATATTTCTTGATAGTAGTTGTGTATAACTTATAAAAAGTCATCAGGTTTTTTGGTTGTTTGTGTGTGTGTGTGTGTGTGTGTGTTTGTTTGTTTGTGACAGGATCTCGCTTTGTTGCCCAGGCTGGAGTGCAGTGGTGAGATCACAGCTCACTGCAGCCTCGATCTCCAGGTGATCCTCCTGCCTCAACCTCTCATGTAGTGAGGACTACAGGTGTGTGCCACCATGCCTGGCTAATCTTTGTATTTTTTGTACAGATGGGGTTTCACCATGCTGCCCAGGCTGGTCTCTAACTCCTGGGCTCAAGCAATCTGCCTGTTGGCCTCCCAAGATGTTGGAACTACAGGTATGAGCCACCAGGCCCGGATGGGTCATCAGTTTTAATTAAGTGGAACAAAGTAGCTACTTCCATGATAACTGTAATATATAACTACGAAGAAAAAATATTTAAAGAAGTGTCTCTCCAATTTCTATGGGTTTACTAAACTTTAAAGGGTAATCTTGAGGTTGTCTTGTTCATGATGTGTTTAAAATGCTTTGTGCTCATGTGTTTAATCTCAACTCTTTAAGAGAGTCTAGCAATTTTATCTCAGGTAATTTTTCCCTACCAAGAGAAAGTTTCTATATGTGGTTTTGATCTAGAAACCACTATTGTGAAAAAAAATCAAAAAGGACACCTTTATACATCAAAGGATATTCTAATGAAAAATTTAAAACTCAGTAGGCTTTTCAGACTTCAAATAACCATATGTTGTGTTTTTCACAGCATGTCATGTTGGGCTTTAATAAGTATGGTCTCTTTTGTATTTGTAATTTCTTAAGGCATATCAGGCAAGTAGAAATGGGCTTAAATTAAGTAGCCTTTCATGTTAGGCCTCTTGGGGGATTCCTCAGTAATACACAGCTGAAAGTATATATAACCTGTGCGTTGCTAACTTCCAACTGGGCAGTCTGTCACATCTCACCATGCCCAGGTGCCCAGGTTACCATGGTGGGAAAAAAGTCACCCCCACCTGCCCCGCTCTGCCAAAAAAAAAAAAAAAAAAAAACCACAGCCAGGGCATTACCATAGGAAATCTGGTGAAGATCTGAGTCAAGGTCAGAACTTCAGAGAGTAGCAGAGTCCTTCAGAACAGTACTCATCAAATGGTTATTTTAGGGAGCCAATTTTAACTTGGCAAAAATTTCTGGTGATGTCTTCCTTTCCATTTATATGTCACTCCCAGTTATATATCACTGCTGAAGAGCCTAAGGATCAGAGTAAGTGCACCCAGAGAATCCCTTAGCCTATGGGATTCTGAGAACACAGAGGACCCTTTTACCAAATTTAAATGCAAATTAAAAATATTTTTAAGAACATGTTCTTCTTTTTTTTTTTTTTTTGAGACAGAGTCTCGCTCTGTCACTAGGCTGGAGTGCAGTGGCACAGTCTTGGCTCACTGCAACCTCTGCTTCCTGGGTTCAAGCAATTCTCCTGCCTCAGCCTCCCAAGTAGCTGGGATTACAGACATACACCACCATGCCCGGCTAATTTTTGTTATTTTTAATAGAGATGGGGTTTCACCATGTTGGCCAGGCTGGTCTTGAACTCCCGACCTCGTGATCTGCCTGCCTCGGCCTCCCAAAGTGCTGGGATTACAGGCGTGAGCCACTGCGCCCTGCCCAAGAACATGTTCTTCTGATTTTGATAGTAATACATCTTCATTGTGTAACATGAGGGCAGGGAGGAGAAACAGATGACAATCATAACTGTTTACAATCTCACCATCCCAAGCAACTCCTACCATTCCAGCAAATATTCTTCCAGGATTTCTTGCCTATGTATATATATTTAATCTTCTTGTGACTATTTTTTAAAACTCAAAACCATAGCTAAGACTTTCCCACATTATTATAATTTGTAAACAATTATTTTCAAGGTTGCTACACCCAGATATATTGAAAATAAATTGCACAGCAGAGAGATTCAAATGGCTCTTGTTGGTGTTTTGAAATTCATCACAGCTGCAGCTGTGAGTTTGGAGACATGTAGTGGGAGAAAACAGTTATCTTTCCTTTCTTTTCTTCCTGCAGTTTCGGAGACTCAAAATCTACTTCATTAGGTGACTGACACAGGCTGTATCTTGCTGGGGATGATGGCATTCACCTCCTACATGCACTAGAGTTGTAGAAATCATGGACAGGCACAAGCCACGTTTTTCAATGATGGTCTAAACCATTGAATTCATGGTGTAGTCGTAGCCCACATTGGTAAGATTCTGGTCATAAGCATAATATTCAATGACTATTCTATCAGTTCCAGTTTTTGGTTGTAGACAACGCTCTTAATAATTTAAGTAATTAATTTTAAAATTTAAATTAATGCAAATGTGCTCATCTCATGGAGGGCCCAAGAACCAGGCTTGAAGAATCTGTACCACTGACTCTGGAGGGTCCTACTCTGCTAGAACCTTTGTTACTGCCACATTGAGAGCTGGATATCTATTTATCATCACCTACCACCCTCAGCAGAATAAATTTTTCATAGACACCTCCTTCTTCTTATCAGACTGTTGAACTGAAATTTTGTAAGAGTGAGTTTGACTACCCGTACCATACCTGCAGGGAGAGTGGAAAAGGAAGCTGATGACTTCTAATTCAGGAACAGGTAGACTTATAAGGGGAGAAATTTCCCACATATAGGAAGGCTATTTCTAAGCTGCCAGGCAGACAGAAAGTATAACAAAGTCCAATGCAACTATGTAATGCTTTACTGTATAAATGTTTCATAATATATTTAATGATTCCTTTATTATTGAAAATTTGGGCCATTTAAAAAATATTCTTTTAATCAGGTTATCAAGTATAATTTACAAATAAGTAAAACTTACACCTTTATATGGTTCAGTCACTCCAGTATATGGTTTTATTAGGTTGTTGCAAAAGTAATTGCGGTTTTTGCCATTAAAGGCAAAGGGCCATTACCTTTAATGGCAAAAACCGCAATTACTTCTGCAACGACATAATATGAGCACTGACATATACAATCATGGAGTAACCATCATAGTCGAGATACAGAACAGGCCCATCATCCCCCAAAATTCTCTAACATGCTCCTCCATAGTCAATCCCTCCCCCATCCCTAGCTACTAGCAACCAATGGTCTATTTTTTGTCCCTATAGTTTTTTCCTTTTTCAGAATGTCATAAAAGGAATAATATAGTATGTCACCTTTTTTTGTCTTGCTTTTTTCACTCTGCCTAATTATTTTGAGATTCACCCATGTTACTGTACATATCAGCAGAGCATTTCTTTTTATTGTTGAATAGTATTCCATCATATGGATGTAACACAGTTTGTTTATCCATTCATCAGAAGGACATTTGCGTTGTTTCTAGTTTTTGACAATTATAAAAACAACTATAGACATCTGCAGAAGATTTTGTGTGAACAAAAGTCTTCATTTCTCTTCAGTAAACACCTAGAAGTAATATTACTAGGTCATATGGTAAAGGTATGTTTAACTTTATCAGAAACTGCCAAATTGTT
This sequence comes from Homo sapiens, assembly GCF_000001405.40. Classification (NCBI taxonomy): domain Eukaryota; kingdom Metazoa; phylum Chordata; class Mammalia; order Primates; family Hominidae; genus Homo; species Homo sapiens. The sequence goes on from NC_000001.11 coordinate 184,780,682, forward strand.
TTCCAAAGTGGCCATACCATTTCGCATCTCCACCAGCAATGTATGAAAGTTCCAGTTGCATTTTCACCAGCATTCAATTTTGTTTTCATTTTAGCTATGCTAATATGTTAAAAATAATATTGATGCTGGCTGGGTGTGGTGGCTCACGCCTGTAATCCCAGCACTTTGGGAGCCAAGGCAGATGGATCACTTGAGGTCAGGAGTTGAAGACCAGCCTGGTCAACTTGGCGAAAACCTGTCTCTACTAAAGATACAAAAATTAGCTGGGTGTAATGGTGGGCATCTGTAATCCCAGCTACTTGGGAGGCTGAGGCACGAGAATCACTTGAACCTTGGAGGCGGAGGTTGCAGTGAGCCAAGATTGTGCCACTGCACTCCAGCTTGGGAGACAGCAAGACTTCATCTCAAATAATAATAATAATAATAATAATAATAATAATAATAATAATGCTAATCCTTGATGAAATTCCAAGACAGAAAAAATTGTGGAATAAAACATGGGAATCCCAGTGAAAAGCCATGCTCTTTTCCTGTTCTCCCTGCTGTGGTTTGAGTGTATCCTCCAAAAGTTTATGTGTTGGAGGCCTGGTCCTCAATGAGGCAGTGTTGGGAGTGGGGCCTAGTTTGTAAGTATTTGGGTTAGGGAGGCACATACCTCAGGAATGGATGAACACCCTCTCCCGTGAATGAGTGAGTTCTCACTCTTGCAGGACTGGATCAGTTCCCACGAGTTGTTACAAAGCAAGGCTGCCTCTTGTGTTTGGTCTCCTTTTTCATACATGTGGGCTTCCCCTTCCACTTTTCTACTTGGCTATGAAGCAGCATGAGGCCCTCACCAGGTACAGTTACCCATCTTGGACTTCCCAGCCTGCAGAACCATGAGCTAAATAAACTTCCTTTCTTTTGAAATTACTCAGTCTTTGATATTCTGTTATAGAAACAGAAAATGGAAAACACTCATAAAATCTCATCTCCTTGGAGACAGGAAGAAAATATGAATGAAGTAGAAGATAGTTGTTAGGTGAATTAGTAGTTGGTCACCTGGCCAATCCAAAAATGTTCCACATAGAAGAAGGTCCTAAGAAAAGAGCTAGAAGACCTACCTTTATCATATTTTTATTTATTAAAGTCTTTGAAATTTTGAAGGAAAGATACACTTGCATATGGAAGGGAGGAAATAAAAGTTAGTATTCATATATGCATTTCCTTCATTGAGTGTGTTATGACTTCAGGTGTTGCTTCAATTTCTTTAGCTTCCAGATTTGCCCATTGTATTGAATCTGCTCCTCTGGGTTGTGATTTGGCTGAGTTCCTGGATTCTATATCATCCCTTATCTACTGCCCATCCATCCTTGAACAACTCTTAGTACCAAACTCACTAATTCCCCTGGCTTCAGACCTACTAGTGTCAGCATTTTGACAATTGTTGTTGGCTTCAGACCCAGCCATATCTTCCAATTTTCACCCAACTCTTGCCTGAATGCGTGGGACTTGACATTATTCATAACTTAGATGGAAACACTGATGATGAGTAAATAAAATTTATGGATGACACAAAGCCAGGAGAATAACTAATGTTGGCAGAATTAGAATAGAGCTTTCCATAGGCTGGAACAAAGAACTGAAGCTAACAATGTAAATTGTAGCTGAATGGAATTCCGAATTTAGTTTTAAAACTCAACTGTACAAGCACAGAGTTGGAAGTCATGGTTACCCCTGCTTCATATGGAAATGACATAAGGTTTAAGCAGATTGCATTTCATATGAGTTATTGGAGTGGTGCAGTAAGTGGGATTGCCAAAAAACAAAACAAATCAAACTCCACAACCTTAATTTGGTCTGAAGTTACCTTGGTAGACACAGAGTAGATTGACCAAAGTGAAGAGGATCCCACTTTACTCCATCAGTCAGACCACACTTAGAACATCAGATTCAGTTTGGGGTAACACACTCTACAGCAGACAAACTGGAGTGTGTTTACATTCACATCTCATTGCAACGTGGTTTGTCTTACCAAGGTACTGATGACTTTTTTGTAAGCCAGTGGACCCATTTCATGCCTTTTACCTGACCTCTGCTGCATTTGACACATTGGCCATTCCCTTCTTCAAGTTGTCTTCTTTGATTTCTCTTTCATCATTTATACTCTTAATTTTTTTTAACTACTTTTCTGCCCTTGACTTTTTCTCCTCCTGCTCCACAAACATAGATGTTCCCTAAGTTTGCTAGCTCACTTTTCTATGGATTCTCCTAGGGAGATATTCTTTTTTACACACAGGGTCTCACTCTGTTGCCCAGGCTGGAGTGCAGTGGTGCAATCATGGCCCACTGTACCCTTGACCTCCCCTGGCTGAGGTGATCCTCCCACCTCAAGCTCCCAAGTAGCTGGGACTATAGGTGCACACCACCACACTTGGCTAATTTTTCTACATAGAGATGTTGCCCTGGCTGGTCTCGAACTCCTGGGCTCAAGCAATCCTCCTGCCTCAGCCTCCCCATGTGTTGGGATTACAGGTGAGAGCCCCCATGCCCAGCCAAGGGAGATATTGTATCCACCCCCACAGCTTTAACTATCAATATATATGCCATTGACTTCCAAATCCTTATTTCTATCCTTGACATTTTTTGAGATCTTGTTTTATATATCTGTTGCAGGAGTCAGGGACCCCAAATGGAGGGACTGGCTGGCGCCACGGCACAGCAACATAAATTGTGAAGATTTTATGGACATTTATCAGTTCCCCAAATTAATACTTTTATAATTTCTTACACCTATCTTTACTGCAATCTCTGAACATAAATTTTGAAGATTTTATGGACATTTATCAGTTCCCAAATAATACTCTTATAATTTCTTATGCCTGTCTTTACTTTAATCTCTTAATCCTGCTATCTTCGTAAGCTGAGAATGTACATCACCTCAGGACCACTATTGTGTTGAACTGTACAAATTGATTGTAAAACATGTGTGTTTGAACAATATGAAATCAGTGCACCTTGAAAAAGAACAGAATAACAGCGATTTTCAGGGAAGAAGGGAAGACAACCATAAGATCTGATTGCCTGTGGGGTTGGGCAGAATAGAGCCATATTTTTCTTCTTGCAGAGAGCCTATAAATGGACATGCAAGTAGGGAGGATATCACTGAATTCTTTTCCTAGCAAGGAATATTAATAATTAAGACCCTGGGAAAGGAATGCATTCCTGGGGGGAGGTCTATAAAGGGCCACTCTGGAAGTGTCTGTCTTATGCGGTTGAGATAAGGACTGAAATACGCCTTGGTCTCCTGCAGTACCCTCAGGTTTATTAGGGTGGGGAAAAAACCCCACCCTGGTGAATTTGAGGTCAGACTGGTTCTCTGCTCTCGAACTCTGTTTTCTGTTTTTTAAGATGTTTATCAAGACAATACATGCACATCTGAACATAGACCCTTATCAGAAGTTTTTGATTTCGCCCTTTGCCTTGTGATCTTTGTTCTCCTTTTTTGCCCTTTGAAGCATGTGATCTCTGTTCATACACCCCCTCCCGTTTTGAAGTCCTTAATAAAAACCTGCTGGTTTTGCAGCTCAGGTGAGCATCATGGTCCTACCAATAAGTGATGTCACCCCCAGAGGCCTAACTATAAAATTCCTCTCTTTGTACTCTTTCTCTTTATTTCTCAGCCGGCCGACACTTAGGGAAAATAGAAAGAACCTACATTGAAATATTGAGGGTGGGTTCCCCCGATATATATCCATTTTGGTTTTGGTGAAAATTAGATTAATAAATGCCCTGAAGACAACAAAAAGCTTTCTAAGAGGAAGAATAAAATGTTAAGCTTGTTCCTAGGTAAGATAATCCAGTGGAGCTTGCAGCCTAGAAGCCCATATCTATAACATTTAACCATTTAACCATTGAAGCACTTGTTTTTCCTGAACTGCATTCTGTGGGTAAGGTGTTTTCTTGAAGGAATGGGTTCATATGGCCTTTTACAAGCTGGGGTCGGAAGTAGAGGGAATGTTGGTGAGCCCCACCTTTACAAATAAGTAGCAAACTGACAACCAAGTCTTCCTTTTATCTCCTCAGAAGGAGTAAAATATGGTAGACCTGGAAACTTAAATATAAGAACTTTTCATTTTTTGTAACTTGTAGAGTTTTTATTATTTTATCTCATTTATTTTCCTATAGTGCTTGGAAGCAAAAGCTTTGCCAAAAAAAAAGTGCTCCTTGCTTTCCTTTGAAGACAGCAAGGAAGGAAGTGAAAAAAGGTGCCTTACTCTGGGTTGGGTTTGGGGAGAGAAGATCCTCAAGAGAAAATGTGTTAGACTATGATGTAGAGGTTATTGAAGGAGAGGAGGGGTAATTTGAGGGACCTGCTTCAAGGAAGAAAAGAATAAACAAGGAATTAGTTTGTAAAAACACTCAACATGGGGACTGAAAGCCATGCCACATAAAAAAAGGGAAGGTCTTTGGAATATTGATCCTGGAGAAGGGGTCTCAGTTGTTTGGAGATGTTTGAAAGCTCTCATTCAAATGTTGTGTACAACCCTGTTGGACAGAATTGGATCTATGGAATGAAAATTATGGTCAGAAATGGTGGTGGAGGTAGAGCGGAGAATGGGAGGGCAATATTTTTGCTCTCTATTAAATTTGTCTGAAAATGGGATGTGCTCCTCCTTAGGGGGATAGTAAATTCCCCATTCTTGGCAATGACCACTTAGCAGGAAAATTTTAAAGGAGAAATGCAAGTACAATGAATGCATTTGCATTGGATGAAATTTAGAATATCTCTCAACTCTAAGAGTTTATGATTCTATGAATACATTGAGTGTCAAGACATGCAGGGAAAACTCCCTCTCCTCCAAAAGCTTACGATCTGGTCAGGTGTCAAAACACATGGGAAATTATTAAAAATTTCTTGGTGGTACATAAATGCCAAAATCAATGTTGTCAGATATAATAGTCAATGGGATTCATAGAAAGGAGGCTTGAAATGATGCCAGGAACAGAATATGAGTCCTGATGTGGTCTATGTGTTGGGCAGACAGGTAAAGGAAAAAGCATTCTTGCTGAGATGGCATATTACAAGAGGAGGAATAAAATTGTTCTAACAAAATAAAATTATCAAGCCTCAAAATCTTGTATTCAGCCTTAAGTAAAATTTTAAAAGAAGTAGGTCACTAGGACAACAATATTCTAGTGAGAAAACCAGAAGGGCAAAATCTGGTAAAGCGCTTTTAAGAATATTATATCCTAGGAGTTATATTTTAACAGGTGAAGGAGAGGAGTGAGGGATACTTACAAATCAGTTCTTAGGATTACAAAAAAATAAAGATTATTAACCAGGCAAGATAAAGGTTGTATGTAAGGTCGTTATTTGTTTGGTGGCAGGAAATTGAGTTTCTAGCTAGTTTTTGTTTTGTTTTGTTTTGTTTTGCTTTACTTTGGAGACAAGAGTTTTCCTTCAAAATTGGGTTTATGTTTATAGTTATCACCCAAGGACTGTAAACTTTTCCAAACATTACAATTGTTTGCTATAGAACACTGCATCTGTCATTAGCATGTTTCTCGGATAAAACTGTGCTTCTTTACTTGAAGTTATAAACTATGTTTGTCACAGGTCAAATTTTCTCACTGACCTTGAGATAATGAACATTTTGACCATGACCACTGATCTCGTTATAATGAACTGAAGCAGTATATAAGTGATGTGAATTCTGTTGCTAACTTAGGGAGGAAAAATCTCTTTAGATCTTTCTTCTTACAAGGTTTATCAGTTTTTAAAGTTATTTTCAATAGAAAATTTAATTCCAAAACCAATACAAAAATTGATTCTTTAATAGGTCAAAGGCTTGGAGTTGGAAACAATTATGTTTTGTTCACCTCATGGTGAGTCTGACTAGAGCAGCGAATAGGCACTGGGGAAGTGTGTGAGAGTGACCAAGGTTGGCTGTGTGAGTGTTTATAGTTAGTACAGTATGGAAACAAGAGTATGGGTTTTAGAGTCAAACAGGAGTCCTTTGAATCCTGGTGAGGTAGACAGATTGCACTGATGGCCCCAGCCAATGCCTTCCCTGGACTCATGCCCAGTGCAATATGACTTTGCACCTCTTCCCATCCCTTGAACCTCGGTCAGCCTTGTGACTTGCTTTGGCCAATAGAACATGGAGGAAGTGACAGTGCCCTAGTTCTGAGCCCAGCTCTCAAAAACCCTTTTACTTCCTCTTTCTCTGTCAATCTCTCTCTCTCTCTCTCTCTCTCTCTCTCTCTCTCTCTGAACCTTGCTTCTACCAAAAGAAGCCTGGACTAGCCTGCTGAAATCTGGGATACCACATGGAGTAGAGCCCAGTTGTCCCAGTTGGGGCAAGACTAGACCAACATACAGCCAGCCAACTCCCAAACATGTTGAGAGAGCAAGCCAGGCACCTGATGCTTGACCTATAGTCGTCTGAGTTTACTGTTTGGAGGTACTGAGTTTTGGAGTGGTTTTGTTTTGTAGCAATTGCAATATGACACGCCTGGTTCCATTAGTTACTAGCTATGTCACCTTCAGGAAGTGGCTTAACTTCTCTGAGGTGCTCTTTATTCATCTGTGCTTAAATGTCTATTACACATTATCTCTTTTAATACTCATAATAATTCTGTGATGTGGGTGCCATTATTCTCGTTCTACAAAGAAACGAATTCTTGTAAAGGTTACGTGATTAGCCCGAGGTAACACAGTGAGTTGACAGCCATACAACTTTCTCATAAAGAATCTCAAAGAAAGTAAACCAAGTTTGTAGGTGATTTAGTGAAGAATTCCAAAATGCAATTTGAAAAGTGAGAGAGGCTCATTTATATTAAGAGTATCTCCCTTAAGTAGAATAATCAAAAATTTTAGTGCAGAAAAGATAACTCAGAAGTCTGAGTGTGGTGAAGGCAAGGGCTGATTGTTTTGTTTGCCACTCTACTCCCAGGGCCTAGCAGTCTGCAGCACATTAGTATATATCAATAAATATTATTTGATATTAAAATATTTATTGATGTCTACTAATGAATCCATGAATGAATCCTGACTGACAAATGGTACATGGAGAACACCATCTATTCTAACAACTGAATACAAAATTTAATGACTCAAAACTTAAGAAAGGGCAGTGACAGACAGATCACACCCCTAAGTCCCTCCGTGTGATAAATGGGCAGAGATAGGGGGATGAAAGAACTAAAGTCTGCCTCCCAACCCCAAGTTCTTAGATGAAAGCTTGGCCTTGACATGGAAATGAGATGGAAATTTCCAACTAGAATATGCTGAGTTGCTTTTGGTTTATTTTTTAAGTTTTTAGAAAGAAAGGGGGACCAGGAAATTATGATACCTGCCCAAGATATTATAAAGGGGTCTGCTACCAATGCAAAGAGATTCGGCAGGGCATATGCAGGATTAGTAATTGCAGAAAGATAAAACTGTTTCATGCCTGTTATCCCATGGAATTAATATTATTCAATAAACCAGTCACACAAATAAAAAAAAAAACTTGAAGCCTCCAATAGATGGAAATAGAAACACCTTCCTTTTTTCCTTCATATGACCTTTCTCAAACCAGTGTGCACAAAAGCTGTTCCCTACATGGTCCAGGCAATAGCACAGAATAAGGAGAGAGCAAGGAGGGGAAAGTTGAAGTCTCACCAGGAGAAGCCACTTCTTAGCTTCAAAATCACCTCAGCGTCCTGTAGGAATTCCTCCATTTTCCCATCCCAACTGTGTCCTGTTACTCCCTCACCCCAATTTGGAATTGCTAACACAAAGGGAGTTCTTGCTACTATACATGTATACTGCTTTGTGTGGAGTCCAGAAGTGGAGAAACACAACAGAATCTGCAGGAGGTCTGGAGCAGCATTCCCAGAGGACCCCGATTCCTGAAAAGAGTGTGTGGGGCTGCCATAAAGGGGTCTTGGTAAAAGTCTCCTTCAGGGTAGGCAGCTGGATTTTGGTTGTTGGTTTATGATAGAGAAGAGATAAAGGAGGCAAGAAATAAAGAGCAGGCTTAAGAAGTTCAACAACTGCCCTGTGTCCATGTGTTTTTTCGGGGGGTGGGGAGCTGGGGGAGGGATAGCATTAGGAGAAATACCTAATGTAAATGACGAGTTGATAGGTGCAGCAAACCAACATGGCACATGTATACCTATGTAACAAACCTGCAAGTTGTGCACATGTACCCTAGAACTTAAAAAAAAAAAAAAAGCTCAACAACCAAACTTGACATTTTTTGAGTAGACTCAGGAGCTGCCCTACATTTGTGCTGCCAGAACCCTTCCTCCGCTTCTTGCAGAACCATCATTTGCTTCTCAATCTTCCCAAATGGACTGAGCTCCCTAAAATGCAGGGACCATATCTGTTTCTCTCTGTTCCCTGCCCATCCACAGGAGAAGAGCTTGCCAGAGGTAGATGCTGTCCATGAACTCTTGGGCATTTGCTTGTGTTTTGCAGACTTGGGTGCAATTCAAGGGTGACCTTCGTAACTTTTTGCATTGATTGCATCATAGAGACCTTAAGAAAATCCAGTGGCAGCCACTGCCCTGAGAACTAGGAAGCGGTTCATAGTATTGATAGGTAGCTTGACTTGGGGGTAACTTGGCTCTGAAGCTCCCTCCCAGAGCTGTGGGTATGCACAAATGATGGTCAGTTTTCATCACTGAAATGGAACTCTCCCAGTAGGCTGAGGGTAAATGAAGTTACCAGCTTCACAGCCACTTATGGCATGCTGAGGAATCATCAGCTATATCTCCATTTGTCTCCTACTTCTGGAATGGATGGATGCTATTCATCTATTCCTTCAACTTTTTTTTTGATACAGAGTCTCGCTCTGTCACACAGGCTGGAGTGCAGCGGCATGATCTTGGCTCACTACAACCTCTGCCTCCCGGGTTCAAGTGATTCTCCTGTCTCAGCCTCCTGAGTAGCTGGATTACAGGGGCATCCCACCACAACTGGCTAATTTTTGTATTTTAGTAGAGACGGGGTTTCGCCATGTTGGTCAGGCTGGTCTCCAACTCCTGACCTCAAGTGATCTGCCCATCTTGGCCTCCCAAAGTGTTGGGATTACAGGTGTGAACCACCGTGTCTGGTCCCTTCAACATGCATTAAACATTTGCTATTGAGCTTTGTATTCCTTTGCTGTGATTACAAAGATTACAGACAGGGTACCTGTCCCAAAGGCACAGGCAAGGTAAATGCTGCAGTAGAGTGAGAGAGGATGACCAGAAGGGGGCAAGAAAATTAGGGTGAGAGTTCATAAAAGTGTTACTGGCTGTGGGGGCAGGGTGGATTTAGCCTGACTTATCCTGACGTTTACAGGAGAAGTGGGAATTGGCCAGATGGAGATGAGAGAGCCAGATGTTTTTAGCAAAAGGAAGAATGTGGCAAAGATTCAGTGGTGTTCAAGCAGGGGTGGCTCCAAGTGTGGCTGAGGAGAGAATAGCTTTAATTGACCCTCCCAAGACTCACGGATCCTGTCCAAGCCACACCCAATAAACATATGACCTCAGAAAAAACTCTGCAAACAGTTTCAAATCAACTCCCTGTCCCTTAATTCTAATCTGAATTTTGGCTCTAAGTGGAAGAAGGTCTGAGGGGGCCACTCTGGAAGTGATTCTTGCATCCTGGAAGTTTGGTATGGAAGGGGGAGAAGGAATGATTAATTTTATGCCACACCAAGTGTCCCCCTCACTGGTGAACTTGATTTCTCCAATGTTTCTTCCTCTCTCGCCTGAAGCTGTTGGTGTGACTAGAGTTAAAGGTGAGATTATAGACAAGATGTAGGCCAGGTGAGGAAGTAAATACTCATTTGGGGTTCTCCCTGGCCAGGTCCACCCTGGGAATTTGCGTTTGCTGATGTCAGGGATCATGTCTACTGTGTTCACTTGTTTCTCCACCACCCACTGGAGTGCCTGCTTATAGGAGGTGACCAGTCATTATTTTTTTGATGAATGAATCCACGGATAAATGAGCAACTGTGGACATGGCAAATAAATACTGTTGTATATATAATTACAGAAAGAATGAATGTTTTGCTCAATGTTACCCATTGAAAATAAATTTAAGTTTGAACAGCAGTTCAATTACATCAAGAATAATTGCCCACTGCTGTATTATGAATGTGATCCAATTCCTGGAGACGTAAGCATATGCATTATCAAAGCATAATTACACCTGACATTAAGTGGTTTCCCTGCAGATTCCTTCGTGACAACAGAAAAGTAAAAGGTCCATGATACAGCAAGAATGACTCGCCTTTTCGTTTCAGAGGGCTGTACCTCACAATTCAAATGTGACATCTGCTTAAAAGATGAAACCAGCCTCCTTCCAAATAAATGACATCTGGTCAGCTCTTCAAGGATGAACATTTTATTGGAATATAGGCACCTGGCAGAGTAAATACATGGTTACAAAGTGTTTTAAGTTTATTTGCTTTATATAGTGACCGGGAAAGTCAATCCACAGTGTCGATTTTTTTTCTTGAAGTTGCAGACTTTAGAAGGCAAACCCTCAAACCCGTCTCTTTATGGTAAAGTGTGAAGGCACATGTTGCCAACTGTTGCACCGACTGATACTATTATTAAGTCAATGATGTCCTTCCCTTCTTCACATCAAAATTGCTATGAATCACATATCACTTAACCTTATTATAATGAACGAAAATCACTTTTGTCTTGGGGAATTGTGAAACCTTTTGAAATCACTAGCTCTGACATAGAAGATTACCAGACTTGAGAATTTTTATAATAAAATATGTAAGGCCAGAAAGCTTTTGGACAAGTTGGAATCTTACCCTGGTAGTCTCCAAAATCTTTTTTTTTTTTTTTTAAAGAAAGTTTACTATGTGTAATGCAAGGCACTTATGTCTCTGCTTAAAGCTACAAGGGAAAAAATGACAAGCCCAGTTTTTTTCAAGGGAAATATTTTTTCTCTGTGAAAGGTCAGTAGTAAAAGAGCTAGTTTAAAGTCATGGAGTTTTTGCCAAAAACCATGTCTCGAGGTTTTATGCATTTCTAATGGCTTTGCCCATAGGAGAGATACCCAGAGTGGCAAACAGAGGCTAAGGAAAAAAATGCTGTTCATTTAGATCAGAATAACCTCGCTCCAATCTGGAAACCACTCAAATGACACATACAAGTCTGTATGAAAAGCAAAACAAACTCATGGTGATATGCAGTTATTCCATTCAACATGTTAAAATGAAGACAGAGTATTTTAAATGCACTCTAGTTTCCTGTTCCATCTTCAAATTAAACAATCATCCTGCTTATTCTAGAAAACTTTTTTTTTTTTTTTGAGACAGGGTCTCATTTTGTTGCCCAAGCTGGAGTGCAGTGGTAAAATCATAGTTCACTGCAGCCTCAACTTCCCTCGCTCAAACAATCCTCCTGCCTCAACCACCCAAGTAGCTAGGACTGCAGGCACACACCATTATTATTTTTTGTAAGGATGAGATCTTGCTATGTTTCCCAGGCTTGTCTAGAACTCCTGGGCTCAAGTGACCCTCTCACCTCAGCCTCCCAAAGTGCTGGGATTATAGGTGTAAGCTACCACATCCAGCCCAAAAACTTGTCTTTAGTGAAATATGTACAGAAAATTCTTTGATTATATTCTGGAGTACATCCTGCCAAATAGTGCCCAGTCCTCCCTGACCTACATGATGGATAAAGTTAGGGCACTGATGTTCATCCATCCAATGCAGTGAAAGGTACTCTCTTTTAGGGTTGAAAAAAATCTCTTAGCTTTCCAGGGGGTGCAAGAAGCCCTGCATTGAGCAAAGAAAGGAAGCTAGGAAGCTCCGGTGTGAGGTCAGCCTGGGCTGGGACTCCACACTACTGTCCCAGGGAGTCGGGCAGCCTTTGTGGGGCTGGGCACTGCCTCTTTGGCTTCCTGCCTTACTGGGCAGTGCATCTGGCCATCTGCCCCTTGGACTTTGGACTTTACTTAAGAGAAAACTCAACAAGGGCAGAAAGCCCAATTCAAAACGTCTTTCTGCCTGACAGCAGGCCCCAAATAGCCCCAGCACAGCAGTGTTCTGGGTGTCCAGTTCCCACATTTCCCGAGCAGCCTGACGCATGCCAGGTCCTATGCACCAGGGATATTAAAGTGACTCAAGGAGGCAGGAAGCCATTATTCAAGGCTGTGGGTTTCTAGCAGGAAGCACAAATGATGACTAAACCCTAGTTTCTGTCTTTTAAGAGAGGAGCCACTTGGAGAGACAAGAAGTAAACCTAATTTCAACACACCATGCTAAATGCCAGGATATGAGTGAGCACTGCAGAAAGCAGAGACTGGGGGAGAAGTGGTCTTTACTTCCTTCACCTGTGGTGGGATCCCTCAAAGACATGAGGATTTAAACACGCCAAGAAAAGTTGCAACAATTAAATATGATATTATACATATACTGAGTATTATTCATGTTTATGACCTAGAAATTCTTCATGGGAGGGCTGAAAAGGGTGATATTTTAATTTCTGGTTAAATGGTTGAACTGTGTGTGAAGCAAATGCTCTAAAGAACTGACATAAATTTACTCGATAGTGATGATCTAAACAAGTTCTCAACAAATATGTTGAGATCTGATGTTAAAATTTGGGGAGGGGCCAGGTAGCTCACGCTGTAATCCCAGCACTTTGGGAAGTCGAGGTGGGTGGATCGCTTGAAATCAGGAGTTTGAGACCAGCCTGGCCAACATGGTGAAAACCCATCTCTACCAAAAATACAAAAATTAGCCGGGAATGGTGCCGCATGGCTGTAATTCCAGCTACTTGGGACGCTGACAGAGGAGAATCTCCTGAACCCAGGAGGCGGAGGTTGCAGTGAGCCGAGATCACACCACTGCACTCCAGCCTTGGCGACAGAGTGAGACTCCATCTCAAAAAAATAGAATAAAATAAAATAAAAAGTCGGGGAGGGAAACCACGATGTAATACTTGGGACTGGAGATTTTAGGAAATGATCTGGTATTTTTCTGAAGGAGAAAAGAACAACTCCTTTTAATCTTTTGGAAGCAAGTCTCTTCCATTTTCAACATTAATGGTTATAGGTCACCATCCGTTAAGAAGATGTGTTTTGTCTATTTCCATTAAAATGTAAGTTCTAGGAGGAAGGAACAAAGTTGTTTTTCGCCATGGTATCCCCAGTGCTTGGTATATAACAGAGACTCAATTAGCTTGCTGAATGACCAAACAAATGATTTCAGCTTTTGATAACATCTTTGGAACTTGAGAGCATACACCTTGGCTTTTGTCTTTATTCATTTATTTATTTATTCATTCATTTTGTGCCCTTCTGGGAATGAACCAGGACTATTTGAATGGAAAGAGAAAAAAAAAAGCTGTCATAGTTTAAAAATTGGCATATGTTCTCTTCCAGATTAAATTCCCTTGGACCTTTTAATTTATGCTAGAACAAGCACTTATCTTTTCTTTTTTTTATTACTAAGCCCAACACAGTGCGTGGCATGCAGTAACTGTTCAAATAATGTTTGTTTAATTGACGGGTTTTAAGCTCGATAACTTAGCTAAGCCCTTTGCACAGTCTAAGCCTAATTTGGAATGCTTTCAGTCTTACCCAGGCCAATAAAATTTTCTTGCCTCATCTGAATTTCCTGCAAATGTGATTAATTAATAAGAATCATCAAGATTAATTAATAAGAAATTGATAGCAGGATGAGTAACAGGCCCAGACAGTCCCACAGATCACACCTTCCACCCTCCATTTCCGCTTAGCTTCTCTTGAATCTATTGGGCATGATTGCCTCTGTGGGGGCTACAGCCAGCACGGGTGACTGTTCATGACCTACCCTCTCTTGCAGTCTGACTGTGGACAAATGCCGAGTCCTTAAGAGATGGTGAAGTAGGCATAGTAGATAGTAAAGGTAGACTTACAGTATACATTTGCATTCTCAAACAAAATTAAAAAGCCTTAAAGTGCACAAGAAGATTGCACAATTGAAAAGTGCAGAGTATACTCAAAACTGTCATCCTACTGTTTTCTCAGTCTTCCCTGCAATACTATTCCCTCCTCAGACATCCTCAGCTCCCTCTCACCCCAAGTATGCCATTGTCTTTGTAATTCTTATTAAAATACTAAAGCAAAAATTCATCGTAGAACAATTCATGTCCACAAAGGTTTGCCTCAGTTGCTCATGCCCTGTATGCATTTCCTCTGGTTTTATTATTCAAATTAAGAAAATACTTAAAAATTTTTTGGTAACAGCTTGCATGCAACCCCTAAGTGTACCCCTATAACCCTTTGGCTTTTTTCAGAGAAAGACTTCAGCCAAATTGTCCCTTTCACTCCTCTGAGGGCAGCTCTGGGAAACTCTCCTGACCACCTTCTCCCTCCTTCACGTCATCTTTGTGTGACAGCAGGACATCCGGGTTTGGAGCATCCTCCACCACCCACTGACACTCATGAATACGGGCTACCTTGATCTCCTCTGCATTCACACTGGCCGTGGCCTGGGCCGCGCTGCTTTGCCCTCCCATCTCTTCTTGTTCCTCAGAAACCTGGCTCTCACTGAGGCAGATGGGGTCAGAACCTAAGGTGCAGCCCTCTTGCTGTGAGGCATCCCCTTCCTCGGTACACTTGCCCCCTCTTCCTTCATGGGCAGTGAGTGTGCAGGCCTCTCCTGGGAGCTCCCCCTCCATGGGCCCCAGGGGCTCCTCGGTGAGCCCTCCACTGGCTGGCGGAGAGGCTGGGCTGCCTACCTCTGGAAATCCCCCCAACTCCTCCCCATGGGCCTCGGGACAGGGAGGTTGGGCCTCCCTCTCGCTGACTTCACTTTCTTCACAGTTGTCGGGGTGGATGGCAGCTGCCTGACTGGGCTCTTTTTCCTCTTCTTCTTCATTTTCTTGGGGAACGTGGCTCTCCCCATTCGTATCTTCTTCCATCACTGGAGCAGAGTCCACTGGTACTTCCACGGACGCTGTCAGCAACTTTCTGAGCGCCTTCAAAGAACCCGAGGCAGTGATGGGTTCTGGCTCTTCCTGGGCGGGTTCTTCATCCTCAAGGGTCCCTCCAAACTCCAGCTCTGATGAGCATGTGCCCGGGAGTCCTGCTGTGTCCTCTGTTGCCACAGGATTCACCACGGGGTCATCCACTCTTGAAATAATCACCTGCTCAGTCCCATCTGGGGGTGGGCTTGGCCCAGGGAGAGAAAGGCTTTCTCCTTTGGCCAACGAGCTAGGGACCTCAGGCTGCTTCTCTTCCTCTGACTCCTGGAATACTTCGTTACTGAGGGTCTCACTACCCAGAACTCCTGGCAGAATGGCAGAAGCTCTCCTGGCAGGGCTGGCCTGGTTTGACCCTGTGGGGGGCTTTAGATCTGTTAAGCTGGACACACTTTCACTGGGCAAGGCCATGTTATCTTCAAATAAGTTGTGTTTCTTCAAGATAGCAGCTTCCTTTATCACTGAGAGATATCAGAAAACAAAACATGATTTTCTGATTTTATTGAGAAGCCAAAGTCCCCTTTCAGCCTCTCTGGCTATCCAAATTTCTCCATTTCAAGACCCAGCTTACATCCAGGGAGCCTTCCCTGATGACCAAAGTCTATAAACTCTTTCCAAACTCTGAGCCTCTGTAGCATTCATTCATTCATTTATTCAAACAGCAAACATTTGCAGGACATTTAACATGGGACAGGCCCTGGGAATCCAGAGATGAATAAACTATAGCCTTTGTTTTCAAGACACTCAGGGTCTGCAGTAGTGTCACCTGTATCCCTCAGGGAGGCCCCAGCACATTTTATTAGCTGCTAAGATGGGTGGCTCCAGTTTGTCCACCTGGACTGAAATCCTCTAGGGCAGGGCCAGGCCTTACACTTATCTGCTTTACCTTGCAGTACAGTCCTGAATGTGTAATAGGTACTCGGTACTGCACATGCAGAGGAGAGGGCCAAAATGAAGATCCATGTGCATCTAGCTCAGTTTCAAAGGCCTCCAGAGGGGCAAATCCAATAACAACAACAACAACAGCAGGTGACATTTTTGACCACAGGCCTCCTACTTATGGCTGTGCAGGGGCTGTAGTGCCCAAAAATATCACATCTCAGGGGTGCCATTCATATCAAAGACAGAACAGATTTGTGTATTCGGCATAACTTTTCAGCATCTAGCTGCAGAGTTTCCTTCTCTAACAAAATCAATATATTGTGACAATTTTCTAACAGACAGCAATAAAGTGTCTGGAGGAAAGGAGTCTTTTTCTAAATCACCCAAAAGTGCCCATGGTGGGCTGGCAGTGGCCTTGACCGAGCCCTTCCTTTGTGTAGACACTGTGCTGACATCTTCATATTGCTGGTCTCACTGGATTCCCTAGAATTAGCTACTAGGACCTTGGGCTTGTCCTTGGCCAGTTTTCATTGAGGAAGGTCTTTTGTGATACTCAAGACCTTCCAAAAGGAGACCAGATATGTTTCAGGTCCACAGTTTGATGGTGGCCTTCTCCAGCTTTTTTTTTTTTTTTTTTTTGAGACCGAGTCTCACTCTGTCACCCAGGCTGGAGTGCAATGGCACAATCTTGGCTCACTGGAACCTCTGCCTCCTGGATTCAAGCGATTCTCCTACCTCACCTTCTGGAGTAGCTGGGATTACAGGTGTACACCACCATGCCCAGCTAATTTTTTAATATTTTTAGTAGAGATGGAGTTTCACCATGTTGGCCAGGCTGGTCTTGAACTCCTGACCTCAAGTGATCTGCCCATCTTGGTCTCCCAAAGTGCTGGGATTACAGGTGTGACCCACTGTGCCCAGCCCTCTCCAGCATATTTTAAACAAAGTTTTCCTATCCACAATCCAATCCCAGGCAAGGCATGATTCCTGAGGATACTGGATGCCGGAGTCCCACCGAGACTTGCGTGGCACTGCATCATCACCCTGCACCTTTTTCTGTCTGGCTGAGTGGAGTCTGGGAATGTGTTGAGAGAGCCATTAATAAGCCTTGCTGCTGGAATTGCCTCTTCTCAGCTTTGGTGGGTGGGGGGCAGGGGCAGTTACAAGCCTGTGCCTAAGAAAAGCCCTTTTCCCTTTGTTCTGTCTGGAATAGCAAGAGGAAGACAGCTCTTCATGAGAGACCCGAGATTTAATCTCACTAAGCCTCAACTTTCTCATCTGTAAAATGAAACTTAAAATTCCCATCTCACAGCATTCATATTTGTGTATTAAAAAGGGAAAATAACATCTAAAGTGCCAGCTTTGTGTGTGCTTAATCATAACACTCAATCAAGGTTAGTATCCTTCCTTCTTTCCTTCCCTCTCCTCACTGTCTGTCTCCCTCCCTCACCAATGTCCATTTCCTCTTCTCTTTTCCTCCCTGACTGGCCTTACAGAGTCCTATTTCAGGGATGCTCCCCTCTATGGAGTGTCCCTGCAGCACCAGGTAACCTTTCTTACCTTTCAGAGTTTCATCAAGCAGGATCTGATGTAAAATCTCCTCATAGACATTTTCAACGTGAATCATATTGGTATGATCTGCAAAGATGAACTGCTCGTATTTCTGAAGCTCCTGGAGAGCAAGAGATTAGAAGATAAAGATGAAAAGGCATGAGATGCCTGTTCTTAGAGGAGATACAGAAAGGACGATTCCCACTCATGATTCTCTTCTTGGAGGGCATAAGAGAAGGACCATGTTGGCCCAGGGGCAAATTACTCAATTCAATAATATTTTATTGGGTTCCCTTCAATTCAATTCACTGTCTAGGCACCATGCCTGACCTCGACACATCTATTACTGTCCATGATAAGGTGTGGAACTCACTCAGCCATTGGTGGTTCCTTTCCCTTTCCTTGTACTGGCCACGCATTTTATGCACTTCATGGGAGAAGACAGCAGTGATTTTTTTTTATCATCTCAAGGCCTCATTAGCAGGTTTGGAGCCTCCTTTTTTCCCCTCATCACCAAGATGTTTCCTTCTTTCTTTTTTGTTTAATCACAATAGCACTTTACCAAGGTAAGTTATATATAGTAAAATGTACAGATAAGTTCAGCTCAATGATTTTAAATATGTAAATATACTTATGTAACCATAACCCAGATCAAGGAGAACATTTCCATCACCCCCAAAGTTCCCCCACCCCACTTTCCAGTCTGCACCTCCCAAGATATGAGCACTGATTTTATACCTATCATGATAGTTTTTGCTTGTTCTTGAACTTTATAGAAATGAAATCATAATTATTTTGCATTTGTTTTTGAGATTCATCCATGTTGCTGCATCTATCAGTAGCTCATTCCTTTTTATTGTTAAGTAGTATTCATTATATGGATAAACAAAAATTGTTTATCTGCACTCAGGTTGATAAAAATTGAGATTTTTTTTCAATTTTCAACCATAAATATAATTTTTGTTTTATTTTATTTTTTATTATTATTATACTTTAAGTTTTAGGGTACATGTGCACAATGTGCAGGTTAGTTACATATGTATACATGTGCCATGCTGGTGCGCTGCACCCACTTACTCGTCATCTAGCATTAGGTATATCTCCCAGTGCTATCCCTCCCCTCTCCCCCCACCCCACAACAGTCCCCAGAGTGTGATGTTCCCCTTCCTGTGTCCATGTGTTCTCATTGTTCAATTCCCACCTATGAGTGAGAATATGCGGTGTTTGGTTTTTTGTTCTTGCGATAGTTTACTGAGAATGATGATTTCCAATTTCATCCATGTCCCTACAAAGGACATGAACTCATCATTTTTTATGGCTACATAGTATTCCATGGTGTATATGTGCCACATTTTCTTAATCCAGTCTATCATTGTTGGACATTTGGGTTGGTTCCAAGACTTTGCTATTGTGAATAGTGCCACAATAAACATATGTGTGCATGTGTCTTTATAGCAGCATGATTTATAGTCCTTTGGGTATATACCCAGTAATGGGATGGCTGGGTCAAATGGTATTTCTAGTTCTAGATCCCTGAGGAATCGCCACACTGACTTCCACAATGGTTGAACTAGTTTACAGTCCCACCAACAAAGTAAAAGTGTTCCTATTTCTCCACATCCTCTCCAGCACCTGTTGTTTCCTGACTTTTTAATGATTGCCATTCTTTTTTTTTTTTTTTTTTTTTTTTTTTTGAGACGGAGTCTCGCTCTGTCGCCCAGGCTGGAGTGCAGTGGCGCGATCTAGGCTCACTGCAAGCTCCGCCTCCCGGGTTCAAGCCATTCTCCTGCCTCAGCCTCCCGAGTAGCTGGGACTACAGGCGCCCGCTACCACGCCCAGCTAATTTTTTGTATTTTTAGTAGAGACGGGGTTTCACCGTGTTAGCCAGGATGGTCTCGATCTCCTGACCTCGTGATCCGCCCGCCTCGGCCTCCCAAAGTGCTGGGATTACAGGCGTGAGCCACCGCGCCCGGCCATGATTGCCATTCTAACTGGTGTGAGATGGTATCTCATTGTGGTTTTGATTTGCATTTCTCTGATGGCCAGTGATGGTGAGCATTTTTTCATGTGTTTTTTGGCTGCATAAATGTCTTCTTTTGAGAAGTGTCTGCTCATGTCCTTTGCCCACTTTTTGATGGGGTTGTTTGTTTTTTTCTTGTAAATTTGTTTGAGTTCATTGTAGATTCTGGATATTAGCCCTTTGTCAGATGAGTAGGTTGTGAAAATTTTCTCCCATTTTGTGGGTTGCCTGTTCACTCTGATGGTAGTTTCTTTTGCTGTGCAGAAGCTCTTTAGTTTAATTAGATCCCATTTGTCAATTTTGGCTTTTGTTGCCATTGCTTTTGGCGTTTTAGACATGAAGTCCTTGCCCATGCCTATGTCCTGAATGGTAATGCCTAGGTTTTCTTCTAGGGTTTTTATGGTTTTAGGTCTAACATTTAAGTCTTTAATCCATCTTGAATTGATTTTTGTATAAGGTGTAAGGAAGGGATCCAGTTTCAGCTTTCTACATATGGCTAGCCAGTTTTCCCAGCACCATTTATTAAATAGGGAATCCTTTCCCCATTGCTTGTTTTTCTCAGGTTTGTCAAAGATCAGATAGTTGTAGATATATGGCGCAACTATATCTACGCCATATAATAATCATAAATATAACTGCTGTGAACATTCTTGTACATATGTTTTTGTGGATTTAAGGGCTTGTTTATGTTGGGCATATACCTAAAAGTGAAGTTGTTGGGTCATAGGGTAGATGTATGCTTAACTTTATCAGAATGGGGCCACTTTGGGGGTTGGGAGACTCTGTAGTCAAGGGCTCTTCAGAAACATTCTCTTTCTCTTCAGCTGGCCCTGACATTCATTGATTCCTTCTAGGATAGCTCAGGCATGGTGCATCCCTTAACTCTCTCTCCTTTCCAAGGGTTTCCAAATGGCTTGCCTTTTATCGGCATGAGGACAGGGCAGGGATCAAAATGTACCAAATCATATCCCATGATTAACTCAGTAATCCTTGCACCTGGTGGTGCTGGGGGAAGGCTTCCCACATGTGGCTCTTAGAGAATCAGGGACTTAGCCATGGGATTTGCGGTCTCTTGCCTGGAAGGACAGTATTTACAGCAGGTGATCAGAAGCACCACCTCAGACAACTCTCAGTGCTGGGACTTTGGGGCACTGTAGCCCAGATCACAGCGGGTAATAATGGGTTCCTTTATACCCAACCAAGAAGAAAGGCAAAGGATTGAAGAGACATGAGCTTCAAAGACCCCTAGAGGGTCTAGAGGCAGGACTGTTGCACAGATTTGAGAAAAGCATTGCCCAGGAGACTGGAGACTGCCCTGGACTAGACATGGGACCTTGGTGAGCCATATCACTGCTCTGTGCCTCTGTCTCTTCCTCTGCTAAATGAGAGGCACAGATTCATGCCTGCAACACCCTTTCATCCTTCCCACGTGGTCCCCCATTCCTATTCCCCTGATTGGCATTCATCCCTCAGGACTGGGTGAAAGCATGACTCTGGAAGTCCTTCCTGGCTGTATAAGCAGAGTTTGGCACTTTCCTTGGAACTCTTCCCCATGAGGCAACTGCTGTGTTCCTCACATGGCATCCTGTTTGCCTGTCTCCTGCTCTCTACTGTGAACTCCAGGACTTCAGGGATGCTGGGCTGGCACAATGCCTGGATCACATGTGATACAAATCTAATACATATTTGCTGACTCAATAAACAGTAGACCTTTAAATTTTCAACCAGCTAAATAATTCTGTGGGAAGGAGTACTTTCTATGGACATATATACTGTCATGAAGTGACCAACTTTACAAAACAGGTGTTTTATATTGAATTGATTGAACAGGGCCATAGGTTTACTTCCCTGGGCCAATTAATTTGGTATCTCTGAAGGTAGGTGTTGGGGAGTCAGAATCATTTTTTTCACAGTTCCCCAGACAATTCTAATACACAGCTTGGGCTGAGGCTGAGTACCACAGATCTAGGAAGCTGCTACTTATAGAACCAAGGGAAATGCACTTTAGCAAAATAAAGACTCCTTCTAGGAAGCAGATAATCCCCTCATTCATCTATTCTGCAAATCCAGATTTTTAAAAAGCTCTTGATGCTGATATAATATCCTCCATTACCAAAACCTCTGGGTCACAGGCTCTTTTGAAATCAATGCCTCCTGATTAAAAAATTACAAGAGCCTCTTACAGATTGGGCACAGCACACTATGTTGATGCTTGGAAAGAGGGGAGCCGATGAGAAGGAGAACTCTCCTTACCTTTCTCCTGAGAGAAGGTGGATCTGAGGCCCCCAAACTGCCTTTGTGATTGAAAAAAAAAATCCTAAGCAGAACATCTGTGTGCAAACCCACCTAGCAGTGGACACCATCATCATTTGGCTGCTGAACTGTTCTGCCATGTAAGGCCAAAGGTCAATCCCTTGGCTTAATCAAATCCTTTCCTATGAAAGAAATATGCCCCACAAATAAATGCCAAATATATCTAATACGCTATGAGGATGTGAAGGAAAACAGCACTTACAGACTATAAAAATGACCAATGACATGTTGCAGTAAAATAACTTATGCAAAGGATTTTAACGTTCCAGTGCTTGGAGACTCTCCGAGCTGCCAAAAAGCCCTTTTTTAAATTCCAAAAACCTCTTTATCATTTGCTCCAAAACGGAGCAGGCCTTGCTTCAGGTTAATAGATTATTTTTGAAATGTAGAAGTAGTAATAATAATAGTGGTAGTAGTACTTGATACCATTTTCTGAGTGCCTATCATGTTTTAGGTAAGCAAGAACTGGGTTCACACTCTGGTGGTCACCAGGTCTGTGGCCTCGGCTCAGTGGCTTAACCACTCAGGTTTCCTCATTTGTACCATGAGGATATAAATAATACCTCCTCCCAGAGCTGTTTTCAGTCTCTGCTGGCCCATTGCTCTGCTCTACAGATGAAGTCACACCCTCGCAATCATGGTTCTCACTGGATGCTCAATGTTTGTAGAGGTTTTAAGTGGTTTCATTGATTTCATTAAACAACATTGCTGGATTTAACAGAACAAATATCCTGTAATTATGTTAGCTAATATCTTTTTTGGATACAGTGGTCAAGTTTCAGAGGACACGTTGGACCTATGAGTCATACTATAATGAGAAACACCTGGTATCCTTAGGTATTCTATGTCAACCCCTAGTTTGGCTCAAATTCAGATCACTGCCCTTTGAGATTTTGTCTAGTCCAGGGGTCAGCATATCTGGCTAGCATCTTGTTTTTGCAAATAAAGTCTGTTTATATATAGTCAATGGCTGTTTGTGTGCTACAACAGCAGAGCTGAATAGTTGCAACAGAAATAGTGCAGTCCATGAAGCTTAAAATATTTACTATCTGACCATTTACAAAAATGTCTGCCAATCCCTCCCTGGTCTAGTCTGCTGTTTGCCAGTACACATCACAAAAGAACTTGTTTGAACTTCAGAGGTAAGAAGAGCAAGCTCTTTAGGGTAACTCATCCCCTTACTGGTTTGCATGTGGACGCCAGTGCCTTCTGCACAGTGGGAAGTGTGATTTGAACTAGTGCCTCTTGAAATATCTTCTTTCGGATGGTGCTGCTGTCATAATCATATTGCTGTCAATAAAGAAACATATGTTAAATAGTAACATTACAATCTGTTGACTTATGTTTACTCAAAAAACTCAGCCACCCACTTCACCTCTCTTTTCCTCCTAATGTCTGAGAACTCTTGTATTTCCAAGGCCTCAGAGATCTTTCCATGTAATTCCCTCACACTGCAGGCACAGGTTATAACTGATAATGACCCATCTCACTCTTACCTTTTACAGGTATGGAAACTGAGGCAAGATCAAAACAGAATGGTGAGTTCTGCATTATAAAGAAGTTGGGGATAGAACTGGGGGGTGAGTTTGTATTTTATTACTCCTGTCCCAGGTAGGTCCATGGAAACCATGATCATCTATTACTCCACATCTTCAAACCAGGGTCAGTGGGTTGTAATGATTTGAACAAGGGAAGAGAAGGCCTGGCTAGTGGCTCCATTAACACTGTGACATGTTAACCAAAGAAGTTCAGTATCCAGAACAAGAAAGATGACGATTCTGTCTGTTCTGCATTGGACATCCCAACATGGAGACCAGGATTTAATTGTGGATCTCACTTCAAGGGGATCACAGATAAATAAGAGTATAGTCATAGGCAGCGAGAAGAATGGTCAGGCCAAGTGAAGAATAGTTAAAGAGATGAAGGTGTTTATACTGGAGATAATAAGTTAGGGCAAGTTATAACTCTATTCAAACAACCAAAGGCTGCCACGTGGAAGAAGGTTATGAATGAAGGGGGTAGAACTGGAATAACCAGTGGTGAGAACTTTGGCCTAACATGAGAAAGCATGTTCTTGCTGTCAAGAACTAAAATGGGCTATCCTGAGAGGTAGAAAGTATCCTGCCAGTGCAGGTGTCGGAGCACTAGTGGGACCACCCCTTGAGGGAACCTGCTGAACACTGAATATGAAGTTGAACTAAAGGCACTCAAAATCTCTTTGAAACCTGAGGTCCTAATATTTCAACACCTTTCTACATTTTTTCTTCCTTTCTTTCTGTACGCTAAAGCATTTGACACTGACACTATCTTTTTTTTTTTAGTTGCATTGCAATTTCATCATTATGTGTGTTATCATGAGCAATATTGGTGTTTTTTTTTTTGTTTTTTTGTTTTTTGTTTTTTGAGATAGAGTCTCACTCTGCCACCCAGAGCTGGAGTATAGTGGCACAATCTCCGCTCACTGCAAGCTCCACCTCCCAGGTTCACGCCATTCTCCTGTCTCAGCCTCCCGAGTAGCTAGGACTACAGGTGCCCACCACCACACCCGGCTAGTTTTTTGTATTTTTAGTAGAGACGGGGTTTCACCGTGTTAGCCAGGATGGTCTCGATCTCCTGACCTCGTGATCTGCCCGCCTCGGCCTCCCAAAGTGCTGGGATTACAGGCGTGAGCCACTGTGCCCGGCCCCAATATTGTTTTTAATATCAATGATTTAGTTGCTAGAGTTTCCTCTTGCCTGTGAGGCATCAAGATCAAGTCTGAAATTCAGAGACCACCCCTAGGCTCTGTGGGACTTTGATCTTCTGTTCCAAGGCAATGTTTAGGGGAACTAGAAGGCAGTAAAAAAAATTAGTGGACTAGGTGTATGATCGTTTATCCTTAAGCTCACCATTGATCAGCCTGTTGAGCTTAATTAAGTCACATTAGCTTTTACAGAATCAGTTCCTCATCTGTACAATGGGGGAATATTCTAGTTAATGCACAAGTTCTTGTGGGGATCAGGTAAGAGGCTTTAAAATATAACATATATGTGAAAGCTCCTATTATTAAAACTATTTTAATAAACACTCTGAAGTACATTTAAAACAATTTCATATGGTAGATTTCTTTTCTTTGGAGTATTTCCTTTGCCATGAGGTTCTGATTTTTCAAAATCAATAAATTATTCGCCAGTTTAATGGATTTTACTATATTGTAACCTCTTTGAAGAAAGAGGCTGTGCCTTGCCTACTTTTACATCCCATGCAGTGCTTATAGTGGACAGCTAATACGTGTTTGTCGAGTTGGATCTCTATGAAGGCTGGGACGCGGGGCCTGTAGCTGTGGGTAATGATGCTGAGGACCAGCAGTGGCCGCTAGATGGCAGAAGAGGCATGGAAGTCACACTGGAGAAACTGCAGCGGACTGACAGTCACTGGACTTGGGAGAGAAAGGAGTGGGGAAAGATTAGAGCCAAGGAGAGAACTTGGTATTTTCCACTTTACAAAAGAAACAGGGGTCACGTTCTCTTTTTATGCTTCCCACAAACAAGAGAACGGTTTTACCTTTAAGACTCGGAGTTTAACCTTCTCAATGGCAACTGCAGTTTTGGAGGCCTCTCCTTGGAGATGTGGGGAAAGCAACTGCTCAAAAGTGAACACTGCATTCTCCATTAGCTAGAAACCAGAAGCGACACAGAAACAGACAACAGTCAGGGGCTGGGATCACCACCCACAGGCCTGGCTAAGTGGGACTGCAGAGTAGGGGCCATCAGAGATGAGTCCCCTCGGCTGCTATTCGGTGGGGGTACCCAAGGCAACATCACCCCATCACCAGGGCTGTGAAACAAATGGTCACGTGGTCACAGTGGGAGCAGGAAGAAGTTGGAAAACCCAAGGCCATGGGACTGAGCAAGCATTCTGTCATCTCCCGTGGGCACTCCTATTCTTTGATACCTGCAGCCACTGATTAAGGGATGAGGCTGGAGCCTTCTTCAACTAGTTTTTGGTGGCACCTCCACTTTAAGTAGATGTAAACCGCTCCACAGCTTATCTCTCCCTCTCTCTGCAGGGCTGGGAAGAGAGGCAGGGTCAGGGATGGGTGGGGACAGTGGCTGACATGTTCATGGGTCAGAAAGCAGAAGTAGTTCAGGTATCTTATTCTCTGCACCTTTGCCTGTGTTCCCGTCACCAGGGTCCAGTATTACGAAAGAGACTTCTGCTAAACTGTTGCCCAATTTTGTTCCTCGTTCCTCTTTCATCCCTCACAACTCAAGGGTTAGTTAGCTAAAATGTATCACTTAATCCTGCCCATAACCTTTATGAAAAAAAAAGTTCTCCTTTCTTCCCCAAGCCCGTGGTCCCAAAGCATCCAATATATACCTTTTTTTTTTTTTTTTTTTTTGAGACACGGTTTCACTTTGTCATCCAGGCTGGAGTAGTGCAGTGGCACACTCTTGGTTCACTGCAACCTCTGCCTCCAGGGTTCAAGCGAGTCTCGTGCTTCAGCCTCCAAGTAGCTGGGACTACAGGTGTGCACCACCATGCCCAGCTAATTTTTTTGTATTTTTAGTAGAGATGGGGTTTCACCATGTTGGCCAGGCTGGTCTTAAACTCCTGACTTCAAGTGATCCACCCGCCTCGGTCTCCCAAAATGCTGGGATTACAGGCGTGAGCCACTGTGCCTGGCCACAATATATACCTTTATCATACCTTCAACATTGTAGTGAATTTATCTAAGAATTTGTCTCACTCAAGCTCCCTGAAGTGGGATCTGGTACAGTGTCCGGCCCACAGTAATCTCTCCTCAGAATATCTGTGTGAAATGGCATGGTGTCCTTTAGAGCTTTGGTGACCGTACCCCTTATTCATTTAGGAAACACTATAATACGGAAGGAGTTTGTGCTATTCATTCCTGTTACTGGGGAAAAGGTTCCTTATGAAAAAAAAAAAAAAGAAACCTGTCAAGTAGACTCAAGAAATTCAAATATGAAGCTGTGATTGATTGATTGGTTTACTCTTAATTACGTTAGGGAATTAATTTAAGCCAGTGGCTCTCAATCCTGGCTGCATATTAGAAACAGTAGGAATCAGGGTAGGGAAGTTCTATCAAAAAGTAGCCATATAGGCTGGGTGTGGTGGCTTATGCCTGTAATCCCAGCACTTTGGGAGGCCGAGGTGGGCAGTTCACTTGAGGTCAAGAGTTTGAGACCAGCCTGGCCAACACAGTAAAAACCCCATCTCTACTAAAAATACAAAAATTAGCCAGACATGGTGGCACATGCCTGTAGTCCCAGCTACTCAGGAAGTTGAGGCAAGACAATCACTTGAACCCGGGAGGCAAAGGTTGCATGCAGTGAGCCAAGATCATGCCACTGCACGCCAGCCTGGACATCAGTATTTCCCCCAGGTGATTCCAATGTGTAGCCAAGGTTACAGCACTGATTTGACAAATCAAGTAGTTATCAATTAATGCTACTTTATTTTTCTGAGCTATGTCTTGTCTATGATGTTCATCCACATGGATGGAAGATGAAGCCAGTGGAGGGACAGAACGTGTCCTCCCGCAACATGATGGCTAAAGAGACGCGACGTATTTCCCTGAGCTACACTAGCAGCTGGTCTCACTGGCCAGCACCCATTTCTCTGCTCTCTCTTTACCCTCATCCACCACGGATGCCCCTGCCACACCCACCTCCTGCATGTAGTTCTGTGTCCTCTGAACCACCAGATCAATGTGGGGGAATCTGAAGCGGCTCTTGAGATCCTGCAGGCGCTCGTGAAGCAGGTTGACTTTAGTATAACAAGGTTCCATCTTCACGGAATGCAGCGGAAGATTCATAAGCCGGTCTAGATGCTGCATTTTGGTGAAGGGAAACATTAAACACCCTCAGAATGAGGAGCGGTATTGCATATATATTGCATATTACATACATTCTAAGCAATCAAATGCAAGTTGTTAAAGTGAATCACTACTTGGATCCCTACATCTGTGACACCTTCAACTGTCTTATTTTCCTCCTGCAGTGGGTTCCTAGGGTAGCTGTAATGCTAGGACAGAAACCAGCAGAAACACCAACTGGATGAGAGGAAGACCCAGCGGTGCACCCACGGGGACTCCAGTCTTTGTAAGCTGTTGATGGACTCTAATCTCCCACTTCCAGAGCTCAAGAACCAGACAGGTAGGCTCTGATACGTGGTTGCTGCTGGGCCCCCAGGCTTCCAAAATCTTCTTTAGTGAGTGACACTCCTCTCAAAAAACGCCAGGGAGGTCAGGATGCTCCCTGGACTCCTGGACTTTGGAAGGGAAGCCAGAGTTCCTCACAATTCTATGAGGATCTGCCAGGGCCCACAGGGCTTCTCTCTGCTATAGGTTGCTTTAGGTGCTAGTGGATGGGAAGTGGATAGGCAGAGCCCTGTACTGGGAGAGGTATCCAGTTTGAAGAACTGGGGTCCCTCCTACTCTAGTTTGCACTCAGTCAATGAGGCCATTGGGCTTCCAGCATCATACCTCACCTGCTAAAGCCCTAAAGTGTTATCAACAAATGTTGTTGCAACAGAATGCATTCTGTTTTCCAAGCTTAGTTTAAAATCATTTTTTAAAGGAAATACTGGAGGTTTAAAATAAACAGGGGAATGGGTGGAGCAGAAGAAGGCAGAAAGAAAGGTTCTGAAAATGGAGGCTCTAGAGAGAACTGGGGAGTGAGGCAGGTTACATATGAATAATATAAGATGCACTGTCCGACTTTCAGCTCACGCAGAAGAGATAATCTAGATTTCTAGATTTCTCTAAACAGGAATTTTAAGAGGGCCCACTCTCATTATGCTTTAAAGGGAAAATACTGCTCCCTTTATGAAGTGAGTTATGGAGAGGTCCACTGAAGTGAAGTAAGGATCAAAAGCATGCTGTGGAACTTGCAGCTCCTCACCAAATGGAATGTGTCTATTTTTAAAAAATATCAATTAAGCAGACAGAAGAGGAAAAATGGGTTCCCACTTTGCTCCTATCAGATTGGCAAAAGTTTAATCAAATGATAACACCTATAGCTGATAGCAGTATGGGGGAGAAAGCCCTTATCATACACAATTAGTGGAAATGTAAAATTTAAATCCTTTTTTTTGAAATGCAATGGAAACATTTTTTAACATGAGAAATGTACTTTCAACCTGGCTATCTTGTCTTAGGAGAATATACTATAGAAATAAATACATCAGGGTATATGTGTGTGTATATATATATATACACATATATATGTGTGTGTGTATATATATATACACATATATATGTGTGTGTGTATATATATATACATATATATGTGTATACATAAAAATATTAATTTATTATGCTTTATTCATAATGCCAGCAATATTGAGATGAATGAATAAATCATGGTGTATCCATACATGAAACATCATGCAGCCATTACAAAGAAAGATTTAGAGCTAAAACAGTTACCTTGGAAACAGTTTCATGGGGTATTTTTGGAAGAGAAACTGATAAGCAGAGTAATGTATAAAATATAATCCCATTTTTCTTAAAGCAGACAATCTAAAGTCTAGCCTCTAAGGGTGTGTTTTATGTGCTAGATAAGAATGGGGAAAATACAGAATGGCATATGCTAAGTTGTTAACACGAGTTGCTTGAGGGGAGGAGGTGGCATTGGGGAAGGGGAAGAGTGAAGACAAGTAAAACAAAACAGGCTGCAATAAGAAACCCCAAAACATTTCTAAAATGATCCTGTTAATGCACAATTATATATGTGTATATATGCATAAAGAATAAAGGAAAAGAAATAGAGACATCTGGTTTTATCTACTGACTTGTAAGGATGTTCATCATGATATGTCAAGTATAAAACCAAGCTGCCAATTTATATCTTTTTCAGTGATTCTTAAACTGTAGGGTACACCAGAACCTCTGGAGGTCTTGTTAAAACAGACTCCTGGGCACTACCCCTAGATTTTCTGATTTAGTAGATCATTGGTGGGGCCCGAGAATTTGCATTTTTAACAACCAGGTGATGATGACACTGCTGGTCTGGGGACCATACTTTCAGAAATATTGATCTGTTAAAGCAAACTAAATACAGCCTGAGAAGGACTCCATACTTCCATATTTTAGTCCTTGTGGATGAACTGTAAGAGTCAGATAAAATTGAAAACCTAACTTAGTAGTATGCACCTGTAACAATAACTGAGTGTTGACCAGTCCCAGCAGCCATACTTCAACTACTCATAGACTGCTAAATGTTCAAATAAGGCAAATGCTGAGTTGTAACCAGTCTCACTATTTCTGTTCCTCACTTCTGATTCCTGTACGTCACCTTACCTTTTTTGTCTGTAAATTTATTCTGACTGTGAGGCACCCCCGGAGAATTTGTGAATCTGCTGTGATTCTAGGGACTGCCCGATTTGCGAATCATTCATTGCTCAGGTAAACTCCTTTAAATTTAATTTGGCTGAAGTTTTTCTTTTATCAGATGGTGTCAGAAGCAGGATCCGAAGTGGAGCTTCTAGTGACTCCCAGGAGCGCTGAGTGAACACACAAGGTACCTGCAGGTCCCACCTGTGTCCATTGATCTCTCAGAGCGGCTGGGGATCGCGGTAAGCTCCCTCTCGGAATTTGAAGCTCCATAGATTTGTGTTTTGAGCTCTCTGAGTTTCTTCGAGCAAGTTTCTGATCCAAACTGGGTTTGTAGTCATGACAGAAACTGGACTGGGTCCAGGAACAGATTTGATCCAGGAATTAACTGGCTTGGACCCAGTCAGAGGCCTCGTATATCTGACTGGGTCAGAAAGGAACTGGTAGTAAGCAGTAATATTGCAGGGGTTATAAAATTTGGCTTTTGAAAATTCACAGGGATTTCTGTGTTCTACCCCTTTTTTCATTTTTCTTGTGTGCTTAGGTAGGAAAAATCATTGGCTAAGTTAAGAGAACCTGGGAGTAAAGCCAATATTTTAGGTTAAAATGGGCTCCTTAATTTCTGGAAAACTGAGTTCCTTCTGGCTTATACATTAGGCCTGGGAGGCAGTGAAGTCTTACAGAAACAGCAAAATCTTACTGAAGATAATTTACAGTGGAATGTTCCGAAAGAACAACAATGCATTGAGGTACTTTCTTCCTTTTTTTTTTTGTTTTTTTTTTTGAGACGGAGTCTCACTCTGTCTCCCAACTAGAGTGCAGGCGCGATCTTGGCTCACTGAAAGTTCCACCTCCTGGGTTCATGCCATTCTCTTGCCTCAGCTGGGACTACAGGCACCCCGCCACCACGCCCGGCTAATTTTTGGTATTTTTAGTAGAGACAGGGTTTCACCATGTTAGCCAGGATGGTCTCGATTTCCCGACCTCACGATCCGCCCGCCTCGGCCTCCCAAAGTGCCAGGATTACAGGCCTGAGCCACTGCGCCCGGCTGCATTGAAGTACATTTTTAAAATGAGGGCTCTCAGTAAAGTCCCTTTTGGCTAGGAACGGTTTTGGCACTACAGGATGTCAACTGCTATTCCCTTTGGAATAATCTGACTTGCACTCTTTGCTGATGGCTGTGGGTGACAGGATTAGGCATGTACAGGATTGTGGGACATGGGGAGCTTTTTCCTCCCTCCCGGAAAAGGGAGAAACCTGAGAGCTGATGAGACTGCTGGAAAAGATCCTTTCGCTACTAACTAGTGGCCATCAGAACTTTTCAGTGTCGCTGAAATGAATGGGTCTTGCTCTGGCCTCCCTGAGCTCTTCACCTTATGCACCCTCCCACAGGCAATACTTTCCTTCATCTTATTTTCCTTTCCTATCTTTTCTGTTACTCAGGGCAACCATCTTGCCCAGAGACCACAAGTTGAAACTCCTAGTCGGAGGTTTGATTAAAGATGAGGAGGGCCATCTGAGGGCAAATTTAAGCTTTGCCAGTTTGATATTGGGTGCTAAGCAGAGTGGCTAATGTATATGTTTTATCATACATATTTTGCTCTAGCCAGAATGAAAAAAATAATAATTTTCCTTTATGACGTGGCTTGGCCCCCAGCAGGATGGTGCAGCAAGCTGGGTCACTAGAGCCACTCAGGGAAAGGGAGCCCAGAGCCTGGCATGCCGGCCAAAAGGTAAGAATTTCTTACCAGTCAGATTTCTGGCTTCTCTCTATATATAAAAACAGTCGAATGAATGGTAAAAATCACTGCTTATCTCCATCTTGTTTTATGTCCTTGGGAGCTTGACTTTGTAACCACATAGCAGTACTTTCTCTTGGTCTCTGCCTTCCAGGGAATGGAATTTTAGAGTTTATGTCATAGTTAGCTCTAAAAATTATCTTGAGTAGTTAAAGCCTTTGCAAACTCAAAGTTAACTACTCTAGATGCCTTCTGGGAAGGGCAGTAGAGATTGCTCCATGCTGTAGCTCAGTAGCTAAGGTTTTGCCCTTTCACACTGGTGGTCCAGGTGCAATTCCCTGCTTAGGAAGCAAGTTCTTTCTGGTTGAATATCTGCATGACCCTGTCTAGTCTCTTCTCCTCCATGGACTATCTTAAATTTTCCTTTCTCTGAGCATCTGGGAGATTACCTACTTTGGTAAAGTTCAAAAGCCAGAAACATCAGTCATTTGGCCTGGCTAAAATTGGTTAATAAGAAATTTTAAAAATACTTTATTAAAGAGTGCTATGATTAAAAGTCCACTTAATTAAAAGTGAATATCAAGCTCTAACAGTCTGGAGGCACCAGAGACCCCTTTCCTGGCCCTGTTCTTCCAAGGACTCCACCATAAAGCCAATAACCAATTAAGAAATTAAAAATCTAGCAAATGAAAAATCTTACAACTACTGTGTAATGTTCTTCTGTCTGTCTGTCTATGTAATTATATATGTGTTGTGTGTAATGTTTATATAAAAGAACTCTAATTGGCTTAAACAAAAATAAGC
This sequence comes from Homo sapiens, assembly GCF_000001405.40. Taxonomy (NCBI): domain Eukaryota; kingdom Metazoa; phylum Chordata; class Mammalia; order Primates; family Hominidae; genus Homo; species Homo sapiens. The sequence continues at coordinate 184,813,285 of NC_000001.11, forward strand.
ACTTACATCAAATATTTTGAAAGCAAAATAAAAACTATAATACCTTTTAGTTCATTAACTTCAGTAATTTTTGGGAAATGAAAACAGCTTTAAAAATTATTGTTAAAATAAAGACATTTTGTCTAAATTATGCAGGTCAGATAATAGGTTTGCTAACTGCTTTGACTTTTGAAAATTGTTCAATTTATTTTGGAGACATTAAATTCTAAATAAGGCCTGGGGATATATGGAATTAACCATGCCCCCTAGCTATATAAAGAAGGTTATAAAGAAAAGAGATTTTATATAAGAGAGGATGTTGTATGGTAAATTATTGTCCTAAAGTAAAATGACTGGTTGTTTAAAAAGAGGGATGTTTAAGCAAGTCAGAAAGTCTAAACATGTCGTACATGGTCTGTGTAAGTTGTGAAATAATTTATTAAAAGGAATTTATGCCAGAAATGTTGTATAATTTGAAGGTGCTTCATAAGCTGCCACTATGACTTTTCACTGTACAGCTTGCTGGCTTTACAGCTAGCTAAGGCCTGGGACACATGGAGTTCGATGCTGGAATAAGTCATACCTTATCTGCATTTCTATCTGGGTCCTAGGCTCCACACCTAGTACATAATTAAAATCCCTTACTCACCAAGGTTTTTACCAAAAGTAAAAGTTGCTATGAGTTAACACTGTAATATGTAATTGAGCCTACTGAAAAAAATAGGTTTACATGCAAGGTATGTAAGGAGAATTAAATGTATTTTTTGTAAGAGATTATAAGAACATATGGAAATGTAAATTTTTGCCTAGGTTAGAGGGTTAAAGGATTGTTTTAAATTATACAAAGCTAAAGGTTTGAACAGGTTGTGGAAGGTTTATAAAAAATTAACTGTAAGAGATTCTATGTGTGAATATATTGGCTAAATAAAATGGCATTATTGCTTTTTCCCTAAATTGGACATGGGAATAAAAGCATAACAAAGTTTTCTTGGAACATTGTTCTGTTCTGAGAAAAAAAATTCTAATGAGTTATAAAAGGTTTATAAAAATCTTACCTTATGGTCAAAGTAATTAAAACTGAATATATTTATGAAATATTAAAAACTAGCTTTAACATTAAAAATACACTAATGGAAACATAAAATTTGGTTTTCTCTTTTAAAAATGATTTTTATATAATATTAAAAGATAATGAAAGGTTTTTGTTTACCTTTTAAGTAAACTACAAAAGGGAAGGCAAGGAGACAGTCAGTTGGCCTCATGCTACATTCATTGGGTCTTATTTGGAAAGCTGTTCCCCTCTCCATCAGAGTCATGTTTCATCCTTTTAAAAATTTTTGTATCATCATTTTGGCTAAATGAATGACTTATGGTAACCTAAGATTCTATTTTGTAATATCCAATGTTTTAAACCTGTGGTATTTGACAAACCTTTCAAAACCAAGCTCTAGATTATCATGCTAAATCAGCCAATACTGAAATTGTTTAAATATACAATTTGAATGAACTCCATGGTCTAAGTCAAATTACCTATGATAAACCATTAGTTATCAGTGCTGTGCACCTAAATTGGAGAAACAACTGGTATTCAAGAGGACGTAAGTCCAGTGTTAAGCATGGACTCATGAAGAACTAGGACAGCCACCTTGTCCTTCCTGAATCCTTAAGCTTTTGTTATTAAAGGTTCTGCATTCCATGACTCATCATGGAAAAGATAAAATAATCCAAATTGAATATATTGATATGGTGACTTATAAATTGTGGAAACAGTTTAGAACCAATATTCACTTCCATATTCCTGGGGAAAAAATTAAAGCGTCAGGTACATTTGGCTATCTGATGGGCCATTTAAACATTTATAAAGGGATTTCATTCAATTGTCATTTTCAATGCATGTTTTCTAGTTGTATAAAAGCTTTCCCATGCAAGAGGGCTGATGTTATAACAGTAGATTATTATGCTACAATGTATTTTCCCCAGGTAAAGAAAGCTTTTTATGGTTCACTGAGGACAATCCCTTCATAATCTAGAACCTGAAGATTAGATCTTCTGAAAACATCAGAGAAAGACTGTCATTGCCCTCCACACTACAGCAAAACTTTGGAGACTTGAACTTTGGGTCCATAATCTCACAACTGAGAAGGGTTCCTTCACACTCCTGGAACTGTACACCCATTGGACCCCTTAAGCTAATCTAACCAGGACAGTTTCTCCCCAGAAGAAGATGACATCCTTGATGTGAACAGTTTTTCCCAAGATCATGGATCAAGACTTCTGCTATCACAAGACTCTGATCTTTGAATATTTTTTCCTTGTGTATGCCTCTATGAGCAGTATAAATGAAAAGGAGGTCTATTATGTGCACTTATAGGGTATAATTTTATTTGTGAAGGATTTTGCAGCCAGCCTTATACATGAATAGCCTTATACTTTAATAGATAAAAAATGAAGGCCCAGTGTAGGTGAGAAACTTTAGTGGTACACACGTTGCCTCATAATCAGTCAAAACTCTTCTTAATCCGCATCATGGATTAAAGAGAACACTGCCAGGAGGCCTTCACTCTTCTAGAAGGACATCATTTGTTAGGTCCTTTTTCCATGGTTTAGACTAAAAGGCAATAATTAGAAATGTCTCCCTCATAATAGGCCCTACAGTAAATTCTACTTTAAAGGCTGTCGTTACACAACATACTTTAAATTCTCTTGTGAAAGTTATGCTAAATAATAAAATTGGCTAAACAGAAAAGTACCTATGCAGCTGCTGACACTTGTGGCCTATGGAGAAATACATCATATGTAGATTATAAAAATCCAGCTGTAGGGGATTAATGAAAAGACCACTTAGTCAAGCGAGTAGACTCTTCATCTAGCTCATTCTTTAATCTATTTAATTTTAGGTGATTTGGTTTATGGGGACCCTGGGTAAGGAGCATACTCCAAACTCTTGATATTATCCTCCCAATAGTCATAATAATAGTCTTCCTGGTGTGCTGTATTCTCTCAAAGGTTTTAAATGTTTGCATGTAGCCATCTCTAGGATGTCAAATGGTCCCCCTTCAACTGAAATGACAAAAGCTGAAAGAAACATGTGACCATGAGGACTCCATAACCTATATGAATGACATGCTGAGACCAGAAACCCAAAATGATGGTAACTGAAAGTGGCACTAAGGCCCTAAGTTTTGGTCACACTCTCACCTAAGTGAAAACCTGGCCCAAGAGGGGGAATTATTTTTAAACAAAATTTTAAATGGGAGGCCATTATTTGGGACTAAGCTCATGCACTAGGCCCCAACAAACCAAACCAAGCTAAAATAGAGCCACTTATGCTAAATGTGACATAATCAAGCTAGGGCTTTAAGAAAACACATAGATCCTAGAACATACCAGGTTTTGTTTTTCTCCTGTAAATAGGATGTTCCAGCATAAGAAGGTACTCTCTACTCAGTCCTTATTCCCTCCTTGCAAAACCCACTGTTCTACTGTTTCCCAGTGGGTTTCAAAACCATATAAGTACATTTACAATAGTGCTAGTAACATCAATGACTAAGGTTTTGGTCATTTTCTCAAAATTGAGAAAATGACCAAAAGGGGGGAATTATTATTATTATTATTATTTTATTTTTATTATACTTTAAGTTCTAGGGTAAATGTGCACAACGTGCAGGTTTGTTACATAGGTATACATGTGCCATGTTGGTCTGCTGCATCCATCAAGTTGTCATTTACATTAGGTATTTCTCCTAATGCTATCCCTCCACCTGCCCCTCACCCTGCAACAGGACCCCATGTGTGATGTTCCCTGCCATGTCCACGTGTTCTCATTGTTCAATTCCCACCTATGAGTGAGAACATGCAGTGTTTGGTTTTCTGTCCTTGTGATAGTTGGCTGAAAATGATGGTTTCCAGCTTCATCCATGTCCCTGCAAAGGACATGAACTCATCCTTTTTTATGGCTGCATAGTATTCCATGGTGTACATGCCACATTTTCTTAATCCAGTCTATCATTGATGGACATTTGGGTTGGTTCCAAGTCTTTGCTATTGTGAATAGTGCCGCAATTAACATATGTGTGCATGTGTCTTTATAGTAGCATGATTTATAATCCTTTGGGTATATACCCAGTAATGGGATGGCTGGGTCAAATGGTATTTCTAGTTCTAGATCCCTGAGGAATCGCCACACTGTCTTCCACAATGGTTGAACAAGTTTACACTCCCGCCGACAGTGTAAAAGCATTCCTATTTCTTCACATCCTCTCCAGCATCTGTTGTTTCTTGACTTTTTAATGATTGCCATTCTAACTGGCATGAGGTGATATCTCACTGTGGTTTTGATTTGCATTTATCTGATGACCAGTGTTGATGAGCATTATTTCATGTGTCTGTTGGCTACATAAATGTCTTCTTTTGAGAAGTGGCTGTTCATATCCTTTGCAAAAAGGGGGGAATTGTTAATGCAAACTAACTATGGCCTAAGAAGGACTCCTTTCTTATATATATAAGTCCTTGTGGATGAACTGTAACCTAGCTTAATAGTCAGACAAAATTGAAAACCTAACTTAGTAGTATGCACCTATAACAATAGTTGAGTTTTGGCCAATCCCAGCGGCCATACTTCAACCACTCATAGACTGCTGAATGTTCAAACTGCGTTCAAATAAGGCAAATGCCGAGCTGTAACCAATTTCACTGTTTCTGTACCTCACTTCCAATTCCTGTATGTCACTTGATCTTTTTTGTCTATAAATTTGTTCTGACCGTGAGGCACCCCTGGAGTGTCTGTGAATCTGTTGTGATTCTAGGGGCTGCCCGATTCACAAATGGTTTGTTGCTCAATTAAACTCCTTTAGATTTAATTTGGCTGAAGTTTTTTTTTTAATCAAATTTCATATCATAAGTCTATATTTTTGAAAACAAACCAACAATGTTCTACAAATGAGGATATATACTTGTATGAATAAATAAAAACTATAGGAAAAATATATACCAAGCTATTTCTATTAGTTAATTCAAGGAGTTTGGAATGGGGGTAGCCTAGGAGTCTGGGGTGGACTAGGATTAGTGGGTATCAGTGATGGTGACTAAGTTTGCCTTTAATATATTTGAGTATGTTGCTTCACTTGTACACACAGGTTATTATTTTTCTAACTTGAAAACCATCAGTAAAACTATCAGATGGGTGGATGGATGAATAGACAGATGAATGGTGGGTCTGAATGAACGGAAGAAAGGCTGGATGAATGGAGGGAAGGGCAGAAGAATGGAAGGAAGGAAAGAAGGGAGGAAGGGAGGGAGAAATGGCAGATAAAGCCCCATGGAAAACACAGCCAGGCAGACCATTCACACCCAGCTCCTCAGCTTTGTATCCTACCTCCTTTAGCTGGACACTGTCTTTGGTGGTCTGGAAGTTCTGGCTGACTTCATTCACCTCTTTCTCAAAGAGTACACGTACTTCACTGAATCCCGAGCTCACTGGTCCCATGAGCTCCTCCAGGATGGATGCCAGGAATGGCTGCACACTCTCCAAGCAGCTTTTCTCCGCCGGCTGGGCCACCATCGCTGAGGTAGGAAATAGCCAAAAAACCGTGACATATGGCAAAACTGGGTTTGTGGGCACTGGAGCCAGACCAGAGCTGAATGGTGCCCCACGGAGCCATTTAACAGCCAAGGCAAGCTCAAGAGGCCATGACAGACTAGCACAATGAGCCTGGTGCCCATGGTCACAAGAAAGGAAAACCACTGGACCCTTTCAGAACTGGACCAAACCTATCCACTCCCCAAGCTTTCCTCTGCCCTGGGATAAAATGCATTTTTCTGCTTGGTCCCTCTGAACATGCAACTCTTCATATGAAGAAGAAAAGGCTGGTGATCCACCTATCTACTGTCAATCACTATCATTAAATATGCACAGTTTGTCTTCTAAAAACACAATTTATTGTTTTAATTCATTTCTCTAGGAGTTAATCACTCAGTATAATTCCATCCTCCTCTCCCCACCAAAATACTTTTTAAGAACTCCAGTACATTCTTTTCTTGGGCCAATGGAACCAAATTCCATTCAGTTTGCCACCCTACCTCCTGTCCCCATCCCTGATTAAAACAAGACAAAACAAAATCACAATAGGTTTTTCTGACCAAGATGACATGCTTAGTGACAAAAATGTAGAATACATTTTGATCACGAAGAAGAATGAAAAAATGCCACTATAATTCCACTCCCCAGAGGAAAGTACTCCTCTTTGATTTAGAAGAGGGAGAGCACAGTGAAGCTCCTGGTGCAGTCTGGGTAGGACATGGAAACCTGCATTGTTTTCAGAGCAGAGGTAACTCTCATGATCAGCTAGGAAGACGCAATGGAGTGAAGGAGGCCGGAGCTAGAAGAAGCCTGAGCTTGCTCCGTGGACTAGAAGGCTAGCCTTGTGGATTGAGGCAGGTCACAGAGCCTTGTCATAGAATCACAGAACTGAGAACAGAAGCACAAGTGGAGCTGGTATCCAATCTCTCCACTTTACAGATGAAAAAAATGAGGCCTGGAGATGTTTGATGACTGGACAAACATCAGACCCTAATTTTCAGGAGCAGGGCTAACATTCAAGTGTCTTTCTTAAGTTCTTCTTGGGAATTTGCTTACAGTGAGATGAATGGCCTCGTTCTTATTTCAACTGGCGGAAATATTTCACAGAGTTGTGCAGGACCAGATCATGGCCTCTTATTCTGATAATCCAAAATGACTAATATTATTAATATTACAAATCACTCAGAAATATTTGGGATGTAAAATATTACACAAGTCATAGAATTATTAAGAAAAAACCCTTTCAATTGTATGATCCAAATATGACACAATCTAAGAGTCTTCTAAAAATGACTTGCTTGACACTAAAGTGTAAAACTGTTTGTCAGGAGATAAATTAATTATTAGTTAATTAACTTTAAAGAGAGGAAGTATTTGAAAAGCATCTAATGGAAATTTCAGAACAATGCTGAACATGGGTAATATGCAATAAAGATCTAGCAGCAGATGGCAGATCTGGGTGGGGCCAAGATAGGCACAGGAGGGCCGTGGGAGGGTATATTCCTCTCTGCCCACTCTCCCTCTGTGCCTACTTACCACAATGTGCTTCCGCCCCCTCTCTGCACCTTTATTCAATGTTCCTTTACCTTGCCTTCCTTCCTCTACCTCTGCTCATAAACATCCTACTCCTCTCTTCAAGGCCCAGTTCAAATTTCACCCTAATGTCCTGGAACTCCCACACAGCTTCCTGAGCTGGGGTCTGCAGGTGTTTCCTTATGGGCTGGATAAGTTCCATGTCCCATTCGTGTATGCACTGCTATTTTTCAAGCATGCAGAGATGCCGCTGTGATGCATATGTGTTTGATACATTAATTCATAAGCCTTACTGAAGTGAAGGAAGGAGCTGAACAGAGCGATGATGCCTGAAAGGCGAGGGCCAGAGGGCCTGGGTTTGGAGCCCGACTCTACCACAACTAGCTCTGGAATCTCAGCAAGTTACCGAATTTCTGCCTCAGTATTATCATCTGTAAAATGGAGATCATAAAAGCAATTATGGTGAGGATTAAATGAGTTTACTATATTACAAGTGCTTACAACTCTGGAAGTGGCCCCTTGGAAGAACTCAGTAACTGTTAGCTCTTATTGTACCTGTTGGCATTATCGTTTTTTCCAGTCCCCCGACACTAGACCTGTGCTCTCATTATGAGGGGCCCACATAGCTTCTTGAGGTTGAAATGGGATCTATGCTCACATTGGGAACCACTGTGCTCTTTGTTCTACCGCTGGTAGGAAGATGTTTTTCCTTCTGTCTCAGCATCTGTGACATGCTTTGTATCCTCCTCTCCTTGTAAAATCACGTTGTCTTCTTTGAGTCATTCCAGCCATTGTACTCAGCAGAAGTAGAATAAATACTTATTGAATGAATAAATAATTGTGCAGCAGAACTAAAGCTCAGGGGCTTTACTCCCAAGAGTCATATGGGAGGAAATAGACAGATCACCATTTAATACTCCCCAGGTTTTTTTTTAGAAATACAAAGCCCTTTATTAATGCAGCCGAAAGCGCACTTCCTTGTTTTAAAGGTGGAGCACTGGATGCCTAGTTAAAATGTGTTTCTGATATTTCATTTTATTTATTTTTCATTTTTTGGGCTTTCCAGCAAAAACTGGAAAGCCTGCTAGACAAATTCTAAAAGAGCTGTAACACTGATATTCCATTTTAAAAAGACTTGATCATTACTTCCTTTTACGGCTTCTTTTAGGAAATAAATACTAATTCAGGGCAAAATCTTTTTCCATCATATGTGGATACACCGGAGCCACAGAGATTTAAGCAAAGGATGACAATTTAGTTTCAGCCATGAGAACGGCTACAGTTAGGCCCAACTTAGCTCCAGATAGCAGAAATTTTGGCACAGAAGTTGAGCACTGGTAGTTTTAAGTAGTACAAAGTATTTCAATATATAGTCAACTCTAGATTAGTTGTACTAATGGAGGAATAAGAGACACAGATAGTAGAAAACATCAAATACTCTGAGGTTAATGTAGAGCTGGCTTTGGAAAGGATGGCGTAAATAGACACCCAGAGATACACAGACACACACACCAGTGCTGGAGCTGTGCCTCCTCAAACCTCCTCTCAGCAGGACCTGTGCTAAGAACCCTGAAGCAAGCTGGGCTGCAGTGGAAAGGGGGCCTGAACTGCAGAGGCTAATCCACAAAGCCGACAGCCCCGAGACTCTAAGCCTCCTGAGCACAGGAATAGGGTGTTCCTCGGTCACTGCTAAAGCTCCATTGTCTCGCTTGGAAAGCACTTAGTCCACAGTTTCTAATGAATGAATGAGTGAGTGAGGGAATAATCTGAGAACTTTCTAGGAAGACTGTCAATAAACAATCACAGATGAGCCTGCAAGCTTCTCCTCTGAAGTGACACTAGGTCACTAGGTACGGGTGTGTTTGTTGGGTTGTAGAGGCCCCAGATAGAATGGAGAACCATAGAATTTCATTCTGTAGGATTCCTTAGAGGCCATCTAAGGTCTCTTGTATGGGAATAGGCAAACTGTTTTCTGTAAAGGACCAAATAGTAAATATTTGTGCCTTTGTGGTCCGTAAGGTCTCAGTTCCAACTATTCACTTCTGTTGTAGCACAAAAGCAGCCACAGACAATACATAAATGAATGTGCCTGGCTGTGTGCCAAGAAAACATTATTTACAAAAACAGGTGGTGGCCCAATATGGCTCAAGGGCTTCAGTTTGCCAATCCCACTCCTGTGGGTCCTCCTAATTTCAGAGGAGGACACTGAGCTAAACAGAAGGTGAGTGACCTCCCCAATTATGCATGGACTGCCTAATATTGGAGTTGGGGCTACAAACCTACATTTATTGGGTTTGTAGGGTGACTGGGTATGACTCCAAGCCAAAATTTTGGGCTTTCATGTTAGAGGAAAATCCATATATTAATTGATTTGAATATTTGCTGAGTCTGTATATGCCAGGCGTGACACCAGGCCCTGGGTGTACTTGAGTAAACCAGGGTGACATGGCTCTGCTCTTTGAGAGCTTACGGCAGAGAGGAGGTGGAGCAGAAGCCAGTCTAATTCAGTGTCAAGGGTGCTACAATGGGGGTTGGGGGTGCAGGCAGTATCAAATACACAGGCACTGCCAAAGGCAAGAAACAAACTTTCCTCTGCCTTGTGTCCATGAAGCTTCCACGGGAAGGCCCAGGCCCCTAATGGTACCTCCAGCATGTTCCTGTTGCAGCTGTGATCACCTCCTCCCAATTTCTTAAGTGTAATTATCCTCTGAAACCATGCATTCCTGCTATGTGGTGGATCCCTGCATGTACAGCTTATTTAATTAGTAAGAGCATGGATTATCTCTACTGACCTTTGATCTTTCCAATTAAATAGTTCTTTGAGTTCACAATCTGATCCATGTCAGAACGGATCGTTCCTTCCAGGCCCTTTGTCAGAGCTCTGCATTCCTCCTTCAAGGCACTTAATCCTTCTGAAACTTGATGCTGAACCAGGGTGTAGGCCTCCTCGAGGAGCTGCAACAAGGAATAACACATAAATCAGGGCTCTGTCACGTGTAAGCACTGATGGAGTCAAGTGGAGGGAGGAGCCTTCATCACAGGCCATCATAACAAACAGAACTGCACACACATTGTAATTTTTCTTTCAAAGTTGGAGTCTGTTTGGAACAGTCTTCTTGTAAGTGAGACTCAGCAGGTTCGAAGTAGGCATTTCTACACCCAGGGAAGGGAATATCAACAACAACAACAAATGCCCTAAAAGAAAAGGGAAGAGAATGTTCCCATTTTGAGTAGCTCAGTTGTAGAGCAAAACCATTGCTTACACCAAGCCACGTCCTCTTTCTGTCATTCTTCTTCCCCTTCATCTTAGGCAGCAGGTCTGTCTGAAGAGTGGGCAGGAGCTCCTCCATCACCAGGTTACTCAGGATCTGCGCAGCAGAAGACAGCCCAGAGTCGGTCAGTCGGTGATGGCTACATCTGAGCATCAGGCCAACTAAAAATGTCCTGATTGGCTGTCCCTGTCCCGGACCAGATGAACTCTGTAGTAGGTTAATAGTTTAACCTACTACAGAGGCCACAGAAATCTCAACTAAGACAATCTTAGAGGCTGAACATTCTTAAACATCCGCAAGGAACAGTAACATCTGCTGATATTCTCACCTTGTTGTTTTCCCAATGTAAATAACAAATTCCCCAAATTCGAACTTCACATATTCAAACTAGAAGAACTTAGGGCATACAGTAAAATGAAAGAGTTCAATAATGGATAAGGACATCTTCAGCAAAATTGTGAAGGAATTGCAAGGCTTGGTTTTGGTGGCTTGCATCTTAGTCTGTGTCCCCTGGGACTATCATTCCTCCTAAGCCCTTCATGATCAAGGTATCAAAGTATCTCCATGCTCTTCGTCCCCACTGTCCCCCAAGCCCCATTGTCATCCTCTTTAATGTTTAGTAAACGAAGGGAGGAGCAGTGTGAAGAAGTGAGAATGACGTCTAGACCGACCAGAGCCCAGGTACCACTGCATCCCACCATGCAGTGCCTTCATCCAGCACTGGAGAAAGTCTGAGGGGATGCTCCAAGAGATACAGCCACATTGAAGGATAAACCACAGAGAAGATCAGCAAGGTTGTCTGCTTGACCTGCTTCTCCACAGCCAGAACCCAAGCCCCAAAAGGCCCCTGCTAAGAAGGAAGAGAAGGTACGCAGAAGGAAAAAAGGGAAAGGCTGGCACTGGCAAAGAGGGAAATAATCCTGCAGAAAATGGAGATGCCAGAACAGACCAGGCACAGAAAGCTGACGATGCTGGAGATGCCAGGGGAAGTGTGTGCGTTTTTGATAACTGTGTACTTCTGGTAACCATACAATTGGAAATACTATTTTTTTTTAAATGGAGTTTTATAAAAATGTAGAATGTTGTCTTACTTTTCTTAAAGCTATGTTATTATTACACAGAACATTTCATTTTTTCGGGGGGAAGGGGCATATGTCACTAATAGAATGTCTCCGAAGCTGGATTAATGTGGGGAAACACCTTTTCTTCCAGTTTTGAGAAACTTCCTCTTGGCTCCCAGGAGGGGGATTCCTGGCATTGACACACATAGCTACCTTGGCACAAACACCTTATGGTGTGGGAAAACTAAAATTCATTATTTCTTCTTCTCCCTCTCTGCCTTTAGTATGGTCTCAACTTCCTTAAACCCAGAGACCTGTTGGGACCTGACACCTAAAATTAATTAGCAGTCAGGTGGCCATCTGGACCTTCCAGTGACCCCTATTGAGAGGGCAGCTCTCAAAACAACAGCAGTTCCTTTTTTAGATTGTGGATCTCCAGACTGATGATTCTGCCATTTTCATTTCATTTCCTGAAAGTCAAGATTGGCTCATGAAAAGTTGTTAAACAACATGCTACATGTGAAATGTCAACCCTCACTGCAATCGAGAGTCTAAGCAAATGAAGATTTCACTGGGTTTTATACAGCTGTCTGATTTTGGTTCATTGAAGAAGAGAGTTTGGAAGTTGTTGTATACTGTTAGCAATTGTCTGCTCATGGCCTGTCTAATATACGATGATTGCTTACAAAAAGCATCTTTAATAAGACTGGATACAGTTTGAAAAAGGAAAAAGAAGGCAATAACCAATATTTTGGAACAAACAAATATTTGGAACATTTATGGGAGGGTATGAGATAATTAATGGGACTGAAACAAAGAAAAAGGAAAAAATAAAAAAAGAATATGGGAGGGAGTGTCTAAATTTTTCAAGTGTTTTTAAAAAATGTGTTCCCACATCACTCCTAAAATTTTGCTTGGCTCAATTAAACTATTTCTTGTGAATCTGAGCAGTATTCTACACATCCACTCATGCTACTGGCCCTTCCTTCTTTACCCCTGCTCCTGAATTGCAGCAGCTTTGCTGTTCAGATTCACTTTCACCACGAGTCTTTCAAGGCCCACAGCTCAGCTTGCAATCATAGGCTGCACACTAAGATTTACAAAAGGGGAAGCACAGTTTTAGGAAGGGAAGCAGGCAGAAAAGTAGGGAATCACTTGAAACATCTGTTCTATGAGTTTGAAATAATATTTGTCCAAAATAACTGACCTCCTCCTTTCACTTCTCATAAAAATTCAAATTATGCTTTGGGAATTAAGGAAGATTTGCTCTGAGGTCACTGGTCACTAGTGGAAATGCCCGTGAGCTCATTTGATCTTGCCTTTAATCAGGGCTCTGTCGCAGCAAGGTGTAACGCTTTCACTGAAGCAAATAGAAACACTCTCAGGGTGGAGGTGGACGAGCTATCCAGTCCCACTGTGCCTGTGGGTTGCTGGCAGAGAAGGTGCTTAGCTCTGGGCAGCAAGTGGGGCTCCTGTCATCTGCCAAGTGGATCTGCCTGGCGTGACAAAAGTTATGATGGGGACAGAGTTTCCACTAGCCCTGGTAATTCACTGGTGGGGATGTTTTTGACCTTTCTTCAGCCTTCTCTGGGGGCAGTCAAGAGATGAATCACCATTTTCTGTGGTGTTTAAGAGTAACCTAACATGCACAAAACTCCATGGAAATTAGCAGGTCCAACAATTATTGAAAGTAATGGCAAGAACCGCAATTACTTTTGCACCAACCTAATAGATTCAGTGGGTAATTAATAATCCACCAGCCCACCCTGCTCAATGGGATAAGTTCTTGTTTGGAACACATCTGCCGAAAGTGTGGTATGGGAAGAGTGAGCCAAGAGGAAGAGAGACCAATGCCAGAATTTAAAATCAGTGGGTTGACATTATGAAACTCAAGGGTCATAAGAATTGTCCCAATTCATCCTTTTGCAGAGACTGGTCAGAATTTTAGCATAAGTGTGAAATGGGTTTGAAAATATGAAAATGCTATATATAAAGGCCAAAGAAAAATAATGTTCCATTTGGGTGGGCTTATAGTTTTGTTTAGTCTTTCCCACACAATGTTCCAAGAAATTTGGCTCTATGTTACAACTTAGGGAATTAAAGGAAATATGTCTGCGAGGAAAAAGAGAGGGTGGGAGTGGGTTACGAGTGGCGGGGGGGTGATATGGTTTGGCTGTGTCCCCACCTAAATCTCATCTTGAATTGTAGCTCCTATAATTCCCATGTGTTGTGTGGGGGACCTGGTGGGAGATAATTGAATCCTAGGGGCTGTTTCCCCCATACTGTTCTAGTGGTAGTGAATAAGTCTCACCAGATCTGATGATTTTATAAGGGGTTTCCCCTTTCATTTGGCTCTCATTCTCTCTTGTCTGCTGCCATGTAAGATGCGCCTTTCACCTTCCTCCATGATTGTGAGGCCTCACCAGTAACATGGAACTGAGAGTCCATTAAAACCCTTTTTCTTTATAAATTACCCAGTCTCGGTTATGTCTTTATCAGCAGCATGAAAACGGACTAATACAGTGGGGGAGTGGGGCTCAGGGAATAGCCACAGGGCAGCAGAGCCTGTGGGTGCTGAAGCTCAAGTGCATCGCATCCCAACCACCATCCTCATCCTCCGACTTTCAGCCCCACCCTGCCCTGATCGAGTGCTGCCTGTCACCTCCCCAGAGCCCACTCTGGCATTCCCTACCATGGTCTGCCTTCCACAAGCAGAGTCTTAAGGTCTTGGGCTTTTCTAGAGAAAGTAGCTAATCTAATAAATAAATTGTAATAATGAAGGAATTCCCTAGCCTCTTCCCCTCAGAACAGTATCCACTGAATTTTAACATAAGTGACCTAAAAATACTTCAGTTTTTTTTTTTTTTAATGGGGGGTGTTGGCAAGGGCAGTGTTTTGTATACTTAACTGCTAGGACTTGGAGATTTAAAAATTCTATCACTCCTACAAGAAACTAAGCATGTCACTAGGTTGATCAAAACCAACAAACCCGGGATCGCCCCTTGAAGGCCACACCACAGTGCTTCCTTTCAGATGCTGAGCTGTCAGGAAGGTGTGGGGTCCAGAGAGACCACCCTCCTTCCTGAAGCAGGCCCCGCAGTCTCACCAGGCTGCTGGTCCAGGCCCCTTGCATTACTGAGTGGCCGTGGGTGAAAAAATCCAGTCAAAAGGAGTCACACTTAAGATCTTTCAGCAAAAGACAACTCTGGAGCACGTGGACAAGGCCTAAAAATGCGGGTAGTTTTGTTTTTTGTTTTTTTTTTTTTTTTCCGTCTTGAAACTGTTCTGTGGGAATTATGAGCTGTTCTCTAGCCCATCTTGGTATTTTAAAAGCAAATAATAAATATATCACATAGCTAGAGATACTTTACAGTTGCAAAGCCCTTTCCCTCATGATCTCATTTGATATATTTATATTGACAAGTAGAAAATATGTTGATGTTTTTACTGGCATACAAATATTTTCACCTTAACAGTCTGCCAGGCAAGTTATTCTGAGATAGTTGCTTTGCCTGAGCACTTGCCTAAAATAACCATCGCTATGAGGGCCTTCCATTCTTGCTGTGTGAGTCATTACTATGAAGGTAATGGAGCAAGGCTGGAAGTCTGAATGCAGGCCCCTAGGGTAGAGGGGTTCAGGACAGGGTTAAGATTAAGGTCTTAGCAGACAGGAAGAAAAAATGCAAATAAACCCAGCACTTTAAACAAAAGATGTCATTTTCTCAAACTCAGTTATGCTATGCCATTTTCTTTAACCACTTGGTAGCTTCTCCGGGCCCCTGGCCTCTTTTTTCTATGAGTCTTAGGGTAGACACTGCTTTACTGTTATGCACCATGTCTTAGAGTCTGAGGGGAACTATAATCCTTACCTGGCCTCACACAGTAAGCTTTAGAGGCCATTTCCTTTTACCAGCTTCTCCAAGCCGGTTTAAAATGCATTTCTGTAACAGACTAGTTTTCTGACTTCAGCCAACTGCTCTGAATGTTCTTTCTCTTACCTGTAGGGTGCTGGACAAATAATCCTGAAATGCCCCTCCAGCATTCACATTTTATTAGTCTGTTATTTTACCAAAACACTTAAATTCTGAGAGAAGCAAAACCATTTTTTTTTTTTTTGAGACAGGGTCTCTCTGTTGCCCAGTGTAGTGGCACAATCACAGCTCACTGCATCCTTGACCTCATGGGCTCAAATGATCCTACTGTCTTGGTTTCCCAAATAGCTGGGACTACCTGCACATACCACTGTTCCCAGCTAATTTGTACAAAACTTTTTGAAGAGATAGGGTCTTGCTATGTTGCCCAGGCTAATCTCGAACTCCCGGATTCAAGCAGTCCTCCCAACTTGGCCTTCCAAAGTGCTAAGATTACAGGTATGAGCCACCACACCCAGCCCCTGTGAAACTTCTTAGTGGGACACTTGATACCTCCAGTGATTTCTGATCTCTTTTCTGCTTTTTTTGTTTTGTTTTGCTTTCCCACTTAAAATGTTTTTTATCCTGCAAAACTAGGAGCTTACTATGACCACTTGCACAAATGCTTTACAATCTCCATCTATATAGAGACCCATATACATATACCCCACACACATATGTGCCTTGTCTTCTGCATGTTTTCTATGTGTGTCTCGCCTCACCATGATGGCAAGGGACGAGTCATTTCTCTCTCTTCCAACTTACACCACTTAGCACATAATCAGCCTGAAGCCAAAACAAACTCAAACTCAACTCCCAGAAAGGATTTATTAAATACATATATTCTTTTTTTTTTTTTTTTTTTTGAGATGGAGTTTCATACTGTCACCTGGGCTGGAGTAGGGTGGCATGATCTTGGCTCACTGCAACCTCCGCCTCCCAGGTTTAAGCAATTCTCCTTGCCTCAGCCTCCCAAGCAGCTGGGATTACAGGACCGCCACCATGCCCAGCTAATTTTTTTCTATTTTTAGTAGAGACAGGGTTTCACTGTGTTGGCCAGGCTGGTCTCGAACTCCTGGTCTTGTGATCTGCCCGCCTTGGCCTCCCAAAGTGCTAAGATTACAAGCGTGAGCCACTGCGCCTGGCCTAAATATCTATTTTCAATGGCATCATGGAGGAATGTAAGTTCACATTAGTTTCCAAGTGAAAGAAAAAAGTGAAGCAAGTGGCATAGCTGAACTCAAGGAGCTATTAAAAAATAAATGTGTAACTTAGTATATTCCCATGGTTGGTGTTGGTCTTTCACTCGGCCAGGATCAGAAGCCATCATTGCCTTTGCATTTGTCCACTTAGCATGTAACTCTGAAACTATCAGCTCCACAGGGCCAGGACCATTCTGTCTTGTCCATCTCTGGGTCACTAGCCCCCAGCACATTGCCCGGCATAGAGTCAGTGCTCAGTAAATAGTAGTTGAATGAATGAGACTAGGCAAGTCACTTAGCTGTTATATGCTTCCCTCAGTTTTCTCATTTACAAAATTGAAATAACAATAACTGCCTTACCCATCTCATAAGATTGGCAAGACAAACACCATTAGGTTTCGAACATTGTCAAGTATCACACAAAAGCATTTGACTACTCATCTATCTATTAACTATGTTGGCTTACATGGCAGGCCAGCCAGTGTCAAGTGCTTCAGCCTCCCCTTCTGACACTTTTGTTTTTCTTAATGGCATAAGTACATAACTATTTAGTTCTCTCACACTTATGAATGGCTGTGCTTCCCCAAAATATCAGAAACCAAGACTTGTTTAAAATTCTGAAAGAAGCAAGTCTCAGGTTGGGAAATAGATGAGTTTAGAATCTACCAGACAGAAAAAAAAAGAGAGAGAGAGAAAGAGAAGATTCTGATGGTAAACACATGTTTTCATATGGTGAAACAATAAAGAAGAGCTCCCTCATGAGTTTTCAGCATTAGCTGTTTAATGACCACACAGAGGCAAGGCACCATTCAGCATCCTCCAAATATTGTTCTCTAATAATGAATTTCACTAGCTCCCAAAAGAGGTACCCTAGGAGATGTGGAAAAAAAAAATAGTGGGGCCAGGCGTGGTGGCTCATGCCTATAATCCCAGCACTTTGGGAGCCCGAGGCAGGGGGAATCACGAGGTCAGGAGTTTGAGACTAGCCTGGCCAACATGGTGAAACCCCATCTCTACTAAAAATACAAAAGTTAGCAGGAGTGGTGGCATGCATCTGTAGTCCCAGCTACTCGGGAGGCTGAGGCAGAAGAATCGCTTGAACTAAGGAGGCGGAGGTTGCAGTGAGCTGAGATTGCGCCACTGTACTCCAGCCTGGGCCACAGAGCGAGACTCCTCTCAAAAAAAAAAAAATAGCATTCTTAAATACCGTGTTACTTTATGTAAATATGCCCGTACCCAGCCTCCTCTTCTTGGGTGAAGCAGCCATGTGACTGGTGTCATCATGGAGGCTGGGGTCACATCACAAAGCAGTTTCCTTAGATTTATAATACTGTCCCTGGGACCAAGCCCACTGAAGTGCTTAGGCCATGATTGGCATCTAGTCAGGATCATGAGGAATTATAATGTACCACAGGGCACAGAAAACTAGAAAAGATAAATTAAATATATAGAAAACTGTCTAATGCTTTTTGAATTTGTTTTTTTCATTACTTCATTTACATATAATTCAATAAAGACAGCTGCGTACCAAATACTTCCCCAACTGCACTTCACTTGTCACGATGATGCAAGGTAAACATTATTATTCTTATTTTTTCCAGAGGAGTAATCTAAGACTAAAAGAGGTTAAATAAGTTGGCATGACTGAAGTCCAAGTTTGCGGACCCTAGCTAAAGCCCTGTCATGCACTTCGCACTATTCCTCGGTACTCACACTTGATTCTAGTCTGGAAGCACGAGGTCATTTGAAAGAGTAATTCTTTTCATAGAAAACAGTGGAGGCAGCTCTTTCCACTGTAGTTGTCATGTTTTTGGCTGCCCTATTTCATGCCCAGTCTGGTGGTCTTTGTAGTAGGTGCCCAGTAGTTTCCTGACCAATGCTTGCAGACATGAGAGAGATGGTCTTTGGAACCACATCTTCCATACTTGCAACTTTTCTGTTTGATTGTTTAATAAAATGACCCTGACTTCGTATCACCCAAATACCCAAACACAGAGAGAATCCAAAATTTTGAACCCCATATTACCTGGATTTCATCCCCAGTGATCATTTCCCAGGAACCATAGTGACCCTTCTCCTGTCGGAAGAATTGCACAGCTTCTAAAAAGGCTTGGGCTTCAAATGTCATCTGCTTCATGTAATCTAAAGAAAAGAAGAAAGGGCATTCAGCAAGATAAAACACTCTAGATTTCCCCATAGCTCTTCAAGTGTAATGGCTCAGAGACCTAGCATTATCTGAAAATGACAAGGCATGGGATTATAAGACACAGAGAAAGTTAAGCAAGTACTGAATTCAAAGTTAATTTGCAGGTGTACATCACACTACTTGTTCATCGTCCTAGCTGATGAATTCTATCAGTTACTGAGCATAGTGGTTAGGACTAGAAGGAGGCCCGTCTCCTTTACCCTCTCTTATACATGCTCCCCTATCCACCCACAGGCACCCAGCGCCTTTACGCTACCAGCTGTGACACCTTACTCAGAAAGGCCGTCCCTTAACAGTGCCTCTTGTGTTCAAAGTATCTCCTTCCAGTTTCCCAACAAAACAATTTCTCTGTGACTCGGTATCAGCTTTCAATACAATATGCATCAACACAACATGCCAATTTATGCAAATGAAGATAATAATTGCTAACACTTACAAAGCAGGATAATGTTCATCTAAGCACTTTACAGATTTCATTGAGACCTCACAAAAACCCTCGAGGAGAGTATAATTATCCTCATTTTACAGATGAGGAGACTGAGGCACAGAAAGATGAATTAATTGCCTAGATCATATAGCTAGTGAGTGGCACAGCCCAGGTGTGAAATGTAGTCTGACCTCAGAGCTTGCCTCTAACCATGATGCTATATTGTCTTACATACTAGTTTTACGGGTTTGCCCTTCTAAACATACTGGATTTTAAATGGTGTCATATCTGAGAGGTACTATCCTACCACAAGGAATGAATATCTAATGGTGGAACTTAAGGTGTATAGAGGGAGCTGGGCTGAACGGCCTTCTCAGAGTTCCATAAGTCATGCTAGGCATGCAGTGTCTTCATTTCCAGCACATAAAATTGGCTCTTGGGGGACACAATGATTACAAAATTATAGAAATCTTCATGAGGAAATGAACTTCAGAAATAATCTAATCAAATAATAAATAATCAAGCCTTAGAAAGGGGAAATAAAAGGGCAAAGTGAAGTGAGTGAAAAGGCCAAGTTCCCTGACTCTCCTCCTATAAGGCACAAAGCTCTCCTGCCAATAGCACATTTATAGGGCAACATTACATTGGTGATTTGGAGGCAGCTGATTTGGGGGGTGAGGAGGAACCATCACAGCTTTAGACAGTGGGATTATTCAGTAAGAGACTAAATAGTTGATATGGGGAACTAAGCAGAACTAAAAAAGGATCAATCTGCTCTCAAAGGTAACAATCAATTAATAGGTGGTAGATGACTCTTTTGAGATTGGCTTACTAGATCATAAACCTCAGGAACTGAGAAAAGAGAAAAGAATTCAAGGCTTAGCCTCTACAAGAGTTCAAGCAAAACTATTCACAGTGAGGATACCACGAAGTCCATTCGAAGCTGCATTTTAAAAAATGTGGAACAGTGGCCAGGCATGGTGGTGGCTCGCACCTGTAATTCCAACACTTTGGGAGGCCAAGGATGGAGGATCACTTGATGATAGGAGTTCAAGACGAGCCTGGGCAACATAGTGAGACCACATGTCTACAAAAAAAATTAGCTGAGCACGGTGGCACATGCCCATAGTCCCAGCCCCTCAGGAGGCTGAGGCAGGAGGATCACTTGAACCCAGGAGTTTGAGGCTGCAGTGAGCTATAACTGCACAATTGCACCCTATCCAGGGCAATAGAGTGAGACCCTGTCTCAAAAAAATAAATAGATAAATAAATAAAAAGAAAAGAAACGAATATGGAACAGTAACTGACATTTCCAATAGTAACATAGAGATTTGGTCAAAATCTAAATTAAATTTTGAAAAAAGAGCATGTTTCAAGAATCAAGGTTTTTTGAAAATTTTTTCTTTTTTTTTTTTTCGATTATACTTTAAGTTCTAGGGTACATGTGCACAATGTGCAGGTTTGTTACATAGGTATACATGTGCCATGCAGGTTTGCTGCACCCATTAACTCATTATTTACATTAGGTATTTCTCCTAATGTTATCCCTCCCCCTGCCCCCCACCCCACAACAGGCCCCAGTGTGTGATGTTCCCCACCCTGTGTGCAAGTGTTCTCATTGTTCAATTCCCACCTATGAGTGAGAACATGCAGTGTTTGGTTTTCTGTCCTTGTGATAGTTTGCTCAGAATGACAGTTTCCAGCTTCATCCATGTCCCTGCAAAGGACATGAACTCATCCTTTTTTATGGCTGCATAGTATTCCATGGTGTATATGTGCCACATTTTCTTAATCCAGTCTATCATTGGTGGACATTTGGGTGGGTTCCAAGTCTTTGCTATTGTGAATAGTGCCACAATAAACATATGTGTGCATGTGTCTTTACAGTAACATGATTTATAATCCTTTGGGTATATACCCAGTAATGGGATGGCTGGGTCAAATGGTATTCCTAGTTCTAGATCCTTGAGGAATCACCACAGTCTTCCATAATGGTTGAACTAGTTTACACTCCCACCAACAGTGTAAAAGCATCCCTATTTCTCCACATCCTCTCCAGCATCTGTTATTTCCTGACTTTTTAGTGATCGCCATTCTAACTGGTATGAGGTGGTATCTCACTGTGGTTGTGATTTGTGTTTCTCTGATGACCAGTGATGATGAGCATTTTTTCATGTGTCTGTTGGCTGCATAAATGTCTTCTCTTGAGAAGTGTCTGTTCATGTCCTTTGCCCACTTTTTGATGGGGTTGTTTTTTTTCTTGTAAATTTATTTAAGTTCTTTGTAGATTCTGGATATTAGCCCTTTGCCAGATGGGTAGATTGCAAAAATTTTCTCCCATTCTGTAGGTTGCCTGTTCACTCTGATGGTAGTTTCTTTTCCTGTGCAGAAGCTCTTTAGTTTAATTAGGTCCCATTTGTCTATTTTGGCTTTTGTTGCCATTGCTTTTGGTGTTTCAGTCATGAAGTCTTTGTCCTGAATAGTATTGCCTAGGTTTTCTTCCAGGGTTTTTATGGTTTTAGGTCAAACATTTAAGTCTTTAATCCATCTTGAATTAATTTTTCTATAAGGTGTAAGGAGGGGATCCAGTTTCAGCTTTCTACATATGGCTAGCCAGTTTTCCCAGCACCATTTATTAAATAGGGAATCTTTTCCCCATTTCTTGTTTTTGTCAGGTTTGTCAAAGATCAGATGGTTGTAGATGTGTGGTGTTAGTTCTGAGGCCTCTGTTCTGTTCCATTGAGCTGTATCTCTGTTTTGGTACCAGTACCATGCTGTTTTGATTACTGTACCCTTGTAGTATAGTTTGAAGTCAGGTAGCGTGACGCCTCCAGCTTTGTTCTTTTTGCTTAGGATTGTCTTGGCAATGTGGGCTCGTTTTTGGTTCCATATGAACTTTAAAGTAGTTTTTTTCCAATTCTGTGAAGAAAGTTATTGGTAGCTTGATGGAGATGGCATTGAATCTATAAATTACCTTGGGCAGTAGGCCATTTTCATGATATTCTTTCTTTCTATCTGTGAGCATGGAATGTTCTTCCATTTGTTTGTGTCCTCTTTTATTTCACTGAGCAGTGGTTTGTAGTTCTCCTTAAAGAGGTCCTTCACATCCCTTGTAAGTTGGATTCCTAGGCATTTTATTCTCTTTGTAGCAATTGTGAATGGGAGTTCACTCACGATTTGGCTCTCTGTTTGTCTGTTATTGGTGTATAGGAATGCTTGTGATTTTTGCACATTGATTTTGTATCCTGAGACTTTGCTGAAGTTGCTTATCAGCTTAAGGAGATTTGGGGCTGAGACAATGGGGTTTTCTAAATATACAATCATGTCATCTGCAAACAGGGACAATTTGACTTCCTCTTTTCCTAATTGAATACCTTTTATTTCTTTCTTTTGCCTGACTGCCCTGGGCAGAACTTCCAACACTATGTTGAATGGGAGTGGTGAGAGAGGGCATCCCTGTCTTGTGCCCGTTTTCAAAGGGAATGCTTCCAGTTTTTGCCCATTCAGTATGATATTGGCTGTGGGTTTGTCATAAATAGCTCTTATTATTTTGAGATATGAAGAATCAAGTTTTTAAATCGAAGTATTTTTTCCTCATTATTTTTCTTGGCTTGGCAAGTGATTTAATGTTTAATCTTAGAGGTTTGAAAAACAAAAATTAAAGTCTTGCTATAAAATTGACAATACCATTGGCAGCGTTCTCTCCACAAGGGGATTGTGATATGGGGCTTAGTACACTGGGAGGGACTTTACCAACTGAGATGGAAACTGTAATTATTACATTGGGATTCAAGATTGACTCATGTGCTCTTATTTTTAACAGCTGTTTTCATTTTCAACCTAAGAAAACAAAGAGATGGAAGAAAATATGGTACTGTGTCTGGATGCAGTGAGTATGGCCAGATCTGCAAGCCAGGGAATGAAGTTTTAAATTCTTCACATCCTTATAAGAAGCATAAATTTACATATTTCCTCCTCTACTGACCTCAGTAACTGCAGGAGACACTTGAAATCTTGTCCATTACCTTCTGTATCTATATCAAAGCAAACAATGACACTCCCACTGATGGCTGTGTTTCAAAGATCTTTGGAAAAAGTAACTGAAGAAATGGGATTTGGAGATGTGGATGTCAGACAGAAGTCAAAGAAGGAACCAGAAGGAGAGCTCCAATGTAATAGTGGTGGAAGTGAAGCATCTTAATACAGAAGAGAAGAAAAGTATTAATAATCAAATGAGCCACAAGAGAAATTATAGTCATCCAACAACGAAGCCTCAGAGAATGAGGGCCTGGATCTGAATTCTGGACTCTACCATTCAGGCAGACTTAAACTAGATTTTAAATACTTCCTTTCCATAAAGGAAAAAAGATCTAATCTACTGATTCATCATTGTATTTTCAGCTAATAAACTGTTAAATTAATATATGTAAAACTTTTAGAACAAATCTGCTACATTGTAAGTTGCTTTATATACATTTGTTCTTAAGATTATAAGCACAGGTCAATAGCAACTGACAGATCATTAAGCAAATAAACGACAAAGGTTTGCTTTGTAAAAGATAACACTGTGCTGCAATGGTAATATAAAAGCTTCATTTATTCTAAGTTGTTTGAGAAGGCATTGCTGAGCTCAGTCAGAATGTACAGGTGTTCAAGAGAAACCAGATTAGCAGTTATTTTATGAACTTCCTGCCACAGATCTCATGGGAACAAATTCCAGGTTCACAATCACCTACTCTCCTGCCAATAAGCAAATTGAGAGTTTCGTTCTGTGGCCCTCAGAATCAAAATGGTTTTTGGCTTTTAAGCAGTCTCCTGGCAAGCCAACTTAGAAACAAATGGCAGCTATCAGCCCAAACTCTACTCTTCCAGCGTGCTATAATTATGAGAAGGCCTAGGGAGACAGAGTGCTGGGGAGTAACTTAGACATCACTACATTCAGCTCTCTCATTTAATGGATGAGGAAACTGGAACAAGAAATGGTTAATTTCCTAGCTGAAGGTCACACAGCTGGTCAGTAGCAGAGCCAAAAGTTGAAAAAGTGGCTCTGGCATGTTGTAAGTGGCCCTGGCATTCATGCTAACTTAAATAATAGACTATGAGAGTTGGAAGTGATCTTAAAGGTCACCTACCCCAAGCTCTCATTCAATGTTGGGATCCTTCAGAATCCCAGACAGACACTGGTTTGGCCCCGGCTTGATTATTTCCAGTGACAGGAAGCTCACAATTTAATGAAAATAGTTCTTTCCATCACTGAACTGCTCCAAATTTTCCTTCTATTGAGCCAAAGTCTGTTTCCATGGACTCTCTCTCCCATTAATCTCATTTCTCCCTTTCAGAACAAAATAGACAAGTTTACTCTTCTTCCATATGGTAACCCGAGAAAAAAACAGTAATCAGCTGAATATCCTTATTTCTCTTCAACTGTTCTTTAAACAGCGTATCTTTTGAATCTTTTTAATTTGACCTTCCCTTTTCCTTCTTTCCCTCAGTGATCCATTCAAATTTATCTATATCTTCCTTAAACTTGACCTCTACAACTGAATACAATAGACTAGGTATTGTCCGACTGGTGCAAATTATACCAAGTCAAAGGATACTTTCTTTTTCTGATCTCTAACCTCTTTTTTAATACAACCACGTCACACTGTTGACTCCTGTCTTTCTAGAGTTATAAATCCTTATACCTTTTTCATATAAAACTCTTGCCAATATAAGCCTCTCCTAGCCTGTATTTCTGCTTTTGACTTCGAAGGACAGATTTTTAACATTATCTCTATTACATTACAACTTACTGTGCTCGGCCCAGAGCCCCGAACCTGCTGAAATCATTTAAAAACTGTGATTCTGTCCCCTGAGTCTCTTATACCACAGTATCATCTGAAAACCTGGTAAGTTTGCCTTCTATGTTTCTGGCCAACTCAACGATACAAAAACATTCACCAGATCAGGAGTGAGGAAAGAGCCCTGAGAAACGATAAGCATTTGGGGAGATAGAGGGGAGACACATTTTGGCCATTCATTCAACAATCACATCCTCACGACCAAGAACTGTGTAGGAATGCACTATTCTCTTTAGTCTCTCTCTACTTCCTCATTCATGCAGCTGCATGGAAAACTCATATTTGGTAGACATGATTAAGGATTCTGCAAGGAAAGGAAAACTTCTCTAGGCCTCTTGGGGACAGTTATTCATGGGGCCAGCCAGAGAGGAGCTGCTTTTATTTTTTTCCACTTATACAGATTTATAACACATCTGAATCAACTGAAACACCAAAGCTCCAAGGCCTGTGGAGTCATTCTAGATTCTGCCTCTGGCTGTGGTGTTGGGACTCCCTGACTCAGGCTGGGTTTGGAAGCTGCCTTGTTATTTTATTTCATCAGTAAACTGTGCCAAGCCCTGTTAGCTGATCTGCCGGGTGATTTGTGAAAGTTATGTAACAGCATTACTCACTATGCTGCTACGGGGCTCATCTCACTGAGTTACACTTCTAAACTGTCTTTTGCTTCAGGTCAGATGTCATCTTTCCTATGGGAGATGCAGTGAGGCTGTGTGCCCCAGTTTCTTTCTAGAACAAAGAAGGGGAACAGGGGAAGGTAATCAACACTTACTGAGTCCCTACCATGGAGTATGGACCATGAGAGATGCTTACACACACACAGTCTCTATAATCCTTCCAACAATCCCATCAGGCAGGAATTAATATCCCCACTTTACAGAAGACAAGAAAATGGAGTTTTGGGAAGGCTAAATAGTTTCTTTAAGCTAGCATGTGGTCAAGCAATGGCCACTTACCTCTAAAGTCCTGTTATAACAGTTTATCATGTAATTTTTAAAAACTTTTTATTTTGAGATAATTTTAGATTATCTCAAATAAGATCTCAAATTTGAGATTATCTCAAATTATTAGTTCTTATTTCTCACATGCTGTTATAAGAAATAATATAGAGATACCCTATATACACCCTTCACTCGGGTTTCCCAAAAGGGAGCATCTTGCAACCCTATAGTACGATATACCACAACCATGAAATTGACATTGCTGCAGTCCAACATTTTTATTCAGATTTCACCAGTTTTACATGCATTCCTGTGTGTGTGTGTGTGTGTGCACGCGCGCGTGTGTGTGTGTGTTGTTCCATTTAATTTTTTTTTTTTGAGACGTAGTTTCACTCTTGTTGCCCAGGCTGGAGTGCAATGGCACGATCTTGGTTCACTGCAACCTCCACCTCCCGGGTTCAAGCGATTATCCTGCCTCAGTCTCCTGAGTAGCTGGGATTACAGGTGCCCACCACCACGCCCAGCTAATTTTTGTATTTTTTAGTATAGACGGGGTTTTGCCATATTGGCCAGGCTGGTCTCGAACTCCTGACCTCATGTGATCCACCCGCCTTGGCCTCCTAAAGCGCTGGGATTATAGGTGTGAGCCACCGAGCCTGGCCTGTTCCATTTAATTTTAAGGTTATTTTAAAAGAGACTTTTCTTCTCAAAGTTTAGAATAATATAATTCTAGAGTTTGATCATAGATTAGAGATCACTTAGTCCAAATCTTTCATTTTACAATTGAACAGACTGAGGGCCACATAGGGTGTGATATGGCATTACTAAAAATAAAGCAAAACAAAACTTCCCTGGAATTAACAATGAATGGTGCTCATTCTAATGAAATGGTAATAAAAGTTTTAATTTTTATTTTAAAACACATTTATACATGACCAACCTAAGCAAATGCTTATCACCATATCATAAATGATAATTCTTACGAGAACCAGCCCCATTACTTAGAAGAAATCAGTAAATTATCAGAGCTCCCTCAATTATATTTTATAAACTATAATACCAAAATATTAATCTACTGACCAAATCATATCTGTATTAGTGGACACAGCCCTATCAGAAGGAGAGGAGGAATATGTCAAGAATACATGTATACCCCATGGAGATCCAGGGACCCAAGGATGAGTTACAGTGGTGTTGGTCTAGTTGAAAGTATAAAAATATAAGAACTCACCCTGAGAATATAAAACACTTCTCAAACAAATGGAAGAATGGTGTTTCTAGTAAAGACATTGTTCTGAGATAAATTTTTGGCTGCAGAGAAAAATACTGCCTACCTTGTCCAGCTAAAGGCAGTCCATCTCTTGAATTCTTGACTTGTCAATAAATATTAAAAGACTATTTGTCAACAGCGAAAAGGAAGTGGTGACTACTAGAACAAGTGAAGACAGACTAACCTCATTTCCTTCAGATAGACATACTAGATTGGTAGATTAGAAGGCTGTCGGAGACATCCTGTACCTAGGCAACTATAACATCTTGCATGATTTTGATTGGCACAGTAAAGAAACTTAGACTGGCTGATGATGCAAATAGACACAATCAAATAGTTAAAACCACCCAAATCATGGGTGCTGGGTAAAGGGCTGAGGTTATTGACATCCTGGAGGGAAATCTCCAGGGCATTGCCTTAAAACATGTTCAATTACTTAGAAAAGAGTGTGAGTGTGTGTGTGTGTGTGTGTGTATGTGTATTATAGTTATTAAATTTTCTTTACCAACTACATATGAGACACTGAGTTAGGCTCTGAGGATACAAAGCTGAAAAAAATATGGCTTTTAACTTCAAGTTCCTCACAGTTTAGTGGATGACAGAACCAGGATCCAAAATGGGGTACAATACGGATAAATGAATCTTGCACTTAAGTCCAAAAACACATCCATATAAGTAAACAATATGTGCCTGATACATAGTAGGCATGAATAAAAAATTGGTGAATAAATTGAATGAATAAAGGTACGAAGTTTGAAGAAAAAAAACCCCAAACCCTGGGGTTTCATTTAGTTGCAAGCTCAGTGCAAGTCAGTCAGGGGTGTGATACAATTGTCCACAAAGCATGTAAGGTTGAGCCTCATAAATGCGAAATATAACAGGAACAAGAATGGTCACAGATGTATTCTGAGGTATGCTCCTCTGAGCTCATCATTCCATGGCTCTAGCTCATGCTGGATACCAGAATATTTTACAAACATTTTTTAAAATAAAGAAAAAAGTGGAGTACTTCTGAAGAAGACCAAGTGAATGAGGAATCTCACAGCCTTGGAAAGGAAAAACCTAGAAGAAAGAGATCTTTATCTATACGAAGATCTTCAATGGAACAGAGGGCTGGATTCGTTTCATGGAGATTCAGATACTAGAACCAGGGTTGTGTCATTTAGAGTGTGGCAGATTTTGACTCAATATAAGGAGCAAATTTCTAACATATGGGCTTATCTTAAAGTCAAATAGGCTCCAACAGGATGTCAAAATTTCCCCTAGAAAGGAAGTACTCCATCTGGGCTGAGTTACCTTGTAACAGGTGTACAGATTTGCTCAAATCTCTATTATATAGTCTCATGGCATCATGTGCCTCCCACCACTGTACTTACAGCAGTTATAATGTTACAGTTATTAGTGTAATCATGTGAGATATGTCTTTCCCCAAGACTGTAAACTCCAAAAGGATAGGGTGCTGCCATTCATATTCACCCCTGCATCCCTACTCCCTAGTACATAGTACTTATTAAGTGTTCAAAGAAGGAAAGAAAGGAGGGAACGTGGGAGGAGAAGAAAGAAAACCAGCACTAGAAGGGGTGCTGGTTTAAATCTCCTATAAAGTTCTTCTAAATTTGAAATTTCATGGTTACAAACAAACCCAGGTTGCAAATGATTCACATTGTCTTAACGATTGCCTTCCCTACTGTTGTAAAGAGATACTGAAGGGAACTGATGTACTCTACCCCAGTGCTTCTCAGATTTTGGTGAGCATCAACATCACCTAGCAGGCTTGCTAAAACAGATAGCTGGCCCCCACTCCCAGAGTTTCTGATTCAATAGGTCTGGGGCAGGGCCCAAGAATTTGCATTTCTAAGAAGCTCCCGAGGTGATGCTGATGCTACAGGTCCAGGAACACACTTTGAGAACCACTCCTCTACCCAGCATTAGGAGAGTGGTTCTCAAATCAGAATCACTTGTGGTAAGGCCGGGCATGGTGGCTCACGCCTGTAATCCCAGTACTTTGGGAGGCCGAGGCAGGCGGATTACCTGGGGTCAGGAGTTTGAGACCAGCCTGGCCAACATGGTGAAGCCCCGTCTCTACTAAAAATGAAAAATTAGCCGGGCGTGGTGGCGGGCGCCTGTAATCCTAGCTACTCTAGAAGCTGAGGCAGGAGAATCACTTGAACCCGGGAGGCGGAGGTTGCAGTGAGCCGAGATTGTGCCTTTGCACGATCGTGCCATTGCAGCCTGGGCGACAAAAGTGAAACTCTGTCTCAAAAAAAAAAAAAAAAAATCCATTCTTGGTTTTGCCATAGATATTCTGATTCAACAGACCTGGAATTGGATCCAGGAATCTGTATTTAAACAAGCTCTTCAGGTAATTCTGTTGCAGTTGATTTACACATCACGTTTGAGAAAAAAAAAATGACACAAAAGCAAAGGTGATAGTAGAAGACCATGGTTCTTGAATGCTTAGCGTCTTGATGACCTTGTTCCCTCCTTAGCAGGTTACAAAAGGTCTACTCTGTCAACTGCTCACCCACTTAACACAAATGAACCCTCGCATTTAGTCAAAGTGATGGTTAAAAATAGTACCACAATGAAGCTTTATCAAAAAATATGTGGATAAGGAATCAACACTTCAGGTGGGTTCATGAGGACGCCATTCCAAACAACTAGAACTCTACCCATGGTGGAACCCCTTCCTCCTCCCTTCGGAAGCAGTCATCATTGTCTGGATGTAAATCCCCAGATGTAACCCTGATTGATCTCATTTTCTCTTTTCTGGCACTCAGTGGATATGTGGATTATAGCTTGTCTGTGATAGCTTTCTTTCCCTAGCATGAATGATCTGTTTCTTTACCATAAGTTTTTTTTCAAAGCCTTACAGATATGAAAATGACCCACACTCCAGTCTTTTCTAAAAAGTATGGATGGTGTCATCAGACACTTTCCCCCCCGCAAAAAAAAAGAGAGAATATTTGCTTCTTTCCAAATACCATCAAAATACTCTGTGTGCTGAAGTTGTGATTCATTGAACATGCTTTCCATACACCTGAAAGAGTTAATCTATCACCCCGTGTGCCATAGCCACCGGAGCAAAGTCAGGCCAAGAGAACAATGACACAATCAATTATTTCCTATCTTCCCTGGACAAATCTATATGGCTTTGTATGGGAAGATTTGTATTCTAAGACAGTGAGTGCAAAACTATCTCCCAATCCCTTGATAATTATTTATGGAGATGCTGCTGAGATGACCTCTGGAGAAAAAAATTACACCACAAAACCTAAGCAAAACAAATGAAAACCATCTAATTCCCTCTTTAAAAATGTGAATTTGAAAAAGTGCCCACCATATAATGTTTTACAGGCAGGTGTGGCCATCACACACCCGGGTTATCTTTCAGCTCAGACCACAGAAACTGGGTCACGTGCCTCTCAGTGACGTTGTGGGCATCTGTGTGGCTTACTCTCTGCAGGCAAGTTTACTACACAACTTGGATACGATTTAAAGCAAGCTTGACTGTTCAAACAAATAGGGAAGATGCTTCTTTAGTCACGACTTGTCCTTCATTTTTGATGACACTTTCTCTTATTTCTGGAAATGCTGTTGACAAACGGGTCTTGGTATAATTTATCACTGTAGCACATAAAAATACTAGGGACATTCTTCCTGACTGATTCTATGGATTACCTGCATCTTGTGAAATCAGAACACCTTAGTCTTACCAACATCTGTGAGAGCACACTTTCTACAAGTAAAGGCAGACAGTAAAATAACTTGGCTAGCTTTACATGAGAGAACAAATCACTGGCATTAATTGGCATCACTCATCATGTCCTAGCCTAACACACCTACAGAGTGTAGCACTGTCTGATGATGCTATCTGGGAATATTCTACTCATCATCATTACCAATGATTAATAATAGCATCTACCTTGAACTTGTCAGAGGCTTTTACAATTTACAACATTTCATTTGATTCTCACTGCAATCTCATGAGACAGGTAAGCCAGATGTAATCATTTCTGGTAGAAAATGGAAAAAACTGAAATCGAAGAAGTTTATGTCATTGCCCAAGGTCATATGAATAAATAACTCATTTTATCAGGTCGGAAAATAAGAATAAAAATAATAGGCACAATATAGATTTCTAGTCCCATGCAGATTCAGCTCCAAAAAGGAGCTAACCTTACTTAAAACTTTTAACTACTGCAGTTTACCCTTGTCTAGGACAATACATCCCAGCTTCATTATTCGTAACCTTTTTCCAAAGACCTAAGAAATTAAACTGACCCATGATCCATTTTCTTCCTAAGAAGGAGGGATGGCAGCCACATACTCCTGCAAACCCATCACCCTGCCCTGATCAGAAAGGTGAGAACACTGGCTAATTTCATGGCCCTCTCCTTAGATTTGGAGGGGCAGTATACAATTTAGTCCTCTTAGAGACCAGATAATTGTTTTAAAAAAAGTAGAACTTCAGTAGTCATGTACCAATAAAGATAATGTCTACATTCCTGACCTATTACAAGAAGAACCAGTACCGCCAACAGAGTTCTCTTTAATTTCTGGGTTATCTGAGCCCACAATGTGTACCAATTTTGAATAATTGCTTTAAGCTAAAAGACACTAGGAAAGCATTTTCCCATTGGGGTGGCCAAAGGCCTGGGATCCTGTGCATCATCAGCATGAGTTGTCTCACTAAGGGATCCATTTAACAGAGCTTTACACTTAGGGTAAATAGGTGATTTCATTGTGAAAACGCTAAGCATTTACAATTATTTTCAGTAAAGTTCAAGGAGCATCTTGTTTAATAACTTGGCTAACAACAAGCTTAAACAAAATAAGATGGGATTACTGAATGGAATATTATGCAGTCACTAAAATAATATTTTTTTCTTTTCCACAAATTAAAATAACAATTATGATGACATTATGAAAAAGTAGTTTGGGGATAACTTTAACTGCAAAAAGCAGATTATAGGCCAAGTATGATGGTTCATGCCTGTAATTTTAATACTTTGGGAGGCCAAGGAGGATTGCTTGAGGCCAGGAGTTCAAGACTAGCTTGGGCAACATAGTGAGACCCCCGTCTCTACAAAAATTTTAAAAAGGGAATGTGGAGCCAAGATGGCCGAATAGGAACAGCTCCGGTCTACAGATCCCAGCGTAAGCGACGCAGAAGACGGGTGATTTCTGCATTTCCATCTGAGGTACCGGGTTCATCTCACTAGGGAGTGCCAGACAGTGGGCGCAGGCCAGTGTGTGTGCGCACCGTGCGCGAGCCGAAGCAGGGCGAGGCATTGCCTCACCTGGGAAGCGCAAGGGGTCAGGGAGTTCCCTTTCCGAGTCAAAGAAAGGGGTGACGGACGCACCTGGAAAATCGGGTCACTCCCACCCGAATATTGCGCTTTTCAGACCAGCTTAAGAAACGGCGCACCACGAGACTATATCCCACACCTGGCTCAGAGGGTCCTACGCCCACGGAATCTCGCTGATTGCTAGCACAGCAGTCTGAGATCAAACTGCAAGGCGGCAGCGAGGCTGGGGGAGGGGCACCCGCCATTGCCCAGGCTTGCTTAGGTAAACAAAGCAGCCAGGAAGCTCGAACTGGGTGGAGCCCACCACAGCTCAAGGAGGCCTGCCTGCCTCTGTAGGCTCCACCTCTGGGGGCAGGGCACAGACAAACAAAAAGACAGCAGTAACCTCTGCAGACTTAAGTGTCCCTGTCTGACAGCTTTGAAGAGAGCAGCGGTTCTCCCAGCACGCAGCTGGAGATCTGAGAACGGGCAGACTGCCTCCTCAAGTGGGTCCCTGACCCCTGACCCCCGAGCAGCCTAACTGGGAGGCACCCCCCAGCAGGGGCACACTGACACCTCACACGGCAGGGTATTCCAACAGACCTGCAGCTGAGGGTCCTGTCTGTTAGAAGGAAAACTAACAACCAGAAAGGACATCTACACCGAAAACCCATCTGTACATCACCATCATCAAAGACCAAAAGTAGATAAAACCACAAAGATGGGGAAAAAACAGAACAGAAAAACTGGAAACTCTAAAACGCAGAGCGCCTCTCCTCCTCCAAAGGAACGCAGTTCCTCACCAGCAACAGAACAAAGCTGGATGGAGAATGATTTTGACGAGCTGAGAGAAGAAGGCTTCAGACGATCAAATTACTCTGAGCTACGGGAGGACATTCAAACCAAAGGCAAAGAAGTTGAAAACTTTGAAAAAAATTTAGAAGAATGTATAACTAGAATAACCAATACAGAGAAGTGCTTAAAGGAGCTGATGGAGCTGAAAACCAAGGCTCGAGAACTACGTGAAGAATGCAGAAGCCTCAGGAGCTGATGCGATCAACTGGAAGAAAGGGTATCAGCAATGGAAGATGAAATGAATGAAATGAGGCGAGAAGGGAAGTTTAGAGAAAAAAGAATAAAAAGAAATGAGCAAAGCCTCCAAGAAATATGGGACTATGTGAAAAGACCAAATCTACGTCTGATTAGTGTACCTGAAAGTGATGTGGAGAATGGAACCAAGTTGGAAAACATTCTGCAGGATATTATCCAGGAGAACTTCCCCAATCTAGCAAGGCAGGCCAACGTTCAGATTCAGGAAATACAGAGAATGCCACAAAGACACTCCTCGAGAAGAGCAACTCCAAGACACATAATTGTCAGATTCACCAAAGTTGAAATGAAGGAAAAAATGTTAAGGGCAGCCAGAGAGAAAGGTCAGGTTACCCTCAAAGGAAAGCCCATCAGACTTAACAGCGGATCTCTCGGCAGAAACCCTACAAGCCAGAAGAGAGTGGGGGCCAATATTCAACATTCTTAAAGAAAAGAATTTTCAACCCAGAATTTCATATCCAGCCAAACTAAGCTTCATAAGTGAAGGAGAAATAAAATACTTTACAGACAAGCAAATGCTGAGAGATTTTGTCACCACCAGGCCTGCCCTAAAAGAGCTCCTGAAGGAAGCGCTAAACATGGAAAGGAACAACCGGTACCAGCCGCTGCAAAATCATGCCAAAATGTAAAGACCATCGAGACTAGGAAGAAACTGCATCAACTAATGAGCAAAATCACCAGCTAACATCATAATGACAGGGTCAAATTCACACATAACAATATTAACTTTAAATATAAATGGACTAAATTCTGCAATTAAAAGACACAGACTGGCAAGTTGGATAAAGAGTCAAGACCCATCAGTGTGCTGTATTCAGGAAACCCATCTCACGTGCAGAGACACACATAGGCTCAAAATAAAAGGATGGAGGAAGATCTACCAAGCAAATGGAAAACAAAAAAAGGCAGGGGTTGCAATCCTAGTCTCTGATAAAACAGACTTTAAACCAACAAAGATCAAAAGAGACAAAGAAGGCCATTACATAATGGTAAAGGGATCAATTCAACAAGAGGAGCTAACTATCCTAAATATTTATGCACCCAATACAGGAGCACCCAGATTCATAAAGCAAGTCCTGAGTGACCTACAAAGAGACTTAGACTCCCACACATTAATAATGGGAGACTTTAACACCCCACTGTCAACATTAGACAGATCAACGAGACAGAAAGTCAACAAGGATACCCAGGAATTGAACTCAGCTCTGCACCAAGTGGACCTAATAGACATCTACAGAACTCTCCACCCCAAATCAACAGAATATACATTTTTTTCAGCACCACACCACACCTATTCCAAAATTGACCACATAGTTGGAAGTAAAGCTCTCCTCAGCAAATGTAAAAGAACAGAAATTATAACAAACTATCT
The DNA here is from genome assembly GCF_000001405.40 of Homo sapiens. Taxonomy (NCBI): domain Eukaryota; kingdom Metazoa; phylum Chordata; class Mammalia; order Primates; family Hominidae; genus Homo; species Homo sapiens. The sequence goes on from NC_000001.11 coordinate 184,848,278, forward strand.
CTCAGACCACAGTGCAATCAAACTAGAACTCAGGATTAAGAATCTCACTCAAAGCCGCTCAACTACATGGAAACTGAACAACCTGCTCCTGAATGACTACTGGGTACATAACGAAATGAAGGCAAAAATAAAGATGTTCTTTGAAACCAACGAGAACAAAGACACCACATACCAGAATCTCTGGGACGCATTCAAAGCAGTGTGTAGAGGGAAATTTATAGCACTAAATGCCTACAAGAGAAAGTAGGAAAGATCCAAAATTGACACCCTAACATCACAATTAAAAGAACTAGAAAAGCAAGAGCAAACACATTCAAAAGCTAGCAGAAGGCAAGAAATAACTAAAATCAGAGCAGAACTGAAGGAAATAGAGACACAAAAAACCCTTCAAAAAATCAATGAATCCAGGAGCTGGTTTTTTGAAAGGATCAACAAAATTGATAGACCGCTAGCAAGACTAATAAAGAAAAAAAGAGAGAAGAATCAAATAGACACAATAAAAAATGATAAAGGGGATATCACCACCGATCCCACAGAAATACAAACTACCATCAGAGAATACTACAAACACCTCTACGCAAATAAACTAGAAAATCTAGAAGAAATGGATACATTCCTCGACACATACACTCTCCCAAGACTAAACCAGGAAGAAGTTGAATCTCTGAATAGACCAATAACAGGCTCTGAAATTGTGGCAATAATCAATAGTTTACCAACCAAAAAGAGTCCAGGACCAGATGGATTCACAGCCGAATTCTACCAGAGGTACAAGGAGGAACTGGTACCATTCCTTCTGAAACTATTCCAATCAATAGAAAAAGAGGGAATCCTCCCTAACTCATTTTATGAGGCCAGCATCATCCTGATACCAAAGCCGGGCAGAGACACAACCAAAAAAGAGAATTTTAGACCAATATCCTTGATGAACATTGATGCAAAAATCCTCAATAAAATACTGGCAAACCGAATCCAGCAGCACATCAAAAAGCTTATCCACCATGATCAAGTGGGCTTCATCCCTGGGATGAAAGGCTGGTTCAATATACACAAATCAATAAATGTAATCCAGCATATAAACAGAGCCAAAGACAAAAACCACATGATTATCTCAATAGATGCAGAAAAAGCCTTTGACAAAATTCAACAACCCTTCATGCTAAAAACTCTCAATAAATTAGGTATTAATGGGACGTATTTCAAAATAATAAGAGCTATCTATGACAAACCCACAGCCAATATCATACTGAATGGGCAAAAACTGGAAGCATTCCCTTTGAAAACTGGCACAAGACAGGGATGCCCTCTCTCACCACTCCTATTCAACATAGTGTTGGAAGTTCTGGCCAGGGCAATCAGGCAGGAGAAGGAAATAAAGGGTATTCAATTAGGAAAAGAGGAAGTCAAATTGTCCCTGTTTGCAGACGACATGATTGTTTATCTAGAAAACCCCATCGTCTCAGCCCAAAATCTCCTTAAGCTGATAAGCAACTTCAGCAAAGTCTCAGGATACAAAATCAATGTACAAAAATCACAAGCATTCTTATACACCAACAACAGACAAACAGAGAGCCAAATCATGAGTGAACTCCCATTCACAATTGCTTCAAAGAGAATAAAATACCTAGGAATCCAACTTACAAGGGATGTGAAGGACCTCTTCAAGGAGAACTACAAACCACTGCTCAAGGAAATAAAAGAGGACACAAACAAATGGAAGAACATTCCATGCTCATGGGTAGGAAGAATCAATATCGTGAAAATGGCCATATTGCCCAAGGTAATTTACAGATTCAATGCCATCCCCATCAAGCTACCAATGACTTTCTTCACAGAATTGGAAAAAACTACTTTAAAGTTCATATGGAACCAAAAAAGAGCCCGCATCGCCAAGTCAATCCTAAGCCAAAAGAACAAAGCTGGAGGCATCACACTACCTGACTTCAAACTATACTACAAGGCTACAGTAACCAAAACAGCATGGTACTGGTACCAAAACAGAGATATAGATCAATGGAACAGAACAGAGCCCTCAGAAATAATGCCGCATGTCTACAACTATCTGATCTTTGACAAACCTGAGAAAAACAAGCAATGGGGAAAGGATTCCCTATTTAATAAATGGTGCTGGGAAAACTGGCTAGCCATATGTAGAAAGCTGAAACTGGATCCCTTCCTTACACCTTATACAAAAATCAATTCAAGATGGATTAAAGATTTAAACGTTAGACCTAAAACCATAAAAACCCTAGAAGAAAACCTAGGCATTACCATTCAGGACATAGGCATGGGCAAGGACTTCATGTCCAAAACACCAAAAGCAATGGCAACAAAAGCCAAAATTGACAAATGGGATCTAATTAAACTAAAGAGCTTCTGCACAGCAAAAGAAACTACCATCAGAGTGAACAGGCAACCTACAACATGGGAGAAAATTTTCACAACCTAGTCATCTGACAAAGGGCTAATATCCAGAATCTACAATGAACTCAAACAAATTTACAAGAAAAAAACAAACAACCCCATCAAAAAGTGGGCGAAGGACATGAACAGACACTTCTCAAAAGAAGACATTTATGCAGCCAAAAAACACATGAAGAAATGCTCATCATCACTGGCCATCAGAGAAATGCAAATCAAAACCACTATGAGATATCATCTCACACCAGTTAGAATGGCAATCATTAAAAAGTCAGGAAACAACAGGTGCTGGAGAGGATGTGGAGAAATAGGAACACTTTTACACTGTTGGTGGGACTGTAAACTAGTTCAACCATTGTGGAAGTCAGTGTGGCGATTCCTCAGGGATCTAGAACTAGAAATACAATTTGACCCAGCCATCCCATTACTGGGTATATACCCAAATGACTATAAATCATGCTGCTATAAAGACACATGCACACGTATGTTTATTGCGGCACTATTCACAATAGCAAAGACTTGGAACCAACCCAAATGTCCAACAATGATAGACTGGATTAAGAAAATGTGGCACATATACACCATGGAATACTATGCAGCCATAAAAAATGATGAGTTCATGTCCTTTGTAGGGACATGGATGAAATTGGAAACCATCATTCTCAGTAAACTATCGCAAGAACAAAAAACCAAACACCGCATATTCTCACTCATAGGTGGGAATTGAACAATGAGATCACATGGACACAGGAAGGGGAATATCACACTTGGGGACTGTGGTGGGGTCGGGGGAGGGGGGAGGGATAGCATTGGAGATATACCTAATGCTAGATGACACGTTAGTGGGTGCAGCGCACCAGCATGGCACATGTATACATATGTAACTAACCTGCACAATGTGCACATGTACCCTAAAACTTAGAGTATAATAAAAAAAAAAAAAATTAAAAAAAAAAATTTTAAAAAGAACCAGATTATACATTACATATATATCCTGATTAAGTAATGCAAAACATGAGGATGAAAAGGGAATGCATAAGAAATAAAAGGTGAGTTATGGGGGATTTTGTACTTGTGGCTCAAAGTTTATGAAATGTTACACTGTTAATTATCCTTAGGAATATACAGGCTGATCTAACGACTTTTTTTTTTTTTTTAACTAATCCTCTTATGACCATGGTTGATATTTGCCTTTCCAGAGTCAAAATGGTCCTGGGCAGTTTGCCTCTTAGAATCTCAGAGAGCTCCCGTGAGCGCTGGCAGCTTCCAAAGCCCAGCACGCGCCACAGTCCCACCACGCGGGGTCCAATCCAAGGTGTTTGTAAAGAACTTCGGTGAGCAGAGACTCACATGGAAGCGAGCCTCTCTCTCCCTTAGGACGGGCAGAGCTCAAGCCCAGCTCCTGACCCAGTCCACCAAGCAGTCTCCAGTGTGATGTCAATTGAAGAGGACATTCTTTTTTCTTCTCCTGAAAGATATTGTTTGGTGTGGTTTACTCAGAAGAGATCTCCACTGCCTCCTTCAAATGTTCTGCTTTTCAGGAATGGAGGGAAAATCCTTACAGCCTGGAACACTTTTGAGGTTTGTCACGAATGTCCTTGAAAGTAATATTACTATCCCCTGCTTGCCACCAAAACTGGGCATGGTCAGGGGACAACACAAGTGTGCCTGTGTCATAGGTGATGTCATCTGTGCCACACCCAGATGGACTGGTGCCCCACTGCACTAGAATGTCCTTATGGACAAGGACTGTCATATTTATCACTGTATCCTCAGGCCATAGCACAGTGTCTAGTGAGAATCAAAACTGGCCACTATTTCCACTTCTGCTTCATCTCCTGTGTGACTCGAGGTGAGTTACTTTGCTTCTCTGGGCCTAATCTCTCATTTCAAGTGGAAGGCTGACCATCATGTCTGCTTTCTCAGCTATGAAACAATGTAATTCTATGATCAACTGAAAGTACCGTCAGTTGTATTGACATTTGGTTGGTGCTTTCCATGATAGTAGTTCAACTTAGGGACATAAAGTTCCGTCTTCAAGGCTACCTTCTCCTTTTCTTCCCGCTAAACATTCTCTCTTTCTCTCCGTCTGCCTGTCTCTCTCTCTCACTCATCTTTCTCTGGGCTGCAGAAAGGCATCAATGTGGCTACTGGAAGATATTAAATGGCATGTGTCTTTCATTATATTTCTGTTGGACAGCGCTTGTCTAGGGTCTCTTTGACCTCCTCATTTCCCCTTCTACTCCCCTAAATAACAGTCCATTTCATGGTTATTTCCATTGGACTTACCACATGGAATATCTAATTAATTAACCTAATAAAATAGTGAAAATATTCAAATAAAAAAATTCAAATTTGCCATTTCATGGTCAATGAAAAGATTATAGCAAAACTATGAAATATTACATCATTAACTTATATCTTTCTTTTTATTTGAAAAAGTAGGTTCTTCCTAAACCCCTTAATTTACCATTTACCAAAAGCATTGTGATATACAAAATCATCCAGTTATCCAGAAAAGCTACCTTACTATTTCGGGTGTTTATTTGAATATAAACTGTAAGGTCATTAAGTGATTCTATCTCAACCAGAAATTTTTCTTTCATAAAATGCTTCAGAACAAAATAAATCATACCCTTTGTATAAATCAAGACTATACAATGGAATACAGGTCAGTTCTTGACTATCCTTGCTAACAATGGATAAAGTGATGATAATAATTCTTAAAACTTCATATTTGCTTCTGTACTGATGTTAAGGAAGCTTAATTTGCATTTACATTTGAATTCAAATGAGTCTGATGTTCCACTGATTCATCCTATTTTTAAAACAAAAAGCAAATTTGCCTTTTAAGAACTAACTTGTGCTCAGCTATTCTTTGTTCCTTACTTCCAGTGAGAGTAGATGGCATCTCAGACCAACTGGTTGAAAATGCTCACTTTTCTTCCCTTTCCATGCTCCTTATCCTTCCCACTGAATCTTCTCCCACCCTCAACACACACACATACATACACACACCTGTGCGCACACACAAAAATACACATATACACATGTGCATACACACAAACACACACATCTTTCTCTGGGCTGTAGAAAGTAATCAATACTTTGTCTTAAAGCCCTCTCCCAGGGTAAGAGAAAGGGAAATGGGAAGTCTCTTTGCTTTCCCATTAAGACTCTAGACTGGTGCTATTCAAGAGAAATATAATGAAATACATTTCATATAATGAGATATAATGAAAGCCATGTATGCAATTTTAAATTTTATAGTAGCCATATCAAAAAAAGACACAAGTAAGATTAATGATAATGTTTTATTTAACCCCAAATATCTGAAATATGTGATCAATATAAAAATTATTAATGAGATATTTTGCATTCTTTTTTTAGTACTAAGTCTTTGAAATCTGATGTGCCTTTTATACCTACAGCACATTTGAGTTTGGATTCAGGACATTTTAAGTGATTATTAACCACATGGGGCTATGGCTGCCATATTGGACAGCACACTCTAGATGCTTGTGGTTTAAGAGTATGTTGTTTATTTGAGTTGGGGCAGAGGAGGAGGCAATGAAAGAGAGCATGCCACTGCACACCTGCCCATGTTCAAACAGCCTCATTACAAAGGGATCTGTTTTATATCAATAAAGAAGGGAGAAACTTGACTTTTTCTATAATTCATCAATTACATACATAGCACAGCTTATCCAATAGAACAATCCCAGGATCGGAATAATGCACAAAATTAAGGAATAAAATAAACTTGTAACAAGTCCCTATGTGGATTAAGGTTAGTTCAAATTCAAGACCCTTGACAATTATATCTCACTCATAAACCCTACCTCATGGGCAATGAGGAATCCTTGTGGCTTTAACTTTGAGGGCTCTCTAACAACAATGCCATATGGTAATATTCCTGCTCAGTTTGGTAGAAAACTGCTAACCAGCAACAGACAGATGAGATCATTTCCAAACAGGATACAGCCTTGCAACAATCCACTATATTTATAGTAACAGATTGTTCACCCTGCCTCTACTTTCCACCAAAAAGAACCAACAGCTAAAATGCTTGATGGATTTAGATGCCCCCTGTTTCTATTGTAGACAATCTCAATAGTGGGTACAGACTTGGATCACGTATTGTAATTAACTCAATCCATGGAACTATTTGAAAGAATTGGTCCAATGATCTAATTCCCTTATAGTAAAATAGAAAAAAGAGGAAATAAAAACAAAACCTCAATTCTTGTGTCAGAAATGTCAAAGCTTTTGCAGGAATGAGTGTGTATGTGTGTGTGCACATTTCCTATGTTGGTGTGTTAATGATAAGTAAGTAAATCCCTCTTGGGCATTCATAGATCCTAATTGCATTTTGTGATTGTGGAAGGCATGATGGAATCATAGAACTAAAATGGACTTTAAATGTCCAATCCATTTCCCTACGAATAAGGCAATATTTATTTATTAAATAGTTGTAACTAGTTACTAGTTATTAAATAGTTGTAACAGCATATAAAATATTCCAGACCAATTATAATTATTAACAACTGTAAAAAGCTAATGTTTATTAAATAGTGTGGGTTTACGTTACAATCAAGAACATTTCTACAGGTAGCATCCTTAGCAGCTGGGCATAACATTGAATAAAATAACATTGAAAAATCACTATCGTGTCTTCCCAGAGCTTTTCTTTCAAGCTGAATGATACAATTATTGCTAGTATTCCTTATAGGTTTTGTTTGTTAATCCCATACTTATTTTTTTTTTAATCTCTCTGATAGCATTCTCTATCTCCACATTTCTCTTCAGTTCTAGGCTGGGCATAGTTCTCTCTAATTCTGTGCTTCTCTAATACAATTTATTTTATATGTTGCCTGACCTCTCCCCCTTCAACCCCAGCACTCCTGGATCCCCTTAGTCCACTCTACTATTTTTCCACAGCACTTGCTACATTCTGTCATGCTACATAATTTCTTTACTGTGTTCATGGTCTATTTTCTGTTTCCACCATTGGCCCCGAACTAGAATATAAGTGTCACAAGAACAGGCATCTTTGTTTTGCTCATTGCTGTATCCTGAGAACCTAGAATAGAACTTGGCACACACTATATACTCAATAAATATTTGTTGAATAAATGAATGTAGATCTGATCAGTGTAGATTGCCAGTTTCTAATTAAGCTTAAATTAATGTATAAGTATTCATCTAGACCCATGTTTCTAGCCGATTGGTAAGTACATTGAGCAAGACAAAAGTACACGTCTAAACTAAAAATAAACATTTATTGTGTTACAATATAAATGAAAGCAAATGGGTTACGTAGTAATACTGCTCTTTAAAAAGTGTTATTCTTCAGTATCAAAGATTGGGGATACTGATTACTTCTGACTTATTCCCATATTTTTCTAGTTATAAATGCTGAATCCACAAGTCTAGAATGTTCAATCATGTTCACCCACTTCTCAATTTAAATATAAGTATTAAATATCAAATCTATTTTAGGCTCCTGATTGACATCATTATTTGTTTTATAAGTCAGATTTTGTGGGCTTAGATTTTTAAAATATTGTGCCTACATGCCTTCTGGAGAAAAATGACCCAGTTTTCATTTTGTAAAATGGCAATCTTATTCATATGGGTCTATTTTTGATCGGTATTTTCTCCCTAATGCTTATTGTAGTACCTAACATACAGTAAGGGTTCTAAAAAATCTTTATTTATTTAATGAAAAATTCATTCTGGCAAACTTTGAAAATTTGACCATGGACATTTAGGAAGAAAGCAACAAAGGTGACACATTCAAAACATGGGGAAAAATTTTAAGCTGGAAAAAAGGTGATAACTAATTGATGCAGAAATGAGAAAATCATAATTCAACCAAATTATTCCTCCTATCACCTAATCATTATTATATATTCACTCACTCCCCTAACACTGGTTGAACATATTCTATGTATGAGTCACTGTGAGGGATTCTCTGAATATAAGGGAACAAGATTTGGTTCATGGGCATAAAGTTTGAGTGGGAAAGAATAATAAATCCACCACCTGTTCCCCATTGGATCCCCGGCACTCTGAACAATCACAAGGCAGGTGCCTGGTAAGTGTTTGGCAAAAGAAGGCATAATGATCTGTAACACAACAGCGAGTGTGATAAATGCTACTAGTGAAAGCAATGGGCCATGGGAGTCTGGTTTGGAATATGGATGTTTTCATGGAACAGGGAGCTAAGTAGACATGGGTGGGCTGAACTGTGGCAGGTGGCAGGTTCTCAAGGCAAAGGAAGAGCGTGACCCAAAGCACAGAGGAAAGCCACAGAGCACAGTGTCCTCATCACACAGCATTTCCTTTTTCAAACACCCAACCTATGAAATCTTCAAGCCTATCCTAGAAAGAGTTCTTAATTTATATTAGGTGCAGACATAAAACTATGTGGTTATAAAGCCTTCCAACAGATAGAGTGCAAGGTGATGGGTTCTGGAGTCTGCAAGGCTTAGGGGCTTCCTAACTGGGATCAAGATGCTATTGTGTAAGGCAAGACACCATGAACAAAGGCCTAAGGACAGAGCCTGCACTTGGTGAGTTCTCTAGCTTCCAGTGACCTTCCTTCTTCTCCTTTGCTGTGTCCTAATGGCAGCCTTGAGCTTAGTACAGATGGGAAAAGCACACTACAACATTTAATCTATTCCCGTGAGTGTGAGTGGGCCTTCAAAATGAATGTTTTGGATCCCCCATTGAATATGACATGTAAACATTTAATAATATTTTCTAAAATAATTTATAAATTGATTGTAATTAGAAACCCAGCAGGCATTAGGGAATAATTAGCTACAATGAATGTAAATTCACAATGAGAATATATGCCTAAAATGATCAAGAAAAGTATTATACGACTGAATTGTAAGTGGAAAATGTTCTTATTAAAGAATATGCAACAAAAATCTGCAATCAAATTAAAATTGCATTAACATGAGAATAAACAAATAGATATACATATACATATGTGTCTTGAGGTTATCTAGGTATTCTTTTCTCTTTTCATATGTATATGTGTGTATATATATAATTTTAATATATGGCAAAAATTGTAGCTTAATTCAGTGGGAAGGTTAGATTATTTAATAAATGGTGCTGGCGCAACTGATTTTCCATTTAAAGGGAAAATGTTAGACCACTCATATACATCATATATAAACATGATTTCCACACAGACTGGAAACTCAAATGTTAAAAAAAAAATAGCAATATAAAACCTTCAAGAAAAATTGAGGAAATTAGAAATATAATCTTGGGTTAAGGGGAATCTTCTAAACACAGGCAGAAAATCCAAAAGCCATAAAAATAAAGATTAATATATTTGACTGCATAAAAATAGACACCTTTGCATGGCAAAATATATCATAATTAAAGGTTAATAATAACATAATTAGTTTATAATAACACATGAGCAATGAATTTGAGAAAAACATTTTTAATGGAGATATAAAAAAGAGTTAATATCTAAATGTTCAGAGTTCTTATAAGAAAATTACCAACAAGAGAACAAGAAAAAGAAGGAAGGAATGAATGACAATGAAAAGATATAAAAAGGGTTAATATCTAAATGTTCAGAGTTCTTACAAGAATATTACAAAACAAAAGGAAGAAGAAGAAAAAGAATGAATAAATGAATGAAAATGAAAATGGCAAAGAACATCAACGGACAATTCACATGAAAGTGCATCTAAATGGCTGATAAACATGAGATAAGATCTCAGACTCATGGCCAATCCGGGAAAGGCCACTCAAAATAAAAAGCAAATTCACTTCTTATCCATCAGCTTGTCAAAAAAAAACAAAGCAAGAGCCGAAATACCTATGATTGGCAGGGCTGCTGGAAAAAGGGCACTCTCATACACTGTAGAAATATGAAATTTTATAGTCTATCAGAAAATTAATCTGGCAACATCTATTAAGTTAAAAATACATTTACCCAGCAATCTCTCTTCACGGGCACTGCCTCATAGAAATAAGAACATGAGGATATATGTACAAGGACACGTATTTAATCATGGGTGATAGTGGTAAACCTGGGAACAGAGTAAAGGCCATCAGGAAGAGAATGGTTGAATCATGTAGGGTGCAAACCACAGAATATTATATAGCTGCTAATAAAGGAGTTAAAACAGTATCAATTGACTTGGAGGGATTTCCATGAGACCCTGTTGAGTGAAAAAAAGAAAAATAGAGAAAAGTGTATCACATGGTCACCTTAAAAAAACAAAAAACAAAAAACAGTGACCAAAAACCCCTATAATATATGTAGGTATATTGAGAAAAATATGGAAAGATACATACAGGAATTTTAATTCCTACAGGAGTTCTAATTCCTCTATGGAGGAATTAAAAGAATGAAAAGAGAAGCAAAAAAAGAAAAACCCTAACATTTATGATATGATCCAATTTATGCATTTATATAAAATTGTGTGTATGTATATATATGTGCGGTTTTAAATAAATAAATAAATATATATATATGAGGTTTTAAAATAATGTAAAACAAAGAGAAGAATATTTGACTCAAGGAATTATTTGGTCCTTTCATTCATTATTTGGCTCAATCATTTGCTGGGCAGTGGAATACATCTGTCCAGCAAATACATCCTCAGCCTACCCACGTTGATCAATATCACATTTCTTCCATGTGATCCTGGGTAAAGTGCTCAACCTCCCTGTGTCCTTATCTACCACAATGATGGCAGTGGGACATAGGATCTCTAAGGTACTTTCCAGCTCTGGCATCATTATTTGATACCTCTGCTTTCCGTGTCACTGGGTTCAGAGAACACAAGTTTGATCTGTATTTCCCCAGTAACCATGTAGCCAATGGAAACAAACCAAAAAGGATCTGAAAGCAGAAGCAGAATATATCCCACTACCTGATTTCTGTTGTAAGAGTTCTGATTTTTTTTTTCTTGACCAGGTAACTAGGCCAGTGCTTATTTTCATGGTGCTATGAAGTCATCATTATGGTATATAAGCAGTCCTATCTGCTGTGCCTTGCTGGTTCGCTCTGCCATGCTCACCAGATTACTGTGAGTGACTGGTGGCTACCCAGTAGATATTTTAAGGGAAGGGCTGGGTGGGGGTTTCATGGGCAGCATGGTGAGGATGCCATTGCTCAGCAAGGAGCTGAGGTCTGCATCAGGAAAGCGGACAGCTGATGAGGGTGTGTGCAAGGCAGTTAGCCTACAACCAAGCACTCCTGCAAGTCAGAGCCATGGGAAAGTGGAACCAAAGCCAGAACTTCAGGGAACGAAGGACTGTGGGGAGGCATTGGGAAGTGGTCATGTCCATGCAAGGACCGTAGACCACAAAGGGAAAGTAAGAAAAGGCTGGAAGAATAGACCCACTCATGAACTAGCTGAAAATGAACCAGAGAACTATGGTGTGAGTGGGGTTGGAATCAAAGCCATAGGACTAATATAGGCCCAGACTGTAGACAGAAGGAATGAAAAGGAGTTTAATGGGCATTTTAGGGTATGCAAAGCTGTAGGCAGGTGGGAGGAAGCATGCTAAATATAGCACTGCGGCGGGGGCGGGGGGCCAGGGAGACGGGGGCAGATCTACCTCAAACTTCCAGAGTAAAACAAAAATTAATTTTGTAAACATGCAAAAAAATTCAAAATATTATAAAATTAGCTTCCAAAAATTGTATAATTGTGACTTAGAAGTCATTGCTTTTATTTATCCTCAGACATTGTGAAAAAAATTGTTCTATTAGGATAAAAAACAAAAACTGAATATTATTTATGGAGTAGCATCACAAAAATTGATGTGTTATTTTATGAAAATATTTTGTATCTTAAAAATCCTAACAGTGTATATATATTAAGTATTTACTGTATGTCAGTCATTGTACTAAGTACTGTCTTTTCATTATCTCAGGTAATTTTCACAATAACTATATGAATGGGCACTGACAATACCTCTGTCCCACTGATGAGAAAATTGAAGAGTAATGAGAGTGAGTAACACAGATCCTAAGTGGTGGAGCCAAGATCTGAATCCAAAATAGTCTTTCAAAATCAAATTCCAAATACTAAGCTTACAAACACCACACCATAATACCTCTTTCCACAAACAGGAAATTCATTTGAAATATGCAATCTCAAGTTTTGGAGAAAGTTTCTTGTCTGCTTAGAGTCTACTTCATGATGAGACACACATTATCACACCCAAGTAATTTGTGCCCACACATGTTTCAGTCATACAAAGTCCACGGCCCACCCTACCTGAAAAGGCATGGATCAAATGAAATATTGTAGCTCTTATTTTCAAGTATTTTCTAGACCAGGGGTCAGCAAACTTTTTCTGTAAAAGGCAAAATAGTAAACATTGTAGGCTTTGTGAGCCATTCAGTCTCTGTTGCCACTAGTCAACTCTGCCATTCTATTGCAGAAGCAGCCCAAAATACCTAGGCAAATGGTGTGGCTGTGTTCCACACACAAACAGGTGGCAGCCAGACTTGCCAGCTCTTGCTCCAGACCATATGTTCTTCAGGGCTAATTTGCCACGTTCACAGATTCCTTTCCTTGAACCAATCTAAATCAAGTCCCTCTTATAATTTCTTGGTGCATCCTTTACACACGTATCTCAATTTGTAATTAAATATTTTTTTCTTTATTATTACTAGTTTGTAACTTCTAAGAAGGCAGGGATCATGTCTGTTTTCTATAGCACTGGACTGTCAGCACTTAGCAAGGGCTCAGCATACAAAAGGTGCTGATAAGTATTTGTTGGCAGAAGGAAGGGACAAGAGGAAAGAAGACAGGAAGGGGGGAAGAGGAGGGAGGAAGGGAGGAAGGGAGGGAGGAAGGGAAAGAAGGAGAGAAGGAAGGAAGGAGGGAAGGAAGGAGGGAAGGAAGGAAGGAAAGGAGAATGAAGGAAGGAAAGAGAAAAGGAGAAGGAAAAGGAAGGAAGGAAGGAGGAAGGGAGGGAGGGAAGGAGTGAGGGAAGGAAAGAAGGAAGGAAGGGGAAAAGGAGAGAAGGAGAAGGGGAGGGAGGAAGGGAGGAAAGAAGAAAGGAGGGAGGGAGGAAAGAAGGAAAGAAGAAGGGAGGGAAGAAGAGAGAGAAGGAGGGAGGGAAGTAGGGAGGTAGGGAGTTATCAGTTCTTCATAATTAATCTTGCTCTGTGTTCTGAAGTGGAATTAGTGTGCTCCAGAAAGCCATCTTCCCCTGCACAGTGACTAGTACTGTCAGCTAGGGACTAAGGCATGCCCCAATGTCCTTTTATGTGAAAGAAAAACAAATTTTCTATCCTTTTCTCCACAGGTTCAAGGGCACTCACTATTATTCCACAGTTCAAAGAAAGGAAAGAACAATAAGATTGACCTGGCCTTTTCCTTGCAAAAAGTCAACATTAGACCATGCCAAAGTACATATTAGAAAAATCGCCCGCAGACCTTCCCTGGCACCTGCAGACCTTCCCTTGTTTATCTCCGAATGCTCCCCCTGCCCGGTTAACAGCAGCCACTGTCCCGTGATGGAAGTGGCTAGCTAACACTGGGTCTCTTGATCCTCCTCAGGTCAGCTTCCTAGTCGATGCTCCATTTCTCAACAGGTTTTTCATACTTTTTTTTTTTTAAGGTGAGATCTCACTATGTTGCCCAGGCTGGAGTGCTGTGGCTATTCACAGGCGCAATCATTGTGCAGTACAGCCTTGAATTCCTGGGCTCAAGCGATCCTCCTGCCTCAGCTTCGAGAGCAGCTGGGACTACAGTGGTATGCCACCATGCTCAGCCCTCTTACCAGGTTTTTGTTTTGTTTTGTTAAAATAATTATCTCCATATTTATTTGAAATAGAAAATGAACACATTTTTTAGCAATACCAAGCATCTGAAGTCCCAGGTGCAAATGAAGAACTTGAAAGATCCTAAAATTTTGAGCTTCCATGGCAGAAGGCATATCTTCAGTTGCCTGATTTTATTTCTTGGTATTTCCCCTTTTTGTTTTTAAAGAATTCCATATGCCCATCTCAAACACAGAAAAGAAACAAATCTCCCTTTTGTGGTCATATGAGAAACAGCAGCATTAATTGGAAAATATCAGAATATTGATAATTGTATAGCCAAGCTATCCCACAGTTTTTCTTTTCTTTTTTTTTTTAATAACTTTTATTTTAAGTTCAGGGGTAAAAGTGCAGGTTGTTACACAGGTAAACTTGTGTCATAGGTGTTTGTTGTACAGATTATTTCATCACCCAGGTATTAAGCCCAGTATCTGGTATTTATGTTTTCTGATCCTCTCCTTTTTCCCACCCTCCAGCCTCCGGAGGCACCCCTGTGTGTTGTTTCTCACCAGGTTTTATTAGTTTAACATTACGTCCTCCTTAAAAGAGTTCTGAGAACCTCACGTGTAGCAGTTCATTCTCTCCCTCCTCATCACCACACGATGCGGTAGGCATTACTAGTTGACCTGTCCAATGTTCTCTGCCCTATGAAGCTTTGAACACTAAGGTTATTCTCTTTCCCACACTCTCAGTTGGTCTTATCTTCCTCTGGAACTACTGATACCTTATTCTTAGGACAACAAGAAGAAAGATAAGTTTATTTTTGTTTTTATTCTGGCAGACACAGAACTGACTTGAGGCTTCACCTCTGATATTCTGGAAATGTTGTTTCTTCTAATACAATAAAAATGCAACGGTGTCTTCAGAAGATGCATGTAATAGATGCCACCTGGGGACTTTAACTGAGTTCAAATTAGTTTTTTTTGTTTGTTTGTTTATGTATTTTTGGTTTACAGATTCAATTTCTATTTTCAATTAAATAAAATTCCCAGAAGCAAGCAACTGCAATTGCAATTTCAGAATCTAGATTGCCTACATTTACAAGAGACACTTTTACCTTCTGGAGCAAAACAAAATATGTCTGATCCTTCCTCTACGTGACAAAAGATATTTGAAGATTTTTTTCCTCCCTTCAACCACTGTCAGGTTAAACATAACCCAGTTTTCTCAGTCATATGACCTGGTTGCCAGACCTCTTACTATTCAAGCACTGGACATACTCTAGTATGACCAGCAATAAGCAGTAAGAGCAGAGATCTAGGTATTCATTGGTTTAATAGCTTAATTAGCTATTGTGACCTTAAATAGCTTTGTGACTTTAAATATACTTCTTAATTTCCATGAACCTCAGTGTCATCTGAAAAATGGAGATAAAATTTGTTCCTCCTTAGTATTGTCATAGGGATCGAAAGAGCATACATTAAACACTCAGTGTATTACCTGGCATTCAATAATTGGTTGCTAGTATTGTTACTTTCTAAAATCCCTCTTCAAATGTAGCAGGAGAAACTGAATATATAATCCTTTAGTTGTCAGGCTCTTTAATACACAACAATTACGAGCTTGAGCTTTGGAGTTAAACATTCAGGATTGAATTCTGAGTCCACCACTTGATAACTGCCTACCTCTAGGCAATCTCCTTTAGCTATCTAAATCTTGGTTTCCTACGGACAATAATGCTGTTTAACTAAAAGGATTGTTGTCAGCCTTCACACAGTGCTTGGCACACGGTAAGTGCTCAATAAATATTAGCAATGTGAGCTATCATTAGTATTTTATCATTATAATTGGCAATCATACTTCTGACAAACTATAACGTACAAACCATTTCATTTTTATTTTCTTCCTCTAGGAGCTATATAACAGCCAATAAACACTTTATAGGTACATTATTCTAGTCTGTGAACAAGTGTGAATTACACATTTGAATAGGGTGAATTTAGAGGAAGCTGTTATCTTCCCTGACATTATTCCAGTAACGGAAGCCACTTCATTGTGAGAGGAAGAGTCTGCAGAGGTGAAGAAATGTTGTTTGGGTTCTTTTGTTAAGTCACTTCTTCAAAAGTGATGGTAAGTGTTACAGTCACCAAGGTGACTGTAAAAAAAAATACGTAAAATGAAAATAGATGCATTAAAAAATAATATTTTATTCACAAACTAGACATCTAACAAAGGTCTAATATTCAGAACCTTTAAGGAACTTAATTGAACAAGCAAAAAACAAATAATCGCATTAAAAATGGGCAAAAGACATGAATAGACAATTCTCAGAAGAAGACATACAAACGGCCAACAAACATATTTTAAGAATGCATATGTACCCTAAAACTTAAAGTATAATAATAATAAAAGAAAAAAAAAACATTGGCAGCATTTATAAGAACTAACTAGTTATAAGTAGTTCACTAAGAATGACCTCATCACAGGTTTTAGCTGAAACAATATAAAACTAAAGAGGTCAAAAAAAAAAAAAAAAAGAATGCTCAGTATCACTAATCATCAGAGAAATGCAAATCAAAATCACAATGTGATACCATCTCACACCAGTCAGAATGGCTATTACTAAAAAGTCAAAAAATAACAGATGCTGGTGAGGTGCAGAGAAAAGGGAATGCTTATACATGGTAGATAGGAATGTAAGTTAGTTCAGCCACTGTGGAAAGCAGTCTGGAATCAGCCTTGGTGCCCATCAACAGTGGGCTGGGCAAAGAAAATGTGGTATATATACACAATGGGATACTACACAGCTATTAAAAAAAGAACAAAATCATGTCCTTTGTAGCAACATGGAGGAAGCTGAAGGCCATTATAAGCAAATTAACACAGGAGCAGAAAACCAAATACCTCATGTTCTCACTTATAAGTGGGAGCCACACATTGAGTACCAATGGACATATAGATGGCAACAATACACGGGACTATAGAGGTGGGGGAAGGGTACAGAGTTGAAAAACCTAACTATTGTATACTATGCTCAGTACTTGGGTAACGAGACCATTCATACCCCAAACCTCAGCATCACACAGTATACCAATGTAACAAATCTGCACACGTACCCCCAAATCTAAAACAAGCTGAAAAAAAATAATTTTTAAACAAAAAGAAAGGATGCTTAATGGGTCACAGCCAACAAAACAGTGACTTAAATAATGGCATCATGCAACACATTTCACTTTGTCTGGTCAGTCTCAGTCAGAAATCTAACTGCTAAGATTGATTTTCATTAATCATCCAAATAATAAGCCAAAAATACTGTTTTATGTAAAGGAAGGCTTAAACACAAATGATAGTAGGCGATGAGGAGCATGAGAAAAAAAGTTGTAAAGCTGATGGAAAATGAAAAATAAACAAGTAACTGCACAGATAGTCAAAAAAGAAAGCAAAATCTTCCAAAGAAATTGCCTTTGCTGTTAACAAGTAAAATAGACCTTTCTCCTAAACAATCCGGAATGCTTTATTAACTATTCTTATCATTTCCAGATGCTTTTTCAAATGATGACCTACTTCCCATGCTCCTTTATTCAGTTAAAAAAAAATGAGTATGTGCTTACTACACCCCTACACTCAGTACTAATGGCTGAGATGTAATAGTAGATGGGCATAGACTTGGCTTCTAGGAACTCCTAGTTTTAGGAGTCAGATAAATAAATAGTCAATGATGACATGATGTGATTAGAACTGTGATGGAAGTAAGGACAGGTACGAGAGAAGGAAGGACAGATGAATGGACAGATAGAAGAAAATTGTGGGGCTTTCACCTACCTGAAAGATTAAGAAAGGTGTTCTGGTGGAAATGACATTTAACCTAAGGCCTTCAGAAAATCAAATTTAGGAGTCCAAAAGTGAGCTATTGGCTTAGGATTTAGTTCTAAGGGCTGAAAGATGCAGAGGGAATTGAAAATAGTGTTATAATTCTAGGATGTGTTCTTTGGAGGAAAGTTAAGAAGACACGAAATGTAATTTTAAGATGATAATGTGTAACAATCCACTTAACCCAACTGTCAGCTCCCTATAATAATATTTCAATTTCAAATCTGTTCCCTTCTCTTAAGTTATGAAATTCACATTTCCAGAGACATCTAAATTAGATCATAAGTTTCTTAGATTCCTGACCTGGTAAAAAATATACATGGTATGAAGAGAACAGTACTGTGTTCATTTAAAGCCACCAAATATGGAACTAGAAATCAGAAGAAAACCAGAGATGGCAAAATTTAGACCAATGGCAACTCACTCATCTATGCTGGTAATTTCACTACCCTTCATCCTGACCAAACCCAATCATAAATGTCAATCAGCCTATCTCAAAATTAGTGATATTTAGAACTTCACCTAGCAATTCTAGAAAGCTTTTGGCTTGCAAGGTATCTATGAAAGAAAGAGTGGAAGTTTTGCACCCCTTTCATCTAATCAAAATTCAAAATTTCTTCCCCCTTCTATTGTTATTCATTTATGAGCACAGATGTGCAAAAACCAATTCATTTTAAAGTCAAATACTAAATATGATGACTTACATCTGTACAAAAATCTGAAGTGCAGTACCGATACTAATGCGGTGACATCAGCAAGGCCAAACAGGAAGCTGAGGTATAGCCCCCATCACACACAGACACTCTCTCTCGGTCTCTCTCTCTCTCTCTCTCACACACACACACCCCTACACACAAACACACACACACACACACCCCAAAAGTGTCTCAGCTATAATATTGCATTCACTTAACGAATAGCCTTATTGCAAAACTTTGTGGTTTGTGACTAGGGTCTATTGTGCCAGGAAAAATATCTCCCTCTGTGCATGTTAAGCTTCTTCTGACAAGAAGCACTAGAAAGATACAAACCACCTATGTTCTTAGCAAGAATGACTCATTATTATTGGCACAAGGAGAATACAACTTTGTGGTAAGGCTTTTTGTTCTCAACTTGAAAATACCTAATCTGATATCCTAAAGCCTGGAGAAGAAAAAAAGAAGGATATCTTCAACTATTATCCTCCTCACTAGGGATTTAAGAAGGAAAGGACAATGGCTAAGGTGTGTGATAAGGTTACATCCTGCTTGACCCACCGTGTTTCCTGGAACAGAACCACTTGGGCTTGGGCCCGAGTTCACTTAAAGTGAGATGGAATGAGGCAAAATGATGTTCCTGATCTATTTTCTATTTCTTTTATTCCACTTATCCTGGAAAGTCAGGAGGAAATCATCCTCAAACTCTCCTCTGTTAACTGAGTGGGATAGCCTTACAAATTGAGTTTGGTTTATAAGCAATGACTGTGTTTTCGGTTTGTTTTGCCCCCAGCATCTAAGACAATGTTCTGGACACAGTAGACCCTTACCTTAATAGAGGCTCTTTTGTTCCAGCTTTTGTCTACCCCGTCACTTAAAGTGTCCCGTGTCACACAACGGGACAGTGTGGCAGTCTAATAGTTTCTAGGGAAAGGTGGGGAAGGAAAAAACAACAAATGAAGAGAAGTCTCAGTTCCTTTCTTAGCTGGTGATTGCATGAGCCATGCCCTGATCTCCCACCAGAAAGGAACTTGGCAGGGAGGGGCTTTGTCTGGTAAGATGTGAAAATGGGTGCTTTGCTTTCATTGCTCCTTCCTAACTTCCAACTTCCTTCTTTTTTACCTCCTTTTCTAAGCCTCTTAAAATAGAAATGTCCCACTAACACCCAGACGTTGTTGACTTGCAATATGATTTGTGGTCTCCAAAAGAAAATGCTAAAAAATTGTTTTAAAAAATTCAGGTCAGATCAGGACTTCCCCAACCCCCTCAGCAACAGCCAGTATGGGAATCCAGTTAACAAAAGAAAATGCTGAAAGGAAAAAAAAATAAAGGCTAAGTACTTAAAACACAAAGAACTGGTAATAGATAAGTACCATGAATTTTTCAACCCCACCCCTGCAACATATCCCACAAAATTATTCTCAGCTGTACATTTGCATAAACCAAGAAAATTCTAGCTTTGGAGAACATTTATAGAGTACACAGTTTACCACAGGAACACCCTTTTGGGTTAAGGCACAACTTCATGTTTAAAAGCAGAGAAAAGACTTAACTTCTGCATCTCAATTGTCACCTGAGTTTCAATTGATGTAGCAGCTCATGTCCCTCTCAAGTAGATATCAAGAAATTATCCATGTCAAGTTCAGTAGGAAGTGAGTATCCTCAAATCATCTGTTCCTGAATAAGGAATGAGATTAGATTTTTTTTAAAAATATCAGCTAGTCAAACACAGGGCACACAGTATGCGTTTAATAAGTACCTGCTGACTGAGAAGACACATGGTACAGTAGTTTAGAACACGGGCTTGAAGTCGGCCTGCTTGGCTTTAAAATCTTGTCCTGATCACCAGCTGTCTTACCAGCTGCCCCAGAACCCTCGTCTATAAAATGGGCATGATGACAATAATAGTGCCTACCTCACAGGACTGCTGTGAGGATTAAATGAGTTAATACAGTGGCTTTCCAAGTAGGGTCCCCAGGCCAGTAGTATCAGCATCAGCATTACCTGAGAACATGTCAGAAATGCAAATTCTTAGGACCCACCCCAGGCCAGGGAATTCCAGTGCATATTCAAGCAAGGGAAACAGACTAAATAATTTTAGGCATATTGCTTTCCTCTGGGATTTTATGGTCATGTCTAAGGGAAAGGTGGTACATTGCCTCTCACTCGGACAGAAGAAGGGGATAAAAGTAGAAGAGAAGAGAGGTATTTTATCTTACTAGTGGAGATCATCCATGTACACCTACACACGGTACAGCTTACCAGAGTGAGCTCTTACGTAAAATTAGATCGTCCAGTATAAAAAGCGAAAGGGTCACACTGGAAATGCAAAACTCAGTAAAGAAAATGTATCTCAGTTGTGCTTGCTATTAGATTCAGGATTATTTTCAAAAAGGAAATCCCATGAAGAGTCTAGTTGTGGTCCTCTCACTAAAATATTATAAAGAGTTTAATTTTATCTTACAATTGCTAAGCACATTGTGACCATTCACTACTTTTATTTGCATTCACTACTTTTTTTTTTTTTGAGACAGAGTTTCACTCTGTTTCCCAAGCCGGAGTGCAGTGGCTCCATCTCGGCTCACTGCAACTCCACCTCCCATGTTCAAGCGATTCTCCTGCCTCAGCCTCCTGAGTAGCTGGGATTACAGTTGTGCGCCACCATGCCCGGCTAATTTTTGTATTTTTAGTAGAGATGGGTTTTCACCATGTTGGCCAGGCTAGTCTCAAACTCCTGACCTCAAATGACCCACCCACCTTGGCCTCCCAACGTGCTAGGATTACGGGCGTGAGCCACTGCGCTCGGCCCACCATTCACCACTTTTTTATTGTGCTGTTGAATATCACTTCAAACATTAAATTCATATTATAAAAATCATGAATCTTTACCAGTAATACAATTTGAGAAAAATAAAAATTAAGTTGCTGAAGCAAAATACCTTATGTTTAAAAGGAAGACCCTAGGCAACAACGATTCTCTAACTCTGAAGGGATGCTGTTTAAAATGTACGTTTCTGGGCTCCTTTCCTCAGAGATTCTAATTCGTAGGTCTGGAATAATGCCAGGGACTCTGAAATTTTAAAAGTCTCTTCCCCCCAACTCTGATTCCACACCAAGTCATTCAGAAGCAGTGGTTGATAGATTACAATATGCTAAAAGTTTTTATCTTTAAATAACCTTAAATGAGTAATATCTTCTGATTAAGCAAAGTCTTCAGAGCTAAGAGCTAATCCTTTATACATGGGAAAGGTTTAAACTCTCTTTGATAGAAAGCTTCCTAAAATGTATTCCACATTTCTCTATCATCTAACACATAACACGTAGGATATAATTTACTCTTGATGACTGAGGTTTGTTTATTATTGTTATGATTGATATGTGCTATAGTTGCCGGGAGCATTCAACAGAGTTGACTGAAACATGGATCCCTAAAATGGCTCTACAACTCGAAAAAGTTCTGAACGTCAGGTTTAGCTTTTGAGTCATTTCCCCCGCTGTCAAGGTGGCAAATATATAGCCCAAGAAGGTGGCTTTTGAGTCATTTCCCGCAAGGTCAAGGTGGTAAATGTGCAGCCTCAGAACCTCAAGGATAATGCGACAGAGCTGCAAAATGAATGGTTGCTCCAAAGATGGAAGCAGCCTTTGTAAAACTGCCTTAGTGACAGTTAACTTTTCAACATCATACAATTTTTGTTAACACCATGCAAAAACCTATGGTGTTCAGCAGCATAGCATACTCTATACCGTAACCAACCCTCTTACTGAAGAAAAGACATAGTGGATAAATTGCACTTCCAAAAGTTCTTTTGAATACCTCAATGAACTGGCAACAACGTAAGACCTGTTATAGATTGAATTGTATACCCCCCAAATTCATACGTTGAAATCTTGATTCCCCCAAATCTCAGAAAGTGTCCTTGTTTGGAAATACGGTCATTGCATATGTAATTAGTTTAGATGAGATCATTCTGGAATAGGATAAGCCCCCAATCCAATATGACTGGTGTCCTTATAAAAGAGGAAAATGTGCTAGCTGGGTGCAGTGGCTCATGCCTGTAATCCCAGTATTTTGGGAGGCCAAGGTGGGCAAATCACCTGAGGTCAGGAGTTCAAGACTAGCCTGGCCAACATGGTGAAACCCCGTCTCTACTAAAAATACAAAAATTAGCCAAGCATGGTGGTGTGTGCCTGTAATCCCAGCTGCTTGGGAGGCTGAGGCTGGAGAATCACTTGAACCTGGGAGGTGGAGGGTGCAATGAGCTGAGATCATGTCATTACACTCCAGCCTGGGTTACAAGATCAAAACTCTATCTCAAAAAAAAAAAAAAAAAAAAAAAAAAGAGGAAAATGTGGACACAGACACATACATAGGGAAAATGTCATGGGAGGATGAAGGCATGGATCAGAGTGATGCTTATATAAGCCAAGGAGAGAAGCCTGGAATGGATCCTTTTCTCATTGCCCTCAGAAGGAACCAACCCTGCCATCATCTGGATTTTGAACTTTGAGACAATACACTTCTGGTGTTTAAGTCACTAAGTTTGAGGTGTTTTGTTACAACAGCCCTAGCAAACTAATACAAAACCCAAAAACATAAGGCAAGTCTTGAAGCTAGTTTTCACTTTGAAGACACTGATAGAACCTAGTGACCTTAAGCTACCTTTTTCTAGCCTCCCAGGATGCTGAATACCAGAATCAAAGAACCAATGCATATAATGTGCCAAATTAAATTGCAGAAACCACCCACATACACACGGTCTTAGCCCATTCTAAGGAAAATTGTCTGTCTCAAACCTAGGCATTGAGTGAAAGAGATAAATATTTCTCTTGAGAAATCATAATCAGAAGGATGTCCCCACAATCTTTATGGCCTAAATGCACATTAGCTACATGGTCCAAATATCTGGTAGTGTCCTCAAGCATCTAGTAAGAGGAAACACAAATCCTCTCAGGAACTCACCTTCAACTGGCTTCAGTGAAATATGAACTCATCATCAAAAAAATCACAAAATAAGCAAGTTAATAAGGTACCATGAGTAAGAGCCAGCACAAATAACAGCAGAATACAACCCACAGGGATCTTGGATATTAAAATTAGCAAACACGGAATATAAAATATATTGTTTGACATGTTTAAAAATATTTTTAAAAATTGGAAATATAAGTAAAAAGAGATTATTTTAAATGACCAGATTAGAAAAAGAACGAAAATAATTAATAGAAATGAAAAATAAAAAAATTAAAATTTAAACTCCGTAGATAAGGTTAGTAATGGATTAAATACAGATGAAGAGAGAAGTAGAGAACTGAATGACAGAGCACAGAAACTGTTCAGGGAAAAAAAAAGAGAGAAAAAAGATAGAAAATATAAAATTAAAAGTTAACAAGTAGGCTGGGCATGAAGGCTCACGCCTGTAATGCCAGCATTTTGGGAGGCTGAGGCAGGTAGATCACTTGAGGTTAGGAGTTCGAGACCAGCCTGACCAACATGGTGAAACCCCATCTCTACTAAAAATACAAAAAATTAGCTGGGCATGGTGGTATACCCCTGTAATCCTAGCAACTTGGGAGGCTGAGACAGGAGAATCGCTTGAACCCAGGAGGTGGAGGTTGCAGTAAGCCAAGATCGTGCTATTGCACTCCAGCTTGGGCAACAAGAGGGAAACTCTGTATCAAATTAAAAAAAAAAAAAGGTTAAGAGGTGAGGAAGATAGACTATCTAATGTACATGTAATCAGATTTCTGAAAAGAGACAGGGAATAGAGGAAAAGAGGAAATAATGGCTGAGAATTTTCCAAAGTTGCTTAAACAATAACCCACAGATTCAGGAAGACCAACAAATTTCAAGCAGTATAAATAAATAGGAAATCTGTAGGTAAGACACATTCTTGTGAAACTGCAGAATACCAAAGACAAAAAAAGATGTTTTTAGAAAAAAATAGGAAAGAAAGCAATCAAATTACCTTGAAAGGAACAAGAATTAGGCTGATAGCATATTCCTCAACTTCAGTAATGGAAGCCAGAAGATCATGAAACAAAATATTCAATGTGGTGACAGGAAAATAATTGCTGCACCAAAATTTCATATGCAGTGAAAGTATCTTTCAAGAATACGAATGAGATAAAGACATTTTCTCATGAGAGAATGAGATAAACAAAAACTGAGAAAAAGATTAGAAACATCTTTTGAACAAACTTAAAGAAAATTCTACAAGATGTACTTCAGGCAAAAGGAAAATGTTTCCAGATGGACAGTCTGAGATGCAAGAAAAAATTATGAGCAAAGAAAGCAGTGAAGGAGATCAGAACATGCCATCTCAGAATATACTGCATTGGCATATTGATTATTTTGAGCCAAAGGCAATTGAGAAACAACAGATGCAAGAAGAGCTCCCCGCCCTTGTCCTTTTTGCTTAAAAGCAAGGCATAAATTTTCCATGAGAAACGTGCCCTCCTGGTACCAGGAAGAAGAGAATATTCTTATCACCAGAGTTAAGGAGTCAATGCCAAGATGAATCTGCACAAATATACCTTAGTAAAATAACCCTTATCTTCCACTAGATTGCCCAGAGTTCCCATTTTCCCACAATTTTGCACTCTTAGGAACTCAAATCTCTTTCCTTTGTTGAGCCACTTCTCCACAATTTATTACTTTTGTTAAATTGGTATATAAGCCCCCAAGTCTAACTGCTTCTTTGGAAATTTTCTCTTTGTTTTCTGTGAAACCCCTTTTGCCATGTAAATAATGACATTAAATAAAATGTGTATGCTTTCCTCCTGTTAATCTGTCTTTTATCAGCTTAATTCACCGATTCCAGCAGAACCTAAGAGAGTATAGTAAAAGTTTTTCCTCCTCTACAGTGGTAAAAATGCAGTAAATATTACAATTTTATAAAACAGCAATAATAATATATTGATTGGTTAAAAATTGAAAAATGTAATTAAAGTTTAAGTCCACAACAACCTATAAGTGGAGAGGGGTGTTAAAGGAGCTAAAGCATTCTAAGTTATCTATATTTTTTGAGAGAAACTTAAGGATGTTGATTAATCTTTGGCTTTGATAAGTTCTGCAAGTTAAAATTTCTAGGATACCCACTAACAAAATAAAAATAGAATATACGAAATAAAAATAGAATATAAAATATATTGTGTTTATTATTATTGCTAATAATAAAGTTTTAATAATAATCAATCCAGAAGTCAAGAAAGTAGAAGAAAGGAAACAGAAAAGGTGGGATATGTAGAAAACACAAAGTAAGATAGTAAATTTACAAACAAAAATATGAGTAATTATAACACATGTAAAAAAACTAAATGCTCATTTAACGATGATGATATATCCTTTAAATGATGTATATGTACCATTTAAGTGATAAACATCTCTTAAATGATACACATCATTTAAAGACTGTCAGATGTTTTTAAACTTTAAGGCAAATAGCATTAATAGCAATAAAATGTGCCATTTCATAATGATAAAAATTTAATTCACTAGGAAGATATAATTCTAAGCATGAATCTATCTAGTAACATTACATATATATGTGTATGTATATGTGTGTGCTTATATATACACACATATACATGTGTAGATGTGTATATATACATATATAACTCAAAACATATAATTCAACAATAGAAATGCAAATAGTAAAATCAGTCAATCATCACAGTGGCAGATTTGAATGTACTTCTCTCAATAACTGAAAAATTTAGCATAGCAAAAAATCCACAGAGGAGGTCTACAGAAAATAAATAAATAAATAAAAACAAAAGTAAGGATATAGATTTGAATGACACTATTAACACACCTAAGCTAATGGACATATAAGGCTATAGAATATATATTGTTTTCAAGGGCCTATGAGCTTTTATAAAAATTGACCATATGCAGGGACACAAAGCAAGGTGTAGCAAATTTTAAAGGACGATATCATACAAATCAGATTTTCTGTCCACAGTGCAATTAAGCTAGAAATCAATAATTGACATAGAGTATATATTTGGAAATTAAGAAACACAATTCTAAGTAACTCGTAAGTTAAAAATAATAATAATAGAAATCAGAAAATATTTAAATCCAAATGATCCTGCATATCCAAACTTGTGAGATTCAGCTAATGTAGAGAGAAATCTATAGCATTTAAATGCTTGTATTAGAGCAGAAAAATGGCCGATGACTAATGAGTATATTAGCTTTCTAGTGCTGTAAAACAAATTACCCCTAAAGTTAGTGGCTTGAAACAACAAATATTTATTATCTCTCATAGTTTTTATGGGTCAGGAATTCAAAAATAGCTTGGCTGGATAGTTCTGGCTTGAGGTCTCTCATGAAGCTGCAGTCACATGTTGGCCAAAGCTGCAATCGTTTGAAGGTTTGACAGAATAGAAGCATCCACTTCCCAGGAAGTTTACTCACATGGTTGTCTTCTCTACATGGGCCTCTCCAGAGGGACGCTCATGTATTCTCACGTGACGACTAGGTTCTCCCAAATAAGTGATCCAAGAGAAAGTCAGGCAGAAATGATTCTTTTTGGTGACCTATTCTTGAAAGTCACATACCATCACTTCTGCCACAGGCTGTTCATAAGAAGTCACTATGTCTGGCCAACATTCAAGTGGAGGAAAATTTGACTCCATTTTTTGAAGGAAAGAATGTTAAAGAATTTGCAAGTGCTTTAAAATCATCACAATGAGCTAAGCATCTACCTGGAGAGATGAGAAAACAAAGCCAGCGAAATAAAGCCCAAGAAAATAGAAGAAAGACAATTTTTAAAACATCAGAAATTAACATAATAGAAAACAAATATACAATAATCTCCCCAGTCCAAATCTGTGTTTTTTTAAGGAGTTGATAAGGCCAGGCACGATGGCTCATGCCTATAATCCCAGCACTTTGGGAGGCCAAGGCGGGTGGATCACCTGAGGTCAGGAGTTTGAGACCAGCCTGACCAACATGGAGAAACGTTGTCTCTGCTAAAAATACAAAATTAGCCGGGCATGGTGGCGCATGCCTGTAATCCCAGCTACTCAGAAGGCTGAGGCAGGAGAATCGCTTGAACCTGGGAGGCAGAAGTTGCAGTGAGCCAAGATCGCGCCATTGCATTCCAGCTTGGGTAATAAGAGTGAAACTTCGTCTCCAGAAAAAAAAAAAAAGAAAAGAGGAAGTTGATAAAATTCATCAAGGAAACAAGAGAGGAGGCACAAGCAAACAAGAAAGAGGAAACAGCTACAGGCACTACAGAGAATAAAGAGGGCATCATGAATATATCCTTAAAAAGTGAGAGGATATTATGCCACCAAACTTCAAACATAAACAGAATGGACAACTTTCTAGAAAAGTGTAACCTACTAAAACTGAGTTAAGAAATGGAAAAACTGGGGCCGGGCATGGTGGCTAATGCCTGTAATTCCAGCACTTTGGGATGCCAAAGTGGGAGGATCACTTGAGGTCAGGAGTTCGAGACCAGCCCAGCCAACATGGTGAAACTCTGTCTCTTCTAAAAATGCAAAAAAAATTACCCAGGTGTGGTAGTGTGCGCTTGTAATCCCAGCTACTCTAGAGGCTGAGGCAGGAGAACCTCTTGAGCCAGGGAGGCAGAGGTTGCAGTGCGCCCAGATAGCACCACTGCACTCCAGCCAAGACTCCATCTCAAAAAAAAAAAAGAAATTGAAAAACTGAATAATCCTGTAACATTTTTAAAATTTAACTTAGTAGTTTAAGATCTTCTCACAAAGAGAACACCTAAGATGATTTTACAGGCACGCTCTGCCAAATATTAAAACATGCAAATAATTCCAGTTTTACACAAACTATTTCAGATTATAGCAAAGGAAAAGAAAAGATGCATCATTTTATGAAGCAAAAATAACCTTGGTGCAAAAATCCAAAAATGCACTGAAAAATAGGAAAATTACATGCAAATACACTCATTAACACAGATGTGAACATTCCTTTAGATATTAGTAAACCCAATCAAAACTAAATACCTTTAAACCAGCAACAAACAGTAAGTGTTCACAGCAGCACTGTCAATAATAAATAGTGGAAACAACCCAAATGTCTATCTAGAGTAACACAGATATTAGAAATTATGGTATATTAATGTAATAGAATATGTTTAGCTTTGAAAGTCAATAAATTGCAGCTACAAGCAATAACATGGATGAAGCACTGGAATATAATACTGAACAAAAAGAAGTCATGGGAGGAAGTGTAGTAAAATTCCATATGGATAAAGTTAAAAACACACAAAATGATTAAGCATATGTGATAAAGCTGTAAAGAAAAGCCAAACATAAAATCTAGTATGGAGCTTTCTCAAAGGAAAAAGAAGGCTATAGGATCAGGGAAAGACACATAAGAAATTTCAGAGGTAACGATAACGTTCTTTATACTCTATACATACTTTACAAACATTCTTCTAAATCTACTCAATATTTAATTTTAAAAACTCAAAACAACTAATAGAGTAAACAATAGCTCCAAGCATGATTCCCTCCCGTATCACGTTCTCTAAGCTTGTTCATGGTATGGGAAGAATGAATGTGGCTCACTGTTCAATAACAACAGATGAGAATTTTATCCAAATTCTCCAGGATATTTATATTTAAAAGAAATCCTGGGCTATATGCATGCCAAATAGAGTCCTTTCATAATGTTGATTATCTAACCACATATTAAAACAGCCATTGCATTTACTATGTCATTCTAATAAGTATGTTTCAATTGTAATATATCCTGTCTATAAGTAAAAGAAGAAAAACAAACCCAAAACTTGAAAGCTATTCAGGCTTTGCCACAGTTGATTATAGTAATATCAAAAACTGTCCAGTGATTTTGGAATCTACCCAATCTAAATAGCACGAACAAAACAATTTTTTTTTTTTGCTTAAATGAACTTTAACTCTGCTTATGTAATTTTTTTAATGATTGTTCCAATTTGTCATCCTGAACTATCATAACCATACAATTTTTAGACCTTCATACCAAATAACTATTTGGTTCATTGGAACTGAGGGAGATGGGGTGGAAGTCTGTGATTGCACTGAAAGAGCACCATGTTTGATGGGCCAAAAGAAGTATTTAAATGTAGTTCTTGGCAACACTGCTTTAGACAACAGTGAACCCAGGACTATATAACCCATATACTGCTGGGGAGAAACACTGAATGGCTAATAGAGAGCAGTTCTGTTTATTCTAGTCTGTGATGGAAACCTGTTCTTCTAGTTCCAACTCTTAAATTGCTTTGAGAGCTTCAAGTAATTTAAGTAAATCTGTTAAGTATAAATAATATAAAGGCATATTTTAGATGTACTATTTTTAAAGTATTCCAACCCATGCCCTCACAAGCAGTGCAATCTTCCTTTACAAATTAGAGTTTTTACTTAAATTGCATGAAATCATACATGGTTTGCATTTTAAACTACACTAAACCAGTAGAGAAGCTATGCTATCAAATATTTTATCTTCAGAGCACTTCTAAACTAAAAGATATAGTCATGGTTAGCCTGTGGACAAAATACCAAGTTAAACACAGATCATACAATTTATCGAGAAGCCAGATATACTCCAGGTCTCAGGTGATCTTAAGTGAATAGCTCTGGATTTGCTTCACTCTGGATCATGCAAACATATCATGCAAAGAATAGATTGATTTAATAGCAGCATGTTTAAAATGCCCAAGAGATGAGTCTTTTAGAAAGTAACACTGAGAAGACAACATGATATCTACAACTGAAACAGACGTCAAAGGCCAGGTATTGGGACAACTGGTTCTCAGCCACTAACTAGCTGTGACCTATTTGAGCCTTATCATAATTAAACCCTGAGGGACTGGAATAGGTGACCATGAAAGTCCCTCCCAAATTTAGAGTTTCATGGACCAGGGGTGAGGGGAAGTTGGGGAGGGAAGGGAATGACTACTTCCTAAGTAAAAACCACATACTCACAAGGAGACAGAGAGAAATATTTCTAATTGTAGAGTACTAACTATGTGAGGCAAAGAGCACAGGCTAAACTCCAGAAGAGAATGTAGCTCAAGCAGAGAGAACACTTTTAAAGAATTTTGCTTGGGATATTCCTAGGAAAACAGGAAATTAATATCTACTTATTTATTAACAGTAACTAGCAAGCATTTTGCTTGCAGTGCATAGAGGGTTTTATGTATGCATTTCAACACATGTATACTATAGAATATTTTTATAAGTAAAAGCATTCAAAGATATGTTCATGACAATTGTATTCTTCCTTATCTATCTCTAAACATTATTAGTTTGTACTAAAGTGCCCAAAGGAGCCTAAGTAAAAGTTAGAATTTTCCAACTCATAGATATGTGCATGTCCATAAACATAAGCATGTGCCACAAAATTCAAAAGTATGTTTTCACATATTACAAACTAAAATTCATTGTATATTTTCAGTTATAATTGATTGATCTCCACACTAGATGCATAGTCTCTCAAGTAATGAACTTGCTTCGTAGGTGACCAGGAAGCAATAAGCTGGGGAAAATAGAGCTGAGATTTGCTGCTGAGTGTTGCACAGCAAGAAGATCATGTTCAAATAAACACACCAAAAAGGATTTGCTCTGTCTGATTTGAATTGTAAGGTCCTTTGTTGTTCTAAATTTCAATTTAATTCCACAACATTTATTGAACACCTAAAACTTGCAAGTATCAAAATCAAATCTAATAAAGGCATGGGATTTCTGGGGTAAGAGCTTAAGGCATGTAATACTGACAGAGTAACCAATTCCAACACATAATCACTGTTATAGCTCCACATTCCACCTGACTCACTCCATACAAGCAATGTTGGATGTTACCATTGTCATAAGTGATTGAACTAGTCCAACTTGAAGCACTGATTTGCAGAGTGTCTTTATATTGTTGTGGTCTTTTCACCAAAATTCTATGGGCTTTTCTTTGATACTACCGTTTTCAACCCGTGTGCACACATGCTTCCCAGATAGTCTACTGTCCTCTCTTTCTTTGTGTTCATGACGATGTGAACACTGGCATCTGTTTAGTGGCAGTCCTGGCTGTCCTTCAAGCTAGCACAGCACTGTTGAACAAAACTTTGCCAGCATTACACCTCCTTTCCAGAATCACCATTCATCCAGTGATGGCTGCCTTCTAACATCCAGTTCCTCTGTTCCCCCAAATCCTTTAGTCTGAGTACCATGGGTTGATATTGACAAATGCCTTCCCTCACTCTGGTGCAAGCTACTGCCATCTGTTGCCAGCCAAAGCTTTTTAAGTGGCCTCCTGGCCACCCACCATGCTACCCTCTCATCCACTGCCTACACTGCAGCCATTGTGACCTTTCTGAAGTGAATATCTGATGAAGTTGCTCATTTACTTAAAATCCTAATGGCTTCCTATTGCTGTTATAATAGAGTCCAAGTTCCTAATATGCATCACAAAGCCCCTTATAGCATGGATCCTGCCCATCTTCCTCTCTCCTCTCTAAGCACCAGTCACACAAAATTCTTCCTGTTCCTTTAATGGTCCATACTCTATCTTACTTCCTGGCCCTCCCATATCCTATTCCTCCTCCAGGAACACTTTTTCTTCTTCCTGCACATTTACATGCCAAGAAATGATTATCCTGAGCTGGAAGAACAGACTTGCATCGATAATGATCATTATTCCATATCGCATGTGTTCAGCCCTCTGTATTGTCAGGAGCTTTAACTATAACCCATAACTACAATCGTATTTTGCAAACTAAAGTTCTGAAGAATAGGATTGCATTTTGGACAACAGGACTGTCTCAGAACATCTTGGCTTTATATAAGTCTCAGTTTGTGGCAGCAGACATTCAGAACCACAGCCTTCCCTGATCAGAGACAAGGGATTACAGTGTGACTCCAAAAGGGACAGAGGACAGCAGCTACTATTCTAGGATCATACTATACAGTTGGCTTGACATTTAGTCCAGTGAGGTGGAGTGGGATGTTTTACTAAGGATTAATCTTGTGGGATTTTCTTATGCCTGCCCAATGAAGAGGTGCCAAAACTAAATAAAAGCAAAACACCCATGAAAGTGCACATGTGAGCATGCACACACACACACACACACACACACAACCTTTATTCTCCTTAGGATACAAAATAATCTTTGAGGCTCCTAAAGGCTGCTCTCTCTTTTGAAGGAGGGAGAAACATAGAGCTCTCTACTGGCCCTTACCTACCTTAGGAGCTAGCCTTACTGTTGGAGAACAGGGCATAATCAGGCCCTTCATCAGGGTTAAATAGGAAACGCCCACCCTATAAGGAAAAGCAGGACAAGGGGGTTCTAGATTCAGAATGAATGAACATGAAAATGTAGCCAAATTCAGACCCAACACTTCTGGCGCAAGTGGGCTAGGTTGTGGTGGAATTTGAGTGCTAGGAGACATGTCCTGGAACCCCAAGCGAGATCAACATGCCTAGCATCAGCTGCTAGCGTTACAGGAAAGGGGTCCCGATCCAGATCCCAAGAGAGGGTTCTTGGATCTCGCGCAAGAAAGAATTCAGGGCGAGTGCACAGTGCAAAGGGAAAGCAAGTTTATTAAGGAATAAAAGAATGGCTGCTCCATAGACAGAGCAGCCCAGAGGGCTGCTGGTTGCCCATTTTTATGGTTATTTCTTGATGATATGCTAAACAAGGGGTGGATTATTTACGCCTCCCCTTTTTAGACCATGTAGGGTAACTTCCTGACGTTGCCATGGTATTTGTAAACTGTCATGGCACTGGTGGGAGTGTAGCAGTGAGGATGACCAGAGGTCACTCTCATTGCAATTTTAGTTTTGGTGGGTTTGGGCTGGCTCCTTTACTGCAACCTGTTTTATTAACAAGGTGTTTATGACCTGCATTTTGTGCTGACCTATCTCATCCTGTGACTTAGAATGCCTTAACCATCTGGGAATGCAGCCCAGTAAGTTTCAGCCTCATTTCCAGCTCCTGTTTAAGATGGAGTTGCTCTGGTTCACACGCCTCTGATACTAGAATGCCTAGGACCCGGTTCTCAACAGAGAAGCACGGTGGCCTGAGAGTCAATGAAACAATGGCCACAGCAGGCTGACAGCCCTTCCTCATCTGCATGCGGGTAGAGGATAGCAGGCTCCCAGCAGCCACCTCAGGGTTTCTGGCCCTTATCCCAGCCCTAATTTTAACTATATTTCTTAACTTTTTGGGTAATTATGGGAAAAAGTGGTTAAGTGGCAGCTTGTGAAAGCCTGTTTCTGGTTTACTCAAAATAATACAATGAGTAACAGGCAGAGACTAGAACAGAAAATGTGACACAATAAAGATGAGTGGTACATCATGCTGTCAAAAACAGAAAAAGAGGCGAGAAAAGAAAGGTCTGCTCCTTGGCCCATGATAGTCAAGGACTGTTCCCTACAATGTTATCACAGCTTCTGGTTCTGACTGGAGCTACTGGAAGTTATGCCAAATTAAGTCCACATAAAGCCTCAGCGAGGATAAAACAGTTTCTGGGCAGAGGAATGTGACACAGAACCAAGGAAATATGACTAGACCTCATTATCTTGGTGCCTTTGATAACATACTGGAGAGCAGAGTGGGGTTTTGAATGGGCTGAAATCTTCCATAAATGGAGTCTAAATGCAGGCTACATAACATCCAAAAACTCCTCAGAGAAAGTCCTATTATGTACATGAAAGGGGGAATGCAGTAAGTCCCATTTGGCTGGGCAGGGAGCATTCTGCACTCAGTGAAACTTCGCAGTTCCTGTGCTGAGTGCCAACTGCATGTTCCTACTAGACCGAGGCCCTAAACACAGACGGGCAAGTGTAGTGGAAAATGAGCTAAAGGGTGCAGTCAGTGCTGGGCAATTTTTTGTCTCTAGAACATCAAAAACACAAGGCAAGATTTTAATAAGGGTATCATTTTTTTAAAAAAGTTCCTAACTAGTTATGATCCAGTATGATGATGAATGTTACTCAGGGTTGCTGTGGCAAAACAGACTGACCTTATCTTTTTCCGTGAGTCCCCATCAATACACAGCTAAAACCAAGAGTTAGTTGAGATGCATCACTAGTGACTCTCACTCTGTGGGACTGACACTCTCAGGGAAACCTCTGAATTTTAAAATAAGTATACAGTGAAATTAACCATATTAGGAAATAAAGGCACAATGGGTGAGGTGACTCAGCTCAAATGTCACCTGCTCATACAGGACTCCCCTGGAGAGCTGAAAGTTCGGCACTCCTTTCTTCACTAGTTAGTAACCTCTCGTTGCTCTTTAACCCATTAACTGTGATAACTTTCAAATGATAATTGGTGGGTGTTTATCCATCCTCCCTGTTTGAATTTCAACTCCCAGAGACAGGAACTCTGTATGCTTCATTACTCTCTTCCTAACACCTACGTAGAGGCTGGCACAGAGTAAGCCCTCAGTACTCTTAGACTGGCTGCCTTTCCAAGTGCCAAGAACAAAGAGCGCAGTTATCTGTAACTGAAGACTTTGTGGAGTCCAGAAAAACCAGCATTCACCTCAGTATATCAAAAACATCACATATTGGAATGAGAAGTCTCTTTTACTATTGATGTCACATTGCTTAAGTCCATGCCTGGAGGCAAAGTGGCCTGAAGCAACACCACCCCAAGGGTGGTTCGCGAACCAGCAGCATCAGTGCCACTCGGCCGTGTGCTAGAAAAGCCAAGTCCAGGCCCCACGGTGTACCCAGTGAGTCAGAATATCTGGGGGTGAAGCCTAAGAATGTGTGTTTTAATTAAGTTCTCCTGGTGATTCTTATGAGCCCTAAAGTTTTAAGAAACACTGATCCAGAAACAAATACTAGATTACCACGGACCGTGCCACTCATCTTAACTGAGTAACTGTTATTCAGAAATAAAGGTGAAAATAAAAAGGAAATGTCAAAAAGACTAGCATTTGCCAGGGAAAACTGGCATGTTCTTGCTGGCATTTAGATTTTTTTAAATCAGGAAGAAGGAGAGTGAAGTATATGCAAAATGGTCTACATGAATAAACTCAGGACAGTCAGAATGTGACACCCCCCAACTTGCAGCCAGATAACTGCCCCATGTTCTGCTTCACCGGGGCCTCCCAGGCCTGCCTGAAAACCAGCAAGCAGGTGAGGCTCCTTGTGCACAGAACTCTCCCTTTACCTGTTTCCCTCTTCTTCCCTGGGCAGCACCATCTGTGGCTCTTTTTTTTTTTTTTTTTTTTTTTTTTGAGATGGAGTCTTGCACTGTCATCTGGGCTGGAGTGCAGTGGCGCGATCTCGGCTCACCACAGCCTCTGCCTCCCGGGTTCAAGTAATTCTCCTGCCTCAGCCTCCCAAGTAGCTGGGATTACAGGTGCCCACCACCACGTCCAGCTATATTTTTTTGTATTTTTAGTAGAGATGGGATTTCACCATATTGGTCAGGCTGGTCTCGAACTCCTGACCTTGTGATTTGCTGGCCTCAGCTTCCCAAAGTGCTGGGATTACAGGCATGAGCCACCGCACTTGGCTCATCTGTGGCTCTTTCTAAGAATCACTGCAATAGATGATGGACCAGAACAACTCAGCGAGGGCTGCCCCACTTCCCGCCCCGGGGATGAGAGGGGAGCCGCGCCATACCATGATTGAGATGCCTGACGCAGTCACTCAGGAGGGCACTAAACCTCTTCTGGTCAGCAGCCTCGTGGAAGCAGAAGTAGCCGTGTCTGAAGAAGGGCTGCCACAGGTACACTGGGAATTCCTTGGGCAGGACCACAAAGGGCTGAGTGTTCTCCTTCTCACTGGAGGCTAAAGAAATATTGAAAACACAAATACCTTTTAAAACATGTATCTTTTATTTCAAATGTGTGTTTCAGGTCGTGAGGGTGACTATCTGGGGCAGGCCATGGGATGGAAAGTTGGTGAGATATTTTCACAGGATAGGGAAACTGGGAGCACTGGCTCCTCTGGCATCCCTCCACCAGCTTCCCCTGTCCCACTGCGGTCTGCCTGGCCTCCTACCCAACATCACAGGGACAGTGAGGATACCAGGAACACAATTTTTTCTCTTTTTTGAGACAGAGTCTCGCTCTGTCACCCAGGCTGGAGTACAGTGGCACAATCTTTGCTCACTGCAACCTCCACCTCCCAGATTCAAATGATTCTCCTGCCTCAGCCTCCTGAGTAGCTGGGATTATAGGCGCATACCACCACCTCCAGCTAATTTTTGTCTTTTTAGTAGAGACAGGGTTTCACCTTGTTGGCCAGGCTCCTGACCTCAAGTGATCTGCCCGCCTCAGCCTCTCGAGTAGCTGGGATTACAGGCATAAGCCACCGCACCCGGCTAGTTTTTTTGTATTATTTGTAGAGACAGGGTTTTGCCATGTTGCCCAGGCTGATCTCAAACTCCTGAGCTCAAGCGAGCCACCTGACTTTGCCTCCCAAAGTGCTGGGATTACAGGCATGAGCCACCGCGCCCAGCCTGGGCACAATCTTTCTCAACTTCCTTATGTCTAAAGACCCACAAACGGAGCTTCCTCTGCCCTCCTGCCCCTCTGCAGGCCACTGACAACCTGTGCACCCCCTCACTCTACTGGCCCTGCAGGCTCCAGCTCCAACAGGGCAGCTCTCTGCCCTGCACTCTCTCCCTCCTCCCTGTCACTGCCAAACACCACTTGCTGTTTTTATGCCATCAACCTTATTCTCACCTCAGTCTGATTCCTGTCCCCACCAGCTCCTGAAACCCAACTGCTGAAGCCATTTATGTCATCCTGACTGCCAGCCTATGGCTGCTTCTTTTCATCTGACCTGGAATATTTGCTGCTGCTAACAACCCCTTCTTTTGAAAACATTATCTCCCCATGACTTCCAGGAGTGCCTCTCTCCTGGTTTCCTTCATGCTTTGTAGAATTTTGTTTCTTCTTTATCACCTTTATTGGTTCCTCTGCTGACTCTCTCCATCTCCTCGCTAAGCATCGGTGCCTGCCCTGTTCTGTGCTGGCTTCCCCTCCACTCTCAGTCTGTACCCTCCCAGGGTGTGTTCACCCATTCCGTGACTTTTTATATTGTTCCTACAGTCCATAGAACCCTCTCTTCCCTCCTTTCCATCATGCTTTCCCATAAAAAAATTCTCATTCATCCTTCAAAAGTCAGTTCAAAAGCCACTCCTCTGGGATGCCTTTGCTGGCACATCCCACTGCCACCAGAGACAGAGTTAGGTGCTTCCTACCCTGTTCTCCCCAAATACTGCAATGACCTGTTTTCATGCCCAGCGCCCACACTCAGGGTAGGGAGGCGGGGGAGGGGAATGAGATGGATTCCCGTGCTGTTCCCCTCCGCAAGGAGCAGAACCACTGCTACCCACTGTGAACGTCTAGAGATGCAGACTGCATCTTCCATAGCTTTGTATCCTTAGCCCACAGCACAGTCATGGAACATAGCAGATGTTCAACTTCAGTTTGTTGAGTGAAAAATGTGCTTTGTTGGCCTAGGATATTTTTTTAAAGCCCTAGACAATGGGACTTTTACCTCTTCCCTCAAAATCAATTCCAAGCAACTCATTTTAAACCGACTACTATTCAGAACCCCTACCTAAACTTTACTCCTTTCCATGCATTCCTATTACATGATATTGCACTTGGTTAAATGAGTTCCAACTTTTTCCAGAGTCACAGAAAATAAGCAGAAGAAAATGTTAGTTCTGTGCTTCCTGCATATGTATTAAGCACCAATCTCAGGGAAAGGTAAGGAAGAAGGTCTCTCTAAGAGGCCATTGAAAGCACTGGGAATACAAGGAAATGAATCATGACCACATGGGAGTCTACAGAACCGCATCAGTTCTGGCAAATTAATAAATCAGGATTGCTCATGCCTGTAATCCCAGCACTTTGGGAGGCCAAGGAGGGTAGATCATGAGGTCAGGAGTTCAAGACCAGCCTGACCAACATAGTGAAAACCCATCTCTACTAAAAATACAAAAATTAGCCGGGAGTGGTGGCATGCACCTGTAATCCCAGCTATTCAGGAGGCTGAGGCAGGAGAATCACTTGAACCCGGGAGGCAGAGGTTGCAGTGAGCCGAGATCATGCCACTGCACTCCAGCCTGGGTGACAGAGCGAAACTCCATCTCAAAATCAATCAGTCAATCAATCAATCCGTATTGGTTTAAATAAAGAATAAATTTCTGGGGATATATGGGAGCCCTGTTCCAGTGTCCTGGAATCTGAAGGTAACAGAGGAGAATGCACCACCAGCACAAGCCATGGCCCACCAGGACCTAGCACAATGCTGGGAATGAATCAACATGAAAACGAGCAAATGAATGAATGATTGAATGCTATAGAGACACCTGTAGTTGTAACACAGTATCTATTTCCCTTTCTGGGGAGAATAAGGCCCCTGATTTTTAGTTGGGCAAGTGACTACATAAAATAAGACTACATTTCCAGCCTCCTTTGCAGCTTGGTGAGCCCACAGCTACTAAGATCTGTCCAGTAAGATATAAGCTGAAGTGGCATATGAAACTTCCTGGAGGTATCTCTAAAGAAAGTGAATGTACCCTCCTCCTTTCCTTTTCTCCTCCCTATTATCTGGAATGAGAATGCTATGGTAGGAGCTCAGCAGCCACCCTGGACCCTGCCAAAAGGGGCCACAACCTAGAAATAAAGGGGGAGAAAGCAAGAAAGAGCCTGAGCTTCAGACAAATTTAGTCCACACCAGCCCTGAACTAATATCGAAATATCTTTAGTGAGATAATAAAACTTTGAGTTTTTTATTGTATGCAGTAAATGAGATTCTAACCAGTAAAATGCCAAACAAGTGAATTACTTTAACAAAACACGGGGGCATTTTTTTCTGTATCAACTTAGCTGAACACTCTGTAAAGAATACACTTATTGGCCAGGCATGGTGGCTTATGCCTATAATCCCAGCACTTTGGGAGGCCAAGGCAGGAGGGTCACTTGAGCTCAGGAGTTGAAGACCAACTTGGGTAACAGAGTGAGACCATTGTCTCTGCAGTTCTTTGTTTGTTTTTTTGCTTGTTTTGTTTTTCTGGGCATAGTGGCATGTAGCTGTGGTCCCAGCAACTCGAGAGTCTGAGGTGGGAGGATTACTTGAGCCCAGGAGGTCGAGGCTACAGTGAGCCATGATCACATCACTGCATTCCAGCCTGGGCAACAGAGTGAGACTCTGTCTCAAAAGAAAAAAGAAAAAGAAATGCACTTATTCATAAGCCTCTAGTGCTTTTTCCAAGAAATGCACTTATTCATAAGCATCCCATCTTTATTATGCCTTTATTCTTTCTGGTAGAAATAATATCACAGAGTCAGTCTTCTTGACTGACATGGTTCTATCAAACAATCCTCCTTGCCCTCTCCAAGAATGTCATAATTTTGTACAAGCAACCAAAAGCAACATTGATCCTTTGCATTTAAAAAGCCTCAACAAACCCATAAAATTCATTCCTTTTAGCCTCTAGTTATCTCTCAACCTTTTACAACAATTTTCCAGATGCCATCAGTGAATTTTTTCTGAGTTACAAGAATATCACAACTGATCTACTGTAGAATATTCTATTTTAAAAGTCAGAAGGTCACAACACACAATTTTAAAAAGTCATTAAAATGCCCCAATCTGAAGCCTTGGGCCAACTGGGATTAATCACACAGGACTTGTGTTTTTTAGTCCTTTTCATTCCCTCCAATATGATTACAGCAATAAATCAATAAACATATTGTCTCTTCTGGCTGATTTCATTGGAAAGTTTTAGAGAGATTTGGATGAGTCAACATGTTGGTATTCCCATTTCTAGCTGCAGCTCCACTGCCAAGGGCATATAAGTAGATGTAAAAGAAAATATAATAATATGCATAGTGCACATAAAGTGTTGTTTTAGCATGAATTACTTAGTAATAATTTGTTAATCTTAGTTTATGGTCCATGTACCAATCCTGTAATTGTGTTATTAAAAACACTATGTTAAGCACTCAGCACCGAAATAACAATTGATAAAATGATTATGTTTTTCTCCATAAATTCTAATGAAATTATTATGTCCGTTAATAAGAACCAGGGCTCTCTTCAAGAACCAAGTAATTACTATGTAGTATGATTTATGCAAAGCCAAATGGAGTTATTACATTATCCACACTTCATGAATCTCTATGAATTGCCTTATTTAGTCTATATATTATCCATCATTTCTCCACATGTAAAAAGTGGAATGAATGAGAATCAAAGAAGGTTAGACCTAGAAAGACCCTTCTAGGTTTTTAAGTTCAAAGCCCTGTTTTTGAGTTGGAGAAACAGAAACCAGAGCTGTTCAGCAGCCGGCTAAGCTAAAGCATTTGGTAAGTGGCACAGCCAGAACTAGATAAAAATCCAATCTCCCAATTATCTTTCCATGGCAGCATCCCAGCTTTATTTATAGATATGCAAATTAATGCAATGCTTTTTTTTTTCACAGTAGCTATGAGTTACTGTAACACTTATTAAAAGGTTTTTTGTCTATTTAGGGTATTTAGTTGCATATCATCCTAAAATTAGAAAAATAGTATTCCCTGACAGGTCCAGGCTTGCTTACTAGAAGATGGGATTGTATATTTCATGGACTGGGCCCTACCTGTTTATTTCTGCTGCCTTGTGGAGTGCTATCAAAGCCTGCAATATATTCCAAAAGCTTCAAGATACCTGGCTGACAGCACATTTTCCATGTGCTAGAAACACAGAGACTGACTGTGTATTATTGAATGGGATTAGAAATAATGGAAGTGGTAAAATGTTTTCCTCAACTAGAGAAATCACATCTTCCACTTGTCTATGGGACATGAGTGACTAGCCCAGGGTTTCTCAACCTTGGCACTACTGATACTTTGTACCAGATAACTCTTCCTTGTTAGGGTCTGTCCTGTGCATGGTAGGATGTTTTGTAGCATCCCTGGCCTCTATTCACTAAATGCCATAGCACCCCGATTCCAATTGTGACAAACAAAAATGTCTCCAGATGCTGCCAAATGTCCCTGGAGGGAAATCCCTCTCCTTCACAGAGAAACACTGCTCCAGCTAAACAAAGAAGCTTAGTCATTTTGCCTTGGAAAAGAATGATCAGCAACTCACCAAGAGGGTCTGGGAAATGCCTGTCAGACAACAGATTATATTCATCTTCTGAGGTTAACACCTTGCCACCGGCTGGAAGAATTCGACATTTAGGAGCAGCTCCTCTCTGATAGGCCTGGGGAGGGAAAGGCACACAGGAATGATATCTTTTTCCCCATTTGATTTTTGGAAAATATCAGGGATATAACAAATAGACAGATTCAGACATTCAGAGATAGCAATCCCCATACTATGTTATTGAGTTATAGTCATTTACTCAAAAAATATGTTTTGAATACCTGCTAATGGCAAGGTAATATTTTAATACTTTCATGTGACAGTCACAACATGGTAAATCAGAGTCCCTAATCTCAGGGAGATTTACCCTAGGTATGTTCTCGAATGTGGAAAACATAATCTCAGTAACCCTGAAAGTCTGCACCACATTTGCCATTTCAGATGCTAACAACTAAATCATTCTGATAATAACCACAAAGGTGACGATCACACAAATACTGCACAGAATGCTTGGTGACTGATGTGGGCCACATAGGATGACTAATGAGACTGTGGAACACGTAGCTGCAATGATAGTTACCATGGATTTTCATCAAAACATGAAAATGTTGGCATAAAATATGCCACTATTTTGCCCTCAGATGTGAAACTGTTTTGCAGCAAAATGGTTGAGATGGAAGTACAGCACTGTGACATCAGAACAAATGCTGGCCAGCAGACAAGAAGCTCTGCTATTTGAGACACAGAAAAGAGGCACAGGGCATTGCCAAAGCAGTTTGGTAAGCACCTATGCCCACAAGGACATGCAGATAAGATAACATTTAAGTATGTGCATCTGACGGGAGGGCTTAAGTCAAGGCAAAATTCTGAAACTAGTAATCTAAAGGCAAGTTGAGAATTGAAACTAAGAAAGTTTGAGACCCAAAATCTAGAATTTACTCTTGGAAATGACTAAATAATGTTGATCTGACCAACATAATCAGAGTAACGATAACACGTTCTGCAGCAATAAGATAGTGAAGAGATCCAAATGAAACAAACTCTCAGATATCTAAATTACTTGTAACAACGACTAATCAACTGCTTAAGCATGTGAGGGAACCAGAATATACCCACTAACACAGAATTCTGGCAGCCTGACCTATTCATCCTAAGAAAGACGATTGGAGGACTCTTCTGAATAAATGATTAACCCAGGAAGGAGGATCTATACATAATTGAGGGCTCCCCATGAAATAATACCTTACAGCTCTAAGAACTCCCACAGAGCTACATTATAGTGAAACAATAATGTTGAGAGAAGAATCTAAACTTGTATGATATTAAGAAGATTTACAAGCAATTTGATTTAGACTGGACTCAAAAGTGAATTGTATTACTAGTTATAACAGGCCCCAATATTGGCTTTTATAAGCAT
Source organism: Homo sapiens (assembly GCF_000001405.40). Lineage (NCBI taxonomy): Eukaryota > Metazoa > Chordata > Mammalia > Primates > Hominidae > Homo > Homo sapiens. The sequence continues at coordinate 184,891,522 of NC_000001.11, forward strand.
TATACCACTTAATCCTCAAAACAGTACTATGCATTACATGTTATCTCCATTTTTCAAATGGGAAACATGAAGCTCAAAGAGACTGAATAACTTGCCCATGGCCCAGCAGTGAGTAGGTGACACATCCAGGATTTATATTCATGCCTGTCCAGCCCCAGTGCACACAAAATAGAAACTGATTATCAAGTGAGAATGTTTTACTTTTCCTGTTTAATTGCCAGCCAGAATTGGACTCTAAATAAAATAATAGATGACTTACAGGTACTTAATGCATAATTCTTAGATATAATTTTATAAGATACTTCCATAAATTAAAAAAAGAAGATATTATTAAAACTTCAAGAAATTATGACAAACTGCGTGGACTTTAAAAGAATTCCAAGTTTCAAAAAACACTTGGTTATTACCAAATTAAGTCACCATATCTTAACAATTTGAACAGGTTCAGTTAAAAACGATGAACAAAGAAAAAGCAGTGCAATGTACAAACTGCAAGCTGAGAGAGCAAGCTGAAATAAGTGAAAAGAGGAAAAACACCAACATTTGATTCAAAATGAAACCTCAGTTAGTGTTAAATGCAGTGAAAAACTTTAATAAATCCAAGAACAAGATCTAGGGCTGTTTCTTCCCAATGGGTTAGTAGTAATCATACCAGCAACTGCTCCACACCCAGCTCTAGCTTTACCACAGGCCCAGCCATATGCTAAATGCTTCCGTACATTCATTCACTTACTCCTCTCAACACCATGGCAAAGAAATCACGCAGATCTCATTTTACAGATGAGAAAACTGAGGCTCAAGATTTATAGCTTAGGCAAGGGCGCCTATCTAGTAAGTGGTAAAGGTATGAGTCAAAGCCCATAGTATGAACCATATTATGCTACACTGTCCCTCCTCAAGCTCCTCTGAAAGGACGTTGTAATGAGTCATACAAAACATAAGGTGTCTTGTTATTATCATCACTATTTGTAGTGTATTGATACTTTGTTGCTGAGTACAAATTAAGTGTTGAATAAAATCCTAATATTGATAAGCAGAGAAAATATTAGCTTAATAAATGTTGAAAAGAGTAAGTCTACCCAAGAGAGCACTTGAGCTTTGCCTGGTAGCCTGTGAAATAAGTTTGTAGTATATTTTATTTCTATTTTCCATCAGAAATGGGAAGGAAACAGATTGGTCTGTCAGTCTGAAGCCTCTTCCTAGCATCAGGTGTAGTCCTCACAGTGCTCTGTGAAGACTATCTTGACTACTCTTTTTTTATTTTTTTTGAGATAGAGTCTCACTCTGTCACCCAGGCTGGAGTGCATTGGGGTGATCTCAGCTCACTGCAACCTCAACCTCCCGAGTTCAAGTGATTCTCCTGCCTCACCCTCTTGAGTATCTGAGACTACAGGCATGCACCAGCATGCCCAGCTAATTTTTGTATTTTTAGTAGAGATGAGGTTTCATCATGTTGGCCATGCTGGTCTCTAACTCCTGACCTCGGGTGATCCACCTGCCTTGGCCTCCCAAAGTGCTGGGATTACAGGCATGAGCTACTGCACCTCGCCATCTTGACTATTCTTGAGCTTAGAGGCCAGAGAGCAGAGTTTTAAATCTGTTACTGTCGTTCACTGATAAATAGTAGCTGTTCATTTCAAAGGGAGCTTGAGGGTCTATGCAGACTAAAAAATGTGTACAGTATGAGATCTGGGAGGATAGTGGGATCATTTGACCTAACTGTTTAGCTTAATTGAGGACTGAAGGCAAGAAGTCACTTGTCAACAGGTTCATTTCTAGTTAATGGCACAACTTGACCTAACCTTTAGTTTGCCAAATTCACTGCCTGCTATTCTTTCCCCTATACCACACTACCTTCCTACATAAGGAAAGAAATGGGAACCAATAAAAACTAAAGTCCTCCCAGGGGCTGAATGCTTTACACCCATTATCTCACTTTCTCCACATTTTACAGACAAGGAAAATAGTGAAATAACCAGAAAAAAGTTAAATGAAAAAAAAATACCTCCATGGAAATAAAGTATGTGAGGCATTCTGAATTCCTAGGAACCCAGGAAAACCCAGGCAGATTCAAATTTAATAGCAACCTATGAAATAACTCCTGAGCCACCTGTCATGCACAGGGCTTCAGAGTGGGAAGACAGAGACATAGAGCAGAGATGTCAGGATGGTGGCTGAGAAAGACCTCAAGGCTGAATGATCATAGGAAAGGCTCCCATGCCAAATACTGGTCCTTCTGTCTTCATACTCACTTGCAATCACTTGTTCAAAGTCTATCTTGCCACTAGACGGCAAGCATCTGTCTTATCAACTGCTGTATACCCAGAACCTTGTATAACACTTGGTATGCAGTAGGCATTCAATCAGTATCTGTTAGCTGAAATAGATACCTACATGAATGAGTGCTTATTGAATGAATCAGTCTCTATTTTTGTACCAGTACCATGCTGATTTTGTTAGTATAGCCTTGTAGGAAGGAGAGGGCACACCAATCAACCGAGCCAAACTTTTAAGAACAGTGTAAGAATCAGTAGTAACAAAGAAGTGTCTTACCTCTTTATTCTCATAGCTCTCCACAGCATAATCATTTTTAACTACAACGTATCTCTCCTTCCACTTCTTTATGTCTTCAGAAAATTGTGATAGCTCTGCTTCATACAAAATAGTTCCAGGCGCCAATGGTGGCTTAAAGAAGATGAATACAATTAACTATCACAACAAAAGATAACACACCTTGTTACCACAAAGTTATCCATGCTATTTCAAGGAATAGTTTAGGAAACTATCTTCCACTGAGATCCTGGGGAAACTGTTGCTTCCTCCTCTCCCCCCACAATTTCCCTTTCCTACTCCACTTGACCCAATGTAAATATTTGTCTTATTGGTATTTTTATGATTTTCATTTCCCTCTATTATGCTATAGGAACAGAAGCATATGGTAGAAGGAATTATAGTAATAAGGTTATTATGCCTTGCATGCATGTGGCACTCAATAAATGCTTGATAAACTCTATGGGAGAGAGGGAGTGAGGCAGGAAAGTGTAAGTGTGGATACCTACCTGGACACCCTGAACATGACTCAGGGTTAATCCCCGCAAAGCGGGAGAATTAACAGACCGTTCCCCTATCCATTACACCTGCCGATGCTGCCTCCAATTCTCAATGGTTTTCCTAAACCCAAAGCCATGGGGACCCCTCTCCATGCTACTCAAGGAGATCATGTTTGCTATTTGGTTAAAGAACAAGCAGGTATCAAGCCAGAACACCTGAGTTCCACCGCTTCTACTGAAAAGTTTGAGGATTTCTTATTAACTGTGGTGATATATGTGCTGTGCGGGCATTTCCATTAGATTCCTAGTTACATCTTCCATTGGATTAACTGTGTAAGGATAATTCCCATCCGGCTTCATTGTGTAATTTTCATATTATTTCAAAATATACAAATGGGCCTCTTTTCTTTTACATGTCACTGAGTTTACATCTATTTTCCCTTTATTAAAAAATCATAGTGCCTTCAGAAACTTACCCCTCTACTTTCAAGTAAAATTTTAAATGAGCTATACAGAAAAAAAATAGATATGCCAATCTCTTTTAAGAATAATCTAAGGGATGAAACAAATTCCCTTCCAAATTCCAGTGCTTAATGAGGCAAGATAGGAGACAGATAATGCGGCAGTCCCCTATCTTGCCTCATTAAAAGGTAAGAGAGAATCTCTTCTCTTTAAATGAAACTGAAACCATGGCATAAGCTGAACTTCATAGTTCTTATGTGCAGCTTTTCTTAAAACCTGGACCACTTAATCAACTGATAAGCTTGTTAAAAATGGGGCCTCACGATAGACTTACTATATCAGAATCTCTGGAGCTGTGGGCCATAATGTGCATTTTAACAAGCTCCCTAAATTTTGAGATCACTGTTTTATGAGGGAAAGCAATCACTTATCCCTATGTACTCATGCTGCTAAATATATTGGTTAACTTCTCAGCATTATGTGACTCACTTATCACTTATTCTCTCTTGAAACCCCTTCTTTTTTATTTTTAGTTTTTTAAATTTTATATTCAAGGGGTACGTGTGTTTCTTACATGGGTATTACGTGTAACGGTGGGGACTGGGCTCCTAGTGTACCCATTACCCAAATCTTGAGCATTGTACCCAATAGGTAATTTTTCAACCCTTACTCCCCTCCCACCTTCCCCACTTTTGGAGTCTCCAGAGTCTATTCTCTCCATCTTTATGTCCATGTGTACCCATTATTTAGCTCCTGCTTATAACTGAAAACATGTGGTATTTGATTTTCTGTTTCTGAGTTAGTTCACTTAGGATAATGGCCTCCAGCTCCATCCATGTTGTTGCAAAGGGTATGATTTTGTTCTTTTTTATGACTGTGTAGCATCCTGTGGTGTATATATACCACATTTTTTTTATCCAATCAACCGCTGGTGCACACTTAGGTTGGTTCCATGGCTTTGCTATTAAAAATAGTGCTGTGATAAACACACACATACAGGAGTCTTTTTATATAATGATTTATTTTCCTTTGGGTAGATACCCAGTAGTAGGATTGCTGAGTCGAATGATAGTTCTTTTTTAGTTATTTGTGATATCTCCATACTATTTTCCGTAGGGGTTGAACTAATTTACATTCCCACTAACAGTGTATGAGCATTTCCTTTTCTCCACATCCACATCATCTGTTATTTTTTGACTTTTTAATGACATTCATTCTTACTGCTGTAAGATGATATCTTGGTGTGGTTTTAATATACATTTCTCTGATGATTGGTGATATTGAGCATATTTTCATGTGTTTGTTGTCCACTTGTATGTCTTCTTTTGAGAAATGTCTGTTCATGTCCTTTGCCCAGTTTTTAATGGGGTTGTTTTTTCTTGTTGAGTTTCTTGTAGATTCTGGATATTAGTCCTTTGTTAGGGGCATAATTTGCAAATATTTCTCCCATTTTGTAGGTTATCTGTTTATTTTGTTGACTATTTCTTTTTTGTGTATAGGCTTTTTAGCATAACTAAGTCCCATTTCTCTATTTTTGTTTTTGTTGCATTTGTTTTTGGGGTCTTCATCACAAATTCTTTTCCTGGGCAAATGTCCAGAAGAGTTTTTCCTAAGTTTTCTTTTAAGATTTCTATAGTTTCAGGACTTACACTTAGGTTTTTAATCCATCTGAAGTTAATTTTTGTATATAATGAGAGATAGGGGTCCAGTTTCATTCTTCTGCATATGACTAGCCAGTTTTCTCAGCACCTTTTATTGAATGGGGTATCCTTTCTTCATTATTTATTTTTGTTGATTTTATCAAAGATCAGTTGGTTGTAGGTATGTGGCTTTATTTCTGGGTTCTCCATTCTGTTCCATTGGTCTATGTGTCTATTTTTGTACCAGTACCATGCTGATTTAGTTAGTATAGCCTTGTAGTATAATTTGAAGTCAGGCAATGTGATGTCTCCAGATTTGTTCCCTTGCTTGGGCGTGCTTTGGCTATTCAGGCTTTTATTTGTTCCCTATGAACTTTAGGATTAATTTTTCTAATTTTGTGTAAGATGACATTGGTAATTTGATAGCAATTGAATTGGAGCTGTATATTGCTTTGGGGAACATGGTCATTTTAATGATAGTGATTTTTCCAATCTGTGAGCATGGGATGTGTTTCCATTAGTTTGTGTTGCCTACAATTTCTTTCATCCGTGTTTTGTAGTCCTTGTAGAGATCTTTCATCTCCTTGGTTAAATGTACTCCTAAGTGTGTGTGTGTGTGTGTGTGTGTGTGTGTGTGTGTGTGTGGTGGGTGGGGGTGGCTATTATAAATGGGATTGAGTTCTTAATTTTGAAACCCCTTTTTTATTTGCCTTCTGGGACATTATGCTTTTCTGATTTTTCTCCTACTCCATAGACCGTTTCTTCTTAGTCCATTTTGCTGGATCCTTCTCCTTTTTCTGATCTCCAAATGCTGAAGGGGCCAGTGTACTGTTTCTTTTCTCTGTCTATAGTCTTTCCCTGTTTTATGGCCCATGGCCTTAATACTAGTTATAAGCTAACATCTTCCAAATTTCTATTCTCCAGGCTCAATCACTCTGCTGAGCTCCAAATGAAAACATCTAATGGCCTATTCAACATTTCCACACTAGCATCTCAAACTTAACATGGCCAAAAGGGAACTCGTGATCCCATTCACTCCGACTCTTCCTTCTAAGTAAAAGGCAACTCCATCCACTTATTTGCTCTGGTTAAAAACCAAGAAGTCATCACTGATTTCTCTCTTCTTCTATTATCTCACACCCAACCCAACAGTATGTTCTGTCAGCTCTATCATAAGCACCTCTCCTCACAACCATGACCATCACCACCCCAGTCCAATTTGGCATCATTCTTCCCTCAGATGCTACAGTATCCTGCTCCCCAGTTTCCATTCTCCCCTCTCGCCCCATAGTCTATTCTTTACACAGAGGCCAGACAGATCATCTAAAATTATATGCCACTCTGTATTCAATACCCTCCAGTGGGAGACTTCCCATTACAAAACAAAATCAAAACCCTGTTGTGACCCACAGGTTGACATGATGTGCTCCCGATCTGTCTCTCTGCTGTCATTGTTCCTCCCTCCTCCCTTGCTCACAGTGCTCCCAGCAGACCGACCTTCCCTCTGTGTGGCAGGGTCTTCACACTTGCTGTTCCATAGACCTGGAATACTCTTCCCACGAATATTCACACAGCCTACTCTCATTGCACTCCAGTTTCTGCTTAAATGTTATCTCCACAGAGGGCTTCCCTAACCATCTTCTCTAAAATAAGGCTCTAGGCTGGGCGTGGTGGCTCACACCTGTAATCCCAGCACTTTGGGAGGCCGAGGCAGGTGGATCACTTGAGGTCAGGAGTTCAAGACCAGCCTGGCCAACATGGTGAATATCCTGTCTCTACTAAAAATACAAAAATTAGCTGGGTGTGGTGGTGCGCACCTGTAATCCCAGCCACTCAGGAGGCTGAGGCAGGAGAATCACTTGAACCCAGGAAGCAGAGGTTGCAGTGAGCCGCGATTGTATCACTGCACTCCAGCCTGAACCACAGAGCACGACTCTATCTCAAAAATAAAATAAGACTCGCTTTATTTCTTTTTAGCATTTATTATTATCTGATGTCACCTGATATTAATTTGTTTATTACCCGTTTCCTGTGTGTGAATATAAACTCCAGGAAGGCAGAGAACTTGTCTTAATTCCCCAGTTCTTGGACTATAGCCTAGCACATAGTAGGTGCTAACAAACATTTGTCGAGGTGGTGGTTACTTATTATAATGGAGCAAAGGAGTAAGAATAAATTAGGGGATTCAAAGAGAAAATCATATTTGATCAATGACCAAAACTTCACTACAGAAAGTCAAATTTTCTTAGACAAACAAAGCATCCATGTGGGAAAAATACATAACAATATTGGATTCAAGCTAATTTCCTTTTTCTATGGATTATATCAGCAACAAGAAATCATACATTCTAACTTCCAGGCAAATAGAGTTTTTTGAGCATGAAACGACTTCAGAGCAGAGTTTTTAAAACTGCCATTCAAATTATTGTTTATTTCAGAAATACGGCTGTGCTATATAGCCTTCTTCAAGGGGAAATACATGTAAACCAAATATCCATGGCTTACCTTGGTCTTCAAAAACTGTGACGTTAAATCTCTTTGCTGTTCTACTTCAGTGCGCACGTGATTGCAGAAAGCCACAGAGTACTGACGACTGTAGTAGGGACTGAAGTTTTTGATGGCAGCCTCAGTTTTCCCTAGAAAAATATGAAAATTAGAATTCTTAAGTATAGCACAGAATATACACCTATCTACAGAGTTCCAAAAACCATCCCTCCAGTCTCTCTGTTTCTATCCCTCCAGTCACCCCTGTTTCTATCCCTCCAGTCACCCCTGTTTCCCAGATATTTGCCAGTAGTCTGTCTTCCCGGAGAACTTTGCTACCTGCTGCACATGCCCCATCTCTCCCTCTCCTTCTGGCATCATCCTGAGAGGCTTCACAGACCCTAAGGACTAAATTGACCCTAAGGACTAAATCCCGTAACCTATTGAGTTTTGCTTTATTTTCTATCAATAGACTATCGCCATGACCATAAACTCAACCATCCTTCTAATCCTCCTAAGACTGTTCTTCTACCTCGCCCTCTCTCCACTTCTACTTGTTCTTTATTCTCCTCGACCTCCAGTCATTCAGCTCCTCCCTCCAAATGATAATCCCAGGTCTATGCCTTCAATTCTGCAAGCACATCACTCTCTTTTTTTTTTTTTTTTTTTTTTTCTTGAGACAGAGTGTCCATCTTGCTGCCCAGGCTGGAGTGCAATGGCACAATCTTGGCTCACCACAACTTTCACCTCCCGGGTTCAAGCGATTCTCCCGCCTCAGCCTCCTGAGTAGCTGGGATTACATGTATGTGCCACCATGCTCAGCTAATTTTGTATTTTTAGTAGAGATGGGGTTTCTCCATGTTGGTCAGGCTGGTCTCGAACTCCCAACCTCAGATGATCTGCCCGCCTCGGCCTCCCAAAGTGCTGGGATTATAGGCGTGAGCCACCACACCTGGCCATCACTCCCTTTTTCTTCAGATCCCTGAGGCTCCACCTCTAGTCTTGTGACTCACAGTCCTGGATAAAATCAACAAGTGTTTCCTCTCACTCTGCTCCAATATTTCTGGTTTAAAATTTTTGTGTGTGATTCAAAGCAGTATATAACCACCACGAGACAGAGGGGGAAACTTTGGTTTAAGAGCCTAGAGACCTGAGCTCTGGTCTCGATTCTGTGAGGCAGAAACCAGCTGTACAACCTCAGTCAAGTCATTCGACTCTCAAGGCTCCAGAATCCTAACTATAAAGGAAGGTGCTCACTAGTCTACACATTTCTTTGGATCTGCATGCCATTGAAATATAAGTACAGTACGAAAGTCCAGCTGCCTCACAATGACCAGAAACTGCAATATATTAAATAGTCTCTCAGCACCGAAAGTAAATCAAACTGAGTATGAACCATGTGGGGGAAGCTTGAGGACTTGAGATGGAGGGACAGGGAGAGTCAGACACCTGAAACATTCTTGCCTTTCCAATCTGTGCTTAGCTTTAGAGAGTATGGAAATTGCAAAGGAGGGAAGAGAGAAGGAGGAATAGAGGGGAAAGGGTGGGTGTAGGAGCATTCTCATGCAGATTAGAAACCCTTACAACATTTCAACTACTTGCTGCAGGGTACAGAAAGAAACACAGGCTTCACTGATTGTGCTCGTAAGCGATGAGTCCGCAGAACAGGGTACAGCTTGAGGAAAAATAAACTTGCTGTAATATTCCAAAATATTTTAAAGTACTTTCATATGAACTTGACATCATTTTTGCTTTTAAAATTTGATATTATAGTCAATAAAGAGATATTAAAATATACTGGCAAGATTTGTTTAGAGCTATCATGTGGGTTAAATTTCAAAAATAAGTGAAGAGTTCTAACTACATAGATTGAGGTACTCAATAGGAAAGCCTTGAATCCATAGCAACCCGTTTCTAAGCCTATAGAACCATAGCCAAAAACACCCATAATGTATGAATACTCTCCATATGCAGAGAATCCTACTTTTGTTTGGGAATTTAGGTCTTATACTATAAATGAGGTAAAGAGGAATTCTTTCATATTCACTTCATAACATGGCATTTACTGGTCATGTGAGCTTTAATAATTATTACTTGTAAGGTGCTTTGAGACCCACTAATAATAGATTCTGTAGAAATGCAAATAAAAGCTCCTATAATTTGAATCAGGCATGCTTTTGCTTGCTCTGTGCATTTATGGTATTACTATTAATCAGTATTTGCATAATACTTTAATATACTCAGGCTTTATAATCATCTAATTGGTTATTATGCTATCAGCTTTTATGCAGTGTAATTCTCTATGCTTGTCTATAATTTTCTTACATAGGAGTGGGACAGTGTGGGAATTCCCACAATGAGAACGAATCTCACTTTACTAAAACATATAAATGATGAACAAAATTTGCCCTTTAGGTCCAAGTAGCCACTGTTTGGTCTATCAGAAAAGCAGCCTGTTAATTTCTAATGTTTATTTTTGTACTCTTGAAAGCACTTGGATTGAAATGAAAGGAGGTGAATGTCATTTTATGATGAACTCTATAAAGCTTTGAAAGCTGATTTTCTGCCACATCACCAAGCCTCCCCAGGGACGCCCTGCTTCTGGTGAGGTGCCATAATGCTCTCTTCTGATATATGAGAAAAATGCTTCTGTAATTTGAATATCTGCATACTGTCCCATTAACACATCATCCACCAGGTAGCGCTTATAAAGAAGCAATTGCAGCTTCTTTAGGTAATTAATCTAATAACTAGTTCAAACTATGTATGATATAGCTAACAATATCATATGTTCTGGGGTGGGGGGAACCTAAAGTTATTTGGCAAGTGTATCTGGACTTTAGATTAAGCCTATCTAAATCCAAATAAATAAGTACCCAATGTAGGGATCCTAAGACTGAGAGCAAAGTCTGGTGTTGAGGCAGGGGACGGTCTGGCTTGGTGGCTCTTGCTTGTAAGCTAGCACTTTGGGAAGCTGAGGCAGGAACATTGCTTGAAGCCAGGAGTTTGAGGTTGTGATGAGCTATGATTGCACCACTGTACTCCAGCCTGGGAAACAGAGCAAGACCCCACCTCTAATTTAAAAAAAAATAGTCTGATGTTGGAGCAAAATACCACTGTGGTTAGGAATCAGACAGGTTCAAATCCCATCTCTACTACTTGCCAGCTGTGAGATCTCATGTGAGTTACTTCTTTCTGCTCACATGTTAAATGAAGAAAACAAGAGTAGCAGCCTCATAAGGTTATTCTAATGATTCCATGAACTAATGCAGTAAAGTGCTCAGCATGATAGCTGGCACATAGAAAATGTTCCATAATTGATCATAATTAAAATGATGATGATAATGGTGATGTGGGTGTCCCTTAGGCAAGCACCAGGATAAAGTCCTCAAGCTGAACTAAGGAATTAAGGAGAAGAAAAAAGCCGGCTGTTTACTGTAACTCTTGCACTAGGGCCATCCTGCCCTGCTGTATACAGAAGAGCTGCCCCACCCATTGCAGGCTCCAAACAAATACAACCTACATTTTCACAAAGGTTCAGCATAGAAGACCCTCAGTGCATTCCTGAATTAAAACCAACTAAATAAAACATCAACATTAATGAACTGAAGAAAAAGTGTAAGTTAGGGGCTGTGTTTCATTGAGCTTCTCTCTCTGAGCCTCAATTTTCTCACCTGCAAAATGAGGATAATAAGATGCCCATATCACAGGGTTTCATGAGGAGCAAATAAAATATTCTGTATATTGAAAACTATCTAGGACAGTGCCTGACACATATTAGTTGATCAATCAATTTTGACTATTTAATATTCCACAATGAAAACATTCAAACAAGTGATCAGCCCACAGGGGCCACACAAAATAACCTCAGCTGAAACTACATTATTCATCACCGTTTTCAAGATTCTTGAGCACTGAATTCCTTTCATATCCCTGTCACCAAATTTAGTATCACATTCTCTTTCCTAAATTGTTTATAAAACACAGTGCCAGGTCTTATACTGAAAGGAGATTACTCAATAATGGAAGGACTAAAAGCAATGGAAGGGATTCTTCCACATTTTGATATACCACCATTTTTGGCACAGGTATGTATCTCTAATCCTACTTGTTTATTACAGCTTGTGCTGGGCATTGCGTTAGTACAATTCACTTGACCCTAAGCTGCTCATAACACCCTTCAAGGTAATCATCACTGATGCTAAAAGAAGCCACTTGATATAGTTTGGATCTTTTGTCCCCTGCAAATCTCATGTTGAGATGTAATCCCCAATGTTGGAGGTGTGGCCTGGTGGGAGGTGTTTGGGTCATGGGGGCGGATCTCTCATTAATGGCTTAGTGCCATCCCCTTGGGATAGGTGTGTTCTTGTTCCCTTAGTTCACATGAGAGCTGGTTGTTTGAAGGGAGCCTGGCACCTTCTCCTCTCTCTTGCTCAGCTCTTGCCATGTGATGCACCTGCTCCCCCTTTGCCTTCTGCTATGATTGTAAGCTTCCTGAGGCCCTCACCAGAAGTAGATGCCAGCATTATGCTTCCTGTACAGGCTGTAGAACCAAGAACCATGAGCCGATTAAACCTTTTTTTTTTTTTTTTTTTTTTGAGATAGTCTCAATCTGTCACCCAGGCTTGGAGTGCAGTGCTGCAATCACAGCTCACTGCAGCCTTGACCTCCCAGTCTTAAGCAATCCTCCCATCTCAGCCTCCTGAGTAGTTGGGACCACAGGAGCGTGCCACCACACTTATTATTTTTTTTTTTTTAGACACAGTTTCACTCTTATCCCCCAGGCTGTAGTGCAGTGGTGCCATCTTGGCTCACTGCAACCTCCGCCTCCCAGGTTCTAGTGATTCTCCTGCCTCAGCCTCCCAAGTAGCTGAGATTACAGGCATGCACCACCACACCTGGCTAATTTTGTATTTTTAGCAGAGACAGGGTTTCACCATGTTAGTCAGGCTGGTCTCAAACTTCTGACCTCAAGTGATCCACCCGCCTCGGCCTCCCAAAGTGCTGGGATTACAGGAGTGGATCACTGCACCCAGCCAATTTTTGTATTTTTTGTAGAGACAGGGTTTCACCATGTTGCCCAGGCTGGTTTCGAATCCCTAGACTCATGATCCACCCGCCTCGACTCCCATAGTGCTGGGATTACAGGCATGAGCCATCACACCCACCCTAAATTTTTTTTCTTTATAAATTACCCAGCCTCAGATATTTCCTTATAGCAACGGAAGGAAACTAACACACCTCTTTGACAACTCTGTCCATATAACTTAGCTTCAGTTCACCTTTGTAAAATTAAGAAAAATATCTGCTGGCCCCTTTGAAGCCATTAACTCTATACAGGCTCAAAAACTCAGCATTCATTTGACTCCTTCTCTCCCATTCCCAGATCCAATCATCAGATCTTGCCACTTTTATTTCCAGAAATTTCTTGATTCCATTTCCTTTTCCCCATCCCAACCACCACACCTTCAATCAAGCCTCTACTATCTCTCAACGACATTATAAAAGTCTCTTGGGCTGGGCGCAGTAGCTCACACAATCCCAGCATTTTGGGAGGCCAAGGTGGGTGGATCACTTGAGGTCAAGAGTTCAAGACCAGCCTGGCCAACATGATGAAACCCTGTCTCTACCAAAAATACAAAAATTAGCCGGGTGTGGTGGTGCACACCTGTAATCCCAGCTACTTGGGAGGCTGAGGCAGGAGAATCACTTGAGCCTGGGAGGCAGAGGTTGCAGTGAGCCAAGATCGCACCACTGCACCCTAGGTGACAGAGCGAGATCTGTCTCAAAAAAAAAAAATTCTCTGTATCTACCCTACTTCAGCATCACAGCAGAGACAGAGGAGAAAAACAAAAACAGGAACTCTCAGCTCTTAAACAGGAACAAAAAAGTGAAAACCAGAGTGGGAGGGGGAGTGCCAGGGCTGATCCTGGAGGATTATGGGGAATGAGCCAAAGCTTGGTGTGTGTGGCAGAGGCTGGTTCTGAGAAGTGGCCGGAGTCCAGGGCTGATGGGGCAGAACAGGAGAGGCTAAATCAAAGCTGACCACCTTGGTCCCACTCAAAGGTAGCATGAGTTACAAAAAGGCCCAGATGTTAGAGGTGGGAACTGTATTTCAGAACCAAATCTTGGCACTGATGTTACTAAGACACTCTTTTGAAAGTCATAAGGGTCACACCTCATTAGTCATAGGGGCACAACCTTCTGACTTGTCCTGGACTGGCAGCTTTCATTTAACATGCTGCTGCAAGATCATATCACTATCTTTGTAAGAAAAAAAAAATCTTCAATGTTTCCCTATTGCCTAGGGTAGTAACCCCTCGTCCTAGTACCACGGGCCTGGGATCTCACCTCAACTGTCTTTATTTCCCACTTCTTTCACTCAACTTAAGCCTTCTTGCCCCTGTGCATACATGTGCCTTCTCTCCTCCTTTCTCCCCCTAAGTCCCCTGCTAGCCACTTTCAGACCCTTCAAGCCCACATGACAGTCCCAACCCGAGTAGAAACCTCTTTGGATCTCCCCAGCTGGAAGCAATCACACCTTCTTTGGCATTCTCCCAAGATTGTGTACCACTTCTACTGCAGCTGTTCAAATATAGCTTATCTCTCCTCCAAGGGTATATTGTGTTTATATACTCAGCAAATATTTGTTGAATGAATGAAAGAATGGCTGAGTAAATATTCAAGAGTAAACCAAATTACAATGCATTCTATCAACAAAACCCATGCCAATGCCCCAGGAAAGGAGAAAGGTACAGTTTTCAGCTTGAATATTAATTACCAAAAATATACACTCTTGGCCAGGCATGGTGGCTCATGCCTGTAATCCCAGCACTTGGGGAGGCCGAGATGGGAGGATCACCTGAGTGCAGGAGTTTGAAACTAGCCTGGACAACATAGAGAGACCTTGACTCTACAAAAAAAAATTAAAAAATTAGCCAAGTGTGGTGATGCACACCTGTAGTTGCAGCTACTCAGCAGTGGTGGGGGTGGGGTGAGGGTGAGGCAGAGTATTGCTTGAGCCCAGGAATTCGAGGCTGCAGTGAGCTGTGATCACACCACTGCACTCCATCCTGGCTGACAGAGCAAGATCCTGTCTCAAAATAAATGAACACACACACACACACACATGCACACACACACACACATTTGAAATTCAATTCATATCTGTTTATAAAATATCAGACTCTTGGCTGGGCGCGGTGGCTCACACCTGTAATCCTAGCACTTTGGGAGGCCGAGGCGGGTGGATCACCTGAGGTCAGAAGTTCTAGACCAGCCTGACTAACATGGAGAAACCCCGTCCCTACTAAAAATACAAAATTAGCCAGGCGTGGTGGCGCATGCCTGTAATCCCAGCTACTCGGGAGGCTGAGGAAGGAGAATAGCTTGAATCAGGGAGGCGGAGGTTGCGGTGAGCTGAGATTGTGCCACTGCACTGTAGCCTGGGTAACAAGAGTGAAACTCCATCTCAAAAAAGAAAATAATAATAATAATAATAAATCAGACTCTTACAAGTTAATTCTTTTCAAGCTTTTAAATGAGTTTTGTCCATGAAATTATTTGTGGGAAATAATTTACAAACAAAATCCTTTCTTGGCTTATCTGTTTTCCTTAACCAGTCTGAAACCACAGCAAATACAAGGCTCTGGGTAAAACTTTTATGAAGTCTGAAGAGCCTGACAAATCTGTATATTTTCTCATTCTAGAAGGTTCTTCTAAAACCAGTTCCCAGTCCTGAAGCAGATCAACTCAAATCTACTGTTTATCAGCAGTCTTTCTTGGAAGATACTATTTATAGCAGATTATGCCTCGTTCCCCCAACATTCTGTGTCATCACAACTATGATACATTCTATAATCTTCTCTGAAATATGTAGCTTCCTATTTCAATTACTTTTAGAAAAGCACAAAAATGTACTGATTAAGTGCAAAAAGATACAAAAATCCAAACACTGTTTTTTATACATTTTCTGCTAATCTTTTTTCAATTCTTTTTAAAAATAGTTGAGACTGTTATGTTTTATATCCACATTTTAGCTTTGGTTTTTCCTATAAAATTGCAAAAAAAAAAATCACGACTTTCAGATATTGCATTTTTACTGTTACTATGAAGGTGAAACATACAGAAATAAATAAAAATAAGTTTATTTTAACCAGGTGGTTATTTCCTGGCAACTGAGGAAAATCCACATATGAGAAGATTAATCAGGCCATTGGCACAGTTTCTTAAAAACTGTTGAGGTTTCAGGTGAAGATTAATTTTGAGAAATAAGACAAATGGTTCTAAAAAATAAAATAGATTTAATATTTATAAAAGAAATTACAATATCCACTATTGTTTATTTTCACCAGAGTTTCTCAAATTATAACAGTCTAAAAGTCCTGATGAATTATAACATCAGCTATGGTCTTAGGTTGCTAAGCACCATCACTTTACACCTTAGGGTGGAGAAATTGGAAATCCCAATTCACAATACAGAGGTGTAAAAATCTAATTACACAGAATAATGCCCAAGGACTCTCTTTTTCTTCTGGTAAATGCCTTAGAGAACGGGGATAAATTGGATTCTCCATAATTGAACTGAAGGGAGTGTATGTGTGTTTTTAAAGCACATTTATTATTGGTGCCTGAGAGTCAGGTTTTTGAACAGTCTCTCCTAGGAAAAGGCAAAATGATTCACGGATAGCCTTGATTCTGCAGCCTACCCTGTAGAAATCCCACCTTGAGTTAAAAATAAGAGACATAAAAACCAACTTAAGTTCTCTGTGATTTACTTTGGATATTCATCCACAAAGAGAAACAAACAAACACTTATTCTCCCAAGAGCTTATATGAAATATATCAAAGCCAAGCCAGGACCCTCGTAGGGCTCAGCCAGCAACTGGATGGAAAGAAGGCATGCTTAAGAACAAACAATAAAGCATCGTTTCCTGCTTTCCAACACTTACCCTCATAGAGGTCCCAAATTCTGTGAGCAAAACCTGCAGCGAAGTGTGAGAGACCCTAAGTTCTTCCCAAGTCCTGTTCTAAAAGCAAGCCCAGTATCTCTAATATGGCCACAAAGCTTAGCCCATCAAAGGCATTCAATGAATCCTCATGTACTTACAGATGCTACATAAAAGAGTATATATCAGCTCCAATGGGTAAGCAGAGGCAAAAATATTGTTTTCTGCAAATGACCACTGAAATAAATTAAGGTCCCATTGGCACTGTGCATTTTCTGGAACAATACCTTCAAAGGTTAATATAAGTAAGAGAAATGGGAGAAGATGGACAGAGAGGAAAAAACACACTACCATTTCATGTTACTATTCCCACTACCTTATTCCATAGAGAAACTAAAATCCCGCTGTGGTCAACTTTTCCAGAGGACACCTTTCTAGAACTCTAAGACCTTAAGTTTGGTTTCCTCTTTTTTAGGAGAGGAAACCAATAGTATTGTTAGAAAAAATATATATGCCCATACATTTATGCACACATCTTGTTTCAGCTATAAATAGATGAAAGCTGACTTTAAATTTCCTTCCATTCCACTTGGAAGAAGTGCTTGGAAATTTTCAAGATTATTTTGTCATTACCTCACAGCACGCCTCCAATTTTCTCATGATACATCTGATGAGAATAAATCTTGTTTATTTTGCCACTTTTCTAAGCTGTCTAATGCCCCCCAAGGAAGCTACAGATTGGCTGTCTTTTTCTTTACAAAAATGAGAGGGAAGAGTGTGAAAAAGAAAATTAATCTGATATAGCTGCTTTTTCAGAGAGCATCACAGGAACTATGAATCCATGAAGAATAACAATGTTTTTGCCCATTAGACAACCTTTCTTGGTTTTAAGGAAAACATCTAACTGAAATTCAGAAACTGAAATAATGAGATTCCCTTTGCTCTTTTTGTGACTAATCACAGTCATTAAATTTTTTCTGCACTCATTTTATCAGGGGCTCTCAGATTATTCCAAAATCCTGAAAATATTCTTTGCTTAAAGATTGCAACCATGCAAATGAACACAACATGCACATTAAAAGAAATCAGGCCAGACTTAAAATAAGCCAGGCCACAAGCCCAGGAATTTCAGTGATTTCCCTTCCAACACATCAGGTTCTATGGTGTCTCCTCTAGGTTTCTCTCTTATTTTCCTATGTTTTTTTCTTTTTCTTATTTCATTTTTCTTCTCTCCACACAGACATACATTTGTTTGAAATGCTTGCTTTATATTTTACATTTTTTCTTTCTCAAGAATCTATGCCATTAATGTAAAAAAACGCATTTCTAGATAACTGTGTTTGGGGCCCAGATATGCTTGCATTCTGTTAGTCTGGGGATATGTGTAACAGTAAGGAATGAACTTGGCTAGAAAATGGAAGGTAGTATTGCTAGGCTTGGGAGGGTCCAGGAAAAAAAGTCTATAAACCGTTCAACATTTCTGTAGCCAGCTAATATTTTCTGAAATTATTCACAAGGTTGATAGAATACTCACTAGTGAAAATTACTTTAGCATGTTCTAACTTATCCTCACAAGATTTTGTGAAATGCCAAAATGGTTTTGACCCACTGTCCACATGATTTGGTCAAGCACTATGTCTCTGGATACAGTTTTTCTGATAATAACTCAAACATCTCCAATAATAAAATCTGACCTAGAACAGTTGAAAATATAGCTCATCACAGAGCCAAATTTTATTTATTTGGCAATCTAATGATTGCCAGTCACTGGATCAGTTAATCACTAAATTTAAACATTCCTAAGTAATGTATGTTAGTGAAAAATTACCCCCAAAGCTATGGTACATGATGCTCTAAAAATAGAGGCCAAAAACTCCACCTGAAAATCCAATAGTATTGACTATGTAGATAGTACATTCTTTAAAATCACTCCTTTTTCCTATGGAAATTGCTCTTCCATAAGGTGAGTTCACCTAGCACTTAATAAATGTGCTGGAATCTCATGACATCAGCTCTGCTTGGAGTCTAGGCCTCATAGGTGAAATTCACTTACTTCTAACTAGTCATTATACGCACCAAGGAGATTAAGTATGAAGTAGAACTGTAAATAACTGAGACTACATTCCACTACATTCCACAATCCACCTAAGAAAGCAACTTGAGTTCATTTGGATGGTAGCAGGTAGCATAGACATACCAATGCCAGTCACATTCCAACATCCATATACTGATGAAAACATCAAAGATTACAGACCTCTAGAGCTGGATGGGATCACAATCGTCCTTTCCAATGCTCTCCTATTTTCAGATCAAGAAATTAATTGATCCAAGGTCACAAAACTAGTTAGTAATAGAATATTTACAAAAAAAACTTTTTTAAAGATTAGTGTCAATTTTTAAAGAGTTTTCTTCTCTGTTAGTACTACATTAATTTTTATGGAGGAATTCAAGCACTTTTTTAAATTAATAAAGGAATATAAGTACTCTTTGGTAATAAAAACTACATTGTCCAGAAGCCTTGTGAAATGATCTTAAATTTAGGCAAAAAGATGTTTTGATGATTAATTTTATGTGTCAGTTTGAGCCATGGGATGCCAAGACATTATGCTGAGTGTGTTGGTGAGGGTGTTTCAGGAAGAGATTAACTTTTGAACGGGTGGACTGAGTAAAGCCGATTGGGCAATGTGGGTGGCCCTCATCCAATTAGTTGAAGGCCTGAGTAGAACAAAAAGCCTGAGTAAGACGAAATTTTCTCCTGCCTGAATCCCTTGAGTTTGGACATTGGTCTTTTCCAGGCTTTGGACATGCACTGGAGCATGGGTTCTTCCTGGGTCTCCAGCCTGCTAGCTTTCAGACTAGAACTGCATCATCAGCTTTCCTGGGCCTCCAGCTTACCAGCTGCAGACCTTGGACTTGTCAGTCTCCATAATTGTGTGGGCCAATTCTTTATAACAAATACACACACACACACACACACACACACACATATATATATATCCCATTAGTTATGTTTCTCTGGAGAACCCAAATAAAGATGTAATCAACTAAAATACATTATTGAGTCTCAACACAATTATCAATTTATTTCACTTAATATATATTAAACTCCTGCATCAATAACAATTAAAAGCAATGCAAATATCTAGTGCTTCTATGTAATAAGTTCTAAAGTTTACCAGTAGAATCAGCATGCCAATGTGTTTCACAATACACACTGAAATACATGGAATCTGTATTTAAAACATTTCATTAAGTGATCTAAGAAAGACAGTAAAAGCATTTGGCTCAGCTTCATCCCAGTTGGCAGAGGTTGTCAGCAAAAAGGTATAGACCCAGCAGAGCTCTGGGCACCAGGGAAACCAGCTGACCTTATATGAGTACCCCCTCCCTTAATCGCATTCAGGTGTTCCAATTAAGTTGCATCACTGTCTCAATTAAAGCTGCAGTCTTTGCTGGCTAATACCATAAGGCTCCCTGGGAAAATGCACTAATTAGGTAGATTTTCTTATCTACTGATTAAGAATCTGTTTTGCACAAAATCAAGGTTAAAAAGTACTGCTATGAACCAGTCCCATCATCTGCATGGTATTTAAAAAGTCTTTAACAAAGCTTCTCTGGACCCTGCTCTGTATCCAACTTTATATGAGCCAAGAGATGAGATACATTGAGTTATAGACTACTATAACAACAGTTTGGTGTACGTGCATGTTTTCTTTAGTTATGAAACAGTTCAGACAGAATAATAAAGTGAATAATATATATACCTACTACCCAGCTAAATAAAATGGTGATACTATGCCACATTTGCCTCAAAAAAATTTTAAACAAAATACTACAGCTACATTTGCAACCCCCTCTACCCTGCCCCACAACATCACCAGGCACCACTACGCTAAAACTGGTGTTTACACCTGTCAATCATTTTAGACTCTTACAACGTATGTATGTATCCATACATAATATTATTATCCATGTGTTCAAGCTTAATTCTACCTATCATTCTGCAGCTTGTTTTTTTCACTCACATTATGATATATAGCTCATATATGTATGTAAATATATATACACACATGTACATGGTATATTTAATTCTAGTTTACTTATTTTAACTGTTATTTATAATTCTAACATATAGTACAATTTATTTCCTTGTTGATGGACCTCTCACATATTTCCTCTCTTTTTGCTCATACAATCAATGCTGATGTGAACATTGGTGCACGAATCTCCTGGTGCATATATACAAGTTTCTCTACTGCGTGTGTTAAGAATATTAGGTCAAAGGGTGAGCATCTTCACCTGCACTTCATATAGCCAAACTGCCCTCCAAAGTGGCTGCGCAATTCACATCCCACTAGCAGGGTATAAGAGTTACCTCCTCCCACATCCTCAGGAATTCTCGGTACTGTCCCACTTCCACATTTTTGCCTGTTTCAACAGGTGAAAAATGGTGCCTTCATTTGCACTTACTAGTGAGGCTGAGCAACCTTTCATATATTTACTGGCCATTGCGGTTTCTTATCCTGTGACTCCATATCCTCTCCCCATTTGTCTTCTTACTGACATGTAGGAATTGTTTATAAATTTAGGGTGAATTATGTCAAGTCCTATGGAAAAACAATGCTGGCATTTTTATCAGAATAACAATACATTTATGATTTTTATGAGACTGACAGCTTTTTCATAGAGTCTCAGACTACTGCTAGCTGTATAGCATTTACGTGCAAACTATGGAAAGGTGCCCCTTCTTCAGGGCAGATGCAGCCAGCCCCACATGAATGTAGAATGCAACATGGGCTGGATTTTAGCTCTGCTTGCCCATTGGCCCCAGGCCTACTGAATCAGAAATTCTGGAGGTACAATCCAGCAATCTGTGTTTCAGCAAGCCCTCCAAGTGATTATGATCCACACTGAAGTTTAGAACCACTGGTTTAATCAGTCCCCTATCGATGGATACTTGGGCAGTTTCCTTTGTCTAGTATGCACAATATTGCAATGAATTGTTTTATATATGCCTTGCATATCATGCAGGTATATATATATATATATTATATATATATGCCTTTCATACCATGCAGGTATATATATATATAGGAAAAATTTGTAGACATGAAAATGCTAAGTCAAAGAGGAAATGCATTTGTAATTTTTATAAAAATGGACACATTGACCTCCATAGGAATTATACCGTTTGCACTGCCACCATTATCATAGGAGATCATCATTTACACACAGGCTCACCAGCATGTTCTCAAACTTTTGTGTCTTTGCCAATGAGAGATGCATCATTTATATAGGTGTAGAAAGTTAGTAAGAGCCCAAGACATATCAGCTCACGTACCTGAGCTCATGCACTCCATTGAAACTATTATGGGTTAACAGAATGGGAAGAATTATTCCCAGCATACAGTTGGAATGTTTATTGTATAGTCTCATAAAAGACAAGTTGTAAATGGCAGTTACATATAATTGATATTGTACTTATAGTTCTGTATTATAATTCAGGTGTATTATTTCTTTTATGTACATTGCAGATTTTTATAGGTGAAAACCAAACCAACATTCAATAATATTTGTTATGCAAGATAAAAGTACTCCAGAATCCAAACCACTGATTTAAATTTGAAACACTGTGAGTACCTGAAGGACTGCCTAGACATAAGAGCAACTGTTATTTCC
The DNA here is from genome assembly GCF_000001405.40 of Homo sapiens. NCBI lineage: Eukaryota > Metazoa > Chordata > Mammalia > Primates > Hominidae > Homo > Homo sapiens. The sequence goes on from NC_000001.11 coordinate 184,913,785, forward strand.
ACACTGCGAAAAGGAAACATTTTAAAAGTAGATGCTCTCTTGAACCAGGTGAACTTCCTGTTGATTGGATGTAGGTAAGAAGTGGATTGCAGCCATGGATGCAAATCTGGCTTATTGTGCAGTCAGATTAATGGCTGTCATCTGTCTGCATTCCCCCAAATATGGTACCATTAATGGTTTATACTAAGCCATTCTCAGAGGCCCATTCTGTTTCAGTCCTACTACCCAAAAAGGAAGACATAGACATCTAGGCTTTCAGAAATATCTGAGGAGAGCTTGTTCAATCTCAGCACAGAGCAAACTTTCAATCCTTTCCCTCAAGCTGACTCAGTCTCCACTGAACAAAGCTGGACTTACAGTGGCACAAGATTCTACTTCAGAAAGGTGCAGGTCTAAATCCTCATTAAGTTGGTTCCACTACGTATTAATTATATGACTTTGGGCAAGTCACTTTTTCTCTAGAAAACATTTTGCAGATGTGGAAGCCATCTGCTCATCTGCTTTCCTTGAGGGAATATAACGGGATTCCTTCAGAGTACATGAAGCTCTCCAAATAAAAGATAAACATTCCAAGAAAGGTTATTACTCGCAGAAGCAAAAACATCACATGCTAACAAATGTGGTGTCTACTAGAAGTGTTGTCTAATAGAAATTTTGGGGATGACAGAGAGGTTCTGTATCTGTTCTGTGCGGTACAACAGTCACTGGTAACATGGGGCTACTGAACACTTGAAATGTGGCTAGTGTGACTGAAAAACTTAATACCTGTTTTTCTTTTCTCTTTAGTTTTTAAGATAAATTTTCTTATGTATAATTGAGGATTACAACATGATGCTATGGGATACATATGGGTAGTAACATGGTTACTGTAGTGAAGAAGATTAACATATCTCTCATCTCACATACTTTTACAAAATTAATGGTTTAGTTAACTTTCTTTTTTTTTTTTTTTTTGAGACAGAATCTCGCTCTGTCACCCAGGCTGGAGTACAGTGGCGTGATCTCGCAGCTCACTGCAACCTCTGCCTCCTGGGTTCAAATGATTCTCCTGCCTCAGCCTCCTGAGTAGTTGGGACTACAGGCACCCGCCACCATGCCCAGCTAATTTTTTGTACTTTTAGTAGAGACGGGTTTTCACCATGTTAGCCAGGATGGTCTTGATCTCCTGATCTCGTGATCCGCCTGCCTTGGCCTCCCCAAGTGCTGGGATTACAGGCGTGAGCCACTGTGCCCAGCCCATTAACTTTCATTTTAATAGCCACGTGTGGCTAATGGTTACCATATTGAGCAGTATGTCTCTAGAAAACCTTTCATGTCTTCATCTTAAAATAGGGATAAAAATCACCAATCTCAGTGTTTCCTTTGTCTTACTGGTCATAAGATTCTCCTGAGTTGCCTGATAAAAAGTAGAAAATTCCATTCCCTACCTCAGACCTACTCAATCAGAATCTATATGAGGGAAGTCAGAGAAACTGTGTTTTCAATATCTTCCTCCAGGAGATTCTTACGATGAGGCCAGTTTGTTATATTCAATAGCATTGTAATGAAGAATAAATCTGACATTTGTAAGCATTAGCAAGATGCCTGGATCTGTACAATCGCAGAGGGAGAAGGCTCTTGTTCTGGAGAAGTTAGTTGCACCAACATACGTGCTCACTGGTATCAAAGTACCAACTTCAAAGCCCTCTAAAGAATAGTAAGATGGTTTAGTACTTCTGGGGTGATGGGGGAGATTGTATTCCAGAATGCTGAGGGCACTTGATCAGTTTTCCTTTGTTTTGTTGTGATGGAGAGGAATAGAATAATATATAAGGTATGGCTCTGATGATGGGTAGCTTGAAGGATGGATGGCCTCGGCTGTATTTGATGTGGTAAGCGATTTTTGAAATCTAGTGAAGGAACTTAGAATGGAGGTAAGAGAGAACAACTAATGTGTAACTACACATAAATGTAATTTGAATAACAGATATAAAAGGGAAAGAGAAAGAGACAGAGACAGAGAGACATAGGTTGAAAGAAACCTGCATAGCAAAGGCTTCCTTAATGTCAGGTTGTTGACTTTAGGAAATAGAGAAAATAATGACCTCAGTAGGATTAAAGAATGGCTTGTTGGCAAAAGGCCTGGATTCTAGTCCATTCCTGAATATGCTGTTGTTTCAAGGAGCATATTATATAACTGCCACAGAGAATTCTGAAATTTCAATATAGTTTCAGAAGTCCACGAACATTCCCATTTTGCAGATGTGGAAGCCATCTGCTCATCTACTCTCCTTTATGGAATACAATGGGATTCTTCCAGATCACTTGAAGTTCTCCAAATAAAAGATACAAGCATTATAAGAAAGAATATTACTTGCAGAAGCAGAAACATAATATGCAAATAAATGTGTCTATTATTATTTCTGTGAGCTCTTCACATCATTGAAGCTGATCTGCATAGTATAAATAGATACCATTGCTTTGTAACAGAGATATCGATGTAGGGGAACGAAAAAATGGTAATGAGGGGAAAAAGAAAGTTGTAATAGGTAAATACATTATTTACATGTAATGCTAAAAGAAACTTAGGTTGGAAACTTAACTTCAGCTTACATTTTAAATTTTCACTTTATTTAATTGTAACAGGTACATGACAATGATAGGCTAACTGTAAATATTTAATTTTTATTTTACTACCACAGTAGATGGGGAATAAATTAGCTATGAGCAAAAAAAATCCAATTCATTAACTTCCCTTTATTCCCCTTGAATAATTATGTGTGTGTGTGTCTCCAAATAAACCATATACAACTTGGCCAAAGTTTTAAAATGAGGGGTTTTTTTTAAGTAAAATATTCAATTTCCAGGATAAGACTGAAAAGTGTTTGTTCCATTTAATATAACAAAATAAAGATATTTTATATTTATAATAAGACAAAAATAAATATTTTTGTTATTGAAGGAATGACTTATGAATTGATAAACTAGATATGTATGAAAATACTATGCCTGATCCATAACATTATTTCCTTTTTCTTTTCTCGTTTAAACCTGCTTATTCTACTATTCATCTCCTTCAGCCTTCCAAGCTCTTGCCCCTCCCGATTTCCCTAACCCTAGAACCCCTCCAAGTTTTACTTCCTTCACTACTTATCCTTGATCTCCAGGACTCATAGTTGATTCACTAACACCAGTCAAGAATATCTTTGATTTTCCTATCCCTAAGAAAATCTTTCTTCAAAATCTGCCCAGCCAATATCTAGCCACGGATCAACCCACCTGCCCATTTTCCCGGCTGCTTATTGCAGGCTTCCCAGCAGTACAGAAAACACTGCTATGCTGTGCGCTTGGCTCCGCTGCAGACAAATGAGCCCCAGCCTGGGCTGGACTCATTGCTGTTCAGCAAACTTTTTCTTATCCCCATGACTATCTCTTCCACTTTTTTTTTTTTTTTTCTTTGAGATGAAGTCTCACTCTGTCGCCCAGGCTGGAGTGCAGTGGCGCGATCTCAGCTCATTGCAAGCTCCACCTCCCGGGTTCATGCCATTCTGCCTCAGCCTCCCGAGTAGCTGGGACTACAGACACCCGCCACCACGCCCGGCTAATTTTTTTTTTTTTTTTTTTTTTTTTAGTAGAGACGGGGTTTCACCATGTTAGCCAGGAAGGTCTTGATCTGACCTCGTGATCCGCCCGCCTCGGCCTCCCAAAGTGCTGGGATTACAGGCGTGAGCCACCCTGCCCGGCCGGTCTCTTCCACTTTTCAAAGCAGCTCTCACATCTTCAAAAGTATCCTTAAACTCCCTTCTCCACCCTCCCTTTACTCAGACTTCCTCTTTTAAGCAAATGGAGATATAATAAGTTTCATTTCTCTTCTATCCACCTCTAAGTTCATCTCATCATCTACTATACTTTCCTCCTCCTGTCCACCTCAAAAGGAAGACCCCCCCAATATTTTTCGTCCAAACTCACTACATTAATTATCTCCTTTTTCTCGGATTGCCATTGTCTTCCTCACCACTAGTTTTCACCCACACATGCATTCAAGTCCCAGAAAAGAAAATTACTCATCTACCTCTCAGGCAACTGCCCTCTTTTTTACCCTTAACCATCAAACCTCTTGAAACAATACCCTGAATCCATTGTTCTCAGATTCATCACCTCTATCCACTTCTTAATCAGTCACTCTTTCCCTTAAAAACGCAACCCCACTGAACTGCCTGTACAACCCAATGACTCCTACATGTGTGTTTGCTGTCCCAACCTCTCCTGGATCCCTGCCGCATATTTCCAAATGTCTCCTGCTGAATAACTCCTTGTGAAAGTCCTGACAGGCACTTCGAATTTGCTCCCCTGTCTCGGTTAACAGATTCACCATCACCTGGGTGCCTGCAGTAGAAACCTCAGAATCATCCTTTTGGATCTCCTCCTCTAGGTGCCACAGTCAGCAAACCCTGCCCTTTGGGCTTTGGGGATCTCTCTCAAAAGCAATCTTGCCACCAACGACTGGTTCAGGCCCTCGTCTCTTACAAAAATAATGACTGCAATGAGCTCCTAACTTTGCCTCTAACTGCTCCCCTTTCAAACCCACTCTTCACATCACGGCAAAGGTAACATTAGAAAACACATAACTGATCAGGTCCTTCCCCTGATAAAAGCCACCTTGGGTTCTTCCAGGCTCTTCTCAAGTTGGTCCCAACCCACCTGTCCAGCTTCTCCTCTATCCACAGAGCGTTGTATATGCTGGCTATGGCACGTTCCCCACAGTGGTTAAGCATAGCACATTATAACTGCCTGTACTGTTCACCCTTCCTAGAACCTATAGACCCAGATAAATTCCTATTCATCTGCAAAGTCAAATTGCAAGTCTACCTTGAAGCTTCTCCTGAATTCTCCTTACCTAACGCCTTGGTCAGAATTAATTGTTCCCTTTTCTATATTTACCCAGTCTTTTACCTGAACCCCCATTTCTCCAATGTCTACACCATAATGTAATATAGTGATTTATTTACATGCCCTCTCTCTCCAGTATAGCAGCTCATTGAAAGTGCATTGCTCATCTTTGTTCCTGAGAGCCTAGAGTGGTCAGTAGCAGGCACAGAATTGATATTAGCTGTATAGTGAGTGTATTTTCCCTGTCCACCCTCCCAACATCCTCCACCATTGGAATAAAGGGAATGCACATGGAAAATTAATTTGCCACACAAATGGAACATTTACACCAACATTTAAACTTGTAAAAAAAAACCTCTAAAATTCTTTAGAAAACTCCATTCCAAAACTATTCTTTTTCTTACATACTGTGAGTTTATTATTCCTTCATTAGAGAACCAGAAAGACTACAAATAAATTTTAAGTTGTCAGAAAGACTCATCCTAAAGTAATATGTTTAGCTATGCAGTGATTTAGTGTGAGACACATTGAAAACAAACAAACAAAAAAAGATCAGTAATTTAAGCATGTAAATATCTGGTACAAACTGGCCTGTCCTGACCTATAGGTGAATCAAGGTGACCTGCCTGAAGCAGCCTTGGATTCCAGGGAAGGAGTTCCCAAAGGGAGCGCTGGAGTGTTTGATTCCTTTTCTCCAAATCCCATGTGAAGCTTACCATTCTGCTGGAAGCCAAGGCATCAAAACTACATGTTTACAAAGAAAGTTTTGAGGTGAATATTTAGATTAAGACCATGTTTATATGGCACAAAATACTTGGTTGGCTTAATCCGATTCAGTGCAAAGGGGAAAATAACCACGTTTAAACGGTCTTAATATCAGAAGTTATTTACTTCCTGGAAAATCAAAACACACTCAAATTTGCTTTGGAAATAATTTTAAAAAAAGAGACCATTAAGAAGAAAAGAAATGAGCTGCTTTGTCATCTGTTTTGCTGTTTCTCCTGAAGGGTTTCCGTGGTACTTTGGACTTGTCTCTATTAGGGTAATGGTAACAGGTGAGGAATAAAACGCAGCTGCATATTAACTCCCAAGGGGGAAATTCTGTAAACATCCTAGGTAATGAGTATAATATATACGTAAATATACAATGCCTTCTATGAGTCATTGGCTCTTTAATAATCTCCAGATAACAAAAAAAAATTGTTTTTAATCACAGGCAATCAAAAGTACCTTCAAGCAGAAGAAATTTCCTTTTTTCAGGGGCTGGGGGAGGGGGAGGTGTTGGGGATGAAAAGTCTTGTTGCAATTCATTACCCAGGGATAGAAAGAAAAAACTTATAGTTGTTATAATTTTAAATAAATAAGACCTGACACCAAAGTCAGGGAAATGAATGGACAGGAAATGCAGCAAACTTTAAAGAGGAAGTGGGTTTGAGCCTCCAACTGGAGGACATTGAGGAGGAGGAAACCTACAAGACGTGTAAAAATGGAAAATCAAGGCTCTCATCTTAAGAAAGAAACTCAGAGCCCATGACTAAATTATCGGAAAGATATGAAATACAACCAATTAACGTTTATGGCTATTTGAAGCGATCATAAGACATAATAATTGACACAATGGTTGTACAGATTTATGGGATACAGAGTGTGATATTTTGATATTTGCAATGTGTAATGATCAAATCAGGGTAATTACCATACTCATCACCTCAAACATTTATCATTTCTTTGTGTTGGGAACATTAAAAAATCCTCTCTTCTAGCTATTTGAAAATAAATAACAAATTATTGTTAACTATACTCACCCTACAGTGCTATAGAACACCAGAATTTATTCTTCCTGGTTATAATTTGACATCCTTTAACCAACCTCTCCCTATTCCCTTCACCCTTCCCAGCTTCTAACCACTATTAGTAACCACTACTCTACTCTCCACTTCTATGAGATGAACTTTTTTAAGCTTCCACATGAGTAAGAACATGCAATATTTATTAAATATCTTAATTATTATTAAATTTGGTAGTCTATCAACTGCTTTAAAATTATAAAAGTCGAAGCAAACAATAATTTTCTCCTACCAAAAAGAAATGTATTTTCTGATCTAATTATGTATAATGAAATACAAGAAAATGGTAAACTCAGGGAAGTAAGGCATTCTATATTTTAAAATGAATGCAACCATTAAAAATATATTTGTAGGCAGGCACGGTGGCTCACGCCTGTAATCCAAGCACCTTGGAAGGCCAAGGCAGGTGGATCACCTGAGGTCAGGAGTTCGAGACCTGACCAGCATGGTGAAACCCCGTCTCTACTAAAAATACAAAATTAGCCGGGTGTGGTGGCAGGCGCCTGTAGTCCCAGCTACTCAGGAGGCTGAGGCAGGAGAATCGCTTGAATCAGGGAGGCAGAGGTTGCAGTGAGCCAATATTGCACCACTGCACTCCAGCCTGGGTGACAGAGCAAGGCTCTGTCTCAAAAAAAAAAAAAAAAAAATTAGCCGGGCGTGGTGGCACATGGCTGTAATCCCAACTACTTGGGAGACTGAGGCAGGAGAATCACTTGAACCCGGGAGGCGGAGGTGGCACTGAGCCGAGATTGCGCCATTGCACTCCAGCCTGGGCAACAAGGGTGAAACTCTGTCTCAAAAAAAAAATTTGTAAAACATATCTAACATATAAAAAGACATCCTAAGGTAAGCGAAAACAACAAAAAAGTGAATACAGACTTTTATAGAGACAGCGATCACAAAAAAGTAAAAGAAACAGAACCAGCTGAGCAGAGAAGAAAGACTGGAAGAAAATATACCAAAATGATAAGTGATTATCACTGGGTAGTAGGCCCATAGATACAAATTTTTCCTTCCGTCTTTACAAAGGGCTGTGCTTTTAAGACATATTTCATTTTTGAGTGGATAAGAAAGAAATTTTCTCCAAAGAAACAGTACAAAGTAATAGGCTGCTTAGAAAGCACACAATATTTGCCCAACTAAAACTAGTACATATCATTAAGTTAGTATGTAACAATCAAGGCAAATGGGTGGCCATCAGCTGCCAAAGCACAGCATTATCAATTCAATAATTTCAAGAGGAGCAGTCAATCAATAGTAACCTCCAAATTAGCATCAATTCTGCCATTATTTTCAGGAACATTCAAATGGTTCTAATAAGGCAATTTAGCTAAACTATGATTCTGTGCTCTGGTTATTTTCAGCACGTAGGCTCAACTTTAAAGAAGCAGTAATTGTATAATAATATCAATAATACCAATTGGGGCTTATCTGTTTCTCTATAAAAGCAAATGCTTTTTGTATTATATTATAACACACAAGTCCTTTGAAATACAAATGTGAATTACACGCACATAATTAAGTTGATGAGAGTAGAAGGAATTACTCTCCCCACAACTACACCCTCACCAATTACCTTTCACATCTCCTTCATTTTTTTTAATTTTTAATTTTTGTGGGTCCATAGTAGGTATATGTATTTATGGGATACATGACATATTTTGATAAGGCATAAAATGTGTAATAATCACATCAGTATAAATAGGGTAGCCATCACATCAAGCATTTATCCTTTCTTTGTGTTACAAACAATCCATTTATACTTAGTTATTTTTAAATGTACAATAAATTATTGTTGACTGTAGTCTCCCTGTTATACTATCAAATACTAGATCTTATTCATTCTATCTAACTACATTTTTTTACCTATTAATCAACCCCCTTCACCTCACCCACTACTCTTTCCAGCCTCTGGTAACTACTGTTCTACTCTCTACCTCCGTGAGTTCAATTGTTTTAATTTTTAGCTCCCACAAACAAGTGAGAACATACAAAGGTCTCACTTTGGGCACCTTTTCATGTACCTGTCTGCTATTTGGTTGTCTTCTTTTGAGAAATATCTATTCAGATCTTTTGTCCCTTTTGTTTTGTTTTTTTGTTTTTGTTTGTTTGTTTTGTTGTTTTGAGTTGGAGTCTCACTCTTTCACCCAGGCTGCAGTGCAATGGCACAATCTCAGCTTACTGCAACCTCTGCCTCCTAGGTTCAAGTGATTCTCCTGCCTCAGCCTCCCAAGTAGCTGGGATTACAGGCACCTGCCATGACACCCAGCTGATTTTTGTATTTTTAGTAGAGACAGGGTTTCACCATGTGGGTCTGGCTGGTCTCGAACTCCTGACCTCAGGTGATCCACCTGTTTCGGCCTCCCAAACTGCTGGGATTACAGACGTGAGTTAAATCACGCCTGATTTAACTTAGATTGTTTCTTATAGAGTTGTTTAAGCTTCTTATACATTCTGGTTATCAGCCCCTGTCAGATGGATAGTTTGCAAATATTTTCTCCCATTCTGTCAGTTGTCTCTTCACTTTGTTGATTGTTTCATTTGCTGTGCAGAAGCCTTCTAACTTGATGGGATCCCATTTGTCCATTTTTGCTTTTGTTGCCCATGCTTATGGGACATTACTCAAGAAACCTTTGCTCCGTCCAATGTCCTAGAGAGTTTCCCTAATGTTTTATTTTAGTAGTTTCATACTTTGACATCTTAGATTTAAGTCTTTAATCTATTTTGATTTGGTTTTTGTATATGGCAAGAGGTAGGGGTCTAGTTTCATTCTTCTGCGTATGGACCTCCAGCTTTCCTAGCACCATTTACTGAAGAGACTGTCCCTTCTCCAAAGTATGCTCTTGTTACCTTTGTGGGATATAAGTTCACTGTAGATATATAGATTTATTCTGGGTTCTCTATTCTGTTCCATTGGTGTATGTGTTTGGTTTTATGCCAACACCATGCTGTTTTGGTTACTATAGCTCTGTACTACAATTTGAAGTCAGGTAATGTGATTCCTCCAGTTTTGTTCTTTTTGTTCATGATAGCTTTGGCTATCCTGGGTCTTTTGTGGTTCCATATAAATTTTAGGATTGTCTTTTCTATTTCTGTGAAGAATGTCATTGGTATTTTGATAAGGATTGCATTGAATCTGTAGATTGCTTTGGGTTGGGTGGTATGGATATTTTAACAATATTAATAATTCCAACCCATGAACATGGAATATCTTTCCTTTTTGTGTGTGCCATCTGCAATTTCTTTCATCAGTGTTTTATAGTTATCATTGTAGAGATCTTTCACTTCTTTTGGTTAATTTCTAGGTATTTAATTTTATTAGCATCTATTATAAGTGGGATTACTTTCTTGATTTCATTTTCAGATTGTTCACTGCTGGCATATAGAAATGCTACTGATTTTTGTATATTGATTTTGTATCCTGCAACTTTACTGAATTTGTTTATCAGTTCTAATAGTTTTTTTTTTTTTTGGTAGAGTCTTCATATTTTTCTAAAGATAAGATCATGTCATCTACAAACAAGAATAATTTGATGTCTTCCTTTCCAGTTTAGGTGCCTTTTATTTCTTTCTCTTGTCTGATTGCTCTAGCTGGGATGTCCAGTACTATGTTGAGTAACAGTTATGAAGTGGGTGTCCTTGTTGTGTTTCAGATCTTAGAGGAAAGGATTTCATGTGGACCTGTCATATATGGCTTTTATGGTGTTGAGGTATGTCTCTTTTATACCCAGTTTTTGAGGGCTTTTGTCACAAAGGGATGTCGAATTTTATCAAATGCTTTTCAGCATCAATTGAAATGATCATATGGTTTTTGTCCTTAATTCTGTTGATATGATGTATCACATTGATTGATTTACATATATGGAATCATCCTTGCATCCCTGGGATAAATCCCACTTCATCACGATAAATGATCTTTTTAATGTTTTGTTGAATTCAATTTACTAGTATTTTGTTGACGATTTTTGCATCAACATCCATCAACAATATTGGCCTGTAGTTTTCTTTTTTTGATGTGTCTTTGTTTTTGGTGTCAGGTAATACTGGCCTCATTGAATGATTTGGAACTATTTGCTTCTCCTTTGTTTTTCAGAATAGTTTGGGTAGGATTGGTATTAGTTCTTTAAATGTTTGGTAAAATACAGCAGTGAAGCTATCAGGCCCTGGGCTTTTCTTTGCTATATATTTATTACAGCTTTGATCTCATTACTTGTTATTGGTCTGTTCAAGTTTTGAATTTCTTCATGATTCAATATTGGTAGGTTGTAGGTATCCAGGAATTATCCATTTCTCTTAGGTTTTCCAACTTATTGACATATAGTTAGCCATAGTGGCCACTAATAATCCTTTGAATTTCTGCAGCATTGGTTGTAATGTTTCCATTTTCAGGTCTAATTTTATTTGGGTCTTGTCTTTTTTTCTTAGTCTGACTAAAGTTTGTCAATTTTACTTATCTTTTCAAAAACCCCACTTTTTGTTTCATTGATCTTTTGTATTGTTTTTTCATTTCCATTTCATTTATTTCTGCTCCAATCTTTATTATTAATTTGCTTGTTATTAGCTGCTTATTATAATATCTGGGTGCTCTAGTGTTGGGTGCATATATATTTACAATTGTTATAACCTCTTGCTGAATTGACCCCTTTATCATTCTAAAATGACCCCTTTTGTCTCTTTTTATAGTTTTTATTTTGAAATCTATTTTATCTGATATAGGTATAGTTTACTCCTGCTCTTTTTTGGTTTTCATTTGTATGGAACATCTTTTTCCATCCCTTTATTTTCAGCCTATGTGTGTCATTATAGGTGAAGTGTATTTCCTATAGGCAACCAATCATTGGGTCTTGTGTTTTATCCATTCAGCCATTCTATGTCTTTTGATTGGAGAGTTTAGTTCACTTACATTCAATGTTATTATTGATAAGTAAGGGCTTACTCCTGCTATTTTGTTATTAGTTTTCTGATTGCTTTTTGGTCTTCTCTTCCTTCTTTTCTGCCTTCCTGCCATTTTATTAGTGAAGATGATTTTTCTCCAGTGGTGTTTTTAATTTCTTTATTTTTATTTTTTTGTTTGTTATATGATTTTTTTATTTGAGGCTACCATGAGGCTTGCAAATAATATCTTATAACCCATTATTTTAAACTGATGACAACTTAACACTGATTGCATAAACAAATAAGCAAAGAGAAAACAAAAAAAAACTCTATACATTAACTTCATTTTTTTAACTTTCTGTTAATCCACTTTTTAACTTTCTGTTGTTATATTTATAGCTTATTGTATTGTCTATGTGTTGAAAACTTGTAGTTATTATTTTTGATCAGTCCATCTTTTAGTCTTTCTACTCAAGACGTGAGTAGTTTACACACCACAATTACAGTGTTATAATATTCTGGCTTTTTCTGTGTACTTACTGTAACTAGTGAGTTTTGAACCTCCCAATGCTTTATTCTTGCTCATTAACGCCCTTTACTTTCAGATTGAAGGACTCCCTTTAGCATTTCTGGTAGGACAGGTCTGGCATTGATGTAATCCTTTAGCTTGTCTAAGAAAGTTCTTATTTATCTTTCATGTTTGAAGGGTATTTTTGCTGGATATACTATTCTAGGATACAAGGTATTTTTTTTTTCCTTCGGTACTTGAAATATGTCATGCTACTTTCTTCTGGCCTACAAGGTTTCCACTAAGAAGTCTGCTGCCAGACATATTGGAGCTCCATCGTATGTTTTTTATTTGTCTGTTTGTTTTTGTTTTTAAGACGAGACTCACTCTATCGCCCAGGCTGGAGTGCAGTGGTGCAATCTCTGCTCACTGCAACCTCCACCTCCCGGGTTCAAGTGATTCTCCTGTCTCAGACTCCAGAGTAGTTGGGGTTACAGGCATGCACTACCAAGCCCAGCTAATTTTTGTGTGTTTCGTAGAGACGGGGCTTCACCATGTTGGCCAGGCTGGTCTTGAACTCCTGACCTCAAGTGATCTGTCCACCTTGGCCTCCCAGAGTGCTGGGATTACAGACATGAGCCACCACACCCAGCCTCTGTTGTATGTTATTTGTTTCTTTTCTCTTGCTTCTTTTAGGATCCTTTCTTTATCCTTGACTATCAGAGTTTAATTATTGGATGTCTTGAGATAGTATTATTTGGGTTAAACCTATAACCCAAGTTAGGTGTTCTATAACCTTCTTGTACTTGAATATTTATATATTTCTTGAGGTTTGGAAAGCCTTATTATTCCTTTGAATAAACTTTCTACCCCTATCTGTCTGTCTACCTCCTCTTTAAGGCCAATAACTCAGACTTGCCCTTTTGAGGCTATTTTCTAGATCTTCTAGGCATGCTTCATTCTTTTTTCTTTGATCTCCTCTGATTGTGTATTTTCAAACAGCCTGTCTTCAAGTTCGCTAATTCTTTCTCCTGCTTGATCAATTCTGTTATTAAGGGACTTTGATGCATTCTTCAGTATGTCGATTACATTTTTCAACTCCAGAATTTCTGCTTAATTCTTTTTACTTATTTAAATATCTTTGTTAAATTTATCTGATAGGATTCTGAATTCCTCCTCTGTGTTATCTTGAATTTTGTTGAATTTCCTCAAAACAGCTATTTTTAATTCTCTGTCTGAAAGGTCAAATATCTCTGTCTCTCCAAGATTGGTCCCTGGTGTCTTACTTAGCTTTGGTGAGGTCAAGTTTTCCTGGATGGTCTTGATGCTTGTGGATGTTCATCAGTGTCTGGGCATTGAAGAGTTAGGTATTTATTGTCATGTTCTCAGTCTGGGCTTGTTTGTACCCTTCTTTCTTAGGAAGGCTTTCCAGGTATTCAAAGGGACTTAAGTGTTGTAGTCTAAGTTTTTGGTCACTTCTGCCATATCTGCATTAGGTAATGCTGTGGCTCTTGTAGATTCATAGAGATACCACCTTGGTGGTCTTGGATAAGATCCAGAAAAATTTCCTGGATTACCAGGCAGAGTCTTGTTCTCGTCCCCTGCTTTCTCCAAAACAAATGGAGTCTCTTTCTCTGTGTTGAGCTGCCTGGAGCTGGGGAAGGGGTGACACAAGCACCCAGTGACCACCACCACTGGGACTATACTTGGTCAGACCGGAAGCCAGGCACAGCACTAGGACTCACCCAAGGCCTGTGATAACCACTGCCTGCCTACGACCTATGTTTGCTCAAGGCCTTAGGGCCCTACAATTAGCAGATAGCAAGATGAGCTTGGCTTGTGTCCTTATTTTCAGAATGGTGAGTTCCCCCCAGGCCCTGAGCAGGTCTAGAGATGCCATCCTGGAGCCAGGACCTAGAGTCAGAAACCTTAGGAATCTACCTGGTGCTCTATTCTACTGCAGCTGAGCTGGCACCCAAGCCACAAGACCAAATCTTTTACACTCTTCCCTCTCCTTTCCACAAGCAGAAGAGTCTCTCTCTGTGGCCCCCACAGCTGGGAATGTACTGGGTCTCACCTGAATCCAGCACAGCTCTGAGTCTCACTCAATGCCCATGGCAAGTACTGCCTGGGTACTGCTGATGTTTATTCGAGACCCAAGGGCTCTTTAGCCAGCAGGTGATGAATCCAGCCAGAACTGGGGCCTTCCCTTCAAGGTAGCAAGTTCCCTTCTGGCACAGGGTGTGTTTAGAAATGTCCTTTGGGAACTAGGGGCTGGAATGGGGGCCTCAGGACTTTGCCTGGTCCCCTATTCTACTGTGGCTGAGCTGGTATCCAAGGTGTGAGACAAAGTCCTCTTTACTCTTCCCTCTCCTGAAGCAGAAGGAAGGAGTCTTTCCAGGAGATGCAAGCTGTGCAGCCTGGGGTTAGGGGAATGGTGATGCAAGCACTCCCTTGGCCACCCCAGCTGGTGTGTTACTGGGTCACATGTCCCCCAACTCCACTGGCTCCAAGGCCAGCACAGCACCAGGACTTGCCTAGGAATTACAGTCTTTGTGGTCTAGACTGCCTTTCAAGTGTATTTAGGACCCCAAAGTACTTTAGCTTGCCAGCACTCAGGTTCTGACCACTGGGATGCGTGATTCCCCTCTGGCTAGGGCTTGTTTAAATACTCCCTCCATGGGTGCCAGCTGAGTTCTTCCTGGCATTGCTTTCCACTGTGACAGGGCAGCACTGAGTTCCAGTGCAAAGTTCCTGTGCTCTCCCTCCCCCAAGCATACAGATTCTGTCTCTGTGCCATGCGACCACTGCCAGGGAATGGAAGACTGGGTGGTATAGGCAATTCAAGACTGCCTCTCCCACCCTCTTTGGTGCCTCTTTCAGTGATAGGAAGTTAAAACTAGGTACTGTGATCACCTGATTTTTGGTTCTTATAAAGGTGATTTTCTGTGTGAATAGTTGTACAATTTGGTGTTCCTGCAGGGAGGAAAATCGCTGGAGGCTTCTATTAGGCCATCTTGCTCTGCCCCAAGTCCTCTTCATTTTCACGTGATGCACACCCACTCTCCCATCCCCTTGTCCCCACCCTACTCTACCTGCACACATACAAATGAATGTAAGTGGGGAAATAACCCCAATGTAATGAGAAGTATAATAAACATGTAAAATACAGTCACTAAATCATTTTTCTTAATAGTTTCATTACATTTGGCTTTTGATTAAAATAATTTCTGTTCCTATCCATGATTTTAGTGTCATATTGCGTGTCCACAGAAACTCCCTTCCTTGAAATCCCAGCCAGTCCTTTTCTAAATCCCAAAATACTTTATTTTTCTTGTCAGTGTTATTAAAGTATAATTTACAGACAAAAATTTCACCAAGTTTAAGAGTAAAATTCAATGAGTTTGACACGTATTTATAATTGTACAACTACCACACAATCATGAAATAAAATATTTTTATCACACCAAAAACCCAATCTTAAAAAAACAATTCAGGCCATCTAAAAAAATTGCTTTTATTCCTATTCAAATGTTCAAGTACCCCAAAATCATAATGTTTTAAATGCTTCTAAATGGTGTTGTCCTTTGACCATGTGAGATTTAATAAGTCTAGTTTTTTCTAAAGTTTGAAAGGAAGGTCTATGCCACTTTTTTTTTATAAATAGCAACTTCCTAGAAGATTTTTTTCACCTCCAAAAAAGAAGATATATAAATTTTAAGGCATTCAGTTTTTAAGCATAAAACTCACTTGTAAGATTTTCCCTCTGAAAGTATGTCTTTTTTCCTCCACCACATGAGTTGTATATTTAAATTTAAATTTTGGTTTTTTTCTTAATGTAACAATAAAACAAGAACTAGCTAATTGCATCAGCTCCACTAACGTGTGGTCAAAAGGGTTGTTAAAATGTATCTGATAGATCAAATTATCATGAAGTTCTAGCAGGAGGATTTGTCAAAACTTCTACTGAACATTGTGCTTGATGCTGTAAACATCACATTTCATCATCTAACCAACTGTAAGCCTGCAACTAGCAGATTAGAACAGAGACAGCCCTCTTAGACAGTAACAAGAGTAAGACCAAAAACAGGAATCGAGAACCCTTCCATCCCAAAAGAGCTTCCAAAGGATCAGGACATCAGCTCCAAGTTGAAGTTTCCCTGTTCATGCTCCAATGACCTCAGCTGGCAGAACAAAAGCAACCAGCTTGTTTACCTTCCATGTGTCTCTTACAGACTTTTCAGGACCATCCAGTTTGCCGAGCTTTCCTTTATCCTCTTTCACAACTTCCTACTCAGTGTTTATTTTACCAGTAAGTGACAGGAGAAAAATGGATAGGGTACGACTCAAATCTATCCATTTTGCAAATGATCGGCAATGAAATAAGTCTTCAGAGATTAAACTCTAGGTACACAGCTGAGAGAAATGTTTGAAATCTGCTCAATTCAGATTGAAGGCTGCCACAACATAGAGAGATGTATCTATCAACCCTCATCTGGAAGAGGAGGAGACTGACAGTTTAATTTCTCCTGGCAGGTTTCCCACATTTCTATTTGTAGGGCACACTCCGTAGCGTAGAGATGCCTGAAATGAGCATGTTCAAAGTGATAAGAAGGAAACTGATTCAAAGGGGAGCAAGTTATGTAATTTCAGTGATTTCAACATATGCTTTCCTGTATATATGAGGAGATATGATTTATGAAATGTGGACCATCAAGAGGTAAACCAGACAAGAAAATCATACGACACCCATTAAATAAACTCCTAACTGGTACACGTAGTGGGTAGAAGGGAGCAAGGGCAAATATGACCATGACGCTTCTATATATAATCATACAACCACCAACTTGGAAAACAGAGCTTAAGGTATGGATGCTCATGCATCAGCCTCACTTCCAGCAGAGCCCTTTGATAAGATGATTGTGGTCACCAAATGTACATTATGGTTTTATGACACATTAGTGTACATCATAAAACCAGAGCCATAAAGGGATGTGGTTCAACCAATTAGTCTTAAGTGCTAGATAAAATACTTCAGCATGAGGTAGATGAGTCTGCAGGCACATTTTAAAAAGAGCGTGTTTCATTGTTTCTAAGTGCACTTTTTCTTCTTCTTTTTTTTTTTTTTTTTTTTGAGACTGAGTCTCACTCTGTCACCCAGGCTGGAGTGCAGTGGCACTGTGTCGGCTCACTGCAACCTCCATCTTCTGGGTTCAAGCAATTCTCCTGCCTCAGCCTCTCAAGTAGCTGGGATTACTGGCACCCACTACCCTACCCGGCTAGTTTTTATATTTTTAGTAGAGACGGGGTTTCACCATGTTGGCCAGGCTGGTCTCGAACTCCTGACCTCAGGTGATCCACCCACCTCGGCCTCCCAAAGTGCTGGGATTACAGGCGTGAGCCACCGCACCCAGCCCTCATTTTAACCTCTCTATATTGTGAGTATGTCTTTAATCAATGCAGTCTTATAACTGGCTTCCACTAGTTGCTATCATGATGTAGTTGCACGTGTACAATCTTGGTCATACACATTAATATTATTGTCGCTTTAGCTAAGATTTACTTATAGTGTTAAATTTCATTTCCATTTTATATGTCTTTACATGTAACTCAACATTGAAACAAAAAGTTATTGTATAAGTAGAAAAGCATAGAAATGAAGTTGGAGGATAAATTTGATATTAGTGGAATACATATTTTTCTTTGGAAGAATGACCACAATTCTGTATTTTATTGCAAACAGCAATCAGTTGTCTTACAGGATCTATAACAAAAGGTAAATGAAGTTGAGTTGCATTTTGCTACACAGACATGTGCAAAGAATTGTCTATCTTATGCCAAGCCATACAAGAAGGCAGGCAAAAGTGCCAAATATCCCAGAAGAAAGGCAGGAAATGTCAAAGCAATAAGAAGCCAGTATGACCAACTCATGTGTAGCGCAGCACAATCATTAAACATCATTGACAGCACTTTTTTCTTAAAGGTACATAAAATAGTGGTGTACTTTCAACTGAGGTCATGTTCACATCAAATACTATAGTCAAGTTTGTCTTTAGCACCCTCTCCATGTTCTCCCTTCCTCCAGATATCTCATATACTGCCCAGCTATTTCTGAATATTAGTGTTACCCCTCCCAGGGCTACTAATATTTGAAACATAGCATCTAATTATAAAACGAGTTATGTACAAGGCTGGTTCAAGCTGTAAAAATGTTCCTTGAGATGATCTAGAATAGTGGTCCCCAACCTCTTGGCACCAGGAACAAGTTTCATAGAAGACAATTTTTCCATGGACCAGGGTTGGGGTGGCAGATGGTTTTGGGATGATTCAAGTGTATTACACTTATTGTGTACTTTATTTCTATTATTATTACATTGTAATATATAATGAAGTAATTTTGCAACTCACCATAATGTACAATTAGTGGAAGCCCTGAGCTTGTTTTCCTGCAACTAGACGGTCCCATCTGGGGGTGATGGGAGACAATGATAGATTGTCAGACATTAGTTAGATTCTCATAAGGATCATGAACTTAGATCCCCTGCATGCACAGTTCACAGTAGAGTTCGTGCTCCTATAAGAATCTAATGCTGCCGCTGACCTGACAGGAGGTGGAGCTCAGGTGGTAATGCAAGTAATGGGGAGCGGCTGTAAATACAGATGAAGCTTCGCTTGCTCATCTGCTGCTCACCTCCTGCTATGAGGCCTGGTTCCTAACTGGCCACAGACGGTACTGGTCCATGGCCTGGCGGTTGGGAACTCCTGGTCTAGAACACATGGAAAGTCATAGGCTCACATATTCTTTTCTTTTGTATATTTGACTTATTTGACTTAAATTTTGATTTTTTAAAAGCTTAAAAGTTATGAATAATGTATAACATAATATTTAACAAAGACAAGATTTAGGCATAAGCAAAGAAAAAACTATCTCCTTCTCTATTCCTTGTTAGTGCCAGTCTCTCTGCATCTATTTTCTTTAGTGAGTAGAAAAACTATCTGTTTATCCCAGCCAAAGATTGCCTACAACCCTTCTGACAAAAAAGAGAAACACGACAGATGGCAATTATAATGGTAAACTCTCAATAATGCAGAAAGCATAACAAAAATCTCCTCCTCCTAAATTTGACTAGAGACACAAAAATTAAAGAGTAATTAGATAAAGTGCAAGCTCTCAGTCTAACAATGAAAGCACTTTCAATACTCACAGAATATTCCCAACTTACATTTCACTCTTACTTCTACTACTTCCCTACACTCCCACCAAAGTAGACTGCCATTCTGACAGCATGACCTACACCTTACCATCCCTGCTATGCCCCTGCTGCAGTGCCCTTTCTCAAAGTCCAGTTCAACCTTTCAGAATCCTGTCCATCCTTTAAGGTCCATTCACTCAACATATATCCACTACAGTCTATTTATAAAATACTAAGGACAGGAAAAGTAATTCAGAAGGTCCCTGCCCTGAGGAGCCACCAGTCTGACCTATCTTAATTGCTACATTTTCCGCAAAGCCCTTTTGGATCTGCCAAACCACCTGTGATCTCTTCTTCCTTTTAAACCCCTTCTCTGGTATTTAAGAATCTCTGACCAATCCCCTACTATGAATCAGGGATAGTGCTGGGCACTTTCACATGCATTTATATCATTTACTCCACACCACATCTTCATACACAAATAAGGCCTCCATAGACCCCTGGGCATGTAAGAAAACTGATGTTCATAAGTTCACATCCATGGCAAATGCCTTGTTAGGAAATGAAATGTAGTTTTATCAACTTTTGTATCTGCGGCTATTTCCATCAATATTACAGCAGCACCCACTTCATCTTATTATTATTTGTGTGGTTATCTTACTTTCTCTATTACAATGACATTTTAAAACAAGAATTGAATCTTATACAGTCTAACATAAGTTTCAACACTCGCTATAGAAATGCCTGGTTTATAGCAGCTACTCAAAGAATGTTTCATAAGAAAGTTGTGTTCCAAGTATTCTGGTGAATGCCAATGCTGGTTCACAATGATGGGGGTCTGAGAACCAACTGACCTCCCTGACATTGTGTGAAGCAGGAACATACCGAACCTTTACTGGAAGTTGGAAGAGGAAGATGAGAGCTGTGAGGGATCTCAGAATGCATATGGGAAATCATGGGTTCAAGAAAGAGGCAATAAAAGAATGGAATCAACCTAGGTGCCCATCAACAGTGGATTGGATAAAATGTGGTACATATACACTATGGAATACTATGCAGCCATAAAAAGTAACAAAATTATGTCCTTTGCAGCAACATAATTGCAGCTAGAAGCCATTATCCTAAGCGAATTAATGCAGGAACAGAAAACCAAATACCACATATTCTTACTTATAAGTGGGAAGTAAACATTGAGTACTCATGGACATAAAGATGGCAACAATAGACATTGGAAACTACTAGAGGGAGAAGGAAGGGAGGAGGGCAAGTGTTAAAAAAACTATTGGATACTATGCTTACTCTCTGGGTGATGGGATCAATTGTACCCCAAATCTCAGTATTATGCAATATACCATGTAACAAACCTGCACATCTACCCCTTGAATCCAAAATAAGAGTTGAAATTGACCTGGCTCAGGGGCTCACACCTGTAATCGCAGCACTTTGGGAGGCCAAGGTAGGAGGATCACTTGAGGCCAGGAGTTCAAGACCAGCCTGGACAACACAGTAAGACTCCATCTCTACAAAAATAAATAAATGGCCACTAGCAGTGGCTCACGCCTGTAATCCCAGCACTTTGGGAGGCTGAGGCGGGTGGATCACGAGGTCAGGAGTTTGAGACCAGCCTGGCCAATATGGTAAAACCCTGTCTCTACTAAAAATACACAAGTTAGCCGGGCATGGTGGCGCATGACTGTAGTCCCAGATACTTAGGAGGCTGAGGCAGGAGAATCGCTTGAATCTGGGAGGCAGCGGTTGCAGTGAGCCAAGATCATGCCACTGCACTCCAGCATGGGAGACAGAGAGACTCCATCTCAAAAAATAAATAAATAAATAAATAAAAATTAGCCGGGCATGGTGGCATGCACCTGCAGTGCCAGCTACCCAGGAGGCTGAGACAGGAGGATCACTTAAGCCGGGGAGCTCAAGGCTGCAATGAGCCGTGGTCACACCACTGCACTCCGGCTTGGGTAACAGAGCAAGAATCTGTCTCAAAAAAAGGAAAATCAATTTGAAATTTATTTTTAGACCATCATTTAATAGCAGACATTTTTTTTTTAAGTTTTAGCAAATGTCACATACTACAGCTGTCATACAATCAAAGCTTCTGTCTGTGAGGTAGAGATTTTCAGAGGGAAATAAAAAATAAGATCCGAGGCTGGGAATCGTGGTTCACCCAGCACTTTGGGAGGCTGAGGTGGGAGAATCACTTGAGTCCCAGCAGTTCGAGACCAGCCTGGGCAATGCAGTGAGACCCTGTCTATACAAAAAATAAAAATAAAAAAGCTGGGCACAGTGGCAAGCACCTGTAGTCCCAGCTACTCAGAAGGCCAAGGTGCGAAGATCACTTGAGCCCAGGAGGTTGAGGCTGCAGTGGGCCATGATTGTGCCACTGCCCTCCAGCCAGGGTGATAGAGTGAGACCCTGTCTTAAAAATAATAAGATCCAGCAAATAAAAGAAAGGGGCAATAATCTAACGTTGATCTGATTGAGCTTGGAAGGTCTAAAGCAAGCAACATTTAATACATAGAAATATATATATTTTTTTAAATGTGAAAATAAAAGGGGGATGAAAATTTGCAAAAATTCAGACTGGCTTGATCAAGCTTTGTTCACAGTTCTGAGTACAACATAGGTACCTGGGAAAAAGAAAGCCTAGTTGGGTAAATTTCAAGGTCTGAATCTAGGGACACCAACTAAGTCAAGAGTTAGGGTTTTTTTTTTTTTAAGTTTTGACTTAAAATCCAGAATGAAAACCAATCCTTTTCCAGGAACCTACATAGCTGAGAGAGCTCAACTTGGATTTCATGTTAGAAGAGTTTCCCTGGGACAAACGGGAGACAGGCTCACAGGTGAAGGCAAATGCAGACTAGTGAGAGAGTTGCAGGATTTCAGAGCTGACGAACCACAGCTATATCTAACCCAACCTATTTTTGTGATAGATGAAAAAAAAAAAAAAACAGGGGAAACTAAGCGTCTATTGAAAGGTTTACACTTATGCTAAACTAATTAAGTAACATGAGCTTGCCACTCAGAACTGACCTCATCCAAACATAACTGTGTTCCCAGATTCCATCACCAGACCATGAAAGCCATATGTACTCCAAAAGAGTGCTTATGTGCTCTGCTTGGACTATGATAGATGCTGGAAATGGAGGATCCTGAGGGAAAAAGAACAACAGGAGAACTCACAGATTCCGGGAGTGTAGTTTCAGCAGCAGACAGTCTCCCAGGTTTTGATCCCCTGGAGAGTGAAGGAGCAAGCTTTCCAAGGGAAGTGGGGAGGAACAGCCATCCAAAGGAGCTCTCTGTCAGGCCTCATATTTCTCATGTTCCTGTATTGTTGCCTCCTGGTGAGTTTTCTGCCACTGCTATACGAAATTACCATAAACTTCATTGCTTAAAAAGAACAGAAACTTCCTCTGCAGTCCTGGAGGCTAGAAGTCTAAGTCAGTATCACTGGGATGAAATCAAGGAGTTAGCAGGCCCACCTGCCCTCTGGCAGGGCCATTCCCTTCAGAGGCTCCACTCCTTGCCTATTCCAGCTTTGGTAGCTACTGGGACTCCTGGGCTTGTGGCTGCATCACTCCATATTGCTTCAGTCTTCACACTGCGTGCGTGCGTGTGTGTGTGCGTGTGTGTGTGTAACCTCCCTCTGCTTTTCTCTTATAAAGATATATGTGATTGCATTTAATCCCCTAATCTCAAGTTCTTTAACTTAATCACATCCTCAAAGACACTTTTTTCCAAATAAGGTAACATTTACAAGTTCCAGGGATTAGGACCTGACATCTTTGGGGAGCATTCTTCAGCCCACTACCCCACATTAATAAAACTCATCCCCATGATTAATATAAAGATGTTTTCAAGTAAAGAAACTGAGGGACTTATATGAAGTCACACTACAAGACTCTTCTCCATCCTATCCCTTTCCTCCTATGCTCCTTTCTTCCTTATACGGGCGCATTTCTTTATAAGAAATTAATAAGTTCATCCAAGGAAGCAATAAATATTATGTAATACTGAGGACCTTGGTATTCATTGCTGACTTCTGTTAATAGCTGGATTCTTTTTTTTTTTTTTTTTTTTTTTGAGAGACAGGTTCTTGCTATGTTGCCCAGGTGGAGTGCAGTGGCTATTCATAGATGCAATCACAGTGTACTACAACCTTTAACTTCTGGGTTCAAGCAATGCTCCTGCCTCAGCCTCTAACTAGCTGGGACTATAGGTGTGTGCCATTGTGCCTGGCCCTTAGTAGCTAATCCTAAAATCACTCTTAAGATGGTTCTGGAGGTCATACAATCTTCTATTGTCCCACTAGAACCCTTCCACTCCAGAAAGTGGAACTTATTACTTCTCCCTTTCTTCTCCACACCACCACAAAGAAAAGAATATGTATATTGTTTGTATATTGCTTGGTTCATTCATCACCTTAATAAATATTTCTTAACTACCTCTCATGAGCCAGACACTGTGCAGGTCTTTGGAGACATAAAGATGAAAGGTGGGGCTGATGCTTTCAACGAGTGTAGCAGAAATGGAGAATTGCAAACACAGTAAATGTGACAAACGTCGTAACAAAATAAAAGCAGGTGTGGGCAAAGCTAAAGCCAAGGAGCAACATGTTGAGGAGTGAGCTCAGGTTCTTTGTATTTCAGTTTGCCACTGATTTTCTTACTGTGTGACTGTCAGCAAATTACTTAAGCTCTCTGAGCTTCACTTTTCTCACCTGCAAAGTGGAGACAAAGACCACCCACCTTAAACAGCTACGTGAGAAGTAAAGAGTACAATATATGTAAAGCAGCTGACCCACTGCAGGTGCAAGGAGCATGTGAGTCCGGGTGAGGGACTGCGGGAGCTTGACAGAGAGCTAAGGCTTGAACTGAAACTTGGCAGGCAGGTAGAGGTTTATCAGGCCAGCCGAGGCAAAAGCTAAGGAGGCAAAGGATGAGGTGATTGGAAAGAAGCTCACAAGATGAGGCTGGAGAGGTGGACAGAATCTCTGGTCATGGAGATTAACAGGGAGCTGATGGATACCTACTACTGGGAAAGTGACATGCTGAGATTTGCACAGATATGTCAAGAATGATTTGGGGAATGCACACACAAAATGAGAATTAGGAGATCAGTTACAATTTGATATATAACTTCAAGCTTCATAAAAGCTTGAAGTCAGGCAGTGACATGGAAATGAATAAGAAAGAAGGAATATCAAAGACATTTTGGAGTAAGAATTTACTATTTAGTGGGGGGTTGTTTGTGGCAGGTAATGGAGAGGGAAGAGATAAGGATGGCTCCAAGATTCTCGAGTTATGTCTACCTAATCACAAAACAACTAGATAATCAGTCTTTCTCTTTTTTTCTTTTTGTTTCTTTTTTTGTCTCCCTTTCTTCCTTCCTTTCATCTTTCTTTTCTTTTTTGCTCTTTCTGTGTTTTCTTCTTTGTAATCAAGTCAAATCTTTTTTTGTGAATTGAAAAAAGCAAACTGGGACATAAATACAAAAGTAGGTTTAACATATTTTTCAGCTTTCAAGTGATTGTTTTGACATCATGAAGCCACTAAAAATTTATTTTTAAACACTGTTAAGCTTTCTATTCAGAAAATTTAATGATTCTAATGGAATTCTCAAGTTAAAGTGTACTTCTAATAAGAAATTACATAGTGCTGAGAGGCATAAATGCCAAATATAAATACAATTTTAAAGACTGTATTTATTATATAAAGATAATTCTCACTGACATTTAGTAAGATTATATTTATTATATAAAGATTGTATTACTAGGGCTTGCTCCAGTAATCATGGCCGATATCCCATGGCCAGTGGATAAACTGCATCTTTAAAAGCTGGCTTCAGCAGCTAAATCGAGTTACTTAGGGTCGGTTATGTTATCAAACATCCATTGGCTAATTTATTCCTGAAGCAAATTGATTACCATTCCATCTGGAAATAATTAGGGATTATTTTGACTTATTTGAGAATTTTGCTTGTCTTGCCTTGACTAGCATTCATTCAACATTCAACAAATGTGCATTGAGTTGCTACTATGCACAAATGTACTAGAAGCTGCAGAATTATAAAGAACACAGTTTGGTGCTGACACAAAGGTGAGATACAGCATATTTAGTACAAAGCAGAATGCACTGGGCACCACATCAGTGCCATAAACAAGGCTCTCTGAATTTAAAAGAGAGTGACACTTCCAGGGGGAGTAACTGGAGGCAGAAACAAAGGTAGAAAAAAATCTTAGGCAGAGACAACTGCATAAACCAAAAAGCAGAAAGTGACAAGGCCAAGGCTTCTCCCCTATTCCTACTGTCCCCACAATAGAGCATGCCTCTTGTCACCAAGGCTCCTCTGCAAGCTTCCTTCCTTTCTCCTTCTCTGGGTCTCAAGTCAAACATTACTCCCTTTGAGAAGCCTTCTCTTTTTAAGCAGAATTTAGTTCCCTTTCTGGAATTCACAAAGCCCATTCCGGACACATTTTAAATGCATTTATCACTTAATATTTAAGAATCACTTAAAGCCCCTGGATTGCCTGGTTTTAAGTCTCTGCTTTGCCACTTGTCACCAGAAAAACTGTGGGCAAGTTATCTAACTTTCCTGTGCTTTGCTTTCCTCATTTAGGAAATGGAGATACTGATACCTACAGAACTGGCTAGGATTACAAGGAGTAAGTTATGTCAAGGGCTTACTGCCGTACCTACCAAGGTCAGGGCTCAATAGGTGCTAGCTGCTATCACTATTCCATACTTAGAGCGCTGTGTCCCACACTAGATTGCACACCTCTGGTGGGTAGGGGTAAATCCTATTCATCTTTGTATCTCCACACTCCATTATGGCATTTGGAAAATATGGAATAAATTAAAATTTTCAGTGACAAATATCTGGTTCCGGGAGTGTCTCAGAATATCTTCAGGAGAAAATATCCAATAAGCAGATGGTGATTCTGAATTTGAAAGACTTTAGACTGTTTCTGGGATGAGACAAAACCAGTGAGAAGGCAATGTCTCCAGATGCAGAATAAGAGGGAATAGGTGAAGGGGCCAGGTCCTGGGCTAAGTGGGGATTCTGGCCAGACACCCTGTGCCCTGAAAAAGGACATTGGGGGTAACTGGCTACCCAGAGATGATGTTGACAAGAGACCCCAGGAGCCAAAACCCCTGGATTGCCGGCACCAGCAGAACCGTGGCTGGACCTCAGAGGCTAAATACAATCTCCACTTCCACTGCAAAACATCTAGTTTTAACAAATCAGTGATTGTAAATGGTAGCAAGGAAGCATGATAGTAAATAAATTCCTCCAAATTACTTTAGCAGGCCTGGCAGTAATGTGGAACTTTTTGAATTCCTCAAATTGTATAATACCACAGACTTCTCCCATACCACTCAGCTTTGAGTGGCTTTAAAATATAGGAAAGAAAACAATCTATGATGTGTTGGTTTTAAATACTTTTGTGATGAAAGCATAGTAACAAGTATATAGTAACCTAATTTGTGTAAATTAGTATACCACAGTGTATTTTGGTAGTGGGCTAGGGGGAGAACTAGTGTTGTCTTAAAACCTTCTGATAATAATATGATTCCTATTAACTTCCTATGAGCATTTTGCAAGAAAGTCAAGCAAACCACTTGCATAAAAATTTTTTAACTTTTTTCATTAGTTCTGTGAGTAAAAATGCTCAGGCACACTCTGCATTCTCAGTTAATAGATGAAATAGATAACCGCTGCAAAAATATGAGGAGGATCATTCCATTTCTTAGTGGAAAAGGTATGGTGAAATCATCAACATTTCATCATTCGATCTGCTTGAGATGTGTTGAACAGGTTGACTTCCTACATCTCCTAGCGGGTTAAGCGGGCAATGTGCCGCAAACAGGTACAACAGAGAAGGCATCCGGACACACGTCAGTCTATCCTTTCTTATATTCCAATTATTTTCCAGTTCACATTATGGGAAAATTTGATATACATTGCATTGACTCTGAACATCACTTAGGACAGTACCCAAAGCACTTACAGTTTTGACAAATGGAAGAAGGAGGAAAAAGAAAGGAGAAGAGTTTGAAGACAGAAGAAATTAAGGAAAGTAAACTAAAGCAATTGAAACTATTTGGCAATCCTTTCCCTCTCAACTCTAAGTCTTATTCTAAATTAGGGGTTTTCTAGATATACAATCATGTCATCTGCAAACAGGGACAATTTGACTTCCTCTTTTCCTAATTGAACACCCTAAATTAGGAAAGTTAAACACCTAAAATGTCAACACTTTCATTTAAAGAATGTGGGAGAGCCGGGTGCAGTGGTTCACACCTATAATCCTAGCACTTTAGGAGGCCGAGGCAGGTAGATTGCTTGAGCTCATGAATTTGAGACCAGCCTGAGCAACATGGAAAAACCCTGTCTCTACAAAAAATACAAAAACTAGCCAGGCATGGTGGCACCTGCTTGTAGTCCCAGCTGCTCAGGAGGCTCAGGTGGGAAGGTCACTTGAGCCTGGGGGATCAAGGCTGCAGTTAGCTAAGATCGCACCACTGCACTCCAGCCTGGGCTTTAACAAAGCAAGACCCTGTCTCAAAAAAAAAAAAAAAAAAACCTGGGAAAGATCCCATAGATCTGAATTTAGATACCTGGGGGTGTGAGATGGGGAAGCATAACACATGTATTTTACAATGATAGTTGTTTTACTCTGTTTACTAAATGCCAGTCAGAAGTGTTTCCCTGTGTCCCATGCTAAGTAATAACACAGATTGATGTCTGTGGTCATGTTGCTGCAGTATTCTCAGAGATGCAGCTACAACCGGGGTTCAGTAGCAGATCAGCTGCTCAGACAGAGGAGACCATATTTGCCCTAATTTGTAACAAATTTTTCGGCCACTCATTCTGCGACTCTCTGAGTAATCTTGACTCAACTTCCCATACCTAATAACCCAATAACAGAAACTACCTTAAGACAATGCATAGTATCATAATTGTGCCTACAGTTTTTTAAAAAAACAAATTAAGTAGACAATTTAAAGTTTATTGAAGTCTTTGAGTTATCATTTACTCAAATACACACAAATTATTGATCTGAAGAATAATTTCTCAGGGAGCTGATAGAGATCATAATGAAAGTTATACAGGCCAAGAAACACAATAATAAACTATCAGAAAAAGAACTTGGTAAGTACCGTATCTTTCCACTTGCTGTGTGCATTAAAGTTATACTTTTTTAGTCCATTTAGTTGTTTTCAATTTAAAAGAGATGCAATCTGTGGGTTATAAAATACAAAAACAGCTTTGGACCACATCTCTAGCATAGTAGGAAGAACACAAATGAAACTGACAGATGCCGCGGGGCGCGGTGGCTCACGCCTGTAATCCCAGCACTCTGGGAGGCCGAAGCTGGCGGATCACGAGGTCAGGAGATCGAGACCATCCTGGCTAACATGGTGAAACCCCGTCTCTACTAAAAATACAAAAAAATTAGCTGGGCGTGATGGCGGGCGCCTGTAGTCCCAGCTACTTGGGAGGCTGAGGCAGGAGAATGGCGTGAACCCGGGAGGCGGAGCTTGCACTGAGCCCAGATTGCCCCACTGCACTCCGGCCTGGGCGACAGAGCGAGACTCCGTCTCAAAAAAAAAAAAAAAAAAAAAAGAATCAGGTTCCTCCTGGACGCTGCCTGCTGATGTGCCTACCTAACTGGCCACACTCAGCTCTGAGGCAATGGCTGGTAGGAGCAGTCTCACACTCACCTTGTAACTCTGCACTGACAACGCAGCCAGCCCTATGGTTTGTGACATCGAATATGAGAAAAGGGACCTCCAAGTGACTCGAAAATCAGGATGTTCCATAAAAATCCTCAATTATTCTTTCCAAGAAGAGGAAAAAGTAATAGGCAAAGAGAAGAACATCAGTGGCGGAATGAGAGCTTAGCATTTTGCTGTTTTGGAAAGTGATATCTCTTCTTATAATTTGTCTATAAAAATGATTAGCTTTGGGTCATAGGCCCCTTTAATGATCTGCTGAAAGCTTTGGATACCAGAAAAACATAGTAGACATAAAATTCTGCTGCTTCCCATTCCCTGACCTCAAGTCAAGACACTTCGATTTAGATGTCTGTGAAGAACCCTTCTAAAACTAGCAAGCCTAATATTTTCAGTTACAAAATTTGATCAGAATGAGTTCCATGAGAAGCCTTCATTGGCCAACAAATGGAAAAACAAGGGGTTTAGCCTGAGAAAGTAAAGAAAAGAGACTACAGTTCAATTTTATGGATGTTTTATTTCAGACTTAAATTCAATTTTTCAAATGATGACTCTTTGGGATTAATATAGGCATCCGATCACTGCAACTTTAGTCTCCCAATGCACCAATGCCATTTCTTAGAGAAGAATTTCTATTTTCCTGATAGAAGCAAAGAGGTTGTATTTGGGGTTCAGAGGATAATGTTAATGCTGAATGACACAGGAAAAAAACAGCAACAACCATATTATTTAGAAGTTGACCACATATCTTGCTGCTTGAATATTTGCAACTTGCTAAGGAATGCAATGTAGCAAGTCATAGACTAATAACTCAGCAACTGCAAATTATTGTTCAAAAATGACCCCCAAAAATCTTAGTACCAAGGTTATCAAAGAGAAGCAAATAATAATAATAATAAATAAATAAAATTTTTAAAAATGACTCCCAAAATCTTTGCTCATATAAGTGGAATTTTAGCTTATGTGAATTAACTTAAAAATCTTTATTAAGTTCTAAGTTTTCTAACACACTGCACTAGACACCGAGGTGATATAACAGTATATAGTTCACTATGGAAGAGTACAACCGAAAGGGAAAAAATAAAGCTCAGGATTTTAAGCTTATCACAAAAACAGGGTAAGATGGATAGGATGATCTTGCAAAAAGACATATGGAAAAATCATACACTACATTTGTCCCTGACACATTGTACAGCAACAGCTATACAATTACCTCTACGGACGTTGCTGATTGCTGTCTTTGTGTACATGGAGCATCAAGAAGTCATATCCAGAAGATATCCAAGTACCACTAGTGAAAGGAAACCCACTGCTGCCCTGGGAGGTAGAGGATGGATGATGGTCACCACTCATTGGTGATAGTGAAAGGCTCTGTGCAGATAAGATATGGTCAGTCAAGCTTGTTGTCCATCTTTCTGGTGACTAGTTCTAGATTATAATAGTCTGCTGAGACATACTAAGCCCACTAGTCCATGATTCAGTACTTGGGTCTTTATGGGAATGACCACACTGCTAGAAGACAGAGAAGCAGCATTGGCATCTAAGAAGTCACAAGCTGAAGACTAGAAGACCCAGCCACACAGGTGGCGTTCTTGTAGCTTCTTCCTCTCAATGGTTAGGACTTTGAAAAAGAGAGAATATTGGGAAAGTGAACAGCTAACTATGAAGAGGTACGTGGTGAATAGGATATTTTCTGTTTGATGCCTTTAGGTAATGCAGGAATGGACTTTGGGTAGGGTTGGAGTACATGTCATGAGGACAAGAACATCTTGGAGACTATTAAGCAGTCTCTAAACTTAGTATAGGACAGTAAAGAAAGCAATGCTTATATAAAACCATGAAACCAGTTGTCATAAAGGTCTGCAGTAATGTCATGGGAAAAAGAATAGTGGGAGAGGAGCCATGAGATTCCTACAGAAAACAACTGGAAAATGTTCCCAAAGTAATACTCTCAAGGGTCTTTTAGTTGTATAGGCCCAGGCCAGAGCATGGGAACTTGAGAATAAGGTGGTAAATACAATCTCATAATAATTACTGGGATTTAGTGTATTCCAGAGAAATATCTGTAAGGAAAGGAGGTAAAGAAATACCCCTCACCTGTGTGAAAATCCATGCACCTAGATGGTAATGAGGACACAGAGGCATTCGAAAAAGAATTAAATAAGAGGAAAAGAAATCATATTATTGATGAAATAGATATTAACAAACTATCTGGCCAAATGGAAGAAATGAGAGATATGTTCCTAATTTAGTATACAATGCTGGCACAGAGGCACGAAACAGTTATGATGGGAAACTTCTACTGCGTTTGATTGGAGACTAAACTAAAAGCAGAAAGTCTGGCAAGTTACTGCCTGCACTGAATTTTTCTTTACAGAGAGAGGAAGTAACCAGGGGAACTGCTACTTGGAGAGATACCAGCTAGTGAAGTGAAATAATGAACCTTGGGTGAAATCAATGATGTCATGAGAGAACATGGCAGAAACCCTCTTAACCACCCTCCACTCATCCAAGGCTTTTCACTCTGTAAAATATGCTTTAGAAAGTTTTGATAAAGAGTTTCTAAAAATAATTACTGTTAAATTACATGTAGGTAAAACAACTATAAATACAGATCTAGATGGATTCTGTCATCAGATTTCTTTACAAGGTCTTGCCCAACTTAAAAGAAATTAAGACTGAAAATTATAGATGATGCAAAAATGACAATATGGAACTGCAAGCAATCTTTAAAAAAAGACCTTAGCCCTAGGTCAAAGAGTAGCGAGTGAATATATTTGTTTCATTAACATATTTTAAGTTAAAAGATTCAAGATATGTGTATCTTTTAATGATTTGCTACTTTAACGGTCTTTTGGTTAAT
Organism: Homo sapiens; assembly: GCF_000001405.40. Classification (NCBI taxonomy): domain Eukaryota; kingdom Metazoa; phylum Chordata; class Mammalia; order Primates; family Hominidae; genus Homo; species Homo sapiens. Next base: position 184,945,689 of record NC_000001.11, read on the forward strand.
TGTCCCACTCCATTCCAACAGCAATAGACAAAAGACATTTACCCTGACATTTCTGATAGCCAGATAGAGAGTCGCTGAAAATATGACAAGAAAGCATGGACTTCAAGAAGGCAGATTTCAAAAGAATCAGCAGAAACAGCATCATGACTCTGTGGGAAGAGCGTTCTGAATGAGAGTCAAATAGCATCCATCTGTCCGCAGACTATGGACAATTTTGTCTGTATAGTCACAGATGGTGATTCCACCAAGGAAGGAAGGATGGAGGTTCCTACATAGTTCTATTATGACCTGATTTCAAAGCGCTGGGATTAAAAAAAAAAAAGAAAGAGGGGCTCCTCAAGAACAAATGCAAGAGAGTTTTGGGTCTCTCCAAAAACAGGGACAGATAGATTGAGACCTATAATTTGTAAGAACAACAAGAAGCATTCTAATGGTTATGTTAGGCACAAAAGGAACACAAGGGAGAAATAAGCCAGATGTTTGGCACCAATGACATCATGTTGCTGGAATAACAAAGTGAAAGGAGAACTGCTCCCCTATTACTTTCGCAATTACTTCTCTTCCAAGAATAGTGATTTTCAGACTTAAAATAGTAGACTAAATATGGTTACAGAAAAAGGAAGCTGAGGATTAGTAAAGAGATTTAAAGTGAGCCTTGAGATGCTATAAAATAACAACAATCCAGCATGCTGAGAAAATTTACAAATAAGAATGCTAAACTATTGTTAACCTGTGGGAGTGCTGGAAGAGTTGAATGGACAATTGTAGATCTGATTCTCAAAAAGAGGAAAGAGGAAGGATGAATGGAAATGTATGCAGATTTATTTACGCCTTGGAGCTTAACTGTAATACCAGGAAAGATTATGGAGTTGACAGTAATGGGAAGTCTTGAAATTTCATGATAAAAAATTAGATCATAAATAGTAACTGTTTCTAAACTAAAAGTTGCTATCAAATTTATTGGAGAAATAATAGAGATATTTTCTTTTAAAAAGCAGAATAAAAACTAGAATACCTGCTATTGGGAGTGGAAGGCCACATTCTCCACTCTTCATATTTTCATAAAAAGAAATCTGGAACAACAGGAAGAAAAAGCTGCCTTAAAAGGAGTACATGGTTCAAAACAAAGAAATGCATTGTTTCGGGAGGCCAAGGCGGATGGATCACCTGAGGTCGGGAGTTTGAGACCAGCCTGACCAACATGGAGAAACCTTGTCTCTACTAAAAATACAAAATTAGCTGGGCGTGGTGGTGCATGCCTATAATCCCAGCTACTCAGGAGGCTGAGGCAAGAGAATCTCTTGAACCCAGGAGGTAGAGGTTGTGGTGAGCCAAGACCGCGCCATTGCACTCCAGCCTGGGCAACAAGAGCAAAACTCCATCTCAAAAAGAAAAGAAAAGAAAAGAAATGCATTGTTTCTCCTACCTTGCTTTCTGTTGGATCAAATGACATGTAGTCCAAGTCTTTGAGATCTTTGTAAAAGTATGACAGCTCTTGTACTCAAATGACTTTAAGAAGGTTAAGTAGACAAATTGCATTAGTGATAGAAAGCGATGCTATGAAGGTAGGGTGCTGTAGTAAAAAGGGGTTTGGCTTCAGACACAGAAGAACAAATAATGTATTATTTAGCGGTATGAGGTACACAGAGCAGGCAAATTCATAGATGGAAAGTGAAATAGAGGTTACCAGGGTCTGGGAGGAGAAGGAATGGGGAGTTATTTAATGAGCACAAAGTTTATGTTGGCGATGATGAAAACATTTTGGGAGTAGATAGTGGTGACGGTTATACAATATTGTGAATATAGTTAATGCTGCTGAATTGCAAGTTGCCAATGTTTAACATGATAAATATGTATATTTTCCAGCAATAATTTCTTAAAAGGCCTGGCTTTGACCAAATAATCCTGGGTTTGAAGCCCAGATTCCTGTATATTGAACCCCCCTTCCTATACAGACAGGAGCCTTGTGCTGACCAGGGGCCAGAGGCCAGAGAGAGCTGGCTGGGCCTAGGCAAGAGGAAGTGGCAGAGGACTTGGCACAGGAGCTAAGTGTGAGCCAAGGGGTGGTGCAGAAATTAGGAAGAATTCAGTCCTGGCACAATTCACTAACAAAATAACTGTCCAAATATGAATTGACTGGCTTCAGGAGATAGTGAGTTTCTTATTACTGGAGGTATTGAAAGCTGCTTACCCCCTTGGTAAGGGCATTCAAGCATGAAGTTATCTTTAATGACCTTTAAATTCCCTTCCAAAAGAGCAAGCACGTGATGTTTATTCCTTTACCATAATCTCCTTAAACTATAAGACATACAGAAATGTCCCCCAAATGTTCCACTTCCAGCAAAATGGAAAAATAATGGAGAAAAAGAACTCTCAAATTATTTATTCAACCTACTCCCAGATAAGCATATTGGGATATTCAAAAATAGGAAATAAAAAAAAAATCCTTAGGAATAAGAATTATAGTCATTATATAAGCTTATGAATTTGTTTTCAAGAGTTTCTTAGATATATATGGTACTTAGAAAGAGCTAATTCCAGCACATTTCTATCTGAAACAGGTCTAGACTCAATTAACTCCTGTTCAAAGCATATATGTATTCATTTATTCATTCATGCCACAAGCAAGTTGACCTTAATAGGACAGATATCCTGGAACACAAAAAGGGTAGGAAAATGAATAAGATAAAACTTCTGCTACCAGGAGTCCAGACTAGTTACTGTGTTCCAAGAGGTTAGAAATTCAGTGTGGCTGATATATTATGCATCTATGATGGCCTTTCTTTTTAAAACTGTAATTTTAAAAAATTATTCACATTTTGACACCTAAGAAATAATTCTAAGAAAGTGATCAGAGATTCATATAAATATTTATGCATTAGGATGTTCACTAAAATATTATTTATAATAATGAAAATTTTAAAATGACCTAAATGTCCAACAAGAAGAGAATGGTTAAATAAATTACAGGATATACGACAGCCAGCATCCTCCACAGCCAATAAAACTTAAGATTTCGGAGACTATTTAATGATAAGGGAAATGTTTACAATATAATGTGGAGTGGCAGTATACCGATTTGTACAAAATATGACCCAAATTTTGTTTTTTATGTGTGTGGATATGTTTATATGAAACATTGAAAAGAGAAAGAGAAAGAAGAGAAAGGAAATAGATACTTATATTACTTAACAACAGATTGAAGGATCATGGATAATTTATTTTTTTCTATTTTTCTTCATGTTTTATGTAGTAATTTAGAATCAGAATTGTTACTTAAAATATTTAAATAAAAATAATGGCTTTTAATATTTTTCCCTAATTTTTGTTCTAAAATCTTTTGGATTTATCTTTTGGATTTGCTATACTCTGACATTTGGTGAGAGATTTTCTTTTCTTTGAAAGTGGAATATTCAGCACTTTGGGAGGCCGAGGCGGGCGGATCATGAGGTCAGAAGATAGAGACCATCCTGGCTAACACGGTGAAACCCCATCTCTACTAAGAAAAAAATACAAAAAATTAGCCAGGCGTGGTGGCGGGCGCCTATAGTCCCAGCTACGTGGGAGGCTGAGGCAGGAGAATGGCATGAACCCGGGAGGCAGACCTTGCAGTAAGCCGAGATTGCACCACTGCACTACAGCCTGGGCGACAGAGCGAGACTCCGTCTCAAAAAATAAATAAATAAATAAATGAAAGTGGAATATTGTTCAAATAAACTGGCTTATAGTAATAAGAATAACCACCACTTATTGAGCCCTTATGAACACAGTACACGCATAACCTAATTCTCACAACAAAATGTAAATTAGTTGTTATTATCCCATTTCACATACAAAGGAACTGAGGCTCAGTTATATAACTTGCGCAAAGAGGACCCAAACATGGGCTGCCCCAATCCTTCTTCCACTCTTTCCATTGAGTCACATGGCTACCCAAGTTTTTCTCCTGCTTGTCCAACTAACTATAAGTTTAAATAAGAGTAAGAGATAGCACACTGCACTTCCCTTTGAAAGCAGAGGAGTCATTAGTCCTGTGAAAAAGTTTTCCTTCAGAGTGACTATTAAAACTGAACTAGGATTATGCTAAGGGGCACATAATCAAGTGAAGAATCTCAGACTAGAATTTAGGTCTCAGTTTCTAATGGGGAAATTGGGGATGACAATATCCACAGAAAATTATGCAGTACTGGGTTGGGGTCCCTGCTCTGTCACAGACCAGCCATAGGTAAGGCTCTTGCACCCCCAGGCAATCAACAGTCATCACCATCACTACCACCATCATTATTATTGAATGGATGCCAAGAATGAAACAATAAAAAGATAATTCCATCAAATGTTTATTTAAAACTACTCTATCAAGATAATGATTTTTTATTTGCTTTATCTCCAAAATCATTTTAAAAAAAACAAGAGTTATAAAGGTAAGAACCCCACCCAACCCCAACCCAAATGAATGCATTCACCCTGTTCACTAGTGCAGAGGAGTCTGTTAATTTAGATGCAGATAATCTCATGAGATAATATAATGGTCTCTATTATCTTAACGATGAACAAGGAATCTGAGCCTGTTAGTGAGAAGGTGCACGACTTTTTTCCCAGGCCATCCAGGATTGTTTAGCATAGTGAGATGAAATTTACAAAAGGTAAGTGAATGATGAGAAGGAGTTAATATAATTTATTCCCCAATGTAATTTTCTCCACATTCTTAGGCAGGCAGGCCCCAGACACTTTGTCTTTTCACTCCATCATTCTCCTAATATGTAACAAGGGCCATTAAGCTAGGTAAAAAGATGAATTGCTAGAGATCATTATGCACGCTTTCAGCAGCCCATGAAATGTACCCAAGAACAATAAAGATATCTGATGACCTGTCAAGAAGATGCTTATGCAAATGAGAACATCATGATTATACTTCTGCTTGTTCATCTAAAGGCTATCGTGAAATATAGATTGAAAAACTTCACTTGCTCAGTAGCATCACAAATAAGAAGCTGGTTTTCGATTAGGTTATGCTAGAAATGAAAATTCATGGCCACATGCCTAATTCAGCTATAAAAGAAGACAATAATCGACATAGAACAGCATCCAACCTGATTTCCTTGGGAAACAATAATTTCATTACATGACAGTTCTTACCGCTCCCTTGAATTACAGTATTTGGTGCTGAAAATTACTTGTAATCCTCAGAAGTAAAATATATTGTGAGCATATATCATCAGCATCTTTCTGCTCTTAAATAGTAAGTGATATTTCTGACTTGAATTCAATAACCTTCAAGGTATCCATGAGAATTAAGACAGAAAGAGGTTGAGGCAATGGATATAAGCCATACAGCAAACTCCTCATGGGAGCATGAACTCAGCTCAGTTTTTCTGACACCCAGCCGCCTCCTCTCATGGCTATGTAGTGAGTGACATTGTATGCAAGAGTGAGGCATTGGCTTCAAGGAGGACCATGTGCATTAAATATTAGCTGTGTGGCCTTTGCCACAGTCTCCCTGGGCTTCAGTCTCACCATCTGCAAATGATAACAGTACCTATCTTGGAGGGTTATTATGAGAATTTAGATGAGGTAACACGTGTAATGTTCTTACCCTAGTGCCTGGCAGGTAATTAAGGATGCCACTTAACAAATGACAGTGATTATCAGATGAGACATCCATCTGCTTAGCTGACATCTCCACTTGAACCTCAATCTTAGCCTGTCCAAAAGTGAACTCTTCATTTTCTCCATCAAATGTGTTCCCCCAGTCTTCCTTCTTTCAATAAGCAGCAACTCCATTCTTTCTTTTGTTCAGGTCAGAAATTGTGGAGTCATCCTTGAAGCCACTTTTTTTCCCCTCATATTCCACATACTTCATCAGCAAATCCTGTCAGCTCTACCTCCAAAATGTATTTATAACCCAACCATGTCTCCCTACCTCCAGCTACCCCCTAGTCCACACCACCATAATCCCTGGCCCGGATCACAGCTCCAGCTTCTTCCTGTTTGGCTTGCTTCCTCCCTTGTCCCCCCTACAGTCTATTCTCTACACAACAGTCAGATAATTCAGACTATGGCGTTCCTCTCCTCGAAACTCCCCATGGCTTCTCTTCTTACACAGAGTAAAAGCCCAAGTCCTTCCAATGGCCTATAAGTCCCCCTGAGATGTGATCCCACCTACCTTGCTGCCCTGTCTCTGCTCACAGTTCCCATTGCTCATTCCTCCGTAACCACACTGACCTCCCTGCTTCATCATCCTTGGTAATGATACCATCTTATTATTTCTTAGTTTTATTTCTCCCTACCACCACCTCTATGATGTAAGTCCCATGAGAGCAGGGATTTAGTCTGCTTTGTTCATCCCGTTTCACAGAACAGGGCATATTTCTATTTGATGACTAGAAGGAAAGACACACAATGAATGCTTCATTATTATAAGAAATAGATAGGCCAGGCATGATGGCTTACGCCTATAATCCCAGCACTTTGGGAAGCCAAGGTGGGCAAGTGCTTGAGTCCAAGAGTTTAAGATCAGCCTGGGCAACATAGCAAGACCTCATCTCTACAAAAGAAAATTGAAAAAATAAGCCAGGTGTGGTGGCACATGCCTACAGTCCCAGCTACTCAGGAGGCTGAGGTGAGAGGATAGCTTGAGTCCAGCAGACAGAGGTTGCAGTGAGCCATCGCACCACTACACTCCAGCCTGGGCGACAGAGCAAGACCCTGTCTCAAAAAAAGAAAAAGAAAAAGAAATAGATGTGTTCCATGACGTTTGAGGTTTTAAGGGCTAAACCAGGGGTGTCCAGTCTTTGGGATTCCCCGGGCCACATTGGAAGAAGAAGAATTGTCTTGGGCCATACATAAAATATGCTAACACTAAGGATAGCTAATGAGCTAAAAAAGAAAATTGCACACAAAAAAATCTCATAATGTTTTAGGAAAGTTTACAAATTTGTGTTGGGCCACATTCAAAGCCTTCCCGGGCCACATGCAGCCCACAGGCCATGGATTGCACAAGCTTGGACTAAACTAAATGCTGCAAATTAAGGTTTATAAGTTCATCCTAAGTAAGTTTTTTTGAAAAGACTTAATCAATCAATTAAACAACTTGTTTCACTAATGAGAAAACCGAGGCCTAAAGACAAGCCCAAAGTCACATGGTATGTGCCAGAACCAGGATTCAAACAAGTTCTTCTACACCAAGTTCATGTACTTGCCCCTCAAGTTTATGCTGTCTATTAAGTCTGAAGCATACTGAAGTCTCAACTCCATAAATTATAGAAAATATATAGAAATTCAGTTCTGATTCCAACTGGCTCCAGGAATGGTTGACTAAGGATTTTGAAGAAAAGTATTTTATTTGATGTACAGTTTATTTAAAATCTTTGACTTTAGGTTGCAGAAGGTATACTATTATAAGTGATAAAACCAGTTGTTGAGAGTCCATGTCCCTATCACAGTGTTAAGTGCTTTACGAGGATTAGTGCAATGAGTCTTTACAACAGCCTTCGGAGGTACTATTATCCCCACTTTGTAGTGGAAGAAACCAAGGTTAGAGGAGGCTAGATAACTTGCAGAAGGTAGCACAGCTAGCAAGAGATGGGGCCATTATCTGTACTTGGGTGCTCTACCTCCACAGCCAATGCCCTACTGAATCAAGAAAGCTACACAGTTAACATTTTATGGTAAATGTTTCTTAAGGGTTTAGTTGCTCTGTAAGTTCATTTTATTTTGTCCACTCTTCTAAAAATGAGACATATTATAAATATCATTTTGAAAGCGTCTTTTACATATCTTAGTGAAACTTATGCTCATTTGCAAAATACATCATATGTGTATATTTCTCCTTAGAATGAACAATGCAGAAATTTAAACATATCCCTGGAGAAATGCTGAGTTTGGTTATCAGCACACCTTAAGGCATCAAATATTTTCATTAAAAACATGTGGAGACATGAAGGTTTGTGCTCCCTTTCTCAGACATCCACTGATGTCAATAGCAGTGATGATCTGAAATAAACAAAGTAGTTAGCTATAGTACGCCTCAGGAGTTTCTCGTGGAAGTGCCAAATAATGATACCGAAGGGAGGAAATGCTGAAACATGAAATGTGTGAGTAAGTGGGTTAGTCACTAAAGTTGTCATGGGTCAGGAGACATATCTTATGGCTTCTCAGAACTTAACATTCCAGAAATCACTGAAAAAGGTGAGAAAGTTCAGAGAAAATGAGACAACCTCAGAGTCTAGTGACGGTGTTTTCCAAAGAACACTGGATAAGGTAATTATGTTATTTCAATTTCAACTGCAAATTATATGATTCAAGGAGCACTTCATTACTCAAAATTCCTAAGGGGGAAAGATTATGTATTGGTACTACATTGTTTAAGATAAGAAACTTTTTAAACATCTAAGCCCTTATCTGAAACATTATCTACATACACAACGGCTCAAATGTGATTTTATGGAAATCGGTGAGTTAGAGAGGGAGAGTAAGTTGGATGGGGGAAACCTTGGACTATTCTAGGACAAAAAGTTCAGAAAATATTCCAGACCTTGGGAATTTGGTTATAGGTCTAGAGTGGAAGCCAAGAACAGAAAATGAGACAAAAGAGAATGAAACTCATCTGTTATTTCCCTTAACTGCTATCCACGGTGCCACCTCCTGGCTAGGAAAAAGGGGTAGTCATGTGAAATACTAGGTTTTCATATCTTTCCATCCCTTTAAGAGAAAATTCAGAAGAGATAAGAAAATCTTAGCATTTCCTTGTGAGTTTAACCATTCAGCTAAGGGAAATGCAGAAGACCAGGGCAAAGGCAAATGACCTCAGGGCCTCTTTTATCTGGGTTAATGAGGGAGTCAAGCACGAGCCTGTCTGGCTGGCTGCTTGTGCCTGCAGTTCTTCAGGGGCAGGGCAAATTATACTTAAGTTTTAAGTCTAGGGTTGAAAATACATCAGATTGGAAAAAAGGCTTGTCATTTTCGGGATGCTTATGTGTAACTCAGAATCAGAGTATATTCTGGTTTGAACTGGAAACTTAAATCTTGGAAATGTTTGGTTTGGTTTGGTTGGATACCATGGATTATGAAAAGAGCTCTGCACCAGGAGTGTGGAGACCTGAATTCCAAGCCTATGTGTGCTTTACTAGCTAGGCAGATGAGAACAGCTCATTCAGCTTCTGAGATTACAATAAAAGAGTTGGATTAGATGCTTATCTCTAAGTTTCCTTGCAGCTCTATGAATCTTCTATGAATCTTTATTCGAGAACAGCTGTCTAAAAGAAATGCCATGTGAGCCATAGATGTAAGCCTCAAATGTTATTTGGTCTTCCAGTAGCCACATTAAAATTTTTTAAAAACTGATTACATTAGTTTTAATATATGTTATTTAGCCCAATCATAGGGCCAAAATTGTATTACTTCAATATGTAATTGCTATTAAATAGCAGTTTTGTATTAAATAATATTAATTATTTTACATTATTTTCTTTGTACTAAAACTTCAAAATTGGTGTGTATTTTAAACTTGCATCATATCTTAATTTGGACTAGCCACATTTCAAGTGCTCATTAGTTATATGTCCCTAATGGCTGCTGCAATGGACAAATAGATATAAAAGGCTTCAATCTTTTCTTTTCTTTTCCTTTCCTTTCCTTTCCTTTCCTTTCCTTTCCTTTCCTTTCCTTTCCTTTTCTTTTTTGTTTTGTTTTTGAGATGGAGACTTGCTCTGTCACCAGGCTGGAGTGTGCAACCTCTGTCTCCCAGGATCAAGCCATTCCCCTGCCTCAGCCTCCCGAGTAGCTGGGACTACAGGTGCGCACCACCACGCCCGGCTAAATTTTTGTATTTTAGTAGAGACGGGGTTTCACCATGTTGGCCAGGATGGTCTCAATCTCCTGACCTCGTGATCTGCCTGCCTCAGCCTCCCAAAGTGCTGGGATTACAGGCGTGAGCCACAGAGCCCAGACTCAACTTTTCTTACATAAAGAATATGAAGCCTATACCCTGCCTTCAAAATTAGAATCCACTTAAAGTAGAAAATGTATTCATTGAAATGTTAGGTTCAACATGTTGAGGGTGATATAAAGGAAAAAGTGACAATAAAAACAAGGGATAGGACTTTTGACAGGAATTGCCAATGGAAAGATACAAAGGCAAGGTGTGTCATGTAGAGATGAGAAGGTTGGGCAGAAATAATGTATGCCACCTCCAGGCCTGGAGCACAAAATCTACCCACATAATCCTCCACTGTCTATCTGCCCTTATCTGCAGATGTATGCACAGTGTCCACTTAGTGTCTTTGTGGCCCTAAGAATCATGAAGCCACTAGCCATTAGGTCAGGGATTATTTTTTCTTTTTGTTTGTTTTTTTTTTTTAGAGCCAAATTCTCACTCTTGCCTAGGCCGGAATGCAGTTGTGCAATCACAGCTCACTGCAGCATCTCTTGATCCTGGGTTCCAGCGATCTTCCTACCTCAGCCTCCTTAGCAGCTAGGACTACAAGCATGCGCCACTACATTTGGCTCATTTTTGTTTTTTGTAGAGACGAGGTCTCACTATGTTGCCCAGGCTGGCCTCAAACTCCTGGTCTCAAGCGATCCTCTTGCCTTGGGCCTTCTAAGGTGCTGGAATATGCCCAGCCAGGTCAGAGATTATTGATCTGGAGCCTGTAGACCCTCATGGGCTCTGTGGATAGAATTCAGGCCATCCAAACACTGAATGGAGGAAAAGAACACCTGTGTTTTATTAACCTTCAACTCAAATTCAGCACTTCTCCAACCCTGAATGTAGGCAACAAAACAGTGTAATTTAGCAGTACTTGTGACTTTGTCACCAATAGAGCTCACAGATGTTTTCGTAGCACATTTAAGTTGCTGCATATCTTAGAATAGCACTTCTTCAAAATGACAGTAGTTATTAAACCCTCCATGAGACCTTGTCATTGAATGCATTAATAAAGAGCACATATATTACCATATCACAGATTTTAAAAATATTTTGATAACTACAGTTCAATAAAATTGGTTTCTTTTATCATCCTCTCTATATTTTTTTCATTTAAAAATGTTACTCTAAAAAGGGGTCCATAGGCTTTAACAAACCACCAAAGGTGTCCATGGTACCATGCACTAGATGAAAAGAGTCTGGGTCCACACACAAGCCCACTGCCCTTCATTAGCCCCCCACCAAATCACCCTGGATAGTGTGATGAGTGAGATACAAATCACTATAAGCCACTGAGCGTTGATGTCTGTTTCAGCAGTTAGACCATTCTAATTAATGTACAACTGAAACATGGCTTCAGGCCACTGCCACTGGTTAACATTGCCACCAGCTTCCCTGCATTGAAGAGAAGACACCAGCAGTGATGTGCTGGTAAACTGGGTCTCAAAAACCAACAACAACACAAAAAGACTCCCACCATCGCTGGTTTCAAGCTATCAATGTGATATCACTGAGCTCACAGTTAGGAAAAGATGCCTGGATTCAGCTGTTGCCAGCCAGTGTGAGCTGGCTCCTAGCACAGCACTGGGGTTGCTCTCCCTCACAACCATTCCGAGAAGGGTGTCTTCCTATTGTCCTTCCCTGGTTTGAGGGGAGGAGTATGTGTAGGACCTTGAGAATAGTTGTTTAAAGGTGCCTATTTAAACCCTGCGTCCGACTCTTTCATAATGAATAAATAAAGCAGAATACCTCACAGGCAGTAATTTGTAAATTCAACAAGCTGTTGAAAAGAACCTAATTAGTACTAATTACAACACTAGAGTGTCCCAACACATTATAATGCCATTGCTTCTGTAGAGGCATTGTGTTTAAACACTCTGAAACATTAATTAGTCTGCAGAACAAATGTGTGGGCTAGGTATTATTCAGCAGTATGTGAAAGCCAATCATTTACTCTGCAAAGGCCTGATGCCATTACTGATAGTAAAACAAATTGATTAACATAATGGTAGGACTGGGAAATGTGAGAATTATATCACATTTATTACATTATATTATTCATTTCTGACCCTCCTTTTCTCACTGGGCATTACTACTGTCCTCATTTTCATAGGAGAAACTGAAGGCAGCCAGTTGACAAGTCCAAAATCTCCAGAGAATCCAACTTCAGATTCAGCGAGTCCTCAGGAAATTATCGTGCCTGTTTTCCAAAGGTGAAAGCTCCATTTATTTATTTTTTATTGTATGCCTTACTTCCCAAATATAAATATTTTATTTGATAATGAAGAAGTTGCATAAAGGTATCATTTTATTTAAAGTTAGCTTAAAGTGGCTGCAAAGGCTGCTTTGGGCTATTCATAAATTCCATATTAGGTGTTGCTAACATTTAGGTGACTTTTAATTTCTGGATTAAGCTATTTATAATCTACCATCTCACCCACTGAAAATATCCACTTCAAAAAGTAGCCAAAGGCCTGGCACAGTGACTCACGCCTGTAATCCCAGCATTTTGGGAGGCCAAGGCAGGTGGATCACTTGAGGTCAGGAGTTCAAGACCAGCCTGGCCAACATAGTGAAACCCCATCTCTACTAAAAATACAAAACAATAAAAAATAGCCAACTGTGGTGGTAGGAGCCTGTAGTCCCAGCTACTCAGGAGGCTGAGGCATGAGAATCGCTTGAAGCTGGAAGGCAGAGGTTGCAGAGAGCCAAGATCACACCACTGCACTCCAGCTTGTGTGACAGAGGAGTCACACACACACACACACACACACACACACACACACACAAATAGCCAAATAATTTAGAATTAAGATATTGAATCAAAAGTTTAGTAAATGTTTCCACTTAGCTCATTTAAGGTAGCTAAAGCAGCTGAGCGTTCAAATCCTATCACGCTGATACTCCTTTTCATTAAAGAAAAAGCTATGTATACTTGGAATTTCTAAAAGAAACACTTAGAATTTCTGGAAGAGCATTTGATACCCTGTTACCTTTCGTCTAAGATATTTACTTGCCTGGCACATAGTAGGCACTCAATAAATGTTAGCTTTTACTACAGTGATTATCATTTCTCAGGCCAGGAGTTAGCATTTTTAGTTAGGAACTGATATCTCACTTGACATGCTCAGGTCTTAGTCATGCTCTAAAATTCTTACTTACTTTAAATGTAAACCATACATTTCAATTATTGTTACTAATTTAATTCTCCTCTCTAACAAAACCATTTTAAATATTTATACTCCAGATATTACACATTTGCCATTGTTGCTCATAAAATTTGGCTTTATTTTAACTCTAAGCCTGCATCTGCTTTGCTTAGGCAATTTTTCCTGTATAACTTGTGTTGAATGAGTTACACAGGAAATAATCCTTTAAACAAACGCATTCAATCCAAATTTGGAAAATCTCTGAATTCTTTTTAGCTAATCATGGAAATTGTCACTTGTTCTGTGTGCGAACCAGAATTAAGGGCACAAGGCCACCAATAATGATGTGCTTTTTAAAGGAACATCCACAGTTTTCCCTCATTTCTGAACTGATCCTGCTCAGCTGTCTGGCCCCAGACCAGCCACATCTCAGCAGCTCCCAGTGTACATTCAGTTCTCTGCAGGCTACTTCGTTCCTCTCCCAACTCCATGGAGAATGTTGGTAGCAGGGCAGTACAGCTACATTCTGCCTAGATGTTCCAGCAGGCTACAGAAACACAGTAGTCATATTGCTCTTGCCTGAAGACTGGAGACTAGGAAGATTTTTTTATATCTTCCATTTTTCTCATCATGTTCACGTTTGCCTCTGTGTTCGCACATGGAGCATATAATGACTGCTTTACCATCTTTGTCTGCTAATTTCGCCATGTCTATAATTCCTGAGTCTATTTCTATTGATTTATTTTCTTTATACTTGTGGATATTTTCCTGCTTCTTCTTCTGCCTACTGTGATAGTTTTTAACTGGATGATGGATATTAGATATTGTGAATTTTACATTGTTGTATGGGTATTTTGTTGCATTCTTATAAAGAATTTGCACTTTATTCAAGCAGGCAGTTAAGTTACTTGGGATCAGTTTGATCTGTTTGAGGTTTGCTTTTAAATTTTTATTAGAGCAGGTCCAGAGCAGCCTTCTAGTCTAGGGCTAATTTCTGCTCACTACTGCTGAAGACTCTAACTCATATCTATCATAAGGCCTTTCTACTTTGGATGATGGAAGCATGAACTATTTCCAGCTCTGAGTGAAGTCCAGGAATTCTTTGGCCCTATAAATCAGAGACACATGATCTTCTGTTCTAGAAAATAAGCTTTTACTTGTTTAATAATTTTCTCCCGTTCATTTTCTTTGTTCTCTTGTTTTCTGGGACTTCTGTTAGTCAGATATTGAAATTTTTGGATTGACCCTTTAATTTTTTTTATATTGCCTCTTCTATTTTCCATCTGTTAATCTTTGTACTCTATTGTCTAAGCAAAGCAGACAGAGGCTTAAAGTTAAAATAAAGACAAGTTTTATAAGCAACTATGGCAAATGTGTAATATCTGACATATACATGCTTAAAATGATTTTTTAGAGAGAAGAATTAAATTAATAACAATAATTGAAATGTACTGTTTAAATTTAAATAAGAATTTTAGATCTTAGAATTTAGATGCAAGATCCCCTCAACTTTATTTTCCAAGGCACCAATTGTATTTTCTAAAATGTTGATCACCAGATTTTTAATTTCCAAGAGCTCTTTCTTATTCTATTATTGTTTCTTCATCACATCCTGAACTTGTTTTACAAATGAAATACTTCTCTTATTTTCTAAGATATTCATTACAGTTTAAAATTTTTTCTTCTCCTTTCATTCATGCATTAAGCAAATATTTATCTGTCAGGAACTGTGAACCAAACACTGATCTATTTGCTGAGGGTGCTATTCATTTCATAACAATGAATCAAGACAAAGACCCTGCTTTCATACAGCTTACATTCTAGTGGTGGCAGACAGACAACACCAACAACAACAACAAAATGTTGTTGTTGTTGTTGTTGTTGAGACGGAGTCTACTCTATCTTGCCCAGACTGGAGTGCAGTGGCACAGTCTCGGCTCACTGCAGCCTCCACACTGCAGGTTCAAGTGATTCTCCTGTCTCAGCCTCCAAAGTAGCTGGGACTATAGGCACGTGTGCCACCACACCCGGCTAATTTTGTATTTTTAGTAGAGACAGGGTTTCAACATGTTGACCAGGCTGGTCTCGAACTCCTGACCTCAGGTGATCCACCTGCCTCGGACTCCCAAAGTGCTGGGATTACAGGCGTAAGCCACCACGCTCAGCCAGGCAACAAAATATTAATAGGCATCCCCTCCCATCAAACCTCCCTCTTGCTCACTACACTCCCAACATAACACCCTTTCTTCAATTCCTTCAAGTACTTCCCCCTCCTCCCCCTTCTATATGCCGTTCTTTTTTTTTTTTTTTTTTTTTTTTTTTTTCAGACGGAGTCTTGCTCTGTCGCCCAGGCTGGAGTGCAGTGGCGCGATCTCGGCTCACTGCAAGCTCCGCCTCCTGGGTTCACGCCATTCTCCTGCTTCAGCCTCCTGAGTAGCTGGGACTACAGGCGCCTGCCGCCACGCCTGGCTAATTTTTTTGTATTTTTAGTAGAGACGGGGTTTTACCGTATTAGCCAGGATGGTCTGGGTCTCCTGACCTCGTGATCCACCCGCCTCGGCCTCCCAAAGTGCTGGGATTACAGTAGTGAGCCACCGCGCCCAGCCTACATGCTGTTCTTTCTAACCAAAATATACTCCCCCGGTTCTTCACACAGATAGCAACTTATTATCCTTCTGAATACCACAGCCAAGTCTATCTCATCTCCTTGCCCAATTGCCACCATCAGTTTTCTATCTCAGTGCTGTTTTTAATCCCTTCGTGACACTTATCAAAATCTGTAATGTTGGTTACCTACTTAATAGCCATCATGCTTCCTTCTTGCTAAACTGAACCTGATTCTGTTTGGGTATCCATGACCCTCCCTATAACCATGTGCTTCAGAGAAATGGCTCTAACCCCAGTTCAGGGGTGAATCTTGATTGGTCTAACCAAATCATGATAATTCCATACTCTTGCCAGTGATGGCTTAGGAAGGAATGTGTGACCCCATTTTGATCAGTGGGATGTAAGGGAAAGTCTGCTAGTAAGGCATCTGGGAAAGGCTTCTTTGCTCTTATAAGGAGACTCAAAGAATAGACAGATCTCTTTTTAGCCTCTAGGACATTGCTGTGCGTAAGAATTTAATACTATTTACTGCTGCAGCCACCTTTCAAGCATAAGAGACCTGGGCCACAGACAGTAGGAAGAAATAAGCTGGCTTTTGGTGATATCACTGAGCCACTTAATTAATCCTATCTTCATACTTCTTTGTTACGTTCCCATGAGCTCTTCTTGAGGAATCTACTGGGATGAGCTCTAAACACCAGAGAGAGACATCAACATAAGGACTGATGCATTAAATAACACTTCATTGTGAAACAAAGAGTGAATGAGAAAAGAGAATAGAATATAATGATTATATGGTTTAATGTAGTAAAATCATAAAATAAACGTGGGGAAGAATTGGATTAGCATATACAAAAAGTTTGTCTCTGATTTTAAAAACAGTTTGTTCAACAGCTTTCCATAATCATAATTGATGATGGCAGTATTTGTATTATTATTCTGAGACTGTTGTGTGTATTTGGTATGATAAAGCAAATGAGAATTTGTGTATATTTAATTCTATCATTGCCTAGTGCCTTTGAGAACCATGATTCTCAGTGTGGAAAAGGATATGTATAAATATAATATTAAAAAGATATATTTTCCCTAGTTCTATAAACTAAAAAAGTCCAGAAATAATGGCCAACCCAGTTGTAGCAGTAAACATAGCTAGATTCAAATTGTAATATTGAAATATTATTTCCCACTAAAAGAAATCAGAGGTTCTTATAGATTTTGCTTACTCCCTGTATGGGACAGGAAAGAAACAGGATGAACCTAAAACATCTTGACATACCAGATGGCAAGGAAGCTATCAAATACTACTGGGGTAATTTCCAAAAGATTCAGGAGCCAACTTGAAGAGTTTTTCATTGGCCAATGATGGGAAATTGGAGCTTCAATAAAATAAGAATTACAATGGGATTTGTGAGTTCATAATGATTTTTATAGTCAATTGATCATCTTTAAGGGATGTCAAGAAACCAGTAACTTATATTAAACACTGGTAAATAAAAGGAAAAAATAATGTTTTTTTCCTGCTTTTGAACTATCATACTAGGTAACCAAATGATAGATATGGGAAGTATTGCTCTATAAAATTATCCCAGCTAATAAATGAAAACAAAATGACATATTAGAATATCACCATTTTTCAACCCCCAATAAATTTTTTTTCATTTTGTATGACTTTTATTAATGCAAGTGGTAAAGTAAGAAAAAAATACATAAGCAAATCAAAATTCCATGTAATAGAAAAATAAAAATTTTTTAAAGACATTTCACTGTGACCAAGTAGGGTATATCTTAGCAATGGAACAATATTTTAAATATTGAAATTCTAATGACCACATTAAAATATTATTAGAAAAAATCAAGTCTTTAATAAAATTCAGTATATATTTATGATTAAAAATTTTAAGCAACTTAACGAAAAGGGGGGAGTATCCTTAAGCTAAACCATAAATCTATGGTTAACATCACACTTAATAGCAAAATGGGGAACATCCCTTTTCAAGTAGGAACAGGATAAGGATGTTTGCTGTCATTCTTATTGCTGAATATTGTGCTGGAGGTCCTAGTAAATTCAATAAAAAATGAGGTATAAAGATTTAAAAGAATTGAAAACTGTCAAATTTGCAGATAATACATGCACACAAAAAATCAGAGTGAATGAACAAATTATTACAACTAATAAGAGGCCTTGAGATGTTTGTAGGATACAAAGATCAACATGCAAAAACAAAATAGCTTTCTGGTGCTCTTAAAATAACCAGATGGAAAATACAATAGAAAAGAAGAACACAATCCCAATAGTAAGAAAAAGTGAAAGGCACCAATAAATAAACTTATTAAACATTTTTGTAAAATTGTTATGTAGAAAACTATACAACTTTAAGGATGAAAGAAAAGCATGTATTATGGAAGAGATGTGCCATACTAAGGTTTGAAAGACTCAATATCATACAGATGTCACTTCTTCCTAAATTCATCTGTAGATTTCATGCAATTTCAATAAAATTACAAAATGGTTTTTCATGAAATTAACAGTTTAACAAATATGGAAGGATAGCCTACACCTTCTGACAATGAGTAAGAAGAAAGAGGGTCTTGCCCTTTGGTTATTAAGATTTATCATAGAGCAATAATAACTAAATCGGTGTTATACCAGCACAGAGATTAGACAAATAAACCAAGGGACTGGACTAAATAAGCTAAAAAAAAAAAAAAGGAACCAAGAGCCATACATTTCCAGTCAATGAGTTCAGTTCAGTTCTACCATTGATGGTAATAGTTTGCAGGAATGAGAATCCTGTAAGTGTTTAATGCCTGAGTGACTGCTGAGGAGTGGAAGGGACAACGAGTTTGCCTAGGATGCAGATGGGGAGTTTTTCACAGAGCTCCCTTCAGTCAGGACTTCTAGCAAAAGATAGGATTTTCCGAGTGCTCTAAAGAAAACCAGAAGGCTTAAAATCCAAGAACAGGAAAAGTTTCTGATACTTACTCATGTGAGAAAAAGCATGCACAGAGAAGAGGAAATTCAGATGAAAGGAGCAATGACTGTGACCATCTGGGAGGCAGCACAGCTCGGTTAACAGCAAGGACTTTGGAGGCAGAAAGTATTTAAGTTCAAACCTTCTTCTACTACATACTGGCTGGATGACTTTGGCCAGGTTCTCTATTCTCTGTAAACCTTGATTGCTTCTTCTGTGAAACGGAGCTAATGATATCTCCATTTGGTGTTGTGAGGATTATGTGAGCTCATGCATGCAATGCTCTTAGCTCAGTGTCTGTCCCATGGTAAGGGTTCAACGAAGACTCCATGGCAGCTTTCTAGGGGAAGACAAGAGGGAAGGTTGGCGGAGAGGAAAGAGAGGTCTGTCCTGGCCAGTGTTGCTCATGGGCCGAATCAGAGAATACTGAAATTCATGGTGGCATTTCCAAGAGGGTAGAGATGATTTTGAAGTACCTAATATATGTTGCCTTTATTATTTCACCGTTCAAAAACTTTAATTCTATTTCTCATTGAATTTCAAGTTCCTCTAAAGCGGAGACAGTTCAACCCCCAGTGAATTAATGGGTCTCAGCTATAAGTATCAATGGAACAGCTACTAACATCACAAAAAGAGAGGCAGCCAGCTGTTATGTGCCTCCAGATGAAGAACACAGGGCCGGGCGCGGCGGCTCACGCCTGTAATCCCAGCACTTTGGGATGCCGAGGCGGGCGGATCACGAAGTCAGGAGATCGAGAACATCCTGGCTGACACGGTGAAACCCCGTCTCTACTAAAAATACAAAAAATTAGCCAGGTGTGGTGGTGGGCGCCTGTAGTCCCAGCTACTCGAGAGGCTGACGCAGGAGAATGGCGTGAACCCGGGAATTGGAGCTTGCAGTGAGCCGAGATCGCGCCACTGCACTCCAGCCTGGGCAACAGAGTGAGACTCCATCTCAAAAAAAAAAAAGAGAAGAATACACACCACCACCTATAGTCTTCACAAAAGGATTGATTCTTTTCTGTGGCGGCATAGTATTCCAAGGTGTATATGTACCACATTTTCTTTATTGATGGGCATTTAGGTTGATTCCATATCTTTGCTACTGTGAATAGTGCTGCAATGAATACATGCATGCAGTCCTTTGCAGGAACATGGATGGAGCTGGAGGTCATTATTCTTAGCAAACTAACGCAGGAACAGAAAACCAAATGCCATTTATTCTCACTGCTGAGTGAGCGCTAAATGATAGGTAAGTACACATGGACACATAGAAGGGAACAATAGACACTGAGCCCTATCAGAGGGTGAACGGTGGAGGGGAGAGGGAGGATCAGGAAAAATAACTAATGGATACTAGGCTTAATACCTGGGTGATGAAATAATCTGTACAACAAGCCCCCACGGCGCTTCGTTTCCCTATGTAACAAACCTGCACGCGCTGCACATCTTCCCCTGAACTTAAAATAAAAGTTAAAAAAAAGGATTGATTCTGAGACTGATCAAGTCTCACTATCTCTGTCAATTTGTAGAAAATACAGGAGAAATGTGTGGAACTGCACCATGAGTAAACTCCAGACTGTGAAAAACTCTGCATATCAAACAGCTCAAGTCTTTCAACAGATAATCTGCGAGTAAAAGATGTAAGGGAAATGTGTAGATTAAAAGAGACATCTTTTTAAGTGAGTAAGACTATAATGTTTACAAATACATAGTTGGGTGATGAAACCATAAGGAAATAGAGGCAGACATTATTATAAAAGCTAGGATTAGTGAGGTGGTAGTCTGTTACCAGGGTAGCCCTTGCATAGGTGTTCATGCCTGTGTGTAGTCCTCTCTTGAATCTGGGCTGGCTCTGAGACCAGCTTTAACCAACAAAATGTGGCAGAGTAATGTGGCGCCATTCCAGGCCTAAGCCACAAGAAGTCCTAGAAGCTTCTACATGCTTTTACACTCTAGCAATGTAAGATCCTGACCCACCATTTAAACAGTTCAGTATCCTATTGGAGAGGTCATGTAGAAAGGCCACCTGGAGAGAAAGAAAGCCTTGTCAGCTAAGTCCAGCCACCAGCTGATCCACCAGATGCATGCATCCACAGGAATGACCACCAGCAAAAATAAAAAGTAGAACCACCCAGCCTGGACCCAGTTCAGCAGAATTGTGAGCAAATAAATACCTGTTTTAAGAGTCAGGATCTTTGAGGTAGTTATAAATAGATAACTGAAAATAGTGGTCATTTTTGGAGAAACAAAGAGGTCTAGAACTGGGACGGGGCACACAGAAGCCTCCTTTGATGACTAGTGAAGCTCTTTCTATGTCTTGACCTGCGTAGTGGCTACTAAGTATTTGCCTTATAATGATTCACTAAGCTATGCATTTGTTTTGTGTGGCTGTCTGGGCCTATGTTTTCTTTTAAAATAAAAATAGTTTTTAAAAAGGAAAAAGAAAAAAAACCACATGGTTTGGCATAGAGACATTTACCCTTCTTCCAAAATTCCTTGAGACCATGGACCTTTTAAAAGTCACTTTGGGGCTCCTAGTAAAAACTATTAATTTATTTTAATCCTATAGACTCATTCCATACAACATCAAGCATAGAAATACAAACTTCCTTAGGTCCTAGAACCTGCAATTTGCAAAAGTGAATTAATTGCTTTCATACCTCTAAAGCGTTTATTCTCTTTTCTAAGTGAGAAAAAACATACAGTACCAAGGTAGGGGGCACTTTTTAAAAGCTGGCATGCATTTTCGCATTGGCAGCAACTTGCTAGTCTGTTTTTAAAATGAATTTTCCAGTTTCAAAGGAGAAAATCTGTATTGCATTTGGGGTTCTGTTAAATCTCTTTCTCTCTCTTTCCCTCCCTCTCTCTCTCTCTCTGTGTGTGTGTGTGTGTGTGTGTGTACATATGTGTGTTAGTTTTGAACTGTTGGGAAAGTGCCTTAAACAGACTGTAGCAGATGAATTGTGCTTTTATTCTCCTGTCTTCCTTTCCATTATGCTTTTATCTTCACTTCTGACTTCATTTCCCATTTCACAGTGCAAATTGTTATATGTACCTTATTTCTTAGAGTTACCCAGCTATACTAAAAAAAATTAAAATTTCTGATTAGGAGATTAAAGTTCACTGCCATGATTCACACTGCATATTTTGTAAAACGTTCACAGTACATTTATATTAATGAAATTAGAAACTACCTTTACAAATTGGGCTCCTGCTATTGCACTTTCTACCTGTGAACCCAGTTCAAACCTTCCCAGAGATTACAATAAAGTAAAAAGCTCAGTAGTTCACAGTAAAAGATAATAAAAATTACTATTGTCATCCTAGTAGTTACTATTACTAGAGCACCTTTGATGATGTGGCCCTCTTACAGCCAACGTCCATAGTAAAAAGAAGTTTTTCATCAAGACCAGGGCTTGATTCATCATCTAACTCCATGGGATTTATCAAGGCTTGTATTAGAAGCCACAAGAGGGAAAGTCACTCTTTGTTCCACAAGTACAGGAGAAAATGTTAATCTGTCTCAGTCTACTGTCTTTTCTGTCTTTGTGGTTGACTCTTAGAAATCACAACTCACGGCCGGGCGCGGTGGCTCACGCCTGTAATCCCAGCACTTTGGGAGGCCGAGGCGGGTGGATCATGAGGTCAGGAGATCGAGACCATCCTGGCTAACAAGGTGAAACCCCGTCTCTACTAAAAATACAAAAAATTAGCCGGGCGCGGTGGCGGGGGCCTGTAGTCCCAGCTACTGGGGAGGCTGAGGCAGGAGAATGGCGTGAACCCGGGAAGCGGAGCTTGCAGTGAGCCGAGATTGCGCCACTGCAGTCCGCAGTCCGGCCTGGGCGACAGAGCGAGACTCCGTCTCAAAAAAAAAAAAAAAAAAAGAAATCACAACTCACAAAATCCTTCATGGCTTTGCAACATGAGATTTGGTTTCCTAAAGAGCTTCCCATTTCTAAAGTATTGGTTTCAATTCACAAAGACCAAAGGAAATAGAAAGTAATTATTGATACTAGCAACTCCTAATTTGCAGTAGTTTTACTTATTTGAAACTCCTGCTAGCTTCCTTGGTAGTCTGGCATGCTTGAAGGCATTTTTTTTCACTTAAAATATAAAGTGATCAATATGCATTTGTGCACTATTCATAGTGGACCCTCTTTCTCCTGTTTCCTCCATCCCCACTACTCTGGAGGAGCTGCAATTTCTCACTTCTTACAAAAGCCTATTCATGTCTACAAATTTAGAGCTGAGACAAATACTATAATCTTTACCCACTTTCTACTTTCTTTGGATTACTTTTTCTGAAAGGGGACCCAATAAGGCAGCATTTAGTATACTGGTTAGGATGCTTTGGGCCGCACGTAAAAAGAAGATAACTGTATTAGATAGAATGAGGTTTGTCTATGGACAACAATAAAACCACAATAACACTGGCTTAAAGAGATGGAAGTTTCTTTCTTTCTTTCTTTCTTTTTAAGGTCCAGAGGTAAATGGTCCAGGGCTGGTATGGAGGTTCTTCTCTATGAAACCACAGGAACTTAGCCTCCTTTTGTCCAGTTACTCTGCCCTACATGTGCTCCTTCTTGAAAGGACACCTCATGGTCCATGACAGCTGTCCAGCCATGGTTACAATCCAGCCAGCAGTGTGGAGACTTGGACGAAGATGGTCATACCCTTCCCCTTTAATGTCACTTTCTAGAACAGCACTTCTATCTACATCCCATTGGCCATAACTCAGCTACATACTCCCATTTAGTTGCAAAGGAGTTTGGGAAATATCTTTATTATGGGAGTTCATGTGGACAGCTAAAATTTGGGGATTCTATCATTAAACATAATGGGAGAATGCTATTGTGGATAACTAGCAATCTTCACTATTCCAATTCAAAGGGGATTTAGTGGCTCTCACAATACGAATTATGCAGGGTTAGTATATAGTGGCTATCAGCAAAGTTTGTCAGGGCTCTAGCTTCTTTTCTCTGAGACACCTCAGCTTTGCAGTGCTCCAAGTATTGGCTTTGTCTTTAGGCTAGCTCCCCTCCTGCTCATCAAGATAAAAACAGCAGTTGCAGGCATCACATTCAGATGCAACAAAGTCAAAAGATGGAGAAGAAGTGCCCTTCACTTTGCCTCCTTTTTAAAAGGGAAGAAAAGTCGCCTAGAAGCAGGTGGCAAACTTCCCCTCAAGCATCACTGACCAGCTGGCAACATAATCCCATGCCTACTATAATCACTGGCAAGGAGACCACACCACCACAACAGGTACAGACCAATCAGCAGCCACCTTTCAGGGACCTTAAATGGGGCTAGTGTCTCTGAAACAGAGGGCAATATCAGGAGTTTCTTTCTTTTTTTTTTTTTTTTAAAGAGAGAGACAAGGTCTTGTCATGTTGCCCAGGCTGGTCTCAAACTTCTGGGCTCAGGCAATCCTACTGCTTCAGCCTCCCAAAGTGCCGGGATTACAGGTGTGAGCCACCAAACCTGGCCAGGAGTTTTAATGCCTGAACAAAACTGGAGTTCTGTTAGAAAAAGGAATGGGGGCTGGGCACAGAGGCTCATGCCTGTAATCCCAGAACTTTAGGAGGCCAAGGCAGGTGGCTCACTTGAGCTCAGGAGTTTGAGATTAGCCTGGGAAACATGGCGAAACCCCGTCTCTACAAAAAAATACAAAAAAACTACCTGGGCATGGTGGCACATGCCTGTACCCCCAGCTACTAAGGAGGGTGAGGTGGGAGGATCGCTTGAGCCCAGGGAGGTCGAGGCTGCAGTGAGCCATGACTGTCCCACTGCACTCTAGTCTGGGTGACAGAGTGAGACCCTGTCTCAAAAAAAAAAAAAAAAAAAATGGAGGAGTGGGAAAAAGATGTTGGGTTGACATACCACGGTGTCTACCATAATGCATTTCCTAACTTTCTCATCATAGTATATTGCCATTACTAGCCAACTTGGACTCTAAGATCACACTACCAAAAATATTCAGGTTAAGTCAGACCAGTTCTTATGCCCATCTCCCACCAACAAATTATGACCGAAGAAGCAAATGTGTGGACTAGTACGACACATCCACACTAAGTAGACTACAGATGTGTACAGCTCTCCCCATCCTCCACCTTGCCCATGGAGACTTCATTCTAGACACATCACTTTAAACTTTGTATCTAGCCACCTAAGTTAACCCTTGTATAAATAAGAGGGAACTTCCCTGAGAAAAATATGTGCTATTTTAAAGCTGAAACTCATTTCTTATTTTATAAGCATCAGATCATTGAGAAGCTTTTGGAGGAAGCCACTGGGCCCTTTATATATTATGTAACTGACTATGCAATAATAAATCCAGTGGGGGAAAACAGTTTTCCTAACTGGTATTTGCTGCTGGCAGGCCTGCAAGTGCCCACTAGGATCTGTTTATCCCATGGTTTTCAGCTGCGGCACTGACTGTCCAGTACTTTTCTGACCCTCCACAGGACTTCTTATGTGGGAGATCTTTCAGGTTTGCTTTCTTTTTGATTCGTTAAAAATTCAAGGGTAATTTTTAGAAGGAAATAAAATTATTGCATAAACAGGAAAACACAGTGTGGGGGGTTTTTTGGTTTTGTTTTGGGGTTTTTTTTTAAGCTATAGTTTAATTTCATGCATACCAAAAGCTTTACAGAAAAAGAGGCCGGGCATGGTGACTCATGCCTGTAATCCCAGCACTTTGGGAGGCCAAGGCGGGAAGACTGCTTGAGCCCAGAAGTTTGAGACCTGCCTGGGCAACATGGCAAAATCCCATCTCTACAAAAAATACAATTAGCTGGGCGTGGTGGCACACACCTGCAGTTTCAGCTACTCAGGAGGCTGAGGTGGGAGGATCACCTGAGCCAGGGGAGGTCAAGGCTCACAGTGATTGTACCACTGCACTCAGCCTGCGTAACAGAGTGAGACCCTATCTCAGAAAACTAAAAAAAGAAAAGAAAAGAAAACATGGCATAAAGAGAGAAGAGCACCCAAACTGATCACTGATGCCTGGAATCTATGAGCTTTCTTCCTCATTAAAAAAAAGATTGGCTGGGCACGGTATCTCATGCCTATAATCCCAGCACTTTGGGAGGCCGAGGCAGGCAGATCACAAGGTCAGGAGATCGAAGCCATCCTGGCCCACATGGTGAAACCCCGTCTCTACTAAAAATACAAAAATTAGCTGGGCATGGTGGTGCGTGGCTGTAATCCTAGCTATTCGGGAGGCTGAGGCAGGAGAATCACTTGGACCAGGGAGTCAGAGGTTGCAGTGATCCGAGATCGTGCCACTACACTCCAGCTTGGTGACAGAGTGAGACTCTGTCTCAAAAAAAAAGGATCATTTTAGGTCAGTGCTAAAAGCATCACTTAAGACTAACATATGACACAGCTCATGTGATCACAAGTTGGTCTCAGTATTATTTATTAATAGAAACATCTTATCAAGGGACACTACTGAAAGGCTTCTAGAAACAATCCTAAAAATTTATTCTGTTGTAAGAAACATGAGCATTGCCGTAATTTCCCAAACTAACATCTTTAGAAATGAAGTAACTCCTTAACGTAGATGATATATCTTTACCTGAAGATTAACTAAATCCTAAGAAACAATGTATTTTCAAAACATCCATATGACACAGATGTTTTGAGGCACACAAGGAATGGCAGCTGTTAAATGATTTGTCTTAAAGTAAAGGCTGATTCAGCGTCAGTAGCATACAGCGGTTTATGATGCATACAAAATAAAGTTAACAAAAGTCACTCAAAATATATTGACTAGCTACTCTCCTTGTTAGCAAAGTTTATCAAGCTTAAAAGAAAGTTATTGTCTCAGCTTCAGGAGCTTTCAAATCTATATTTCACTGATGGCTACTTTATGAGAAACAGGTCATAAAAGTATATTTAAACTTTACTGTCATACTTCCAATCGTTTTGCTTACAATTGAATCAAAGCTTGAGAATATTTATAGGCTAAAAAATGGGCAAAGAGGTAAAGATAGGGCTATGATTTTACTCAGGAACCTGGGCTTCAAAACCATCAGGAAATCACAGCCCTGTGACCCTCATTTGCTCATGCACTAACAATGTACAACACCATGCATTTTTCCAAGGTTCTTTTCTCTTTTGGCAAGACTAGCATTCTCACATGAAGTGATGAGTCTTTTTCCCTGGAGGTATTCTAACTTTAACTCTTCTCTTCCCTCTCCCACTACACATACCTTGCAAGTGCCCTCCTGAATATAGAATGAAGAGAGAAAGCTGAACAAGACTGGGAAATGTAATGACTGTCACACCATATGCTATAGGTTTACTCATTCAAACACTTGCATTACAAGTTCTTCATCTGCCCTAACTCCCTCGTACTTTTGTATATGTAATAATTTAATAGCTTTCAGAATAAAGAAATTAATAGCATTTTCTTATTATCTGAGTACAATGTTTGCATCAATAGCAACAAATGGCACGGCCAGGAAGTCTTCTTTAAGCATGTTAATCCTTCACATTGCTTAACTTCAAATGATTAGTGTACTTGGCCATGCGTCCACATTAGGTGCTCCTAAGCTTTCCAGTGAAATAAAGTCTTATATAAATGCCTTAAACACAACTTTGCTAACATTCAAATGCAAGCCCTTTCTCACTACGTTCTGTTGATTGCCCTTTCAGTCCCTATACACTGGTAACACAAGCATGTAGCCACATTTTTAAGACTAAGGCAGGCTTCATTTATTTCTTTTAAGCTTAGTTCAG
This sequence comes from Homo sapiens, assembly GCF_000001405.40. Taxonomy (NCBI): domain Eukaryota; kingdom Metazoa; phylum Chordata; class Mammalia; order Primates; family Hominidae; genus Homo; species Homo sapiens. The sequence continues at coordinate 184,973,090 of NC_000001.11, forward strand.
CTCTTTTACTAATATAAATAAATCATCCGTCTTTTCCCCTTTAACAAACAAAAGCAAAGAGATACTTGACCAAGTGTTATCCCCTGACAGTACAGGTTGTTGAGGATCTTTTACCTCCAAAAGCACCAGAGCAGGAATCTGTAAAATCAGCTCCGTTGCTCTTCACGTACCCTGATTTGATATCTTTTTAAAACGGTCTTAAATGTTGTGGTGACTGAAAACAAATGTGGAATAAGAACACCAAATAAATGATTTCCTCTTAGGAAAGGATTCAAGGGCCAAATAAACCTAGAGTTTAATACATAGTCTGGAAGATATTTCTGAAGCCGAGGGTGGGGGATCTGGCGGCGGGGCGGGGGAAAGACAGTAAATTGGTAAGATAACCAAATGTTAGGTAGCGGTTGAAGGCAAGTTTGGGGTGGGGGGTGAGAAGAGGGGAGGCCAAATACGCCCAGGAAATAAAGGAGATAACGAGTCAGGACTTCCTGCAGTTTCAGTTCGGTTTGGGTTTTGTTTTGTTTGTTTTGCAGCCTCACGCTCTCTACTGAGTCCCCACATCTCTGAGGGTCTCCCTAAATGAGTTTCTCCCCATCTGTAACTTTCGGGCAGTTACAAAGCACGCCAGTGTTCCTCTTTTGCTTCGCCCCTCTCCGGGGCGGGAAGGGAACGGCATGACATTGTCCTTTTTGCCGCTGATGAAATCATCCTGCAAGTGCTAGGATGAAGTGCGAGCGAAGCTGCGGCCAACGCCGCGCTTTCCAAAGCCAGGCCAACATTACTAAGAGGGAAATTCTGCTTTAGCTGCCGGGAATCCCCAGGGGTATCTCTAGAAACGCGGGATATCCCCGCTGCTCTCTTGGCGGCCAGTTCAGAAACCGCTCAGAACTCAGTCCAGGGCAGGTACTGGAGGGCGAAGTGCGCCGGGCGGGGGCGGCACTGACCCCGAGGCGGCGGGAGCGGCGAAGGCGCCGGCGTCCCCACCCGCATCCTGCACCTGCCTCGCTCCCAAGCCCTCCCGGTCCCCGGTCCACACCCGCGCCGGAGCGCGCCGGCTGGGGCAGGAAACCCGACTCGCGCGGGCGGGCTGCGGTCGGGGATCCCCGCGCGCTACAGGGAGAGGGCCCGGGGCGCGCCCCTTGGGGCCCCGACCGCGGCAGCCAGCCTGGTGCACGGGTCAGGGTGCTCCCCAGGCCCCCGGGCGGGCGGGCGTACCTCGGATGTAAGCGCACTTGCCCTCGTCCAGCTGGCTGGAGGCTGAGCCGCCCATGACCGCGAGCTGCCTGTGCTGAGCGCGGAAACTGCCCGGTCCGCGCCCGCTGCTAGCTCCTGGAGGTTGATCCGACGGCGAACCCGGCTCTGAAATTAAGAGCAAACTTCCTTCGAGAGGCGAGAGACAGGAGGCAAGAGGCGTCGCCTTCTGGGGCGCCTCCTCCAGGTCCGCGCCTTCTGATGATCCGTGGGCCGGCCCGGGGGCTGTCTTCCCGCCCTCGCCTAGCTGGTGAGCTCCGACGGGCTGGCAACCGAGGAGGTCGGCCAGCTCCTCCTCCTCGCCCACGGTCACTTCTTGTTTTCATCCCTTTGGGGCATCCAAGAAACACCTTGGAGGAAGTGGACCATTTCTCAAGTGACTAAATCTCTGTGAGCTGGAACTTTCCCAGCTCACATCCTTCGAGGTGGAGCTCAAGATCACGTTGCCTTGTAAGTGTTGCTGTCCAAGAAGCAACAGTTCTTCCCAAGCATTACCTGGGAGCCTGTTAGAAATACAAAATCTCAGCGCTTTCGTCCACCACCCCTCTACACACACACAGACACACACACACTTAGAATCTGTGGGAGTGGAGCCCAGCAATCTGTGTTTGCACAAACCCTCCAGGGAATTCTGATGCCCGCTGAAGTTTGAGAACTAGAGGTAAACTATACCTTTCTGCAGGCGAGAACCTGGACCAAGGAGGGAGTGGGGAAATGAGGAAAAAAGGAAAGAGAAAAAAAAATGGAAAGACAGGGAAAAACTAAGGCTTGGTCCTGCAATATACTCCCAGCCCTGAAACTTCCTAAGACTTGATGAACGTCTGTCCTTACCCCTTTACTTTCCATTCCTCTCCTTAACTGGAAATCAATCATTAGAAAAGATATTTGTTCTTTTCCCACAACCACTATTTAGCTTGGCAGCCTCTCGGAACAAGACCCACTTGGGCAGAGGGGTCACCGCTGATTTCATCCTATTCTTAGTAGTCAGTTATTTTGCGACTCCTATTGACTTAACCTCAAGGTCAAATGGTCTGTATACACTAGAACCAGGCCTGAGGAGGACTTTGAAGGCTTTCCCACACACCCCCGCCTTCCCTATTAGCTAACTTGCACTTTAACACAATTATTTCATCACACTCACACCCAATCTCTCACACTCTACATTCCAATCTGTCAGTAAATCCTGTCAATTCAGCTTTTAAATATGTCCAATAGCCAACCAATTCTCATCCCCTCTACTGACATCCCATATCATTCCTCACCTTATTCATTACACTAGCTGCCTAACTGATCTACCTTCTTCAGAGAAAAGCCACGACGTCTATCAGGGCCTAGGTGGAGTTTCCTCTGTGATCTTCTCTACCACCACTCCTTGTTCTCTCTGTTCCAGCCCTACTAGCCTTTTTTTTTACTCTTTCTGAGACACATCAAGCTCAGGGCCTTTGCACTTGTTTTTCATTTCTGTAGGATGCTCTTCCTTCAGATATTCACATAGGTTACTCTCTCAGTCATTTCATTCAAGCCTCCACTTTAATGCTAGTAATTCAGAGAGGTTCTCCTTGACCCAGGAACACCAGCCATCACCTCTCTCTGCCACTTGCTCTTCATTATTTCTGTTTCATATCACTTAGTATCATCTAACACATATTTCTTTGTCTATCTTCCCCCACTGCGATGTAAACTCTATAAGATCAGGGATTTTCTTTGTTGTTATTGTTGTTTCTTGGGGCTTTTTCCCTCAAAATTTCTGTTTCCTTTTTTATTATTATTTTTCCTCTTATGGCAGGGATTTTTTTGTCTATTCTGTCCTCTGCTGTATTTCAAATGCCTAGAAGAGCACCTAGCATGTAGTAGGTGTCCAGTAGATAACCACTGAATAAGTGAATGAATGAAAAATAAAATGTAAAAATCTGTACTCAACAAAAACTGTGATCTCAAGCATTTCCAGATAACAACTCAATGATTTAAAATATTTAGTGTTGAACTCTTCTCTCAATACTCTAGTTGGCTCCTAGAATTAAGTGTATCTTCTTGGAGAAGTAATTTCTTTGACTATATAAATTGCTATAACTGTGCCTCAGAATACTGTTATTGTTATTGAAGAAAACTAGCTTGGATCTCCTGCCAGAAGTGTAGTTTTAGCTTGTCACCTCTACTTCAGGAATACTCTGAGAAAGGACTGATTATCCTCATCTACCCTTATCCACTCATTTGTAAATATTCACGGATGAAACAGAGTACAAAGATGGATTCACACAAACAAATGGAAAAACATTCAATGCTCATAGATAAGAAGAATCAATATTGTTAAAATGGTCATACTGCCCAGAGCAATGTACAGATTCAAAGCTCTTCCTATCAAACTACCAAAGACATGCCTCACAGAATTAGAAAAAAACTATTCTAAAATTCAGATGAAACTAAAAAAGAGCCTGAATAGCTAGTGCAATCCTAAGCAAAAAGAACAAAGCTGTTGGCATGGCATGATCTGACTTCAAACTATACTAGAAGGGTACAGTCACCAAAACAGCATAATGCTGGTACAAAAACAGTATACCAAAAATATTGGACAAAAACAGATACATAGACCAATGGAACAGAATAGAGAAATAAACCAGAAATAAAGGTGCACACCTACAACCATCTGATCTTCAACAAAGCTGACAAAAGCAATGGGGAAAGGACTCTCCCTATTCAATAAATGGTGCTGGAATAACTGGCTAGCCATATGCAGGTGATTGAAACTCGACCCCTTCTTTTTTCTTTTTTTTTAGACGGAGTCTTGCTCTGTCACCAGGCTGGAGTGCAGTGCCGCTACCTCGGCTCACTGCAACCTCTGCCTCTTGAGTTCAAGGGATTCTCCTGCCTCAGCCTCCTGAGTAGATGGGACTACAGGCGTGTGCCACCACACCCAGCTAATTTTGTATTTTTAATAGAGATGGGGTTTCACCATTTTGGCCAGGATGGTCTCGATCTCTTGACCTCATGATTCGCCCGCCTCGGCCTCTCAAAGTGCTGGGATTACAGGCGTGAGCCACCATGCCCGGCTGGACCCATTCTTTATATTATACCATACACAAAAATCAACTCAAGATGGATTAAAGACTTAAGTGTAAAACCCAAAACTACAAAAACTCTTGAAGAAATCTAGGAATACCATTCTAGACATAGGCACTGGCAAAGATTTCATGATGAAGACATGAAAAGCAGTTGCAACAAGAACAAAAATTGACAAATGGGACCTGATTTGACTAAAGAGCTTCTGCACAGCAAAAGAAACTATCAACAGAGTAAATAGACAACTCAGAGAATGGGAGAATATATTTGTGAACTATGCATCTAACAGAGATCTAATATCCAGAATCTGTAAGAAATTTAAAGTAGCAAGTAATAAACAAACAACTCCATTAAAAAGTGGGCAAAGGACATAAGCAGACACTTTTCCAAAGAAGACATATACACAGCCAACAAGCATATGAAAAAATGCTCAACATCACTAATCATTAGAGAAATACAAATCAAAACCACAATGAGATACCATCTCATACCAGTTAGAGAGCTATTATTAAAAAGTTCCGGTGGGGTGCAGTGGCTCACGCCTGTAATCCCAGCACTTTGGGAGACCGAGGCGGGCAGATCACGAGATCAGGAGATGGAGACCATCCTGGCTAACACGGTGAAACCCCGTCTCTACTAAAAATACAAAAAATTAGCCGGGCGTTCTGGCGGGCGCCTGTAGTCCCAGCTACTCGGGAGGCTGAGGCAGGAGAATGGCGTGAACCCGGGAGGCGGAGCTTGCAGTGAGCCGAGATCGCGCCACTGCACTCCAGCCTGGGCGACAGAGCGAGACTCCGTCTCAAAAAAAAAAAAAAAAAAAAAAAAAAGCTACCACTGCTGGTGGGAATGTAAATTAGTTTAGCCACTGCGGAAAACAGTTTGGCAATTTCTCAAAGAACTTAGAACTACCATTCAACCCAACAATCCCATTATTGGATATTACCCAAAGGAATATAAATCACTATACCATAAAGACATATACATACATATGTTCATTGCAGTGCTATTCACAATACCAAAGACATGGAATCAACCCAAATGCCCATCAACAGTAGACTAGATAAAGAAAATGCGGTACATATACTCCATGGAAGACTACACAGCCATAAAAAAGAATGAGATCATGTCCTTTGCAACAAAGTGGATGGAGCTGGAGGCAATTATCCTAAGTGAATTAACACAGGAACAGAAAACCAAATGCCACATGTTCTCACTTATAAATGGCAGCTAAACTTTGAGTACACATGGACTTAAAGAAGGGAACAATAGACATCAGGGCCTATTTGAGGGTGGAGGGTGGAAAAAGGGCTAGGATAAAAAAACTACCTATCAGCCAAGCACAGTGGCTCATGCCTGTAATCCTAGCACTTTGGGAGGCCAAGGCAGGAGGATCACTTAAGTCTGGGAGTTCAAGACCAACCTGGGCAACAAAACAAAACCCCATCTCTACAAAAAATACCAAAAAAATTAGCCAGACGAGGTGGCATGTGTCTATTGTTCCAGCTACTCTGGAGGCTGAGGTGGGAGAATCACTTGATACCAGGAGGCAGAGGTTGCAATGAGCTGAGATTGTGCCCCTGCATTCCAGCCTGGGCAACAGAGCAAGACCCTGTCTCAAAAACACAAAACAAAACAAAAAAACTACCAATTGGGTACTATACTTATTACCTAGGTGACAAAATAATATATACACCAAACCCCCACAACAGGTAATTTCTCTACAGAATAAACCTGCACGTGTACCCCTGAAATTAAAATAAAAGTCAAAAAAATAGAATAAAATATTTTTAAAGATGGATTCATATAGCATAGGATTACAGGTTAGCAGGTTTGTAACCTGGCAATTCCAGCTTTGAATTAATTAATAACCATGTGACCTGGTCAAGTTGCTTAACTTACTTGTCTCAGTCTCATCTGTTAAGTGGAGCTAATTACATTTACCTCATGAACTGTTGTCAAAATTAAGTTTGATCAGGTCTATGAATGACTTGACATATTCCCAAGAGCATAGTGAGTGTTCAGTAAAGGGAAGCTAGGATTATTATTATCAAAAAGGGCAAAAGTGAGGAAGGAAAGCAATTTTCTAGAGAAGGTGAAATTTTAATTGGACCTTGAAACTTATTGATGTTACATGAAGAAAGAGCTACGGCTTCCTTTCTTCCTCCAAACAAAGTTCTTTTTCCCCCAGTGGTTTACAGGAAAAATTAAGGAATTCATTATTTTAGTCATAGTATTTAATATTTGCAAATCCTATGTGGGCATCATTTTATTAATCACACACTAAAAATGAGTCTCCAAGCAATTCAATAACTTTATGAACCAGATTCAATTTCACATTATTCAAATCAGCTACTTCAGAAAATTTTCTTTGCAATGTTAGTTTCTGTACTGTATCTGTATTTTGTATTAAAATACTCTTAAGACCATTTCTTTAAGGTAATTATCACACACTAAAATGATTACTTTTTAAACATCTTCACTGAGATATAATTCGTATACCATAAATTCACCCTTTTTGCCAAAGGCTCGAATTAGTTCAGTAGTCATTTAGCATCTTTAAAATGTGTGTGTGTGTGTGTGTGTGTGTGTGTGTGTGTTTTGGATTCCCTTGCACATCATAGAACTATGAAGCCCTTGTTTGCCATGGTCTCATATGAGTTAGTGGAATCTATCTACTTAACTGCCTGCAGAGCAGAGACTATTTCAAACTTCTTTGTAATTCTCCAAGTACCTTATACAGCCTTGTGATATAGCAGTAGAAATTCTGTAATTGATTAATTGATAAGTGCACACGGTAGTTTACATCATTACTAATTTAATCTTCACAAAAACCCACTAAGGCAAGCACTATTATTATCATCACTTCACAGATGAGGAAACCAAGGTTAAGAAGTTTTAGGAATTTATCTAAGATCACCTGTGACCTGGGCTTGTCTGACTTGAGTTCATCCTCTTAACCATAATAATGCTTTTATCTTAAATCTTGATTTTGTTTATTTACGTAAGTAATCCAAGTTTTACTATAAAAAATTAGAAAATATAGATAAATAATAAGAAAAATGGAGAAAAATGTCCAAATCCCAACATCGATATCTTTAGATAGCCCCAATTACCAGTTTGGTGTAAATTCCTACAGATTCACATATAATTATGAATACATGCATAATTATAATTTATAAGTATATATAAACTTACTAGAATTACTTATTCACCAAAATGAGATGTTGCGCTCTATACATTCTTTAATCTGTGTCATAATTTTTCATATGGAATGTTTCCACTTAACTAAATATTTATTTCTAGGTCAATGGTATTTCACTGTATAAATGTAGCTTAATTCATCTACCTACTAACAATGTGTAATTCTCATTTGCATACCCCTATATTACACTGGACATTTTAATATCTTTTAAAATTAGCCTATTATTATTATTATTATTATTAATACTTGTCAATTTGGGTGTCTAAATAGGTGTCATATTCTGTTGCTCAATTTTGAAATTTTTAATGAGGAAGAATATTTTTTCCATGGGCTTTCTGGCCATATGTGTTCCTTCTTTGTGAATTGCCTATTCTTGTACTTCTCCATTTTTCTATTGATTTCTTATCCTTATTGTTATGGAAACATTTTATATCTATATTAGAGACATTAACCCTTTTACTGTAAAACACATTGCAAATTAAACACATTTTTCTTTCGGAAACATATTTCCCTGTGCTCTATATTGGATTTTCTTTTCTGAATATTGACCTAACTGCAGGCAAATTTAAAAATCAGATTTGTCTCTGCCACCTTCTCATCTTTCCTCATTCCCTCTTAGCCTTACGTAATGTCTAAAGAATGCCTAGCCTAATCAATAATATCTCTTATAGGTTGTTGTACCTAGGGTTTTTATACAAAATGGATTAACTTGGAAGTCATTTTACAAATTTTTAAAAAATATATAAATTTGTTTACTTACTAGCTGCCTCAAAAGATGGTTATAATAATCTAATACAATCTGTCTTAGGGGCTCAAAATTTACAGTGGAAAAGACTAGGCTTTAATCCTCATTCTGATACTGGCTTGCCTCATGATCTTGGGAAATAACTTAAATTTTCTAAGCTTCATATTCCTTATCTTCAAAATAGGTATCTGCAAAAATTAGATAAGATCATATGTGTAATATACTTAATACATATGACTATACCTACATATTTATCATTCTCTAAATGAAGCTAATATATAACTAGTGATAAATAAAAAGATACTTTAACTGTTTTATCAGTGCTAGTCTTTTTTATTCATATGCTTGTTATAATACTTTTGTGGCCAGTACATCAAACTCCCCAGGGGCAGGTATTAATACCAATTTTGAAAGGGAAAATGTGTATTACTATGTTTTAATTGTATATGTGAACAACAAAACATAACTGTCTTCATAATACAAACTATAGAAAGCCAAGCTGAATAAAATCTTTTCTAGAGGTAACATGTTGAAGATGGAATCCAATTTCTGCTTATCAATGACTCTTGAAGTTGCAGGAATTCCAGGACTGTGCGGCATTTTTATTGGAAAAAGACAGATATTTTTTAAGTTGAGAAACACTTGCTCAATGTGCTTTTCAAATGTAAGTCATCACAATTATATATAAACCTCTAGTATTTGCATAAGACCATAGACACAGAATACAAGTTCAAGTATTTTAACAGAAACCAGTAAAGGCTTGGAACTAAGGATGACAACTCTAGAACCAAGGAGACGTTTAGATGTGTAGGCACCAGTCTTTCAAATCTGACAAATACCAGACCAGCACAGTTGCCCTTGTGAAAACTGTAGCCATATTACCGCCAAAGATAAACAGATTACATGGGTTCTTCTGAAGTCAAGGCTCTGAAGGACCTTGTATTTGGGGAAGTTAGTTTAGTGTTAGTGCACAAAGGGAAGAGTGCCACCTGCTGGGCCACCGATGATGCTCCCCGTGGGGCCACAGCTACTGGGCAGGGTGGGAAAGAACACTGACTCCGGTCCAAATCAAATTCATTTTGCTACATCTAGATTAGCTTAACAGTCGTTTGGAATTATTCAGCGATTTCTTACAAATATTAATATCCAAGCTTCTTTCTCCTCAGCTAACAAGTGAATCACTCTTTGAGAACAGAACTTTTCCGGCTAAATTTATTTAAGGGGGCTAATTCTAGTATTTTAACATGCAAACTTGTACACATGTGTAAGCTTTGTACCCACAAAATGTGCTCATAACACACATTTTTGACATTAATTATATTTTGTAAAGCACAGGGTTTTTTTCATTCTTTTGACTTAAGAGTCATCGTTCCCTCTTCTCTTTACGGTGCAAAATGCCAGCACAGTAATTCTCTTAGGCAGGTGTCAGTAGTTGCCGAGAATAGGCCAGGGCTCTGATTTCTATTCTATTGTGCTTGAATGGGGAGATGGGAAGAAGTTTTTATTTATTTATTTTTTGAGACAGGGTCTCGCTCTGTCACCCAGGCTGGAGTGCTGTGGCACGATCTCGGCTCATTGCAACCTCCTCCTGGGTTCAAGCAGTTCTCCTGCCTCAGCCTCCCGAGTACCTGGGACTACGAGTGCACACCACTATACTCAGCTAATTTTTGTATTTTTAGTAGAGATGGGGTTTCACTATGTTGGCCAGGCTGGTCTTGAAATCCTGACCTTAAGTGATTCACCTGCTTTGGCCTCCCAAGATGCTGGGATTACAGGCATGAGCCACCGCACCCAGCCGGGAAGAAGTATTGGTGGTGGAACCACAAGGGCGTGTAGGAACAGTGGGACTGATTCGTCAAAGTGGGGTGGGGTATTATGTCACTAATGTTGTTTAGAATTCCTGCACATGGTGATTTAAAAAAATGCAAGCTGAGTTAGTTTTATTATTGCTTTTCAGTGCTCTACAGAGTGTACCCCTTTTTGCCTGAACCAAGGACAGACCACTCCCACAGCATTCCTTCCCATATACCTCTAAATATTTTCACTCACAAATGGTGTAGGGAGTGAGGCAGAGATGTCTCGATTTATATGCCTTGTTTATGGAAGGAATATATGCTCTTCTACATTGGCATGACTTATTGTACCTAATTAAAATTATCTGCATCCATACTGCCTTAAAATCTTTTTCCTATTTTGACATTGTACCAATTATCAATTCATTTGGGTTACAAATTATAAAGCTATCATATTAAATATCTTAAGGTGAATTCATATAATCAGATTGCATGCCTTGTAAAATTTAGCTAAAATCAGCTCATTGCCAGAGTAACAGTATTGAAGGAGAAGAAGGAAAGAGTAATCTAAACATCAAAACACATCATGGTAGTCTATTTCCAAACTAGGTTAATCAGGATCTTGCCCAGGATTTTTCTACTGTAGTTATTGAAGAAAACTGTTGCTTTCCCCTGGGGTCAATAAGTTGGTAGAATAGGAATCTTGAGCCACCAAGTGGACATTTGTCTACCAGAAGGACAGACCTTGATTGAAAGAAAATAATTTTTTGATGATATCTCATTAGTTGAGCCCTGGTTTGCCCAGTTACATGAAACAAATCCTCTCATTGTGTTTGTTAAGCAAGTGTGAATTGGATTTCTGTCTTCCCAACAAAAAGTATTTTGACAAATAGAAGGCTTTAAATATAGTGCTTGTGTGCAAGATTAAAATATTCTGTAGTTATACTATATCCTTTTATATAAATGATAAAAGCAAATATAAGCAGATCATTTTCTATGAGTGATTTGCAGCACATGCCAACAAATGGCAGTTGCCACAATATATAACAATTTACTTTTCTCATTCATTTGTTATTCTCTATAGTCAGTTTTGAAACTGATTTATTTTCATTCTAGACATTTCATTAATTATTGACTACACATATACACTAATTCCAATTTATATTTAAAAGCAGCTGGCTGAAATCTTGGCAAGAGAATTAGCAGTGATTCCACGCCTCATGATCTGAATATATGTAAATATAGTCCGACCTTACTCCCATTTTATTCATTTTTTAAAAAACTAGATTCATAAAATTCTAACTTCTAGTTCAAGTCATGCTGCAATTAAATTAGGAAACATGGCAGACTTTGGGTTAGAACTAAATCAGATTGGCAGAAATTTTGCAACCTTAACGGCCATGTTTTACATACTGTTATTGAAGTTACAGCCATGTAAATTATATGATTTAATCTTAGAATTCTTGGAAATTACCGTTAATTTATAATAACTTTAATTTAGAGAGAGCACAGTGTAGATAAATTAAACAATATTGAGACAGCTATCATGAAAGTATCAGTAGAAAACGAGCTGGAGAACAAGGACAGTGTCAACTTTCTGGGTTTTCAATGGGATTTTTTGTTTGGTTTTGTTGTTTGTCGGGGAGTTTTTGTTTGTGTGTTTGTTTAGTTTTGGTTTTTTGAGACAGATGCACTATGATCTTTATTGCCATGGCTTGGTATCCACTGACTGGAATAGCACCAGGCTTATGGTCAGTGCTCAATAAAGGTTTATTGAACGAATGAGTGTTCTATAACAGACGCAAATCTGGTGCAACATGAGTTTTTCTGTTATTGCTGTAGGTAATAAAACATGGCCATTGTGTACTAAACCAGAAGGAATTTTCAGGTGTCCCTTTTTCAAGCTTCCTCATCCTAATAGTAAAGGAACTGAGACCAGAAAAGGTAAAGTGACTGCCCAAAACAGAGAAAGGAATAGTAAATCAATTAACAAACATTTATCAAATAGTGTATACTATTTCAGATAATGAGGACACAGCAGAGCACAAGGCAGTTAAAGTCTCTGCCTTCAAGGAGTTTATATTCCAGTGGCAAAAGTGATGAACATGTAAATGAATAAGATAATTGCAGGCCCTGATAAAATGATGCTACAAAAATACTAATACAGAATATTGGGATGGAGAATGATGGAGGGTGGAGAGAAACACAATTGACTTAGATTACTCAGAACTGGATGCTGTAAAGACTCTCATAGGGTTGCTGAGGCCTGAATGACAAGGAGACAGCCATGCAAAGGTATGGAGGAAGGGTATTGGAAATGCAAGTACGAAGGGTCTGAGATGGAAACAAGCTTGATGTGTTTCATGAAAATAAAACAGCCATAGTGTTTCAACCAGAATGAGGAGGAGAAGAAAATGAACAGAGACAAGGTTAGCTGGGCCAACACCAAACCCTGTAGAACACTGTGTATCCGGAAAATTAGTTGTGGGTTTTTACAGGGTGTGATGAGACACTGTTCAAAAGGTTTTGAGGAAAGGAGTCATATTACCTAATTTTCACTTTAGAAAAATCACTCAGGCTACTGTGTGGAGAATGGACTTGGATAAGGGAAGAGATGACGCCATGAGACTAATTAGAAGACTGCCCCAGTAATCCAGGCTGAATGATTGTCACTTGGACTAGGATTGACAGTAGAGAGGGCGAGCAGTAGCTGGACTCAAGACATTTGTAAGTACCTATAGGACTTACTGCTAGATGCATTTGGGCAAATGAAGATGCCATTTACAGTGATGGAGAAGACTCTGGAAAATGAATTGGGAGAATGGGGAAATGATTAGCTCTGCTTTGGACATGTCAAGTCTGAAATTTTTTTTAATCAACTTTGTCAGGTTTAATAAGCCTGAAATTTTTATTAAACATTCAAGTGGAAATGCTAAAACGTAGTTGGATAGATAAGTCTGGACTTCAAAACAGAGGTCAGGAGAGGCGACATGGATTTGGACATCACCAACAAAGAGATGATATTCAAAGCCATGGCTCTAGGGAAACCCTGTGGTTAGGGAAGAAAGGAGGACTGAGACAGTCTGGAGCACTAGGAGATATTTTCTGGAGGAAGAGGAGCCAGGAAAAAAAAAAAAAAAGGCTGAGAAAGAGCACAGAAGAGTCTGGCTTCCTGGATGTCTCCTGGACAACCTTGATAAGGACTGTTATTAATATGGAAATGGGAGAACGGGGGAAGGAAAGCCTGACTGACATGTAGTGAGGTAAGAACGGGAGGTGAGGACAAAGCAGCAACAAGTTAAACATGGCTTTCAGAAATGTTTCCACGGAGTGAGGAAGTCCTGAAGAGGGCAACAGAGGATGATGTACAAAGCAATGTAAGGAAGATTTCGCCTTTGGCCTTGGATACAGCAGGGATGCTTCTTCCACTGTGACTTGTGGGAAGGTTAGCTGCTTGGGCTCAGGTGCAGGTGCAGATGTGCTGCAGGATTTGGTGAATTCTTGACTAATTCCGTCAAAGTTAAACCCAATTTTTCCAAATCCTACTTCAGATTGCAACCACATAGCCACCATTAGAATTATAAAGTCATATTTTTGTATTGGACACAATAGCTGAAAGTTTTGAAAGATGTAATTCCTACTTCTACTGATTTGCAGTGTGAGATTGTTCTACAAATGTAATCATCTAAGTTTAGTGGTGCAAAAGTGTCATTACTTAATCAAATGAAATTATTATAGCACCAAGCTTATTTTGAATACAATGTAAAAGAGACATCATCCTAAGTTTCTAATTATTCAAAGGAATAAAGTCAACAAACTAAGAAACTAGAAAAAACCAAGGTCCTTAAAATCATCATTGAACTCCTGAATTATGCAACTCTGGAATGGCCTTATCCCAGATTTCTTGTTATGTGAGTTAATAAATGTACTGATTGTTTGAGCTGTTTTTTGTTGATTATTGCCACTTATAGCTGAAAGCAGTTTAACAGGCATTGTATTTTACTGGAATAACTGGTAGCCATCTGGAAAAAAATAAAGCTCAAACCTTACACAAAAATAAATTCCAGACAGATCAAAATATAATCAAAGCTAAAGGTTAACTATCACCATTCCTAATTTTGTACAAAAGCAGCAGAAACTTTAAAGTAAAAGCTGTTCTTTTACATTTTAACTTGATTATTCTAAATGATATGTAAGGCATTTAAAGTGGGCCATCTATAGTAACAAATGGAACAAATGGTGAATAATACAAATGCCAGCAACAACTGACAAAATTTTGTCATTAAGACAATTTTCATCCTTTATTGCTCTCTTTTCCCATTTTAATATCTTGTATTTTTCTTGAACTATAAAATATTATTTACTGGATGCTTGCAGATAACATTATATTATTTCCACAATTAAATATGAAACTGTCAGGAGAACCCTAAATCTACTTCTTTTCATCCTATCTGGTTTTATGTGTGAGCATCCTAGTCACTTCTATCGTCTTCAGTGAGCCCATGAGAACAAAGATGACAGTGACAGTCGTGTTGTATCCCCAGTAACTGCCACCATGCCTGGAACATGAAGGCATTCAGTGAAGTTTTGTTGAATGGATAGGTGAATGAATGCATGCACACATGTGTGTGAGAAAATGGAGGGAAGGTGATACTTTTTCTGTTTCTGCTGACTTGCACAGTCAGAAGAAAGAGAACAAGTTGCTGAAGGTTCATGGAAAGCCCACAAAGAAAGAAGGTTCATCTTCTTATCCGGTTCATGAGCCCTAAGGAGCTATTGCTCAAGGGTTCTTCCTGGTTGCAGTTCTGAGAACTATTGTAGGAGGAGTGAAGAAAACATTTACTGTCTACTGCATACTAGACACTTTAATACATTATTTTATCCTCTATTTCTATTTTACAAATAAGGTAGGGGTTGTCTTCTAATGGAGGTACACAATCTATTCAACTGTGGGAATTAGCAAATCCTAGAACACTCAGTCTATAGCTCAATAGCCTGAACTCTGCCTATCTAAGTTCAAAATTAATTATCTTCCTCAATCAAGTGCTCTAACTTGAAAGGCAAGTTGCAGAGTAAGGCAAAAATAACAGCAGCAGTTTTATACATATTTCTGATCTCTTCCTAAGTAAAAACATTTAAAAACTCCCATTGTAGCTACTCAAAATGTACTTGCAACAACATAGTCAGGAATTCCACTAAGATTTACCTTGTTAGACTTCTTTCTGGTTTACCATCCAAATCTTTTGTGGGGAAATTTATAGATAAAATGGATGAATTATTCTATTGCTTTTTGTTATCCTATGCTAATGAATATATCTGCTAGGGTGTCTGTGATGGCTAAATTTTATGTACTAATTTGGCTAGGCTATGATGCCCAGCTGTCTGGTGAAACACTAGCCCAGATATTGCTGTGAAGATATTTTGTAGATGTGATTAACATCTACAATCAGTTGAGTTTAAGTAAAACTCAATAATGTGGGTTTTCCTTGTTCAGTCAGCTGAAAGACATAATTGCAGAACTGAGGACTCCTGGAAAGGAAGGAATTCTGCCTCAAGACTGTAACACAGAAATCCTGCCAGATTTCCCAGGCTGCAGGCTTGCCCTACATATTTCAGACTTGCCAGCCCCACAATTGCATGAGCCAGTTCCTTAAAAAGATATTAACATAAGGGCAATCAGGAATAATAGGCAGATGCCCTTTCTGGCATAAATATTTGGGAACCTTGATCCTATATAACCTGATTCCTTTTGCTCTTATTACTAATCTCTATGGATTCACTCCTGTTGACTCTCCAGTCTCAGAACTTCTAAATAAATTTGCCCTGCTCACACAAAACGTGTGTGTGTGTGTTTTAGTATAAACATAATACTATATATATATATATTTTATTATATATAATACTATAATACTGTAATACTAATACTAGATTACTAATACTATACAATACTATAATATATTATATATAATTATATTATATTATATATATAATTATATAATATATATTATAGTATAGTATACTATAATACTATAATACTAATACTATAATACTATAATACTAATATTATATACTATTAGTTCTGTTTCTCTAGAGAACATTTGCTGATACAACAGCTATGCTATTTGCAACAGATAAAAATAAACTAGTATTAAGAAGCTAAAAGCAGCCCGGGCGCGGTGGCTCACGCCTGTAATCCCAGCACTTTGGGAGGCCAAGGCAGGTAGATCACCTGAGGTCAGGAGTTCAAGACCAACCTGGCCAACATGGTGAAACCCCCCATCTCTAAATACACTAAACACACTAAAAATACAAAAATTGGCCAGGTGTGGTGGTGTGTGCCTGTAATCCCAGCTACTCAGGAGGCTGAGGCAAGAGAATCACTAGAACCTAGGAGGTGGACGTTGCAGTGAGCTGAGATCACACCACTGCACTCCAGCCTGGGCGACAGAGTGAGATTAAGTCTCAAAAAATAAAAAATAAAAGATGAAAGCAATTAGGAGTCTTTCTCTCTTTGATAGCATCTATTCAGAAACATAAATTCCAAAGGCTTTGGAATCCTGTCATCTCTAATTATACTACAGATAGAATACTTCAAAAAATAAAATTGTGGGTCATTTTTATTTTAAAAATACATGTGATTTTTAACTTTGAGAAAGTGCTAAGGTCATCATTAAGCCAGATGATGAGAAAGTGCTGCAGCTTTAAACACTCTGAAGCACTAATTTCAGAGATCCCCCTAGGATTTTCTTTCAGTCCTTAGCTTATATCCAGATTGTGTTGCAATATCCATCTTTAGATGTGCCACAATAAGTTTACAACCACTAAAATATGACATTGGAACTATCAGAAAAGCATGCGTATCCACCACAAAAAAACTTGAGGGAAGTACAACTACAGTTCACTGCGTAGTTAGGTGACAGCCATTTAGCAATATCTGGCAGCAAAGGGGAACGAAACATAAGATAAATTGAAGTGTCTGAAAAGTATACGAACCTCAAGTGTTGAAAACATGTCTATTTCTCTGAAAGATTATATAGGTAAACATTTCAGTTCTTTAAGGAGCCCCTACCATGGACCAGGGTGTTTTTCAGGAGCTGGACATAGCTTTCCCCTCCTGAGAAGATGAGGGTCTGGTGATGAAGACCAACAAATAAGATAACAAGCAGTAAGAATAATTTGTAACATGTTCAGTGCCATACTAAACTGATTCATACAACTATTCCATTTACAATGATTTACAGGAACACCTCATGCAATGAACTGAAGGTTTGCATCAGCCTAAAATTCGTATGTTGAAATCTAACTCCCAAGGTGATGATATTAGGAGGTGGGAATTTGGGGAGGTGATTAGGTCATGAAGGTGGAGCCCTCATGAATAGGATTAGTGTCCTTATTAAAGAGGCCTCAGAGAGTCCTTTTTCCCTCTTTCCACCATGTGAGAATATCATGAGAAGTTAGCAGTCTGCAACCCAAAAGAAGTCCCTCACCAGAACGTGACCATGCTGGCACCCTGATCACAGACTCTCAGCCTCCAGAAACTGTGAGAAAGAAATACCTGTTGTTTATAAGCCATCCAGTCTGTGGTACTTTGTTATAGCAGCCTGAATGGATTAAGACAGCTTAGGCAAGAAAGACAGAAAGATTCCTCTGCTAGAGAGAAGAGAATTGCAGAAGGAAGGTAACAAACACCCTTACAGAGAAGGTGACCTTCCAGCCAGATCTTGAAGTCAAGGGAGCAAAGACTTTGAAGGTAAAGAGAAAAGAGGCCAAGAGCAAGGAGTTATTCTCCAACAGTCCAGGCAGACAGGGGAGACTTTCAGAGGCACAGACGCAAATTTAGGACCAGGCCAGCCACTTGGCATTGCTGTTGGGTATACAAAGGGGGCTTGCCAACATGCAGTGGGAAAGGTAGGACTTAGTGAGAGACTGGATGTGGGAAAAGGAGGGAGAAACACACCTGAGCGCTTGATCTGAGAAACTATGACTGGCAGAGAACAGAAAGCTAAAGATTTACAGAAGAAAAGACTGCTTTGGGAGAAAGAGGATGTGTTCTGTTGGGGGATGTTGAGACTGAAAAGCCAGTGGAGCATCCAGGTAGAGATGTCAAGTAACCACTTAATAACCTGGATCTGCCCCTCAGGAGAAAGTTTAGGCCAAAAATACAGGTTTCGTCATCATTAGCAAACTGGATGAGAATCCCCAGAGCAAGAAGCAGGACAAGGAAAGAAGATAACCAAGGAGCAAACATTGCTTGACCCTAATGTTTAAGAGGCAGGAGAAAAGAGAAAAGCCCCACAAAAAACTAAAAAAGGTAAAGGAATTATTATTGTATATTTTTGCGTTGTTTTATTATGCTAATTATATACATGACACAAAACTTACCATTTCAATCATTTTTAAGTGTACAATTTAGTGGCATTAATTACATTCACCATGTTGTGCAACCATTACCACTATTTCCAAAACTATTTCATTATCCCAAACAGAAATTCTGCAACCATTAAGCACTAGCTCCTCATTCCTCTGTCCCTGCAGCCCCTGGTAAACTTTTTTTATTGAGACAGAGTCTCACTCTGTCACCCAGTCTGGAGTGCAGAGGTGCAATCTCAGCTCACTGCAACCTCAACTTCCCAGGTTACAGCAATCCTCCCACCTCAGCCTCCTGAGTAGCTGGGACTACAGGCATGGGCCGTCATGCCTGGCTTTTTTTTTTTTTTTTTTTTTTTTTTTGTAGACACAGGGCTGTCACTACGTTGCCCAGGCTGGTCTCGAACTCCTGAGCTCAAGTGATCTGCCCTCCTCAGCCTTCCAAAGTGCTAGGATTACAGGCGTGAGCCACCGGGCCCTGCCGGGCCCCTGGTAACTTTTTCTGAGACAGTCTTGCTATGTTACCTGGGCTGGAGCCCAGTAGTGCAATATCAGCTCACAGCAATCTCCCCTCCTGGGTTGAAGTGATTCTCATGCCTCAGCCTCCCGTGTAGCTGGGATTACAGGTATATGCCACCATGCCCAGCTAATTTTTGTTTTTTTGTTTTGTTTTGTTTTGTTTTTGGTTTTGGTCTAGTAGAGATAGAGACAGGGTTTCACCATGCTGGCCAGGCTAGTGTGGAACTCCTGACCTCAGGTGATCTGCCCACCTCAGCCTCCCAAAGTGCTGAGATTACAGGCATGAGCCATCGCGCCTGGCTGCACCTACTAACTTCTAATCTACTTTCTGTCTTTATGAATTTGCCTATTCTAGGTATCTCATACAAGCAGAATCATATATTTGTCCTTCTGTGTCTGACTTATTTCACTTAGTATAATGTCTTCAATGTTCATACATGTTGGGGCATGTGTCAGAACTTCATTCCTTTTTATGTATTGTGCCTTTTGCAGTTAGGAAACAGAAGCAGGGAGAATAGCAATTATGGGTATATCAGGACTAGTTAATTAGGTTCCGAGGGTAAGGAGGGGAGGAGAACAGTCAACTGGAAGGCCAGAACTAAAAGCTGAGTGCAGAAGCCATAATCAGTTAGCCAAGAACTCTGTCTAGAGAAGAAAGGCATGTGGAAGTTGGAGGTCACTGTACAAATCTTCCTCTGAAAACCAGATAGAAAACTGAATTCAGACTGATGAATGAACTTAATACAAGATTCTCCTCTTCTGGTGGGAAGGTCTGGTGGGAAACAGGTCTGAATGAACAGTTCCTTGGTTCTGGCATCCAGATGCAGGTGCACCTGTACACACAGTTACTACCTGAAGGAGAATAAAGAGCATGAGCCAGAGAAGCACATCAAAAATAGATTATCAAGCTAAGGAGGACAGAGGAGCTGAAAGGCAGCTCAACTCAGATGACAGGGAGAGGAACATCCAGAGGCAATGAGTGAAATACTCAGAAACCTACGTCAAAAGCTAGATTCTATTAATGCAAGCTTTGTGAGAGTAAGACAGCTCCATTTAGAGGTACTGGGACCAGAGAGACGACAGAAGTGACTCCAAGAGAAATAAGCAATTGGAGCAAAAGGAGCCAGGATGTACAGGACCCAAGTCCCCAAATATTTATGCCAGATAGGGCACCTGCCTATTATTTCTGATTGCTCCTATGTTAATATTTTTGGTCCAAAAGCTTAAAAGATATTAGTGTAACTTCTAAAGGAAAAAAGTATTCCAAATGCTTTCAATTCTTATGGATGAGCAGTATGCATATCCCTTCACCCAAATGATTAAATTATTGATTGAGAAGTTAAGCGTCTCATTATACAGCATCTATCTTAAATAATGTAATTTTGCCTTATAGTAAATGTGTTCAGTAAGCTTCTGAATTTAATATAAATTTACCAATTTTGCTGAATAAAAGCCAAAGAAAATATAGAAGGCTACAGAAGATATTTTGTATGATATCTATCTTTTAAAATTCTATTGAGACTTAATTTGTGGCCTAACAAATGGTCTATCCTGGAAAATGTCCCATATGGGCTTGAGAAGAATGTGTATTCTGTTATTATTGGGTAGTGTGTTCTATACATGACTATGAGTTCTAGTTGCTTTATTGTTTTTTTTAAGTCCTCTAATTCCTAATGTAATCTTCTGTCAGATTTTCCTATCCATTATTGTGAGTCGGGTACTGAAGTCTCCAACTAGTATTGTCTTTTTTTTTTTTTTTTGAGACAGGGTCTCGCTCTGTTGTCCAGGCTAATGTGCAGTGGCATGCTCACAGCTCACTGCACCCTTAACCTCCTAGGCTCAAGAGATCCTCCTGCCTCAGCTTCCCAAGTAGCTGAGACTATAGGCATGTGCCACCATTCCCAGCTAGTTTTTTGTATTTTTTGTAGAGACAGGGTTTTGCCACGTTGCCAGGCTGGTCTCAGACTCCTGGGCTCAAGCCATCTGCTTGACTCAGAAATATAGGATTCTTGATTAACAGTTTTGGTTTTTTATTTTTATTTTTTTTGTTCAGCATTTTGAATATGTCAGCCCACGGCCTTCTAGCCTCCAAAGTTTCTGAAGAGAAATCCGCTGATAATCTTTTTTGAGGATCACTCATTTGTAATGAGTCACTTCTCTCTTGTTGCTTTCAAAATTCTCTGTTTTTCTTTGACTTTCAACAGTTTGATCATACTGTGTTTCAATGTGAATCTCTGAGTTCATCCTACTTGAAGTTTGTTGAGTTTGCTACATGTTTATATTCATGTCTTTCATCAAATTTGGGACTGTTTCAGCCATTATTAATATCCTCTCTGCCCTTCACTCTTTCTACAAGGCATATGTTGGTCTGCCTAATGGTGTCCCACATGTTCCTTAGGCTCTGTTCTACTTTTCTTCAATCTTTTTTCTGTTTCTCATAGTTGATAATTTCCACTATCCTATCTTCGAAGTCACTCATTCTTCCTTCTGCCTCCTCAGATCTGCCTTTGAATCTCTCTAGTAAATTTCTCATTTTAGTCACTGTACTTTTTAGCTCCAGAATTTCTTTTTGGTTTCTTTTTAGGTTTTCTATCAATGTACTGATATTTCTACTATGTTCATACATCATTTTCATCACCTTCTCCACATCTTCCTTTAGTTCTTTCAGCACCTTTAAGACAGTTGTTTTTAAAGTCTTTGTCTAGTAGATCCATTATCAGGTCTTTTCCAGGGATAGTTTCTATTAATTTGCTTATTTTTTCCTTTTATGTGCCATACTTTCCTGTTTCTTTGTATCGATTTGTTGGAAACTGAAGGCTTGAATCTATTAATGTGGTAACTCTGGAAATCAGATTCTTCTTCCCAGAGTCTGCTGGGTTTTGTTTTTGTATTTATTACTGTAGGATGTTTCTTTGCCAAGAATCAGCCTAAGGTGTAAACTTAAGGTCTTCTCAGGTCTTTTCTGAGCCTGCACCTTACCCTGGGTATCTGTGGTGACTTTCTAATTTCTCCTTTTATATGCAGTTGCTTTCGAGTGTCCTACTCTTCAATGTCTGGCTCCTAAAAGGGACAAAAAAAAAAAAGAAAAGAAAAGAAAGAAAGAGGATAAAAACGTATCATCTCTTTAAATTCCCTGGAAGTCACTTCAGTCACAGCAGGAGGGGCTTGCAATAACAGGGAGAAGTGCAAAACAATGCCCCCGCCTTCTTTGTCTGCATCCCTGTGTTGAGAAGCAGCAATCAGTGATCAGAGCACAGATTACTAATATTTGGAGGTCAGGTTCTGTTTTGCTCACCGTGGCTCCTATAAGTTGTATACACAGGCACAGTTGCCTGCCACAGGGCTGAACGGTGGGGAATGGGTAGCTGCTACTATGCTAAGAGCTAATGTTAACCCTAACTGGCCGAGCGCGGTGTCTCACGCCTGTAAACCCAACACTTCTGGAGGCCAAGGCGGGTGGATCACCCGAGGTGAGGAGTTTGAGACGAACCTGGCCAACATGGCAAAATCCCGTCTCTACTAAAAATACAAAAATTAGCCGGGCGTTGTGGCAGACGCCTGTAATCCCAGCTACTCGGGAGGCTGAGGCAGGAGAGTTGCTTGAACCCGGCGGGGCAGAGGTTGCACTGAGCTGAGATAGCGCCACTTCACTTCAGCCTGGGCAAAAGAGCGAAACTCCGTCTCAGAAACCAACAAACGAAAAAACCCAATCAAATTAACCACAATATACCATCAAGCCTTCCCCTAGATGTTGCAATTCTTTAATAAGCTCCAGATTTCCAAAATAGTTACATCAGACAGACTGCCAATGCAATTATTCTCTACATGGAGAGACAGATTTCTAGTGCTCCCTACTCTACCATCTTTTCAGAATCCTCTCAACTGTGCTACCTTTTTTGCCCGTGTCTCCTGCTGGCCCGAGAGTCTCATCTTCCACTCCAAGCAGTCTATTAAAGTATGCTATGCCTTTCTGAAGTAACACAATTCCCTCTCTAAGATAAATTCTGGTGCCACTTATAAAGATAACTTTTTACCTTGCTACATTTCATGTAAATCTTCATATTTACCTATTCACATATTATTATCAAATCCTTTGTCATGATACTTATAAAAGGTCATTATAATATCTATGGATACCAATGCACAAACATATTCTGCTTTGTCAGAGAAAAAAACATCAACAGATGGGGAAGAGACTTTACTAAATTAAGGATACTTAACTAGTGTCAATTAAAAAGTGTATTACTTCACGCATCAAAAAGCACTTAAAGAGCTATTCATTTTGCTGCCTAAAATACATAAAAATAAAATCACTTGGCTATTTAACAGATTACAGGGCTGTTAAATGAATTATATTAAAGACTTTAGCACTAAACCATGTCCACTCAAAGCATAAAATTTCCTTCACATGTTTAATGTTATATCTCATTTTCAAATAAATGTCGACCTTGAAACAATTTATTTTCTCAAGATTCTTCAAGAGTTATTTTATATTCTAGTGCCCTTGGACATTTTGCTCTTCATCTTTTTTATTCATCTCCTGGAGTCTGGCTTGCATTACTGTTAGCTGAAAATAATGAGCTACAGATTGTTTACTTCACACCTAATGGTACCCACAGTGAGAATGACAGCTTATTATAACTAAGCAAATTAAATTACTATAAGGTCAAATTAGTATGAGTCCATAGTAGCTAAATAATTACAGATCTGGGTCACTAGTCTATCTAACAAGAACATGCTGAATAATGAAATAGGTAACACTTAATAGCCAACTACATGTCTAGTCATTTCAAATACATATTCTCCTTTAACCCTTCCAACTTGGGCACAAGGTGAATGTAAGCATCCCTATTTTATAGTTTGGGAAATGATGCAGAAACGGTTAAACAACTGTCCCTTGCCCCCAAATTTAAACAGCTAGGAAGTGACAGAACTTGATATAAACTCAATTTTTTTCTGACTCAAAAGCCTATCCTCTTAATACTGAGATTTTTTTAGCACTACTGCTTTTCATTTTACTATACATGTTTACACCCCAGGTATTTTTATCCGAAATTGGAAATTAAGGCAGCCTCCTTGTTGACTCTGTAGTTTAGTCAGCTGAACAGATACAAATTAGGTAGCATTTTAGGCTTCTTATAAAGAACATGTCATTAGTAATTTTAATACTTCCATGAAAATACTTATTTTTCAGATAATAATCTTATTTATGTGTTAGATGGTGAGCTATACATATTTTCTAGACATTATTTACTGAGTCCTGGAAGGTTTTTATTTCTCCTAAAACATAAAACAGTATACAAAATATTTTAAAAATTCATTTCTTAGCAATTATTATTGTTAAGAAAAATTTCACTTTTCATCACATTCCTTCATTTCCTGAAATTTCATTTATACTATACAATAGCACTCCAGTCTTCTACTCTGTCCTTCCACACATAAACCCATACCCAGGATCAAAAACACAAGGATACCTGATGACTTCCTGTCTACAAAGATGTTAAAAGATAGTGATTTTTTTTCCGTCTTCTATAGAAGGAATTTCCAATACAGTTTAGTCAAAAGTCTCCCAATAGACAGAGTAATCATCTTTGGCTGAGCAATGTTGCTGACCTGAATTAAATAAATTTCAGGGACTTAATTTTTATAATATAGGTTTGCATTCATGGTTCAAGAAGGGCTAATGTTAAGTATGCAAATGAATTACAGTTAATTAATATAACATTTGTTACTGTATTAAAGACTAATGCTAAGCGAGGATCACCAAGGGCTGCTAGAATACCACAAATCTAGGCAATTGTTAGTGTTCTGTGCTTTGGATGTTTTGCCATTAGACTGACCAAAAAGACTTTAAAGTTACCGTACCCACTGTGCAGGAGGTTTCAGGGAAATAGTCATTTTTATACACTATTGGTTGTAGTGTAGTTGATACAACTTTTCATTTGGCAAGTTTAATGTTATCAAAAACTTTAAAACGTTTAAACTGTTTGATGACCAGTATTTTCACTCCCAGGAATTATTCTACCATAAAGACATATGCATATGTATGTTCATTGCAGCACTATTTACACTAGCAAAGACATGAAATCAACCTAAATGTCCATCAACAGTGGACTGCATAAAGAAAATGTGGTACATATATACGACGAAGTACTATGCAGCCATAAAAAGAACGAGATTACACGCTTTGCAGCAACATGGATGGAGCTGGAGGCTATCACCCTTAGCGAACTAACACAGGAACAGGAAACCAAAATCCACATGTTCTCACTTATAAGTGGAAGCTAAACACTGAGAGCACATGGACACATGGAGGGGAACAACAGACACTGGGGCCTTCTGGAGGGTGGAGGTTGTGAGGAGGGAGAGGATGGAAAAACTACCTATCGGGCCAGGTGCAGTGGCTGATGCTTGTAATCCCAACACTTTGGGAGGCCAACGCAGGTGGATCTCTTGTGTCCAGGAGTTCAAGATCAGCCTGGGCAACATGGTGAAACCCCATATCTACAAAAAATTAGCTGGGTGTGGTGGTGAGCACCTGTAGTCCCAGCTACTTGGGGAACTGAGATGGGAGGATTACTTGAGCCCAGGAGGCAAAGGTTGCAGTGAGCTGAGATTGTGCCACCACACCCCAGCCTGAGCAACAGAGCAAGACCCTGTCTCAAAAAAAAGAAAGAAAGGAAAGAAGAAAGAAAGAAAGAGAAAGGAAGGAAGAAAGAAGG
This sequence comes from Homo sapiens, assembly GCF_000001405.40. Taxonomy (NCBI): domain Eukaryota; kingdom Metazoa; phylum Chordata; class Mammalia; order Primates; family Hominidae; genus Homo; species Homo sapiens. Next base: position 184,998,743 of record NC_000001.11, read on the forward strand.
AAGAAGGAAGGAAGGAAGGAAGGAGGGAAGTAGGGAAGGAAGGAAGGAAGGAAGGAAGGAAGGAAGGAAGGAAGGAAACGAAAGAAACACTACTTATCAGGTACTATGTTTATTACCTGGGTAACAACATAATGAGTACACCAGACCCCCATGACCACAAGTTACCTGTATAACAAACCTGTACATGTGCCCCTCAACCTAAAAGTTTTTTTAAATAAAGCATCAATGTTAAAGAAATTCATGTGTAAGTATATATGTAAATCTTATATATGCAAAATGTATGTGCAAGGATGTTCACCTTAGCTTATTTCCCTCCAGCTTTATTGAGATATAACTGACACATCAAAATTGTACATATTTGATGTATACATTATGATTTGATAAAGATATTTATATACATTGTGAAATGGTTATCACACAAGTTAATGAAAGCATTCGTCATCTCACACAGTTACCATTTTCGTGTATGTAAAAGGTGAAAACACTTAAGATCTATTTAAATGTTAAGTGATCTACTTAAGTGTTCACAGACTATTGATAATTTTTTTTTAAACTTTAAGACAACTTAAATATTCAACAGTAGGGGAATCCGTTGATTAGTTGGTGGCACCTTGACATGATGATATACAATATGAAAGGCAATATGGCCAGAGGACAGGCTTTCCAAACAGACAGTCTAAGGTTTCACCTGACTCAGTCAAATACTCGCTGCATGACTTTAACATCTCCTAGCCTCATATGCTTTTATCTGTAAGGTAGTGATAATTTACCTACTTTATATAAATACTACAAAAATTAAATGAAAAATGTAAGTTTCTAAACATTTAGCATATAATCTAATACTTGAGGGATATTATTTTCTGTATATTACGAATTATGTTTTAAATATGACTTCATAATATGGGAAAATGCTCATAATATACAATATTAAGATTTAAGCTATATACAGATAGCAATTACAATTATAGAGTTAATTTAAATATTTCTGTAACCTGTTGATATGAATACAACACTGCACAATTTTTCTTTCTCATTTTCCCCTTGCTGGTTAATGGCAAGCCCTTAGCTCTGTCTTCCCAGTTTCTCTTTTTTTTTAATTTAACTTTTATTTTAAGTTCAGGGAGACATGTGCAGGTTTGTTAAATAGGTAAATGTGCGCCTTGGGGGATTGTTGGGCAGATTACTTCATCACCCGGGTAATAAGCATAGTACTCATTAGTTATTTTTCCCGATCCTCTCCCTCCTCCCAGACTCCACCCTCCAATAGACCTCATTGTGTGTTGTTCCCCTGTACGTGTCCATGTGTTCTCATCATTTAGCTCCCACTTATAAGTGAGAACATGTGGTATTTGGTTTTCTGTTCCTGTGTTAATTCATTTAGGGTAACGGCCTCCAGCTCCATTCACGTTCCTGCAAAGGACATGATCTTGTTCTTTTTTATGGCTGCATAGTAGTCCATGGTGTATACGTACCACATTTTCTTTATCCAGTCTACCACTGATGGGCATTTAGGTTGATTTCCATGTCTTTGCTATTGTGAACGGTGCTGCAATGAACATATGCATGCGTGTGCCTTTATGACAGAACAATGTATATTCCTTTGGGTATATACCCAGTAATGGGATTGCTAGGTCGAATGGTATTTCTGTTTTTAGGTCTTTGAGGAATTGCCACACTGTCTTCTACAATGGTTGAACTAATTTATACTCCCACCAACAGTGTATAAACATTCCTTTTTTTCCCGCAACCTCGCTAGCATCTGTTATGTTTTGACTTTTTAATAATAGTCATTCTGACTGGTGTGAGATGAAATCTCACTGTGGTTTTGATTAGAATTTCTCTAATGATCAGTGATGCTGAGGTTTTTTTTTTAATATGATTGTTGGCCTCATTTATGTCTTCTTTAAAAAAGTGTCTGTTCATGTCCTTTGCCCACTTTTTAATGTGCCTTCCCAGTTTTCCTCTGACATTGCTGAGATGCCCCAGGGCATATCTCATCCACATTTCATTCCCACAGCACCCAGGCTACTGCTGGTGTTACCTTGTCCACAGCAACTGAGCTGGAGTTTTCTCAGCCTCCAAGACTAGTCCTGTTTTTAAATGTGATCTCTGCACTTCTTGGCTGTGGTACCTGAACCTAAACTACAATATTCTTTAACCGTACATGGGAAATTAATGCTGCCTGACTTCTACTAACTTTCCTAGTACTCCTCCTCTTCTTTCATTTCTTTTGTTTTGGTCATTTGTACCTCAGAATCAACACCTTATTTTATTCTACCCTGTTTTAAAATTGTCTTTGTTTCATACATACAGTTTTGCCATTTATTTTTCGATGTGTTTATTGATAGAGACTTCCATCTCCTTAGATGATAAACACTTTAGGAGAAGAGATTAGGTGTTATTTTTCTATAGCATACCCTACAATATGCAGCATAATTCTACCATAGACACAAAGTATAAACTGAGGACATTCTTTTTCACACAGGCTCAAAGATGCACTGAGGAATAAATTGTGTAATAGGTAACTATAACTCAGCAAGAAATTTCTTTCTTTCTTTCTTTTTTCCTAACTGAGATATCAAGGCAAAGAAATTTCTATATGGTAATAGGGCACACTCTTGCATGTCGACATATCCCTTTCACTCACGGTACTACCACCATCCAGCCCTAAAATAGTTGAAAGGCAGCAAGCCTCTGATCTGGGCTCCTCAGACCTGGTATATTCCTCTCCTCCATAGGCTGCTGAGGCGCTGATCTGAGATGTGCTTCCATAAGGAACAAGGCAGTAGAGGAGGAGCCAAGATGGCCAAATAGGAACAGCTCCGGTCTACGGCTCCCAGCGTGAGAGATGCAAAAGACGGGTGATTTCTGCATTTCCATCAGAGGTACCGGGTTCATCTCACTAGGGAGTGCCAGACAGTGGGCGTGGGTCAGTGGGTGTGCGCACCGTGCGCGAGCCGAAGCAGGGCGAGGCATTGCCTCACTCGGGAAGCGCAAGGGGTCAGGGAGTTCCCTTTCCTAGTCAAAGAAAGGGGTGACAGATGGCACCTGGAAAATCGGGTCACTCCCACCCGAATACTGCGCTTTTCCGACGGGCTTAAAAAATGGCGCACCACGAGATTATATCCCGCACCCGGCTGGGAGGGTCCTACGCCCACGGAGTCTCGCTGATTGCTAGCACAGCAGTCTGAGATCAAACTGCAAGGTGGCAGCGAGGCTAGGGGAGGGGCGCCCGCCATTGCCCAGGCTTGCTTAGGTAAACAAAGCAGCCGGGAAGCTCCAACTGGGTGGAGCCCACCACAGCTCAAGGAGGCCTGCCTGCCTCTGTAGGCTCCACCTCTGGGGGCAGGGCACAGACAAACAAAAAGACAGCAGTAACCTCTGCAGACTTAAATGTCCCTGTCTGACAGCTTTGAAGAGAGCAGTGGTTCTCCCAGCATGCAGCTGGAGATCTGAGAATGGGCAGACTGCCTCCTCAAGTGGGTCCCTGACCCCTGACCCCCGAGCAGCCTAACTGGGAGGCACCCCCTAGCAGGGGCACACTGACACCTCACACAGCCGGGTACTCCAACAGACCTGCAGCTGAGGGTCCTGTCTGTTAGAAGGAAAACTAACAAGCAGAAAGGACATCCACACCAAAAACCCATCTGTACATCACCATCATCAAAGACCAAAAGTAGATGAAACCACAAAGATGGGGAAAAAACAGAGCAGAAAAACTGGAAACTCTAAAAAGCAGAGCACCTCTCCTCCTCCAAAGGAACGCAGTTCCTCACCAGCAACAGAACAAAGCTGGACGGAGAATGACTTTGATGAGCTGAGAGAAGTCTTCAGACGATCAAATTACTCCGAGCTACAGGAGGACATTCAAACCAAAGGCAAAGAAGTTGAAAACTTTGAAAAAAATTTAAAAGAATGTATAACTAGAATAACCAATACAGAGAAGTGCTTAAAGGAGCTGATGGAGCTGAAAACCAAGGCTCAAGAACTACATGAAGAATGCAGAAGCCTCAGGAGCTGATGCGATCAACTGGAAGAAAGGGTATCAGCGATGGAAGATGAAATGAATGAAGTGAAGCTAGAAGGGAAGTTTAGAGAAAAAAGAATAAAAAGAAATGAGCAAAGCCTCCAAGAAATATGGGACTATGTGAAAAGACCAAATCTACGTCTGATTGGTGTACCTGAAAGTGATGGGGAGAATGGAACCAAGTTGGAAAACACTCTGCAGGATATTATCCAGGAGAACTTCCCCAATCTAGCAAGGCAGGCCAACATTCAGATTCAGGAAATACAGAGAATGCCACAAAGATACTCCTCGAGAAGAGCAACTCCAAAACACATAATTGTCAGATTCACCAAAGTTGAAATGAAGGAAAAAATGTTAAGGGCAGCCAGAGAGAAAGTTCGGGTTACCCTCAAAGGGAAGCCCATCAGACTAACAGCGGATCTCTCGGCAGAAACTCTACAAGCCAGAAGAGAGTGGGGGCCAATATTCAACATTCTTAAAGAAAAGAATTTTCAACCCAGAATTTCATATCCAGCCAAACTAAGCTTCATAAGTGAAGGAGAAATAAAATACTTTACAGACAAGCAAATGCTGAGAGATTTTGTCACCACCAGGCCTGCCCTAAAAGAGCTCCTGAAGGAAGCACTAAACATGGAAAGGAACAACTGGTACCAGCCGCTGCAAAATCATGCCAAAATGTAAAGACCATCGAGACTAGGAAGAAACTGCATCAACTAACGAGCAAAATAACCAGCTAACATCATAATGACAGGGTCAAATTCACACATAACAATATTAACTTTAAACGTAAATGGACTAAATGCTCCAATTAAAAGACACAGACCGGCAAATTGGATAAAGAGTCAAGACCCATCAGTGTGCTGTATTCAGGAAACCCATCTCACATGCAGAGACACACATAGGCTCAAAATAAAAGGATGGAGGAAGATCTACCAAGCAAATGGAAAACAAAAAAAGGCAGGGGTTGCAATCCTAGTCTCTGATAAAACAGACTTTAAACCAACAAAGATCAAAAGAGACAAAGAAGGCCATTACATAATGGTAAAGGGATCAATTCAACAAGAAGAGCTAACTATCCTAAATATATATGCACCCAATACAGGAGCACCCAGATTCATAAAGCAAGTCCTCAGTGACCTACAAAGAGACTTAGACTCCCACACATTAATAATGGGAGACTTTAACACCACACTGTCAACATTAGACAGATCAATGAGACAGAAAGTCAACAAGGATACCCAGGAATTGAACTCAGCTCTGCACCAAGCAGACCTAATAGACATCTACAGAACTCTCTACCCCAAATCAACAGAATATACATTTTTTTCAGCACCACACCACACTTATTCCAAAATTGACCACATAGTTGGAAGTAAAGCACTCCTCAGCAAATGTAAAAGAACACAAATTATAACCAACTATCTCTCAGACCACAGTGCAATCAAACTAGAACTCAGGATTAAGAATCTCACTCAAAGCCGCTCAACTACATGGAAACTGAACAACCTGCTCCTGAATGACTACTGGGTACATAACGAAATGAAGGCAGAAATAAAGATGTTCTTTGAAACCAACGAGAACAAAGACACAACATACCAGAATCTCTGGGACACATTCAAAGCAGTGTGTAGAGGGAAATTTATAGCACTAAATGCCCACAAGAGAAAGCAGGAAAGATCCAAAATTGACACCCTAATATCACAATTAAAAGAACTAGAAAAGCAAGAGCAAACACATTCAAAAGCTAGCAGAAGGCAAGAAATAACTAAAATCAGAGCAGAACTGAAGGAAATAGAGACACAAAAAACCCTTCAAAAAATTAATGAATCCAGGAGCTGGTTTTTTGAAAGGATCAACAAAATTGATAGACTGCTAGCAAGACTAATAAAGAAAAAAAGAGAGAAGAATCAAATAGACACAATAAAAAATGATAAAGGGGATATCACCACCGATCCCACAGAAATACAAACTACCATCAGAGAATACTACAAACACCTCTATGCAAATAAACTAGAAAATCTAGAGGAAATGGATAAATTCCTCGACACATACACTCTCCCAAGACTAAACCAGGAAGAAGTTGAATCTCTGAATAGACCAATAACAGGATCTGAAATTGTGGCAATAATCAATAGCTTACCAACCAAAAAGAGTCCAGGACCAGATGGATTCACAGCCAAATTCTACCAGAGGTACAAGGAGGAACTGGTACCATTCCTTCTGAAACTATTCCAATCAATAGAAAAAGAGGGAATCCTCTCTAACTCTTTTTATGAGGCCATCATCATCCTGATACCAAAGCCTGGAAGAGACACAACCAAAAAAGAGAATTTTAGACCAATATCCTTGATGAACATTGATTCAAAAATCCTCAATAAAATACTGGCAAACCGAACCCAGCAGCACATCAAAAAGCTTATCCACCATGATCAAGTGGGCTTCATCCCTGGGATGCAAGGCTGGTTCAATATACGCAAATCAATAAATGTAATCCAGCATATAAACAGAACCAAAGACAAAAACCACATGATTATCTCAATAGATGCAGAAAAGGCCTTTGACAAAATTCAACAACCCTTCATGCTAAAAACTCTCAATAAATTAGGTATTAATGGGACGTATTTCAAAATAATAAGAGCTATCTATGACAAACCCACAGCCAATATCATACTGAATGGGCAAAAACTGGAAGCATTCCCTTTGAAAACTGGCACAAGACAGGGATGCCTTCTCTCACCACTCCTATTCAACATAGTGTTGGAAGTTCTGGCCAGGGCAATTAGGCAGGAGAAGGAAATAAAGGGTATTCGATTAGGAAAAGAGGAAGTCAAATTGTCCCTGTTTGCAGATGACATGATTGTATATCTAGAAAACCCCATTGTCTCAGCCCAAAATCTCCTTAAGCTGATAAGCAACTTCAGCAAAGTCTCAGGATACAAAATCAATGTACAAAAATCACAAGCATTCTTATAACAACGGACAAACAGAGAGCCAAATCATGAGTGAACTCCCATTCACAATTGCTTCAAAGAGAATAAAATACCTAGGAATCCAACTTACAAGGGATGTGAAGGACCTCTTCAAGGAGAACTACAAACCGCTGCTCAAGGAAATAAAAGAGGATACAAACAAATGGAAGAACATTCCATGCTCATGGGTAGGAAGAATCAATATCATGAAAATGGCCATACTGCCCAAGGTAATTTACAGATTCAATGCCATCCCCATCAAGCTACCAATGACTTTCTTCACAGAATTGGAAAAAACTACTTTAAAGTTCATATGGAACAAAAAAAGAGCCCGCATTGCCAAGTCAATCCTAAGCCAAAAGAACAAAGCTGGAGGCATCACACTACCTGACTTCAAACTATACTACAAGGCTACAGTAACCAAAACAGCATGGTACTGGTACCAAAACAGAGATATAGATCAATGGAACAGAACAGAGCCCTCAGAAATAACGCCTCATATCTACAACTATCTGATCTTTGACAAACCTGAGAAAAACAAGCAATGGGGAAAGGATTCCCTATTTAATAAATGGTGCTGGGAAAACTGGCTAGCCATATGTAGAAAGCTGAAACTGGATCCCTTCCTTATACCTTATACAAAAATCAATTCAAGATGGATTAAAGACTTAAACGTTAGACCTAAAACCATAAAAACCCTAGAAGAAAACCTAGGCATTACCATTCAGGACATAGGCATGGGCAAGGACTTCATGTCTAAAACACCAAAAGCAATGGCAACGAAAGCCAAAATTGACAAATGGGATCTAATTAAACTAAAGAGCTTCTGCACAGCAAAAGAAACTACCATCAGAGTGAACAGGCAACCTACAAAATGGGAGAAAATTTTCACAACCTACTCATCTGACAAAGGGCTAATATCCAGAATCTACAATGAAATCAAACAAATTTACAAGAAAAAATCAAACAACCCCATCAAAAAGTGGGTGAAGGACATGAACAGACACTTCTCAAAAGAAGACATTTATGCAGCCAAAAAACACATGAAAAAATGCTCACCATCACTGGCCATCAGAGAAATGAAAATCAAAACCACAATGAGATACCATCTCATACCAGTTAGAATGGCAATCATTAAAATGTCAGGAAACAACAGGTGCTAGAGAGGATATGGAGAAATAGGAACACTTTTACACTGTTGGTGGGACTGTAAACTAGTTCAACCATTGTGGAAGTCAGTGTGGCGATTCCTCAGGGATCTAGAACTAGAAATACCATTTGACCCAGCCATCCCATTACTGGGTATATACCCAAAGGACTACAAAATCATGCTGCTATAAAGACACATGCACACGTATGTTTATTGCAGCATTATTCACAATAGCAAAGACTTGGAACCAACCCAAATGTCCAACAATGATAGACTGGATTAAGAAAATGTGGCACATATACACCATGGAATACTATGCAGCCATAAAAAATGATGAGTTCATGTCCTTTGTAGGGACATGGATGAAATTGGAAATCATCATTCTCAGTAAACTATCGCAAGAACAAAAAACCAAACACCGCATATTCTCACTCATAGGTGGGAATTGAACAATGAGAACACATGGACACAGGAAGGGGAACATCACACTCTGGGGACTGTTGTGGGGTGGGGGGAGAGGGGAGGGATAGCACTGGGAGATATACCTAATGCTAGATGACGAGTTAGTGGGTGCAGCGCACCAGCATGGCACATGTATACATATGTAACTAACCTGCACATTGTACACATGTACCCTAAATCTTAAAGTATAATACTAATTAAAAAATAAAGAAAGAAAGAAATGCTTAGTAAATGGGAAAAAAAGGAACAAGGCAGGTAGAGGCACTGGAGCACTACATTCAACATGTATTACCCTGTATTTTTAATCAATTCATTAATATTCTTTCTTCTGCTTATTTGCTAGTTTCAAGTAAAAATGAAAATCTCAACCGTGTCATTATTCATGCCAAGCCTTAAACCTGGATCAAGCTTTTCTATCTAATGTCACTCATCAAAGACAATTGTAAATCCTTCATCTACCTTATCTTATCTAATACTCACAAAAACAAAGGGTGATATGGCAGAGACAGTTACAGTGCTCACCAATGACTGCAAAATGTCCGCATCTCCCAGCCTCACTTGCAGATAGATGGGGACCATGGAACTAGTTCCCACCAAAGAACTATGAGTAGAAATAGCATGTGTCTGGAGCCAAAGAAGTTAAAAGCTGACATGCCTCCTCCATCCCTCTTTTCTCCTGCAATAATTATCTTGGCTTGGAAGCCACAAGAGAAGATGAGCTGACAGATCCACACTGGAATCTACAAGAGTGAAAAATATAATTTCATTGTGTTAAACCACTAAGATTTCAGAATTTGTCTGTTATAACAGCATAGCCTATCCTGTCCTGACAAACATAGATAATATTTGGAATATGTAATAACTAGTACAGAACAGGCACTAACATATTAGAATGAATGCAATGACCAATGAATGAACGTCATCGGCTGTACATGACTGACATGGCCATATGAGTCCATACCAGTTAAATAGCGATGAAAACAACTCTACAAATTTATCCCAGTTTTATAATTGATGAAACAGAAGCATTGAGAGCTTGCCTAAGACAATGACTTGTAAATGGCAGAGTAGGAATTCAAATCAGCTGTTTGATACATAGACCATTCTCTTTCTATCTCAACATTCTGCTTCCTACTTGTTGAATGATGCCTAAATTACCCGAACAATTAATTCATCATGACTGCAGTAGAAGTGTCCGAATACTTCATTGTTTATTTAAACCATAGGGCATGGTCCAATCGTATATGTTTATTCTTGTTGAATTTTCTGTAACTTGAACTCATTCTTGCCTCTGTATAGGATGTCAGTATTATATTTTGCTTTTCCTTTCAAATTTGCCTTTTGTCATTATTAATCATTAACCCTGAAACTGTATTATTTAAGGGGATACATCCAACTTTATGACATAACATATATTAAAAATGCAAGAGAAAATTAAATTGGATGAAGTGCTTGGCTTTTGGCATAGTTCTTTTGCTCCTGCTGCTCATTCTTCATTTAAATTCATAAGTCTCTTTTCTCCATGACAGGATAATCATCTCCACAGCAACTAACTATTATATCACAAAGGACTATGCCTGTGAGTGAGAACAGATCAGCAGGAGCTGAGCAACACTTAAGCAACAGAGATTCTATTTGCACACAAATATCTCTAATTATAATAAGCTAAGGAAGAAATATATCATTCCCTCCCCAACTCCCCCCCATAATACAAGCAGAGCTCTCTCTACATGGTTTCTCTCATTAAAAAATGGTGCTTTCAACCACAAATGTGTTTAACAAGAGCATATTCCCATATAGAGATGATATCACCTGTTACTGTCAGGCAAATGTGTGTCTAGACTGAAAAGCAGGCACTGGTTGAATTAAAATCACACAGACTTACTCCACGATTTAGAGTAGAAGTCAAAGCAGGATCTGTGTGTTACACAGATCCTGTGTAGACAGCTAATAACATCCAAAAAAAAAAAAACAATAAACAAAAACCTCTTTAAAAGTAAAAGGGAAGGTATAAAAATTGCCACTTGGCCAAAAGATATATATTACCAGAGCTTCTCTTTCCAAAGAGGATACTTAAAATGGTGTGGTCAAGAGCTGGCATAATTTGACTAATCATAATAATTGTAAGATACTTTAAATTTGAAGTGGGCTTGAACATTTTACAACACAATCTCAAAGTAGCACTTTTACTGGCAAGCAGAATTCTCTAGGAGAGCTGAAACTGCAGTATTACACTGGTGATCAAATCCAAGAGAACAGTGGATGTCTATCAGATTCTGCCTATGACCCACTATTTTACACTGGTTTCATAGAATTTAAAATTGAATCATATTTATAATCTATAATACAGGATCTTACAAGTGACATGCTTGAAGAATATCAATGTTGCCTCTCCCACTAGATGATAAGCATCTTGAGGGCAGGCAGTATGCCTTGTATCATTATGCTATTTTCTATAACACTAAGGGCAATCTATGATAAAGAGCTATTGTCTCAATTTAATATTGAAATGACAAGGTCCTCAGACATATGACAACAGGAACAAAAATAATTGAAGTTGAGTCTTTTTTTTTTTTTGTCCCAAAGCTCAAATGAGTTGTGTAGTGAAGGGCTCCAAAATTCACTACTCTATTTGTGTGTGTATGTGTGTGTGAGACAGGGTCTCACTCTGTCACCTGGGCTGGAGTGTAGTGGCATGATCATGGCTCACTGCAGCCTGACCTCTCCAGGTTCAAGTGATCCTCCCACCTCAGCCTCCCCGGTAGCTAGGATAGGACTACAGCCATGTGCTACCATGCCTGGCTAATTTTTGTATTTTTTGTAGAGATGGGGTTTCACCATGTTGCCCAGGCTGGTCTCGAACTCCTGAGCTCAAGCAATCTACTCACCTCAGCCTCCCAAAGTGCTAGGATTACAGGTATGAGCCACAAGTCTCCACACCACTCTTAAATAGGCATTGTCACAAAACTATTATATGTCCCATCTATTCTCCTAAAAGTCCATAAGTCTTTCCAGAAAGTCATTTGTTTTCCCATAAATACTCTTCTCCTCCCCTTCCCTGTTGAAATGGCATATAGGTCCCAATTTATGTGTAGTCCTGTACATAAATGATTCAATCTATTTTCTTGCTAATCTGTTCTTTGTCAGTTTCACTTGAAAGCCTCCAAAAATTGAATCTAAGAGGGTAAAGGAAAATGTGTTCTCCCTGGCAGTTGTAAGGGGACCACCACTCTGGATTCTGTCATCACTGGAGCCCTCCCAAGTCATCTAACCCATTCATCCAGTTAAATGTCATCAGGAGAATGACATTGAACCCTCAGCCAGATCCCATTATCAGCCATCTCAAAGAAGCTTCTTCTTATCACCTAAAATCTCTAGCCCACCTCCCACCCCCACTTTCATGCCCATCTCTTCTCTCTTAATCATCTTTATTGTCACTTTCTTTGTGCTGATGACTTGATGGAGGAAGTCAGCAAACTTGGTTGACATGGCTTTCTATAAATTCACACTTTTCACTTCAATGGGGCCCATACTGCTGCCCAATAATCTGCCCAGTAATGCCCAGTAATTTAGTTATTTTTTACTGATTCCTTAAAATCATCTATGTCAGGGATAATATTCAAAATTTTTAACAACTAGTATGACAGAGGCATCAACCTTAAATTGATATGGCTGTAGAGCAGGGTCTGAGAGAGGACCCGGGTACGTTTTGCATTTACCCTTTCATTGCTGATTGAGGGCCTGGGGGAGAAGCTGAGGTTACCTGAGCAGCAGATACTTGCCAACTGATAGGGAAGTGTGTCAATATTTTAACAACCAGTACAGCTGTATGATTTGAAGCAAGTAAATATCAGCTCTACTACAAGTTTTCCAAAAATGATCTTTCCTTTTTTTCTTGCCTCCATTCAACATCTACTTTCCTTTTTATCTGTTAACAAACATTTGTTGAACAGCAGGCACCGTTCTAAGTAAACAAAAAAGACAAAAACGCCCCGTTCTTATGGTCTTACATTCTAGCGAGGGGTGACAGAAAACAAATACAGTAGGTAAATTATATCGTATATTTGACAGTAATAAGAGCTATGGAAAAAGAGAAAAAGAAGAAACTAAAGGGGTTCCAGATTGCAGAGAGCAGGTTAAGATATGGTGCTAGAGTTGGCCTCACTGAGAAGAGGACTTGAAGGAAATGGGAGATGAACTGCATGGGTGACTGGGGGCAAAGCATTTGAGACAGAGGAAACAGGCCATGCACACGCTTATGTTCTAGGGACTCATCCTCATCCAAAGACGATTAACCTCCAACCTCCTTCTTTATAGAGATCAAAGTTATTTGTAAGTAATCTCTTCAGTTTTTCCTCCTTTCTACTTCTAAAATATCTTTATATTTTTTCTCTTCTCCTTGGCATCTTAGAGAAATAGGCATCCCTCATTCCAACGTCTGTTTTCCCTTACTTTCTCCCAGGACTTCTTCCTCTCACTTACTCCCCTTTCCACCATCTACAATCTCTTCCAATTCTGTCTCTTTAGATATTACGTTTTTGTTTTTGTTTTTGAGACAGAGTTTCACTCCCATCACCCAGATTGGAGTGCAGTGGTGCGATCTCGGTTCACTACAACCTCTGCCTCCCAGATTCAAGCGATTCTCCGGCCTCAGCCTCCCAAGTAGGTGGGACTACAGGCATGTGCCACCACACCTGGCTAATTTTTGTATTTTTAGTGGAGATGGGGGTCTCACCATGTTGGCCAGGCTAGTCTTGAACTACTGACCTTAAGTGATCCTCCTGCCTCAGCCTCCCAAAGGGCTGGGATTACAGGCGTGAGCCACCATGCCCAGCCTTGATATTAAGTTACATTTAAAACACTGCCACTCACCCTAAATATTTTTTCCAATTACAGCCTACTTCTGCCAATCAAAATCAAAGCCTTCAACTTCCTCATCACACACGTTCTCCTTAGCCTGTCACTTCTACCTTCTACCCTCTTCAAACAACTTAAACTGATCTCTGGAAAATCAGCAAAGACCCCAACTTCAAACTGCACCTGTTTACAGTTCTGTCAACTGACAATTGTCACCATCCAGGGAAGACTTGAGTTTGGAAGGAAATACCTACCTACAATTACTTGTATTAAAATAAATATCCAGTTTGTTAAAATTGTACGTTTTAAAACAAAGCTTTAAAATTCATTTTTTTGCTGTTGTAGTAAAATGCACATAGCATAATATTTACCATTTTAACCATTTTTGAGTGTACAATTCAGTAATATTCAGTACACTGACAATGCTGTACAACCACCACCATTATCCATCTCCCGAACTTTTTTATAATTCCAAACAGAATCTGTGTGTTCATTAAAGAATAACTCTCTATTCCACCCTTCCCCCTCGCCCCTGGTAATCACTATTCTACTGTCTGTCTTTATGAACTCAACTATTCTAGGTACCTCATAAAAGCAGAATAAGGGCCTGGCATGGTGGCTTATGCCTATAATCCCAGCACTTTGGGAGGCCGAGGCGGATCATTAGGTCAGGAGATCGAGACCAGCCTGGCCAACATGGTGAAACCCCGTCTCTACTAAAATACAAAAAAATAGCCAGGTGAGGTGGTGCTCGCCTGTAGTCCCAACTACTCTGGAGGCTGAGGCAGGGGAGTCATTTGAACCCAGGAGGCTGAGATTGCAGTGAGCCGAGATCGTGCCATTGTACTCCAGCCTGGTGACAGAGCGACACGGCATCTAAAAAAAAAAAAAAAAAGCAGAATAAGACCAGACACAGTGTCTCATGCCTGTAATCCCAGCACTTTGGGAGGCTGAGGCGGGAGGATTGCTTGAGATTGGGAGGAGCAGCCAAACTGTTTCCCGAAGCAGCTGTACCATGTTAAATTCTCACCAGCAATGCACAAAGGTTCTAATTTCTCCACATCCTCATGAGCACTTCTTATTTTTCTTTCTTCGTAATAGCCATCCTAATGGGTGTGAAGTGGTATCTCACTGTAGTTTGGGTTTGCATTTCCCTAATGACTAGTAATGTTGAGCATCTTTTCATGTGCTTGTTGGCCATTGTATAGTTGTTTGTAGAAAACTCTTTTCAAGTCTGTTTCGTTTCTGAACACTTTTCCATGTTTTAATTGGGTTGTTTGCTTTTTGGTTGTTGAGTTGTAGGAGTCCTTTATATATTCTAGATATTAATCCCTTACCAGATATATGATTTGCAAATATTTTCTCCCGTTCTATCGGTTGTCTTTTCATTCTCTTGACGATGTTCTTTGATGCACAAAAGTTCTTAATTTTGATGAAGTTCTATTTATTTTCTTTTGTTGTTTCTGTTTTGGCTGTCATATTTAAGAAATCTTTGCTAAATCCAATGTCATAAAACTTTTTCCATATGTTTTCTTCTTTTTTTTGAGACAGAGTCTTGCTGTAGAGATGGGGCTTCGCCATGTTGGCCAGGCTGGTCTTCAACTCATGACCTCAAGTGATCTGCCCATCTTGGCCTCCCAAAGTGCTGGGATTACAGGCATGAGCCACTGCACCTGGCCCCTTCTAAAATAAAACTTTATTATTAAGTTCAACTTCTTCTATTTATAAATCCAATTATTTTAAAAATAAAGAACAATTTGATTTGTTCTTAGGTTAATATGCAATTTGTTATTAGTAATAAAAGACTAAATTCCCCTAAAATATTTTAAACTATGTTTTTGTATTTTACACATTTTATTCAAATATTTCAAATATCTGACAGAATAAACTTTCAAACCTAAAAAACACAATCTACCTAAACATTTAAATAACCAACAAACACATAGATTTTCACAATAATTACAAAACATATCTCTAAACTGATGAAAAATAAGCATTCTATAAATTTGAGCCACACTATTACCTTATATACATTTCCACGGTTTCACAATCACTTATTCAACAAGAGTAGCAGACTTTCCATCTTATTCAGCCTAAAATTTGGAGCTGCAGGAGTGCCACAGATTTGGGTTCTGTCAGGGATTCTGAACCTGGGGCCAGTTCCTGAGCCCCTTCTTACAGTAATGGGCCTCCTGTTGTTTGCCCATTTTCTTGCAACCTAGTGTATCAAATGCCCTCTTACCCATTTAAAAAAAAAAAGGCAACCTGTTTTACAACATTAATTGCGTATTGTAACTCTGGCTCCTTTCTGCTCAACTGACTGGGTTCTGTATCACTTTCTGTGTCTTTCTTTCGCCTTTTTTTTTCTCTCTCTGTCACCCAGGCTGGAGTGCAATGGTTCAATCTCGGCTCACTGCAAACTCTGCCTCCCGGTTCAAGCGAGTCTCCTGCCTCAGCCTCCCAAGTAGCTGGGATTACAGGCGCCTGCCACCACACCTGGCTAATTTTTCATATTTTTAGTAGAGAAGGGGTTTGCCATGTTGACCAGGCTAGTCTCAAACTCCTGACCTCAGGTGATCTGCCTGCCTTGGCCTCCCAAAGTGCTAAGATTACAGGTGTGAGCGAGCACACCCGGCCGTTTGGACTTCTTTTTATTGACAGACCCCTTCAATTTAAGACAGCTTAGACTATTATTGACTGTCCTCTCCTTTTTAAACTAAAAAAAAATTAATTAAAAAAAAAAAGCCTATAGCACCAGGTAATCCTAGGTGGTCTCCCATCCAGTACTAACCAGGCCTGACCCTGGTTAGCTTCTGAGATCAGATGAGATGGGCACATTCAGGTTGGTATGACTGCAAACATGGCTTCTCCTATTTAGAAACTATTTCCCCTGCTTTCTTGAGGCTACAGTCTCATAGGCTTCCTCTTATGTGACTACACTGCATCTTTCATTCTCCGATCCTCTCACTGATTCTTCCTTCCCACACAGTATAAAAGTAAACTTCCTCTAAGGCTCAGTTCAGAGCCTTCTAGTTCCATCTCCTCTCTTGGGATCGTCACCTCCTTCACCTTTCAGCTTATGACCACGACCTTCCAATCTGCATCTGTATTTCCAGTTTCTTTCCTAAGCTCAGGTCTTTGTTTTCTATTTACAAAAGTGGACATTTGCACTTAGATTTCTTACCTTTAATTGAAACTCAATTCATCTAAAATAAAATTCTTTATTTTTTCCACAAACTAGCAACCCCTCATAATTTCCCTTATTAGTACTAGCATTTTGTGAGGCCCAACACTTGAAAAGCATTGGCCTTATAAAAAGAGATAAGAGGGATTTTAAGGTCAAAGGAGTAGCAGGAATGATGGAACGAAATTAACGCATCGGGACAGAAGCTCCAAAACACTAGAGTTTACGGGTTGCATTTGACAGGGCTAATGTTCCACCAAAATGGCATAAAGACTACTTGAAGTCATTTGGAATACAGCTGATGCGATGCAGAAAGAAGCCTTTTCTGAGCTTCCCTTATCTGATAAAGGCAGAGCTTTTAGAATGAAGTTGTCATAAATCTCCTCTCTCAGAGACCTTTCAGCCAGCTAGGACACTGACCTTTACCTCCAGGGATGAAAATTGTATGAACAAACTTTATTACCAACTGTCTCATTTGTTTCCCTAGAAAATCTATCTTCTGCCCAATCCCTCTTTTCTTTATTCAGCCATTACCATTATTCAGCCATATAAACCATTACCCCCGCTATTCAGATAGCCACTTGCTTGTGTGTTGCTGCAAGCATGCGAATAAATTTTGTCTTTTCTCCTGTTAGTCTATTGTCAGTTAACTTTTAATCCACAGTCCCTCAGTAAAGTTGGTGGAGAAAAGGTTTTCCTCCCAACACATTCCCAATGTGTGGCTTAATCTCTAAGGAACAAAGTTTTCCCAGACCAAATTAAAGCTCTGTAACTTTATCTGTCAGGGAGCAACCAGCTTCCTGGTGTCTGAAGATTTTCCCAATAGTTAAAAATATGTACATACATTTTAGGCCAGGCTTGGTGGCTCACGCCTGTAATCCCAGCACTTTGGGAGGCTGAGGTGGGTGGATCACCTGAGGTCAGGAGTTCGAGACCAGCCTGGCCAACATGGTGAAACCCAGTCTCTAATAAAATACAAAAATTTGCCGGGCATGGTGGTGTGTGCCTGTAATCCCAGCTACTCGGGAGGCTGAGGCAGGAGAATCACTTGAACCCAGGAGGCAGAGGTTGCAGTGAGCTGAGATCACACCACTGCACTCCAGCCTGGGTGACGGAGCAAGACCTTGTCTCTAAAGAAGAAAAAAGCTATTTTAACAAAACAAATCTGAAGTGCTTTTCCTATCAGAAACACTAACATCAGAGAGACCATAGCTACCCAGAGTAGGGGTTCTGGTACACTCAAACAAAACCTTGGTGATCTGAGTCCTCTCTTACTCTTACTTCTCATATTCAGTCTGATCCCAACCCAGATTTTTCTTTCTATGTCTCTCATATGCCTGTGTTCCTTTCTGTGGTGAGATATGAGTCTGAAGAAATCATGGTGGAAGGCAAGGAGGGGCAAGTCACATCTTACGTGGATGGTGGCAGTCAAAAAAAAACTTGCACAGGGAAACTGCCATTTTTAAAAGCATCGAATCTCCTAAGACTCATTCACTATCATGAGAACAGTGCAGGAAAGACCCACCCCCCGTGATTCAATCATCTCCCACTGGGCTCCTCCCATGACAAGTGGGAACTGTGGGAGTTACAATTCAAGATGAGATCTGGGTGGAGACACAGCCAAATCATGTCACCAGCATTCCTCCTGTTTCAAGGTCTGCTTCCTGATGTAACTACTTGGACAGAATATGCACACCTCCACAAGGACAAGCAGCTGATGGTTGGCAGGGCATAGTTTGAAGCCATTACTACTCAAGGATCATTCTTCCAAAGGAAACACAGTCTACAGAAATGCAGCTCTACCTGCATCAGTTTTTTATTCCTGCACAGAATACATTAGCCTTTAGAGCCACGATTCTGAGAAATAATCCTGACACCCCCTCACTGGATTAAACCAGTTCCCCTTGTCCTCGGAGACCCTAAAAGCTAAGAAAAAGTTCACTGAGATACTGGCCATGCAGAATGGAAGATGGTTATGCCTCAGTATACCCCTTCCTTATTAACCTTTAACCAGAATTCTTTCCTAAGGAGTAAGCAGAAACCAGCTCTGGAAAACAAGAAATGAATGACTCATTCCTTTATTGCTGTTAGCCAGTCATCGCAGGCCATGACTGGATGTTTTGCAATTTCTGTACCACAACTGACCAGCATTTCTTCTTAACAAGAGACCTTCAACCATGGGGGGGGTACTGGTTGATCTATGGAAGATGCACAGTGAGGGTTTTCCTGTCCTCTGCTTCACATGTTGACATCAGAGAGCTAAAAACTCCACCCTTAGGTCATGGTGACACTGCTATTTTTTGAACCTGCGATCCATGAAGAGGCCTAAAGCTCAATTGTGCATATGCATGTTTCTCCTTTCATAAACATTCATGATGCCTCATATAGCTTATTAAATATATCTATTTGGGTACCCCATCCAGCATAAATTCCTGTTCCTTTTACCCCTCCCTTGAAGCACTGTGTCTTCATGTCCACTGGAAGCTCCGCTTCCTCCTACGGGTTTTGGTACCTTTAGGAATAAAGCTCTCTATTTTAAATTTATAGAATATTGTTACTTTTGTGGTCCACAGTTCCTCAAGATCTCCATTAAGATGTCAGAGTCTTAGTGTCGAGTTGTGGAAATGAGAAACACACAGAGACAGTTGCTGCCATCATTAGCCACCTGCCAGCATCTGTCCTCACACTCTGCCTTCCTGTTTCTGTAGCAGAATTACCCATACCCTTATCTAAAGCTGTTCTTTCATCTGTACACTGGAGCTCAACCCTTGTCACCTACTCAAGGGTATCATTCCAGTAATTCTCTCTTCTCTCTTTCAACACTCTCAGGTTTTTCCTCTATTAGACTTGTTCCCAGCAGCATACAAATTTGCTCATGGGTCTGCCTTCTTAAAAAACACCAACACCGGCCAGGCATGGTGGCTCACGCCTGTAACCCCAACACTTTGAGAGGCCAAGGCAGGTAGATCACTTGAGGTCAGGAGTTCAAGACCAGCCTGGCCAACATGGTAAATCCCCATCTCTACTTCAAATACAAAAATTAGCCAGGCGTGGTGGTGCATGCCTGTAATCCCAGCTATTCAGGAGGCTGAGGCACAAGAATTGCTTGAAACCAGGAGGTGGACGTTGCAGTGAGCCAAGATCGCGCCACTGCACTCCAGCCTGCGTGACAGAGCAAGGCTCTGTCTCAAAAAAAAAAAAAAAAAAAAAAAGGAAGGAAAAAGGATGTATCACCTTTGCTATTATGATCACCACGCCTGGGCAACAGAGCAAGGCACCATGTCAAGGAAAAAAAAAAAAAAAAAAACAGGCCAGGTGCAGTGGCTCATGCCTATAATCCCAGCACTTTGGGAGGCCAAGATGGGCAGATCACTTGAGGTCAGGAGTTCGAGACCAGCCTGGCCAACATGGTGAAACCCCATCTCCACTAAAAATACAAAAATTAGCTAGGCATGGTGGCACCCACCTTTAATCCCAGCTACTCGGGAGGCTGAGGCAGGAGAATTGCTTGAACCTAGGAGGCAGAGGTTGCAGTGAGCCGAGATTGTGCCATTGCACTCCAGCCTGTGTGACTGAGCGAGACTCCATCTTAAAAGAAGAAAAAAAAGAAAAAAAACCTAAACACCCACCAACACCAATGAAATGAAAAAACAATGTTTCCATCTCACGACTCCTTCCCTGGTAGGATTTACCTGCTTCCTTTTGCTAGTCTAGATTGTGGTTCGCTCCTATTTCTGTTCACCCATTCTCTCTTAAACCCATTCTAATCAGGCTTTTGTCCCAATCAAAACTGCTTTTGTCAAGGTCACCAATGACCTCCACGTGGTTAAATCTCATGGTCTAATCATCTTCTACCTGGCCTGTCAGCAACATCTGACAATAGATCATTCTGTCTTTCTAACAGCCTTTCTTCACTTGATTTCCAGGATGCCCCACTCTCCTCTTTTTCACTTTCCTTACTCCCTGTGCCTTCACAGGCTCCCTTGCTGATCTCTTTCCCAGCCTCCTAATGTTGGAATACTCCAGGGCTCAGTTTTTTCTGGCTAAGAAATATAAGAAAGTACATGGGTCATTTGGCAAGCATTCACTGTATACTCTGCCACACTTTGTAATATTTTATATAGCTAATACATTTACTATGACAGTTGTTTATTGTTTATCTTTCCAAAAGCACTACAAGTGTCACAAAGGCAGGCACTTTTGTTACTTTGTGCTCTGACGTATGTCAAGCGCCTAGAAAAAAGTGCCTGTCACAAAGTAGGTGCTAAATAAGTATTTGTTGGATGAATAAATGTAGCAGGGTGAAGTGGAAATCTAAACTTTTTGTTGTTAACAAAAACAGATATTATTAAAGCTGTCAGCTACTTCTAAGTCTAGTGGTAGCTATTTAGAAGCTACTGTGGTGGTGAGCTTTGTTCAGAGATCAATGATGTGACCTGTTCCTTTTAGTTATGTGGATGTGTGACAAGGAGTGAACACTTATTCTCAGGTTCGATAGAGAATTCACAAATGCAATGCTTTAGGAGCCAGGCTGATACTGAAGAAAGCTAGATATAAGTGACTAGGGCTCTAAGCGAGATCTAAAGTGAGTAAACCCAACTCAGTTCCAATTAACAGAGGCCATGCAGCATGCAGATCCAGTTTTCCCGGGTCGTGTGGAAGCTAGGTTATCTATATTGTTAACTAAAAATCTCTCCATTTTAGAATATTGGCTCGAATCCAGAAAACACTGACAGGAAAACAAATCACAGCTGCAGGCTAGATGTGGCCTGTGACCATCAGTTCACTACCTGTAGTATAATGATACTTTGGGGAGCTTATTTTGTGTTCTGGGAAGGAGAGGAAATTTTTTCCAATATAGACCTTAGAAGAAATCTCCTGGGAGAAAAATGGATACAGATATCAACCTCTTCTCTTTTGAGACTCCAGGTTATTACAACATCTTAGAGAGATATAGATATATAGTCTCACTTGAATTCACCTGGAAGGAAAGGAGACCCAGCACCCCAAGAAGCTGGAGCACCTGGGCATATTATAAGGCTCCAGAGGAGTAACATGAGGCCAGAGACTCTCTTGATTCAATCACCATAGCACTGGGGGCATGCTTGGTCAAAATAGCTGTGGAGAAGAGTGTATATTAAAGAAGAGGACTCATCAGTGGCATGATGATCATAATAGTAAAGGCGATATCTCCTTTTTCCTCCTTATGCTCTAAAAAACTGCAGCTCCAACAAGCAGTGGTTAAGGACCGTGGTCATTCCAGCAGTGGACAGTGATGATCTCTGGCGGTGTGAGACTCTGTGTTTCCAGGAACAACAGACTACAGCCAGGGCAGCAACAAAAGACACTAGTTGGTGGGCTGATTACAGTCTCTGCTTCTCTCTGAACTAGTTACATGAAAACAAGACTGACCTCAATAATGAGTGTGTATCCTGAGTTTTAAGGCAGAGGGTAGGGTAGGGTAAACTCCAAAGGGTAATCTTTAAAAAGGTGAAACTGAAATCATAATGATTTAATTTGTATATTAAAGAGAAACATGATTATGGCATAAGAATAGGCAAATAGATTAATGGAACAGAATAGTAAGTCCAAAAATAGACCCAAAAATATACAGTCAATTGAATATTTACAAAGGCACCAAGTCAATTCAATGGGAAAGGGAACTCTTCTAAACAGTTGAGGTTGAAACAGCTATAAAAATGTATGGAAAAAAATAAAGCTTGACCCTACCTCACAGCATAGACAAACATTGGTTTGACATGAATCACAGATGAAATATAAAACATAAAACTACAAAGATCCTAGAAGAAAACATAGGAGAATATCTCTGCAACCTTGCGATAGGCAAAGACTTCTCAGAACACCAAAAGAACTAACCATAAAAGAAAAAAAAGGATAAATTGGGCTTTATCAAAATTTAAAACTTCTGATCATCAAAAGACACCATTAAGATAATTAAAAAGGCAAATTGGGTTTTCAGTCCTGTAGATAAGCACCTTTGAAGTCATTGCTCCATTCCAAAAAGTAAAAAGATGAACAAATTGAAAAATTAATAACTCTTCTTAAACCCATCAGAGAAGTGAGGTCACATGGCAAACTGCTCGCCCAAGCTTGGAGAAACGGACAGATGAATACAGGGAATTACAAGTTCCTGGGACAGAAACCTAGAAGCAGAAATTGCCACAGAAACCAGTCTGAGATAGGAAGACCTGAACTGTAATTGACAAATCAATGGAGGCCCAGTGTAGACAATCCTGAGAGTTAAAAATTCAAGGAGGACCCAGTCATGGAGGAATCCCCACACTTTTGTGAGTTTTACCTCCAAGAGCTCGACCAGATCTTCACAATGCATATTGGAGAAAAATCCCCACCTGCTTCTAGAAGGGGAATGAGGAAAGTATAATTTGAAATATACCAGAGCATTCTGTTTTAACAAGTCCTGACCTCAAGAGAAACTATTTTAAAGAGCCTAAACAATTAGGGCTTTTTTCAGAGGCTAGCCAACCTGGGAAAGGAAAATACTCAACTCCAGCCACTCTAACAATTCTGTCCCACTAAAGGGAGAGAAAAAATTATTATTGTGGAATTCACAGTCCAAAGCACAGACTCATTAAAAGATTGAGAGACCTAATCACAGGACTATTGGATGCTTCCCCTTCCCCCACAACTTACCACTACATTCCTAAAGGCCTATTTACCTCAGTTCCTTTTACCCAATACATCCAGTCCATCTGCCAAGAAAAAGGTAATAGCTGGGCCCAGTGGTGCATGCCTACAGTCCCAGCTACTTGGGAGGCTGAGGTGGGAGAATCATTTGAGCCCAGGAGTTTGAGTCCAGCCTAGGCAACATAACAACACCCCATCTCTAAAAAGAAACAAAGAAAGTAAAAAATTACAAGACACACCATCTTGGTCTGTTTTGTGCTGCTACAATAGAATACCTGAAAGTGATAATTTATAGTATACAAAAATGTACTGGTTTATGGTTCTGGAGGCTAGGAGGTCCAAAATTGAGGGGCTAGCATCTAGTTAGGGCCTACTTGCTGCATCACTCCCTGGCAGAAGGCAAGAGGGCAAGAGAGACAGAATGAAAAGGGGGACTGAACTCCCTTTATAAGGAACCCACTCCTGTGATAACAGCGTTAATCGATTCATGATGGCAGAGACTCATGGCATAATCACATCTCATTAGGCCCCACTTCCCAATACTGTTGCATCAGGGATCAAGTTTCCAACACATGCTTTTTCAGGAACATATTCAAACCATAGCACATTCTAAAAGTCAAGAAACACAGTTTGAAGAAACAGAACAAGCATCAGAACAGAACTCATATATGGAAGGATGTTGGAATTATCAGACCAGGAATTTAAAACAACTATGATTAATGTGCTCAGGGCTCTAATGAATAAAGTTGATAGCATGCAAGAACAGGTAGGTAATGTGAGCAGAGAGATGGAAATTCTCAGAGAGAATCAAAAAGAAATGTTAGAGATCAAAAACACTACCAGAGATGAAGAATGCCTTTGATGGGCTCATTAGCACACTGGACATGACTAAGGAAAGAATCTTTGAGCTTTGGGATATCGCAATAGAAACTTCCAAAACTGAAAACGAGAAAAAGTCTGAAAAAACTCCAGAATATCCAAGAACTGTGGGACAACTGTAAAAGGTATAACATATGTGTAATGGGAATACCAGAAGAAAAGAAAGAGAGAAAGGAACAGAAGCAATATTTGAACGAATGACTGACAGCTTTTCAAAATTAATGTCAGGCACCAAACCACAGATTTGGGAAGCTCAGAGAACACCAAAAAGCATAAATACTAAAAAAGCTATACCTAGGCATATCATATTCCACTGCAGAAAATCAAAGGTACAGAAAAAATCTTGAAGGAAGTCAGAGAAATAAAACATCTTACTTATAAAGGAGTAAAAATAAGAATTACTCTGACTTCTCTTCAGAAATCAAGCAAGCAAGAACAGAAGGAGTGAAGTATTTGAAATATTGAGAAAAAAACAAAACAAAAACAAAAAACCTTCACCTGGAATTCTGTACCCTGTAAAATTATATTTCAAAATGAAGGAGAAATAAAAACTCTGTCAAAGAAAAATTGAGGGAATTTGTTACCAGTAGACCTTCCTTGCAAGAAATTTTTTTTTTACAAAAGTTCTCCAGAGAGAAGAAAATGATATAGATCAATCAAGAAAGAGAGCGCATAGAAGACTAAATGAAGGGGAAATAAGAACTTATTTTTTTACTCTCAATTGATCTAACAGACAATAGCTTTTTCAAAATAATAATAGCAATCATCTATTTGAATATATATATATATATACACACACACATACACATATGCTTATGTGTAAGTGAAATGAGTGACTAGCATGATACAGGAATGGAGAAAATATAGTATATCTTTCTCCACACATTTTCTTTTATTCAATATTCTTCTTTATATTTAAAGTGGGTTTCTTGTACAGAGCATATAGTTGGCTCTTTTTTTTATTTTTTTTTATTTTTTTTTTGAGACGGAGTCTTGCTCTGTAACCTGGCTCTTGTTTTTTGATCCACTCAGATAATTTCTGTCTTTTAATTGGTTTATTCGGACCATTGATGTTCAAAGTGATTTTTTATACAGTCGGATTACTATCTTCATATTTGTTACTGGTTTCTATTTGTTTTGCTTGTTTTCTTCCTATTTTTTTGTCTTCCACCCTTTTTCTGCCTATTGTGATTTTAATTGAGCAGCTTATATGCCACTTTCTCTACTCTATTAGCATATTAGTTATATTTTATTACTTTTTTTTTTTTGAGACAGAGTCTCACTGTGTCACCCAGGCTGGAGTGCAGTGGTGCAATCTTGGCTCACTGCAACCTCTGCCTCCCAGGTTCAAGCAATTCTCACGCCTCAGCCTCCGGAGTAGCTGGGATTACGGGCATGTGCCACCATGCCTGGCTAATTTTTTTTTTTTTTTTTTTGAGGCGGAGTCTTGGTCTGTCGCCCAGGCTGGAGTGCAGTGGCGCGATCTTGGCTCACTGCAAGCTCCGCCTCTTGGGTCCATGCCATTCTCCTGCCTCAGCTTCCTGAGTAGCTGGGACTACAGGCGCCCGCCACCACTCCCAGCTACTTTTTTTGCATTTTTAGTAGAGACAGGGTTTCGCCTTGTTGGCCAGGCTGGTCTTGAACTCCTGACCTCAAGTGATTCACTTGCCTTGGTCACCCAAAGTGCTGGGATTACAGGCATGAGCCACCAGGCCTGGCCTCTTTCATCACTTTTTTTTTTTTTTTTTAAGATGGAGTCCAGGCTGGAGTGCAGTGGTGCCATCTCAGCTCACTGCAACCTCCAACTCCCTGGTTCAAGCCATTCTCCTGCCTCAGCCTCCTGAGTAGCTGGGACTACAAGCATGCACCACCACGCCCAGCTAATTTTTGTATTTTTAATAGAGATGGGGTTTCACCATGTTGGCCAGGATGGTCTTGATCTCCTGACCTCGTGATCTTCCTGACTTGGTCTCCCAAAGTGCTGGGATTACAGGTGTGAGCTATCGCACCCGGCCTTTTATCACCTTTTTTAGTGGTTGTCCTAGAGTTTGCAAATACATTTACAAGTAATCCAAGTCCACTTCCAAATAACACTATATCACTTCATGTGTAGTGCAAGTACTTTATAATGGCAGCAGGCAGAAAATTAGTAAGGACACAGTTGAACTCAACACCATCAATCAACTGGACATGATTGACATCTATAGCTTATCCAATAGCAGCAGAATACACGTTCTTCTCAAGCTCACATGAAACATTTACCAAGATAGGCCATATTCCAGGCTATAAAACACATGGAAACAAATTTAAAAGAATAGAAAACATACAATGTCTGCTTTTTTTTTTTTTTTTTTGAGACGGAGTCTCGCTCTGTCACCCAGGCTGGATTGCAGTGGCATGATCTCAGCTCACTGCAAGCTCCGCCTCCCAGGTTCACGCCATTCTCCTGCCTCAGCCTCCCAAGTAGCTGGGACTACAGGTACCTGCCACCATGCCTGGCTAATTTGGTTTTTTTTTTTTTTTTTTTTGTATTTTTAGTAGAGACGGGGTTTCACCGTGTTAGCCAGGATGGTCTCGATCTGCTGACCTTGTGATCTGCCCACCTCAGCCTCCCAAAGTGCTGGGATTACAGACATGAGCCACTGCGCCCGGCCTCAGTGTCCACTTTTAGGCCACAATGGAATTAAACTAGAAATTGAAAACAGAAAAAATATATGGAAAATTTAAAAATACTTGGAGATTAAACAACAACCTTTTAAGCAACACATGGGTCAAAGAAGAAATCTCAACAGAAATTTTAAAATATTTTGAACTAAGTGAAAATGAAAATACAACTTATCAAAATTTGGGGGAAAAGTGAAAAGAAAGCAGTACTTAGAGGGAAATTTATAGCATGTGGTAGAAAAGAAGAAATATCTGTCTGGCCATGGTGGCTCATGCTTTAATCCCAGTACTTTAGGAGGCTGAGGTGGAAGGATTACTTGAGGCCAGGAGTTTGAGACCAGCCTGGGCAACACAGCTGTATTAATCTGTTCCCACACTGCCATAAAGACGTACCCAAGACTGGGTAATTTATTTATTTTTATGGGGTTTCACCATGTTGGCCAGGCTGGTCTCGAACTCCTGACTTCAGTTGATCCACCTGCCTCGGCCTCCCAAAGTGTTGGGATTACAGGCATGAGCCACCACGCCCAACAAGACTGGGTAATTTATAAAGAAAGAGGTTTAGTTGGCTCGTGGTTCTGTGGGTTCTACAGGCTTCTACTTCTGAGGAGGCCTCAGGAAACTTATGATCATGGCAGAAGGCAAAGAAGAAGCAGGCACATCTTCACATGGCCAAGCAGGAGAGACAGAGAGCAGGGGGAGGTGCCACACACTTTTAAACAACCAGATCTTGTGAGAACTCTGTCACAAGACAGCACTTGGAGGATGGTGCTAAACCATTAGAAACTGCCCCCATGATCTAATCACCTCCCACCAGGTCCCACCTCCAACACTGGGGATTACAATTCAACATGAGATTTGGGTGGGGACACAGAGCCGCAGCATATCATTCTGCCCCAACCACTCCCAAATCTCAAGTTTCTCACATTTCAAAACACAATCATGCCTTCCCAACAGTCCCCTAAATTCTTAACTCATTTCAGAATTAACTCAAAAGTCCAAGTTCAAAGTCCCATATTAGACAAGGCAAGTCCCTTCTGCCTATGAGCCTGCAAAATTAAAAAGTCACTTCAGAGACAGAATGGAGGTACAGGAATTGGGAAAATGCTCCTGCTCCAAAAGGGAAAAACTGGCTAAAGCAAAGGGGCTACAGGCCCCATGCAAGTCCAAATCCCAGCAGGGCAGTCATGAATTTTTTTTTTTTTTTTTTGAGAGAGAGTCTCACTCTGTCACCCAAGCTGGAGTGTAATGGCACGATCTTGGCTCACTGCAACCTCTGCCTCCTGGGTTCAAGTGGTTCTGCTGCTTCAGCCTCCCAAGCAGCTGGAATTACAGGCATGTGCCACCACACCTGGTTAATTTTTGTATTTTTTATTAGAGACAGGGTTCTGCCATGTTGGCCAGGCAGGTCTCAAACTCCTGACCTCAGGTGATCCCCCCACCTCAGCCTCCCAAAATGCCAAGATTACAGGCATGAACCACCACGCCCAACCAAATTTTGAAGTTCTAAAATAATCTCCTTTGACTCCATGTCTCACATTCAGACTACACTGATGCAAGGAATGGGCTCCCAAGGCCTTGGACATCTCTGCCACTGTGGCTTTACAGGGTACAACCCCCTTGACTGCTTTTATGGGCTGACATTGAGTGCCTGTGGCTTTTCGAGGTGCACGGTGCAAGCTGTCAGTGGATCTACCATTCTGGGTGCTGTAGGACAGTGGCCTTCCTCTCACAGCTTCAATAGGCAGTGCCCCAGTGGGGACTCTGTGTGGAAGCTCCAACTCCACATTACCCCTTTGCACTTCCCTAGTAGAAGTTCTCCATGAGGGCTCCACCCCTGCAGTAGACTTATGCCTGGACATTCAGGCATTTTCATACATCCTCTGAAATCTAAGTGGAGGCTCCCAAACCTCAACTCTTGCCTTCTGCCCACCTGCAGACCAAATGCCACATGGAAGCCACCAAGGCTTGGGGCTTACACCCTCTGGAGCAGTGGCCTGAGATGTATCTGGGGCTCTTTTAGCCA
Organism: Homo sapiens; assembly: GCF_000001405.40. NCBI lineage: Eukaryota > Metazoa > Chordata > Mammalia > Primates > Hominidae > Homo > Homo sapiens. Next base: position 185,027,627 of record NC_000001.11, read on the forward strand.
CAGCTGGAGCTGGAGTGGCTGGGATAAAGGGAGCAGTGTTCCAAGGTTGTGCAGGGTAGTGGGACCTTGGGCCAAGCTCACAAAACCATTCTTCCCTCCTAGGCCACTGGGCCTGTGATGGGAGGGTCCGCCGTGAAGATCTCTGAAATGCCTTCCAGGCACTTTTCCCCATTGTCTTGACTATTAACATTTGGCTCCTCTTTACTCTTGTAAATGTCTGCAGGCAGCTGGAATTCCTCCCCTAAAAATTGTTTTTTCCTTCCTACCACATGGCCAGGACAAATTTTCCAAACTTTTATGCTCTGCTTCTCTTTTAAACATAAGTTCCAGTTTCAGATCATCTCTTTGCCCATGAATATAAGCATATGCTGTTAGAAGCAGCCAGGCCACATCTTGAATGCTTTGCTTCTTAGAAATTTCTTCTGCCAGATACCCCAAATCATCTCTCTCAAGTTCAAAGTTCCACAGATCTCTAGGGCAGGGGCACAATGCTGCCAGTCTCTTTTCTCAAGCATAGCAAGAATGACTTTTACTCCAGTTTTTAACAAGCTCCTTATCTCCATCTGAGACCACCTCAGCCTGGATTTCATTGTCCATATCACTATCAGCATTTTGGTCACAACAATTTAACAAGTCTCCAGGAAGCTCCAAATTTTCCTGCATCTTCTTGGCTTATTTTGATCCCTCCCAACTGTTCCAGCCTGCGCCTGTTACCCAGTTTCAAAGCTACTTCTTCATTTTCATGCAATGCTCCACTCCTGGTACCAATTTTCTGTATTAGTCTGTTCTCACACTGCTATAAAGAACTACATGAGACTGGGTAATTTATAAAGAAAAGAGGTTTAATTGGCTCACAATTCCACAGGCTACACAGGAAGCATGGCTGGGGAGGCCTTGGAAACTTACAATCATGGCAGAAGGTGAAGAGGAAGCAGGCATGTCCTACATGTCTAGAACAGGAGGAAGAGAGAGCAGGGGGGAGGGTGCTAGGCACTTTTAAACAACCAGATCTCATGAGAACTACTCATTATCATGAGAACGGCAAGGGGGAAATCTGCCCCCATGATCCAATCACCTCTCACTAGATCCCACCTCCAACACTGGGGATTACAATTCAACATGAGATTTGGGTGGATACACAGAGCCAAACCATATTATTAATGAAATTCAATCTCTACTAAAAATAAAAATAAAAAAAGAAAATATGTTTTAAAAAAGAAAGAGAAAAGAAGAAAGATCCAAAGTCAATAATCTAAGCTTTCACCTTAGGAAACTAGAGAAAGAAGAGCAAATTAAATCTAAAGTAAGAAGAAGAAAAGAAATCATAAAAATTAAAACAGAAATCAATAAACTTGTAAACAGGAAATCAATACAGAAAATTAACAAAACTAAAAGCTGGTTCTTTGAAAATATCAATAAAATTAATAATCCTCTAGCTGGGGTAACTAAGAAAAAAAAGAGAGGACACAAATTAATAATATCAGAAATGAAAGAGAGGACATCACTACAGATCTCATGGACAATCAATGGAACAGAATAGAGATCCCAGAAATTCACCCACATAAGCAGATTCAACTGATCTTTGAGAAAGGAGCAAAGGCAATACAACAGAGCAAAGACAATCTTTTTAACAAATGGTGCTGGAACACTGGACATCCACGTAAAGAAAAGAAATCTAAACACAGATCTTACACCCTTCACAACAAATAACTCCAAATGGATCACAAACCTACTTTTAAAACACAAAACTATAGAACTCTTAGAAGATAACAAGAGAAATCCTAAATGACCTTGGTATGGTGATGATACAACACCAAGGGCATGATCCATGAATTGATAAGCTAAACTTTATTAAAATTAAAAACTCATGTTCTGTGAAAGACATTATCAGGAGAATGAGAAGATAAGCCAGAGACTGAGTTATCTTTGCAAAAGACATATCTGATAAAGGACTATTATCTAAAATATATAAAGAACTATTGAAACTCAATAATAAGAAAATAAACAACCCAATTAAAAATAGGCAAATGACCTGAACAGAAACCTCACAAAAGAAGATATGTAGATGGCAAATAAGCATATGAAAAGATGCTTAATATTGTATGTCATTAGGGCATTGCAAATTAAAACAACAATGAAATACCTTTGCACACCCATTAGAGTAGCTAAAATTCGGGCCAGGCTGGGTGGCTCATGCCTGTAATCCCAACACTTTGGGAGGCTTAGGTGGGCACATCACTTGAGGTCAGGAGTTGGAAACCAGTCTGGCCAACGTGGTGAAACCCCATCTCTATTAAAAATACAAAAATTAGCTGGACATGGTGGCGTGAGCCTGTAATTTTAGCTAATCAGGAGGCTCAGCCAGGAGAATTGCTTGAACCTGGGAGGTGGAGGTTGCAGTGAGCCGAGTTCACACCACTGCACTCCAGCCTAGGCGACAGGGCGAGACTCCATCTCAAAAAATAAAAAGAAAAAGAATAGCCAAAATCCAAACACTAACACCATAAAATGCTGTGGTGAGCATATGGAGCAAAAGAAACTCTCATTCATGTAAAATGGTGTAGCTACTTTGGAAGACAGTTTGGCAATTTCTTACAAAACTAAACATATTCTTACCATATGATCCAGCAATTGCTCTCCTTGGGTATTTACACAAATGAGTTAAAAATTGACGTCCACACAAACACCTGCACACAAATGTTTATGGCAGAGTTATTAAAAATAACCAAAACTTGGAAGCAACCAAGATGTCCTTCAGTAGGTAAATGTATAAATAAACTGTGGTACACCCAGACAATGAAATATTATTCAGCACTAAAAAGAAGTGAGCTATCAAGCTATGAAAAGACATGGTATGGATGAACCTTAAATGGGTGGTACATAGTCAGAAAAAAATTATCTGAAATGGCCACATATTGTATGATGACAACTATATGGCATTCTGGAAAGGGTAAAACTATGGAGACAGGAAAAGGATCAGTGGTTTATAGGGTTTATGGAGTGGGAGGGATGAATAGTCAGAGCACTGAGGATTTTTAGGGCAGGGAAACTATTTTGTATGATACTATAGTGGTATATTTATAAGCCATTATATATTTGTCAAAACCCATAGAAGGTACAACACCAAGAGTGAAGCCTAATGTGAAGTATGGGCTTTGGTAATGTGTCAATGCAGAAGCATTCAGTTGGACAAATGTAAAACTCTCATGCAGGATGTTGAAAGTGGGAGATGTGCATTTGTGAGGCAGAGAGTATATGGAAAATCTTTGTATTTTTTACTGCGAACCTAAAACTGCTCTAAAAAATAAAGTCTTAAAAAACACAAGCCAGAAACTGTGAGAAAATATTCTTAATACATGTATCTGATAAGGAACTTGTATCATATAAAAGACTTCTACAAATCAAAAATAGACAATCCAATTAAAAAATAGTCAAAAGACAAAAAGACATTTCACAAAAGAAGACATAAAAATGGTCAATACACACATGAAAAGGTGTTCAATATCATGAGTCATCAAGGAAATGTTAATTAAAACCCCACTAAACTTCCACCTTACACCTACAGAAATGGTGAAAACTAAACAAATTGACAATTATCAAATGTTGACAAGGGTGTGATACAAATGAAACTCTCATACACTGCTGGTGAGAGTATGACATAATACAGCCACTTTGGAAAACTGAGAGCTTCTTATAAAATTGTACACCTACCTAATGACCCAGCAGTTCAACTCCTAGGTATTTACCCAAATAGTGAAAATACGTGTTCACAAATAGACTTGCCAGGCACAGTGGCTCATTTTTGTAATCCCAGCGCTCTGGAAGGCTGAGACAGGAGGATTGCTTGAGTCCAGGAGTTTGAGACCAGCCCGAGCAACATGGTGAGACCACTCATCTCTAAAAAAAAAGAAAAAAAAAATTAGCTGGGCATGATGATGTATGCCTGTAGTCCCAGCTACCCAGGAGGATAAGGTGGGAGGATTGAGGGGTGGATCGAGCCCAGGAGGTTGAAGCTGTGTTGAGTGGTGATCACACCACTGCACCACTTCAGCCTGGGCAGCAGAACAAGACCCTGACACACACACACAAAAAGACTTGACCAATGGTGTTAATAGCAGCTTTATTCCTAATAGTCAAAAACTGGAAACAAACTCAAATATCTCTCAAAAGGATTATGAATGAAAAATAATTGTGGTACACTTGTACAATGGAATATTATACAGTGATAAAATGGAATGAATTACGAATACAACACCATGAATCCCTAAAACATTAAATGGAGTTAAAAACAGATTAAAAACAATACATATTGTATAATTCCGTTTATGTGACTTTCAAGAGCAGATAAACTAACCCATGGTGACAAAAAAGAATTCAGAACAAGACTGTATATGGGGAAAGGGAGACTGATTGAAGGAGGGCATGAAAGAACTTTCTAGGGGTGACGGAAATGTGCTATGTCTTGGTTGGGGTATTGATTACATGGATACATGTATTTGTTAAAATTCATTCATTTGTATACTTAATAGATGTACATTTTACTATATGTAAATATTACCTTCATAAGAAAGAAATATGACCTTATGGTTACTCTAAACTGGCCAAACAAGATATATCACTTATGCATCTTTTTTGGTGCCCCTACCCCCCACCCCCACCCCCATGCCTAGAAGGGAGTTCAGGATAAAACGAATGCTCAACACACAATCAAGGAAAGTTCTAAAAAAGGAACCAATTGCTTTGGCTGTTTATAGACAATGCAATGAGGTATTCAGATAGCTTCTATTAGGTGTGTGTTTAGTTTCCTACAGATAACTCCTTATAGAGTGAGGGATTTTTCTTCTGGTTTTGAGTAAAGTAACTTTCTTTGGCACTCAATCACATGTATGTGTGGACATGTGTACATATCTGCAGTACGACTGAAGGTCTTTGATTGTTCACCTGCAGCAGAAACTGTCTAAATTGACTTCTTCTCTCTCTTTTTTTTTTTTCTAGACAGGGTCTGGCCTCCCTAACCCAGGCTGGAGTGCAGTGGCATGATCTCAGCTCACTGCGACCTCTGCATACTGTGCTTAAGCCATCCTTCCGCCTCAGCCTCCTGAGTAGCTGGGACTCCAGGCACATGCAACCACATCTGGCTATTTTGCAATTTTTGTAAAGACAGGGTTTCGCCATCTTGCCTAGGCTGGTCTCGAACTCCTGGACTCAAGGGATCTGCCAGCGTCGGCCTCCCAAAGCACAAGGACTAAAGGCGTGAGCCACCTGTGCTCTGCCTAATAATTTTTAAAAATGTATCTTACCACGTAAATGTATTGTGAAACCATACTGAAAACTAAATCACAAGTACTTGTAGTATCATTGCTCAGTTGATGATTTTCAATATCATTTTCTCTCAGAGAGAAAGGACTGCATATTTATTCTCTGTTGCATATTATTATTGTAGTGACGATGTCTTGCTAACTCTAACTCCTGGGTTCAAGCAGTCCTCCTGCCTTAGCCTACCAAAGTTCTAGGATTAGAGGCCACTGGCCTGGCCCATATTGTATACTTTTAATTTCCAAGATTATTCCTAAACTAAAGCATTTATAATATTTTTTTCTCCACTAATGCTTTTAAAATTTTTGAAAAATAAAAAGGTTTTATAACTGTGCATCCAAAATTCATTTTGGGCTAATGTGGAAAATTTTTTTTCCTTAAGCATACATACATCATTAAAATGAAATTTTTTTCAATACTTAAATGTGACTTCAAATAATAGAGTTTTTAAGACACTGGTTTAATTAAAATAAAGCAGATGACAGACAAAGATGTGTTATTGAATTCTAGCTATGAAAATGTGATGTCTAAACTCCAGACGAGAATGGAGCAAAAGGGGATGTGTAGATGTGAATATTTACATGTTGAAGCTATATTTTCCAAGAATGTTTTGCTTTAGATTAAGTAAAAACTACCAGAAAATCATGGATCTTTTGGAAAATGAAAATAATTGAGTTTCAAAAGCCAGAAGTTTCAACAACTTCCAGATTAAGAAGTGGAATCCCACTTAATTTGAAAAGATGATTGGAAAAGTTTTATTCTAGTGTACAACTAGCATAAAAGGAAACTTCTGAACTACCTAGAAGTCTTGATTCTCTACTTTCAAGTTGAGGCCACATTCCTGTGCTCTCGTCTTAAACATCTGGTTTAAGTTCTTGCCATATGCGATAAATCAATGCATAACAGATAATAAATTTGGAAGGTTGTATTCCTATAGGCTTTGGCTTCTATTCACTTAGCCTCTGCAAATTTGATGATTTCTCCATCTTAGTTTATCTGTGGATAACTACCAAGAGAGGGCCCCAAACACAGATTGTCCTTTGGAATGAAGAGCTTATCTCCAAAGGCAATCAATCAGCAGGAAACTTGAAAAGACCAATCTCTGCTACCGTGTCTTTATGAGCTCTGGGAAACTGACCCCACCATTTCATGGAGCTAGGCTCCTTGCCCTATAGTCCTTTTTACCCAAATATGTTTAGTAATAGAGGTTTTTTATTGGAGTATAATAGGAATATTCACTATGTGGTTTATTCAGAAATTTATTCTTTTATTTTAGTACAAATATTCCAAAAAAAAACCCCAAAAAACCTGAGCAGTATTTTATTAGTTAAAGCAGAGCCATCAGTTACGAAAAGGCAGTTTAGAATAGTGGTTAAGGGTGGGGTCAGGCGTGGTGGCTCACACCTGTAATCCCAGCACTTTGGGAGGCTGAAGCTGGTGGATCACCTGAGGCCAGACATTCGAGACCAGCCTGGCCAACATGGTGAAACCCTGTCTCTACTGAAACTACAAAAATTAGCCAGGTGTGGTGGCAGGTGCCTGTAGTCCTAGCTACTTGGGAAACTGAGGCAGGAGAATCGCTTGAACCCAGGAAGCAGAGGTTGCAGTGAGCCAAGATCACACCATTGCACTTTGGCTTGGGGGATACAGCGAGACTCCGTCTCAAAAAAAAAAAAAAAAAAAGAATAGTGCTTAAGAGAATGGATTTGCCCACACTGTTATTTTGAGGTGACTCAGGTTAAGTATTAAGATGCTTTAAACCTTTATTTTCTAATGCATAAAGTGGTAATACTGAAGGTAATTTCCTCATAGGATTGTGAAGATTCAGGGAAATGACACTTACAAAATACTTAGCACTGTACCTGACACAGAGTTTATGAGGTTGTTTGCTATTAGCACAGTTGTGAATTTGCCTATAACTCTTCTAATTTCCAGGATTAAAACTAATGTTGCTGTGACTAGAGCCCTATGAGAGATGCTATTCCATAGTGTGTAATTAATAATGAGCTGTAAGGGGCAGTTATTCCTATTGCCTTTACTCGTATTGGCCTCATAACATTTGTTATGTGCCTCTTCCCCCCATTAGATGCTGGGTTCTTCAAGGATAAGGTTTATATCTTACATCTCTCTAAATTAGTCTGGTGATTTGTTGACTCTTAATAAGGGAATAATGTATAAATGAAATGTATGCAAATACACTTAAAACATTAATTTTACATTTGAATTATTTTGTGGTTTTAAGTAATTATAAAGAATATGTTCCTTTAATTCCCCTGGGACTAGTAAAGCAACATTGATATTACAGCTACAAATAAAAAGACAGTTAACATCATATATTACTCTTTGTTTACATTTCGAAAAGGAAGTCTGGTTTGGGCATTTGATATTTGAGATACCTATCAGACATCTAAAGGAGGGGTGAATAAGTAGAGGAGAGGACTGTAAGTCTGGAGAAACTTCTGGGGTCTTTAAGTTTGGAGAAAATTGAAAGTTGTCAACACATGGATGGTACTTAGAGCCATGTGACTGAATAGGATTACCCAGAAAGAGAATATAAAGTAAGAGGGGAAAAAGGTCCTAAGACTAAATCCTGGGACATTCCAAAACTTTAGGGTTTGGGGTGAATGATGAGAAGCCAGAAAAGAGACTGAGCTGGAGTGGGTCAGAGAAATTAGGAGAACCCAGATAAAGTCCAGTCATTATATGTCCAGATCTCACTGTCCCTGGCTCTTTTCATCTCACTCATTGATTCCTCACATCTATCTCAAAGCTTTTGTTTCCAATTTTCATGAGCTGTTTGCATCTGCATCTCTTAACTGACCCTCTGTTTTTCATGACCCTCACCAATAACTTTGGGTTTTGCATGTGTCTTTAGAATTGGCCCACTTATAACTTTAGAACCTAGAGTCTAGGTCAGGGGTATCCCTTTGCCAGCCTCAGCTCACATCACCCATACTGCACCTATCCCTTATTCCCCACTACACTTGCCATCCTCTCCACTGGAGGAGGAGGTATAGCTGTTCTTTATGTTCTTGGCTTCAGACCCCCAATTCAATTTTCAAGTGAGTCTCTTGTACCCCATTAAACTTATACTGAGCCCTACTTTCCCAACTTCCTGCTTGCCTGTGTATTCGGTTCTTGCTCCAGCTCTGGGCATTTGGCCACTTTGGACAAATCTCCTGCCCTTTTCAGCCAGTCCTGGGGTCCCTCTATGTCTGCATGACCCTCACCCCACTCTACCCTAACTGCAATGGCCAGTGTTCTTGCTGTGACCTCTCGAGCCATTTGCACCAGATTTGGAGGGAGGTCAAGTCTTCTGAAACAAGCCTAATGCATCGTTGAAACTTTTCACCATATGGTGATATCAAAACATCTGAAAAATTAAAACCCCCTTGAATAGAGGTGTATAAGATGGGAAATTCAAATAGTAAATTCTCAACCTACCATGTGTAGTTGCTTCCAGCAATCACGTGTTAAATCAGTAGGAATTTCTTGAGCGAGTGCTAAGGAGACTAATTAGCAAAAAACACCTGATATTTTCCCTAGAGATTGTGGGATATAAATTAGTAGGAGGAGAATTGAGTCCCAAGATAATTATATAGGTCCTAGAACTCTTTGCTGCTATTTGAGGGATCTATAGTCATTGGTTGGTCTCTGTTTAGCCTAAATTCTTACTAAATAGGGTAAGGAATGTTTAAGGGAGTAGAGATTAAGGTCTAATAATAAGCCATTTGAATGCCTGATTTTCAGGGACGCTACACAACTAGACCTGCAGAAACAAGGAATTTTGAAGTTATAGCTTTTCTGTTTGTTTTGGCTGATGATGCCTGATCTAGAACAGCTGTTTTCTTTACCACCGTCTCGCAGTTAATAATAGGTAGATATATGTTAAAATTTTCACTCATTTTTATTAGATCAGTTTGCTTTTTATATGTAATTGTGTCTTTACCAATTTTGTAATAAAACACAATTTTTTATTTCATTGGGAAGCATTCAAATCAGTACAGAAATGAAGAAATACTTTAGAAATTGAAAGTGTTCAGAAATTCTCCTCAAATGCAATCCCTTTTAATAGTTTCATGCACATTCTTTTGAGTTTTTTTGTACTATAAAAATAAGATTATATGGAACATACTGCTAACTTGATTTTTTACTTATTAATATATCTTTAATATTTTTCTATGTTAGTGCTTGTGGCTCTATCTTGTTCTTTTTGACAGCTATATGATGTATTCTTTATGGAACCAAAATTTACTTAGCCAAAAAAGTGGGTTATTTTCAATATTTTACAAATACAAGTAACACAAAAATTAACACCCATGTACACATTTCTTTGCACACTTGTGTGGGTACTTCTGTGGGAGAGAGTTCTAGAATTGGACATTTCTTAGGCTAGAAGATATACATATTTAAAATTTTGAGAGGACAGGCATGGTGGCTTATGTCTGTAATCCCAGCACTTCAGAGGCTGAAGTGGGAGGATTGCTTGAGCCCAGGATTTCAAGACCAGGCTGGACAACATAGTGAGACCCTGTCTCTACAAAAATTTCTTTTAAAAAATATGTTTAAAAGACGAATTTAAAACTTTTTAAAAATTTTGAGAGATAACCACAAAATTGCCCTCTTAAAAGGTTGTATCATTTTTATGAACATCAGTAATGTATGCAATATCTGTGTTTATAAACATTGAGTATTATGATTCCTTTAATATGGTTAAGTAGAGGCCGGGCATGGTGGCTCACACCTGTAATCCCAGCACTTTGGGAGGCCGAGGCAGGCAGATCACCTGAGGTCAGGAGTTCAAGACCAGCTTGACCAACATGGTGAAACCTTGTCTCTACTAAAAATACAAAAATTAGCTGGGCATGGTGGCAGGTGCCTGTCATCCCAGCTACTAGGGAAGCTGAGGCAGGAGAATCACTTGAACCCGGGAGGCAGAGGTTGCAGTGAGCCGAGATCGCACCACTGCACTCCAGCTTGGGTGACAGAGTGGAGTCACCCAAAAAAAAAAAAAAGGTTAAGTAGAAAATTGTTCCTATTTAAATGTACATTTTCTAAATGTTATTGTAATGTTTAAAGCAGATATTTTTAGTGACTGCTTTTTACAAATTGGAGTTATTATTATTACTCAAAACCATACCAAAAGTATCTTGGGGATAAGATATTTGTGTGTGTGTGTGTGTGTGTGTGTGTGTGTACACACATATATGCACACACACAGAAAGGCACATATATACATATATTATGTAAATGTATATTGCATTGTGTCAACTGCTTGGACCCACATAAAGATGAATAATGACCGGTGTTGAAAGATGAATAACGACATGGTATCCTCATGCTAGGATTAGTGATATACTACTAATGTATGTTTGCTTGGACTAGTAGTTTGTGGCAGGGCAGGGATGTATTTGCATACTACTAATCCAAGTGAGTGAACAGGGGAAAAAGACAAATGCTAAATGTGGTCTAAGTATAGAACTAGTCAAATTTCAAGTTCCAATTGGAATATAAGGATTAATGTATAGCATTTTAAACTTTTACTTTTAAATGATAGTGTATTTTGATAGGATTCTTTAAAATCAACATCTAAATACAGTTCTACATGTTGATAGTTCACCAAGAAAAAACTTTCCTGTTGGGCATTATTTTCCTTTAGGTAGTTGCAACATTATCACGTAACATAACATGGTGACCCAAAATCCTGACCTAAAATCATTCCTCTAGTATTCAATACCAATGATGTCAACCTCATTGCTTCTCAGTTTTTTCCCACTTCTTTCTGCATTTGTTGATAGAGAAGAAGGTACTTTTTTCTGTGCCATGAATGGCATAGAGAAGAAGGGTTTTTTTCTGTGCCATGAATGGGAGTACCATGAATTATGTTTGTGACACACGCTTGTAATGCAGTTTACATATACTATGTGTCAAACCCCAAGCTAAAGGCTGGGTTGAAGATATGGCCAAATCAAATTAAAGGGCCAAGTCAGAAAGTGAATAGGTTGGCAACTAGCTAAGAACTGATCATGTGGAAGAAGAGACAGCTGCACTAAGAACAGGCCCACAGCAGTCTTTAAAATTTTAGGAAAGGGTCCAACTAGGGCAGCTAATGTGATAACGTCCAAGAACGAAGAATGATAGCTAAGGATGTGTACATGCCAAGAAGTTATGGAATTGGAAATCCGCTAACTGAATATAACACTGTTACAGAACAAGGATTAGTTATAGTTACATCAGCGGAGAAGTGTTAGAGAGGGACACAAGGTGGTGCATTAGGCCCCCATATACCCCTAACAGGACACTATGACAAGAGGAGACATTTACAGCTAGCTTTACGCCATCTTACTCCTTATGTGTTAGTCTTCATAATACATACAGAACGACAGTCAGTTCTGATCTTATAAGCATGACCTATGAAATGTGTTTATTTTTTAAAAAATGATAAAACAAAAATTTTCCATGGAAAGACTAGAAGTATAGCACACAAAACCTTAATATTATAGGTTGACCACAATGGTTTTTCAAATTCACCTAGATTATAACCTACTTTAGCATGTTTTTTAATATATATTTAAGTGGTTTGCTTTTGTGGGTTATGAAATGCTAATGTCTCAGCAGATGGATACTGCAAGAGTTTCCAAATCTTGATATAGTCTAAAATAAAATTAAATTATCTTATATGGGTGGGATTTGGCAGTTCTTTTAAATTATTTACTAAAAAATATTTCTACGAACTGTATTAGATAGGAGATGTCTTTACCCTCCATTCCCTCACCTCACAAAAAATCATTCTGGCACTATGCTTCTCTTAAGAAGGGAAAAACTAAGATGTCCACAAAGGCAGTCTGAGCGAATCGTAACTTGATTTAAATATTTTGCACTCTTCATCTGTACTTTCCCATTGGGATCTTCTATCCTTCTTTACTGGAGGAATTTCCACTTCAGTGCTGAGTTTCAATCTGAATCATCTATTCCTTATTAACTTCCAGAATGATTGTTGATGTTCCTAGATCAATGCCAAAGCACAAACCTCATCTCTCACAGTAACCATTTTGAAAGAAAAAAAAATCTGCAAAGGTTTATGTGAATGGAATGAACTTTCTTCGTACTAGAAGCCAGTAATTACTGAAAGCCAGTAATTAAATCATACTTTATTTTATATTTGAAAATGGATATCACAATAGTATACACTTCCATTATGAACTATAAAGAAACAGCTATCCATGCTGCATCAGAATGAAAACTTTAATTCACCCTTTTGGCTTTTCAAACACGTTAGTTCATTATTTTAATAAAATGCACTAACAGATGTTAGGCAGAATGTGGCCACATCTGGGACATATAAAATACCATTCCAAATCTCCATGGGAGGGAAATAGCAATATTGTTTAGTTTTCCTCAAAAGTCTTTCTAACTAGCCCATCTCATTTAACCTGTTTAACTCCTTTAAGTTGGACAGTTAGCAAATAAAATATCACCTATTATTTTGGTTGTTTGGGGAATAGAAAAAGGAATTAAAGTGCCAAGGGAAGTATCACAAATAGAAATGCACTGTGCTGAAATACAAATAAAACTTCACTAGAGCTTGTGGCTAGAGCTATATTTTTTCAGCTGAAAAGGTCGTAAATCTCAAGTTGCCTGCTTCCTGGAGCCACCCTGAATTATAGGTCTCTCTAGGCCTTTCTACAATGTCCCCACTTAACTTGGCTCTTTCAAAGAAAGCACAACACATCTAAAAGATGGCAAATAAAGATTTTGGTAGAGGATATATTTCAACAATAGTATCTATACATAGTGGTTAAATCCCAAGCTCCTCCAGTCTTCTAGCTTACCTTTTACTTTTATTTTTGCTTTTTCTCTAAAAGTAAGTTTTCTAAGAAGATAAAACCATCACCTGCTAGTTTCCTATTAATGTATCAGCTTCTTGAAAATCATCTTGGCTGGGCATGGTGGCTCACGCCTGTAATCCCAGCACTTTGGGAGGCTGAGGCGGGCAGATCACTTGAGGTCAGGAATTCAAGACCAACCTGGCCAACATGGTGAAACCCCGCTTCTACTGAAAATATAAAAATTACCCAGGTGTGGTGGCACATGCCTGTAATCTCAGCTATTCGGGAGGCTGAGAAAGCAGAATCGCTTGAACCGGGGAGGCAGAAGTTGCAGTGAGCTGAGATTGCGCCATTGCACTCCAGCCTGGGCGTCAAGAGTGAAAGTCTGTCACAAAAAAAAAAAAAAAAGAAAAAAAAAAAAAGAAAATCATCTCTAGCTTCTTGAAAAAATACTACACTGAGGATTGGGATAAATGATAATGTTGAGAGGAAACTCCAGAGATGTTTGACTCATATACCACTTACTAGAAAGAAGAAAGATACTGCAGTTGTGTATGCAGCACAGAGTGGCAAGGCAGATGTGGCAGAATGGAATATATCTGGCACTTGGAGTCAAATGACCAAGGTCTGAGCCTCAGCTCTGCCACTTACTAACTCAATGTTTGGGAGAGTTATTGAGCTGCAGAAGTCACATTCCTGTCCTCCATAAAGTAGGAATAATACCTTGGAAAACTGTTCTGAAAATTCATGAAATAACAGATCTAAAGTTTCTTTATAAACTGTGATGCATACATAGCTTAGCATTAACAGGTGATTGGTGGCCTGCAGTCTTCATCTCAGATGAGCTGATAACCATTAAATACTTCAAGCATGACTGAAAATAAATGTATATGGTAGAGATAGAATAGGCAAGTGTGAATTTCCATTTAAGACACACTGCCTAAGCAGAGAAAGCCTCTGGAGAGACTAAACAAACTCTTGACAGAAACGTCCTCTGTTAAGTAATGAAAGTGAAGCAAACCAAGCTCATATGTGCTATTCTATTTCATATACACACTGGAGTCAAAGAATCCCATTCTTTCATTCTCTTAACACCTATTTATTGAGCATCTACTAAGTGCCAGCACTGTGCTAGTCTCTAGGTATCTGCTGGTGAACAAGATTTTTGCTTTCAAGGAACTCATATCCTAGTTATATTAATGTTTTTATTCCAAGTACTTAACAAAGTGCTTGGCACATACTAGATGCTCAATAAAAGCTGGTTGAACTAAACTAGTTTTAATTTTGTAGCCTGACTATAGCAGAATACCAGTTAAGAGGTGATTTTTTCTTTCATTTTTTTTTTTTTTGGATATGGAGTCTGGCTCTGTCACCCAGGCTGGAGTGCAGTGGCATGATCTCAGCTCACTGCAACCTCAGCCTCCCAGGTTCAAGCAATTTTCCTGCCTCAGCCTTCCGAGTAGCTGGGATTACAGGCGCCTGCCACTACACCCGGCTAATTTTTGTATTTTTAGTAGAGACGGAGTTTTGCCATGTTAGCCAGGCTGGTCTCAAACTCCTGACCTCAGGTGATCCACCGGCCTCGGCCTCCCAAAGTGCTGGGATAACAGGCCTGGGCCGCCATGCCCAGCCAAGAGGTGATTTTTATGATCACTTAGAGATACCTACCCAATTCATCATGTAGTTAACCTGATACTACTTCTGAAGTGTTAAAGGAAGACAATTTTTTTTTAACTAGAATTCATCTAGTCATCACCCATAATATACTTCTATTATGTAGTGTTAATTTAATGTTCCTCTACTTAAAATACAAATATCACTTCCAATTAGCACATTTAACATGCAGATAGAGTGTTACTAGAAAATGTTTTTTAGAACGATATCTGTTATGTCAGGTCAAAACATTAGCAAAAATAATGTGGTCTGGATATGTGAATCACTACTGATATATTTACTATGGAGTTTACATCGATATAATATACGATTAAAACAACAGGGAAGAAAATGGAAAGTCCACTCTATTTACATGGCAGTCAACTCTTAATAAGTAAGAGAGTTTACTTTTGAACGCATAACTTTCTTGGGGTCACTCAAGAGAACCAGTGTTACAGAATAAAACCTCTTAGAATTTTCCCATGGCATCTAGGAACCTAGTGGTGAGGTCAGGGTGGCTGACGTTAGCATTGTTCACCAATGTCCCCACTTCTCTTTCTGAACTCAGTTCAAGGACTCAGTCCCTTTGCAGATGTGTGGGGCTGTACAACCAGTTCTGGGCAATGAAATGTGATCAGTGCTCTCTTTTCCAAGCTAAGGCTACGAAAAATTCACGGGGATTCTTTAGCCATTTTCTTCCTCTGCTGCAGAGAATAAGTTTCTGTGTTCCAGGGTGGTACAGCTACAAGATGGTGGTGTCTCTATCAATCTGGTTCCTGGAGTGACCAGAACAGAGTGAGTTGGATCCACATGAAGCATGAAGCATAACCAAACAATAACTTTTGTTGTGTTAAGGCATGTAGATTTTGGAGATGTTTGTTACTATACCATAACATAACCTTTCCTGATTAATATAGTCAGAGAAGATCCAGTGCCAAGTTTCTGAGTAAGAGATAAAATAGATAAAATGAGTTCCATTAATTTGTCAGTAGTGTTTTTCATATTAAGGATGTTAGCCTGAGGTCTAGCTTTTTAATCACATTTAATCCAGATATCCCATAAGTTTTCCGTTTTTCCACTAATTCTCCTGTGAGTCTTTTTTAAGCACTATATTTAACTTTCATCCATAAAGTTCCTGCGCTTTCTACAAATCATCACTTTTCTCAACATCAATTGAATTGCTTAATCTAACCACACATCATGATTTTCAAAGGCATTTTAATTAGAGCAAAAGTTCTAAATTATGAACACCTGTCTTCCTTTAATTGAACTACACATGCACTCGTCATGAAGGAAGAAGGGAGATGCTTCTGCAACTGCACTGTTTCTAGAAAGTGGACTTTCACAAGAAGGGAGAAGCAGAGCTTCCCTGATTATTTTGATTTTGTTGTTGTTGTTGTTTTGTTTTGTTTTGAGACGCAGTCTCGCCGAGACACCCAGGCTGGAGTGTCATGGCGCGATCTCGGCTCACTGCAACCTCTGCTTCCCAGGTTCAAGCGATTCTCCTGCCTCAGCCTCCCGAGTAGCTGGGACTGCAGGCGCGTGCCACGACACCTGGCTAACTTTTTTTTGTATTTTTAGTAAAGACAGTTTCACCATATTGGCCAGGCTGATCTCGAACTCCTGATCTCAAGTGATCCGGTGGCCTTGGGCTCCCAAAGTGCTGAGATTACAGGCGTGAGCTACCACACCCAGCCTTTTTTTCTCCCCCCACATTGGAGGAAGAGTTTAACCTTGAAGGGCTTGTAGAGTCAGATAACTGTCACTTGTTATTTAAAGTTATAGATAGTAGGCAAAAGCTTTCAAGCCACTGAAAAAGAATAATGCTTGTTTTCTTTGATGGATTGTTAGGTAGCATATATAATGTGCTGTATTTAACACCTGTCCTTTTTCTTTCCACCCATCCAAGGCGTCAAAGGCCATCTTAAATCCCGGCTCCTCAGGAAATCATCCCCAAACACACCAGCTGGAATTGATATTTTTCTTTTCCAAATTCCTATGTAAATTCATGTCATTTATTTGGAATTGCTTATAGAGAGTTTCAGAGCGTTAAAGAACTGGAAAGGACCTAGGATTCAATACAATTCTCTCATCTCGCAGACGAAGAAAATGAAGTGCAGAGGAGCTACGCAATCTACGTAAGTCACATAGACACACATTGGAGGCTATGAACCTAGTTTGCCCAATTCCCACTGCAGTCCATTGGTTTATGCCTCTATGCCTTCAGATTTACGGTCTGGTATTGCTGGTTATCTTCTCAAGAGAACATGACATCTCAACAATAGTACATATAGAGATCAGGGAACTTTCAATTCTTCGTTACTTCTTCAGCTCATAATTTATATGCATTAAATGTCGGATAATTTACTGGAGACTAACTGGCTGTGTTTTAGGTAATGATTACATCTATTAATCTATTACTTCGTAAATCCTCAAGTTCAGAAGGTAACACTGGAAGGGGCCAAGGAGGTAGGAATAAAGCAGCAGCAAGGTAAATAGTAAGAGCTGATGACCACAATCAGAATGTTAAGCTAAGTTTAGAGTGGAAGGTCATTTTCCCAGGAGCAATTACACTTGCAGTTTTATCCTGCAAGGATGAAAAGTGTATGTTTGTTGTACGAGAGCGGAAGGGTGCCGAAGTTCATGTGAAGTTCTGCAAACCAAAGCCTGATGAGGATTTCCGCCGGGTGGGACAGGTTTAAGAGGACGAACTCATGAGAAAGAAGTCTGAGCCCAAACCCCAGAAGCCGGCCAGGAAGGTGTAAAGGGTGGGCCGAAGCCAGGGCAGAAGAACCCAAGCAGAAGGTTGAGCACGAGGTGGCTGCGCCGTCATCCGGGCGTTGCCCGGGGGCTACGTCGGACCGCGGTGGGCGCCGGGGGGGCGTGGCCGGCCAGCCCAGGGCGGGGCGGTGGCGCGGGTTCTCCAGGCCAACACGCGGCGGCGCACCCTCCCTCGCGCCGCGGGCCTCCCCGCGCCGTGCACGTCCTCGTCCCGCGCCTCCGCCCCTCGCTCGCTCGCTCCTTCCCGCCCTCCCCGCAGCGCCGGCCGAGCCGGCTTCCCCTCAGTCTCTCATGAATATTGAGCGGCCCCTGTTGTATTTCCCGAGCTCCATTGCGGAAGCTGAGGCTCGCCATATTGTGCGGCGGCGCCGGCGTCCGCGGCAGCTGATACCAGAGTCTTGCTCCGGCCGCGGCCAGCGGAGCCCTGGGCTGGGGCAGGAGCCGGTGAGTGGGGCGGGCGGGGAGGCGAAGGACGCGGAAGCAGCGGGCCGGGACACGCGTCTACTCGGCAGCGTTGCAGGCGACTGACGGGGGCCCCGGAGTGTGGGGGGGGTGTGTGTCCGCGGGGGTGTGAAGGGACATGGCGCCGCCGCCGCCCCCGGCCGCTCTCGCGGCGGAGACGGCGGGTGAAGCGGGTTCTCATTGTTCCCGTGTCTTCGAGGGTCGTGGGAGGGAAGGGAGCTGGTTTGCGGAGGACCCAGTCAGCGAAGCGCCGGGATTCCTTCCTTCGCCGCGAGCCTTTCGCTGCCCTTTCCTCTGCGCGGAGGCCGGCGCTGCGGCGCGGTCCCCTCGCCTCCGGGGGCGGGGGCCCCAGCCTCTCTGCAGCCCTACTCCGGAGGCGGACGGAGTGGAATGCGAGTTTTTTCTCTGGGCTTTCGCCTCGCAGCTAGGGATGTGTGTCTGCATCGTGGGGGTGGGGTAGGGGGCACTTTGTGCAGATATCGCTCCTTCCTTCTGGGGGGTCGGAGTCGGGGTTCCAGTGTAGAGGAGCTCCTCGACCTCGGGGTTCCTCGGGGAGACCCCTTCAGCTTCACACATTCCTGGAGTGCCGCCTCCTGCTCTGGAGTATCTGTTGCTGCTTTCTAAAACCGTGAGCTTACCCAGGAGGAGTCGTGGGGGGAGGGGGTGTCTTGGTTAGTTTCTGCGGGAAGATTCGCGTTTTGAACCGTGTCGTTTACGCTGAGATGCTAGTACCCACTTTTGCCGGGAGCCCACGTCCTGCTGGTCAGAATCGTTTACCTTCTACAGAAGTCTCCTTCTTGCTTTCAGAGATGGTGTTAGTAAAAATTGATCTCAAACTTTGAGGTTCATTCCAGTTATTTGCCCGCTAAGATCAATTATAGACTCATCTATTTGAAGCCCCTTTGGGTATCTTTTTCGAGGCTGTCGGAAGTTTTAGAGAATGTAACTTTACATTGTAAAATGATTTGAAGATGTCAGGTTTCTTTGAAGTGCCGTGAAAAGGATATACATATGCACTCAGTATTTTAGTAATACGCTGTTTTTCAATTAAAAAAATTAAGGCATGGTTTCAGTGTTCTAAACCGAGGATATGTTTAAAACGAATGTACGAGCGATTTGCATTACATAATCTACTTTTGGTAATTCCAAGATGATCAGCTGGAATACTTAGTCTAATTGGTAGCTAATCTATCTGTTTTGTATTAAGTGCAGTTGTTGAATATTCTAATAACTGAGGTGGGTGTGAGAGTTTGCTTCTTATAGTGAAATTTGATCCTTGGATTTATAAAGTATTTAAATAGCAGCAATATGACTCTTGGTTATTCCCTTTTTCCCCTGAAATTTCTACTTTTCACAATCAACAAGTATCTTTAAAAATCTTGATTGTACTCTTAAACTACTTTTTAGCAAAATAATAGGTAGTTATAGGTGACTCCTTTTTCTAGGGGTAGCACAGCAAATATGGTCCCTCACTTTTTGTAAGGATTGTAGTTATTTTCCTCAGGTATCCTTGTGGCATCCACATTTGAGGTTAATTATAGTAGAGGCAGATTTACGAAGAAAAATTGCCCGAGTCAGGCCAATCCGTTTGAGTATTTGAAAAATAAGCTAGTTGTCCTAAAGTGTGTTGCATAGAAAAATTTCCAGTTACAATCACTAACATAATGTAGACCATGCAGACTTTCAAAATACTGGGAATTTGGAGTTTTTCTCTGCCTGTGTGAAGCTCCCAGGTTTGAATGGATAGAAATATAGACCAGGTCAGCAAACATGTTTGGAATTTTATTAGTGACCTACAGTTTGTGGTGTCACGTCTGTGTCTCTAATCTGATTTATTCATGATTTGTGTTTATATTATGCAGACTTTGGAGTAAAGGTGATATATATGCCTAATGAATAATATATAACCAGATGTTTCAGTGACAGTTTCATTTCTATACATTAGCAAAGAAGCATAATTTCTTCCAGCAAGAGAAATGAGTTAATATTAAAACGCACTTTATTAAAATTATGGCAGTGTTTCTAGTATGACTTAAAGCGCTTCATAATTTTGAAATGACTCATTAAATTCTGGATAAACTAAAAATCCATCACAGTTTGCAGCTTTTAAAAGAAAAATAAGAGATTATGTACTCTGCGCACGTACACATCTACAATTGGTTTTTAATTCGTGTTATTGCACACACTGTAGAAGACATTGTCATCAGACAATGGTTAATTTCTCGATTGATTCATTTATTTGACATCTAAGCTGTCATAGTAACTTAGTGTTTATTTGCATTTAATACTGAGTAGGTGCCCATATAATTTGGGGTACAAAGGTATAATAGCATTTACACAGTCCATTCCTTAAGGGTCCAGATATCCTGACTGTTTGCCTACTGGTCTTCTACCCTTTCTACCTAATGTGTCTACTGGGTCTTCTGGTATTTCTTGGGGGAAGCGCAGTTTGATTGGTCTTACATAAATATTTTGACTGTGGTCATGGGACTCTTGGCATTTAAGTAGAAGCTAGTGTTAGTGTGTTGCCAGGCAGGAGCTAGGTGATGAGTCCCTGACTATAGGTGCTAAGAGCGTAGGTGTGACCCATTATCCAGTTTTATGTTGTGTGGAGCAACTCCGGTAGAATTGGCCATGTTCTTAATTCTCCTTTGCTTTACGGTTTTTAGACAGCTGAGGCAGAGTGGTATGATTAGGCTTAGTTATGTATCTTGTTGGATGCTCAAGGAGCTATATACATTACTAAAAATTCTAAGATTTCTATTGCTTAAATTTACTTCTCCCATTTCATTTTGAGAATTAACATGTTTGCCATTTATCATAATTTTTAAAAATCAGTTTATCTGTATTAAGTACAATGGTGAAAAGTTATTTTTGAAATTAACCTTGGGTTAAATTTTCTAATGAGAGCATACTATTAAGTGAAGTAACCAGCCAAATGAAAAACATGTAAGCATTTTGGTCATTTGTTTTCAAAAGATATGTTACTTACGGGCTCTTCTGCAAGGGGGATTTCTTTTTGTTTCTATGCTATAGAGTGGAGTTGTATGAAGAGGTTAGATTCTAAAGTCGATGCATAGAATGAAAATCACATGTAGTAAAAAAAAAAATCATGCTTGAAAATCCCTCAGGAAGGCAGAACAACATACCAATAAGTTCAGCTAAGCTTTGGTGTTGGAACACATTGCAGTTTCTTGGTGTTTCTTTGAGCACTGCGTGAAGTAGTTAGCTTGCATTTAGGGACCTTGCATTTGGGGCGGGGATGGGGGAGGTGCCTTGGGAGGGGAGTGCCTTTAAATTTAAGAATCTGGATCCATTGGGAGGCCGAAGTAGGTGGATCACGAGGTCAAGTGTTCGAGACCAGTCTGACCAACTTGGTGAAACTCCGTCTCTACTAAAAATACAAAAATTAGCCAGGCATAGTGGCGCGCGCCTGTAATCCCAGCTACTCAGGAGGCTGAAGCAGGAGAATTGCTTGAACCCAGGAGGTGGAGGTTGCAGTGCATGCCACTGCACTGCATCCTGGGTGACGGAGCGAGACTCTGCCTCAAAAAAAATCAGGATCTCATGCCACACTATCAGAGGATGTGAGAACTGGGACCACTGGGGAATAGCAGAACATTTACTTTATCATTTCACATTATTTCTAGGATATGTGCTACATTAAAGGAGGTGAGTGTGTGTGTTTGGAATAACTTGCACTTTTAAAATTATTTCTCATTTTCTCTCATTTAAACAGTGTAGTAGTTTAAATCACAAAAATTATTTTTATGCTGCAGCTTAACAGAAGCAAATTTAGAGGGTTTCACGTTATCCTTTATGAAATAGTTTTTATGAAATAACCCAAATTTTGTTTACTTTCCCCTTCAGTGAAGCAACAAGATATCTGAGAGCAGTTAGAATTATTGTTTTACAATGTGCTAGGGTACAGTAGAGAAAACGGAGACTTTAGTAAGAATTTCAACAGAAAGGATTTAATATAGGGAGTTGGTTAGATGAGTGTAAAAAAAAAAAAGCGGGGGAGGGGGGAACATTACAGTAATCAGAACCTAAGAGCTCAGAGAAGAGGTTCTATGGACCCGGTGCTGGACTTTTGAGTAGGTCAGCATTGTGTGCTTGCTGCTAGTACTTATAAAGGCATGTGTTATTGCTGGTTCTGGGAGAACCACAAAAACCTGGAGACTGGAACCATTTGCTAACTGCCAGGGTCAGGGGCTGCATTTGCTACTGACAGGAACTGGAAAGATGTCCCGTCTCCCATCTTCCTGTTTTCCAGTCTTCACTTACTGCTGCTATTGGCAAAGCCTAAGGAGATCCCAGCTGGCAAAGGAGTTGATGAAATATAGTTGCAGTCTCAGCCATAACAACATAGAGTCTGGGAGGGTAGTTTTGGAGTTGAGAGACAATAAGTAAATGATCTGGACGAATAGTGTAGGTTAAGATGTAGTAATTTAAATAGGGAATTCTGTGTTAACGTTGCCTTTCAAAAAGTATTTATCTTCTGTATGCCAGACCCTGTGCAAGGGATTAGGAATAGAAAAATGAATCGAAAAAGGTCTTTGTCCTTGAGGAATTTATAGTGTAAGTGGCAATGACAAACTACTGTACAGTGTTTTCAGTGCAATAGCAAATGAGTGCTATGTTTTGGGAGCCCAAAAGACAGCAACCAACTTGCCTCTTCTCTGCCTACCTAACTTTATAACTACTCTTTTTATCTTCTATCCTGATTAAATCCAATTTCATTCTTTCTGACTGCTATGTTCAACCCAACTCCTGTGAAAGCTTTTTCTGAGATGTCTCAATTTCGTCACATAATTATTATTTTGTATTTCTCTGTGCTTTATTCATCTAGATTATAAAGACCATTGCTTTCTTTGCACTTTTAGCTTAGTACTGTGCACATAGATACTTGAGAAATACTTTTTTCAGTGGCTGATGGAAATAAAATATTGATCATTACCTTTTTAGACATCATTTCTTCCTTCCAAGGTCATTAGAAAATAGTTTGGGTAAAGTGTTACTTGATTTTACAGATAGAAAAATTGAAAGGGTAAAATAGTAAATTTAAACTGCATAGTACCAATAGGTGATCTAAAAATGGGGCTTTGGATTTCTGATCAGCTATCTTTCAGAGCCAGCAATTTTGACAGGCATTCCTTTTGATGGCTAAATAAAATTCTCTCCTACTTCTTAGTATTTTATAAACTGATGTTCTCAATCTCAAGGTATTTCGGTGTGGGATGGGGAGAAATTCCTCATTTCAGTTCCCAAAAATAAAACATTATGTAGTTTCTTAATTGTCCACTCTTTGTTGTCTTTTTTTCTCCTTCCTGTATTGATGACCACTACCTCTATTCGCTATTGCGAAATGTGCAAATCGACAGTACTTCATTTTGACTTTTTAGAAGTGTTCTGCTTGTTTCCCACACCATTCACACACTATGTTGATTTACTTTAAAACCAACTAATTCTTCACTTAAAAAAAAAGATGTATGCCTCCATGCCAGTAATTGCATTAAACCCTCACTATTTACACTGTTTGCTATATAGAGTCTTATTCAGTCTGGGACGGCTGTCTTGGAACCCAGCCAAATGTTTTCTAGAAGGCTTTACTGTATTACAGAAGGGGTAGTATTGTGTATAGTAGGAGTTGCAGAATTGAATGCAGGAGACTTGGTTTCTAGGTCTGGTTCCACTACTAGCAAGATTCTTGGCCTTTCTGAGTCTCTTTTCTTTTGTTAAAAAAAATAAAAAATGCCAGCCTCACTGACTTTACAGATTATTTGAAAAGATATAAGAAGTAATGTACGTAAAGCGGTCTTTGTAAAGAGTAAAGCACATGGTAAGTTTAAGGGGTGTATGTGAAGAAAAAAGTGAGAGTGAGATCCATTGGTCCCTGGCTTGGATCCTGGGGATTGTTTTGTGTCTATTTTCAAGTTGTTGAGTTTCTATATTTAAAAAAGTGTTTAGGGTGGTAATGGGGTGTGGGAGGAGTTGTGGATGTCCTATAACCCTACTTGTCACAAATCTGGTTGGTAGTGCAGCATTCCCCCTCCTTAACTAATTCTTTTTTTTTTTTCATCTTTCAGAATTTTTTATTGAGGTATAACAACTGTATACAAAAATACACACCAATTTTTACATATATATACACACATTTTATGTATATATGTATATACATATTATATATACATGCATATATATATGTAAAAATGTGTGTATGTAAAAAGTCGTATTTGTATTTATACATATATTTATAATATACATATTATATATACATTTTTACATATATATATATATATGCATGCACCCATGTAACACTTCTCAAATTAAGAAGTGGAACATTCTATTACCCAGGAAAGTTTCAGTGTTAGCCTTCCCTGCCAATCCTCTTCCCTCACCTGTGACACCCCCCATTATTTTCCTCCTCGTTTGATCTGACATCATGGAATATCTGTTCTTCCTTCAGACCATTTCAGACTCATTCCTTCCTCCCATTCCTCTTCGGAGACCTTTCCTAATAACTGCAGCACTCTTGACCTCTCCTACCACTAAACCGGAGGTATCCAAAGTAGGGCCAGGCAATCTAGCATGTAACACACAGGTTCCTGGCACCGCTATTCATGATACCCAAAAAATGGAAACAGCCCAAATGTCTGTCAACAGATGAATGGATAAACACAATGTGGTATAAACTTACAGTGGAATATTATTCAGCCATAAAAAGGAATAAAGTACTGACACATGTTACAATGTGGATGAACCTTGAAAATATGCCAAGTGAATGAAACCAGCCACAAAAGGCCACATATTACATGAGTCCATTTCTGTGAAATATCCAGAATAGAAAAATCCATAGATTGGTGGTTGCCAGAGGTTTGGGAGATGGGGATGAAACTGCTTAATGGGTAAAGAGTTTTACTTTGGAGTAATGGAAATGTTTTGGAACTAGGGTTAGTGGCTGCACAAGACTGTGAATGCGCTAAATGCCACTAAATGTTCAATTTAAAATGGTTCATTTCACCCCAGTAAGTTTTTTTAAAAAATGAGGTGACCATCGTTTTAGGTGAGCTGAAAAGTTTGAATGAGGCATAGGCTCCTTGAATTTTTAAGCTGTGAAGTGCTGGGCAAATATCAGCTGGGGATGCTGAAGGAAGGAACAACCAGAGGGTCAGCAAGTGTGGCTTCAAAGCTCTGCCTCAAGTAATGACGGTGATAATAAGAGATGGCTGTACTACAGCTACAGTGCTTAATATGAGCCAGGCACTGTTATAGGTACTTTACATCTAAAACTTACTAAATCCTTAAGAACTCTAAGAGGTGGTATGACATCACATTTCCATTATAGACAAGGAAACTGAGGAATTAAGAAGTTTAAATGAGGTCTCCAAGACACAGGAAATGACATAGTCCACATTTGAACCTAGGCAAGTCAGGCTCTAGACATTGAAGTCTCAACCACCAGGCTCTGCTCTAGGAACTCTCCAGGTTTTATCTCATTTAATCCTTTATTAAGGAAGGTATTATTGTTATTATTCCCATAAAAAAATCCCCTTCATAGTCTCCCCACATTCCATGCCTTCTAGTTTTCCCCCTACATTTATTTTTATGTTGATCCACATACTCCTGTCATTATTTTCTCACTTTGCTTCATTTTCCTTTTTTTCTTTTTCTTTTTTTTTTTAAGAGACAGGATCTTGCTATGTTGCCCAGGCTGGAGTGCAGTGAGGCAATCATAGCTCACTGCAGTCTCCAACTTTGGGCTCAAGTGATCCTCCCGCCTCAGCCGCCTTTGTAGCTGAGATTATAGGAGTGTGCCACCATGCACTAATATTCTTATTTTCTTTCTTTCTTTTTTCTTTATTTTTGTAGAGATCGGGGTCTCATATTGCCCAGGCTGGTCTTGGACTCCTGGTCTCAAGCAGTCCTCCCTCCTTGGCCTCTCAAAGTGCTGGGATTACAGGCTTTGGCCACCACATCCAGCCTGAATTTTATTATTTGCATTTTCTTTTGCTCTCCCATTACTAGAAGGCAGGGATTTTAATTACTGTTGATTTCCCAATATCCAAAACAATGTGTGGTACGTAATAGGCTCTCAATAAATATCTAAAAGGAGTAGTGCACGTGACATTAAGTAGTATTAGGTCTTGTGTGCCTGTGTTTTAATAAATAAGATTATATAATGTGCAGTGTTCTGCTTTTTAAACTTAATGTCTTGTATTAAAAAAAAAAGTCACTACCTAGATGTAGCTCATTCTTGGATGGATGTTAGTAACCCGGATTGAATGTAGCAGCGTTCACTTAACCAGTTTCCTGTTAATCTACATTCCCCCCCCACCCAGTGTTTCTCTAGCACGCAAACAATATGGCATTAAACATCTTCACAAATGACTTTTGTATATGTGTACTTATTCTTTATAACTAGTGTCTAGAAGTGAAACTGCCGGGAAAAAGGATATATACTTTAAAAACGTCTGTAGGTAATGCCAAGTTTTACTCTAATTATCCACTCCTGGTAGAGCTGCTAGGGCACGCAACGGGTTTCAATATGCCTTGGACTAAACTGGACATTATCATTCATTCTTTTTGCTAATCTGATGGCGGAAAACGAACCCCCAGTTTACAGGTAAGGAAATGGCGGCTTAAGTTCAGAACTGTTCACATACATAACCGGCAAGTGGCAGAGCCGTGTTTTGGCATCAGAAGCGACTCCGGAGAGGACGTGTCAAGGCTGGACACTGTGCTCTGTGTCCTGGGGCACGTCTGGTGATAGCTGGGCCTTGCAATACTGGCAAGCAGGCCTTCTTCTCCCATCTGGGTCTCTGGCCCCTCCGGGCCGGCCAGACGCCGGCTCTTCTCCATTACGAGCGCTCTTCCTGAGAGCGGGTTCCTCAGCTCTGAAATGGCGGCCGCCAGGACCCCGAGGCCACGCCTCTAGAGGCGGGGCCTGAATTCCTAAATAATTGTCTTTCAAGATTGACATGTCGCCTCAGTTTCTTTTTAATCTTTCTTTGTGGGTTTTTTAAAATTTTTTATTATTTTTTTCAGTTTTAAGACAGGGTCTCTTTCGCCGGGGTTGGAGTGCAGTGGCGCGATCTCAGCTCACTGCATCCTCCGCCTGCCGGGGTCAAGCGATCTTGCCACCTCAGTTTCCTGAGTAGCTGGGACCACAGGCGGGCGCCGCCACGCCCGGCTATTTTTTTTCTATTTTTGGTGGAGACAAGGTTTCTCCATGTTGCCCAGGCTGGTCTGGAACTCCTGAGCACAAGCAGTCCGCCTGCCTCGGCCTTCCAGAGTGCTAGGATTACAGGCATGAGCCAATGCACCTGCTGTTTCTTTTCACCAAGGTTGCATGTGTTGATTGTATCTTGAGAGAACACCCCAAAAGTTTCATTACACATGTAGGAACAAAACTATCACTTTGCAGATTGTTTAAATGACTAGGGCTTTAGGGAATAGGGAAAGTATGCTCTGCAGATCGAGTATCCCTTAACCAAAATCCTTAGGACCAGAAGTATTTTGGATTTCAGATTTATTTTTCCGGATTTTCTAATATCTGCATTATACTTACCAGTTGAGCATTCCTAATTCAAAAATCTGAAATCAGAAATGTTCCAATGAGCATTTCTTTTTAGCATGATTTTTTGAGCATCATGTCCATGTCCAAAAAGTTTTAGATTTTCTTATTGGGGTGATAAACCTGTATCGTTTATTTTGGCTAGAAATTACTGTTGTAGGTTTTTGTTTGTTTGTTGTTGTTGTTTTTAAATTTAAATGGGTTCTCACTTTGCTCCTCAGGCTGGAGTGCAGTGGTGCTATCTCAGCTCACTGCAGCCTCCGCCTCCCAGGTTCAAGCTATTCTCCTGCCTCCTGAGTAGCTGGGATTACAGGCGAGCGCCACCACGCCCAGCTAATTTTTGTATTTTGAGTAGAGTTGAGGTTTCACCATGTTGGCAAGGCTGGTCTCGAACTCGAACTCCTGATTTCAAGTGATCCATCTGCCTTGGCCTTCCGAAGTCTGGGATTACGAGGTGTGAGCCGCCGTGCCTGGCCTGTAGTTTCGTTTTATATGAGAGTTATATCAGATTCAGAAAATCTCTGCTTTTAAAAATATACTTGGTAAGATTGGAAGTTATATCTGTTGTTTAGTTTTATGAACCTATCCTTTTGTCCTTGATCTTAAAATTTTTAGTTAGCATATTTGTGAAGAAAACAGGGCTCTTTGAATTAGTGCAAAAGTGCTTTTTTTTAATGTAGATAGCTGTGGGGTGCTATCCTCTAGTAACATTTCCTCAAATAATTGTAAAGTAATGTATGTTTTTAAAGGCTCTCAAATATTAAAGTACTATCTAGAATAGTAAATCTAAATTTCTTTATTCTTAATGTTAGAATTGTTACAGTTGCATTGAAATGTAGGTCCCATTTATCAGTTTGGATTGCTCTGTGATGATTTGTTAGTCTTCTGAAATATTTTTTTCAGGAGTTCTCCATTACTTGAAGAGTTCTCCATTACTTGGAAAGATAATATTACAGTTGTGTATAGTGTAGATAACATTATTAATGTCAGTTTAATTTGTTCTGAAAGCTTTTGGGTAATCTTTGGAATAATTGATTTAGGAAAATTAAGACAATATTGGTTTGCCAGTGAAAAAAAATTTTACAAGATAAATTATCCATCATTCTTTTTTTTTTTTTTCTCATTTTTTTTAGAGACAGGGCCTCCCTCTGCTGTGCAGACTGGAGTGCAGTGGCGTGATCATAGCTTACTGCAGCCTTGAACTCCTGGGCTCAGGGGATCCTCCCAATTTAGCTTCCTGAGTAGGTGGAACTATAGGTGTCTACCATCACACCTGGCTCATTTATTTTTTTTTATTTTTTATTTTTGTAGAGACGGGGTTTAGCTATGTTGCCCAGGCTGGTCTCAAACTCCTGGCCTCAAGTGATCCTCCCTCCTTGGCCTCCCAAAGTGCTGGGATTACAGGTGTGAGCCACTGCACCTGGCCTATCATTCATTTCTTAAATGGATTGTTTTTATTTTTAATCCCTGTGTTCAATATGTTGCTTAGTCCTTTTGGAGGTAGTTTAAGAGCTAAGAATGGGGGTAAATTCATAAATTATTACTTAAAATGTCTTTGAATAAAATAGTATTCAGTTGTTGCTTTATTCATTTTTAAAATTTATTTTTTAAATTTAGGAAATTGAAGAAGTAGGAAAAAATGCTTTTGGTACTTAATCAGTCTTATATTTTGCTCTATTTTCCTTTGGAAATAAATTTTAGATTTTGGTTTGATTTTGTTTAAAACATAGTTTTAACTGTATTTTATATGTAGATCTAAATTTATGTGTGTTTTAAAACCTGGGCTGGGTGCGGTGGCTCATGCCTGTAATCCAGTACTTTGGGAGGCAGAAGCAGGAGGATCACTTGAGACTAGGAGTTCAAGACCAGCCTGGGCAACATAATGAAACCCTGTCTCTATAAAAAAGAAAAATAAAATTAGCTGGGTGTGGTGGTGCACACCTGTAGTCCCAGTTACTAGGCAGGCTGATGTGGGAGGATTGCTTGAACCCAGGAGTTGGAGGCTGCAATCAGCCATGATCACACTGTTTCACTCTAGCCTGGGCAACCCTGTTTCAAAAAATAAATAAATAAATAAATAAAATCTAAATATAATTAACATTTTCTGTGCCATAGCTAGTTTGTTAACATTTTTAATGATTAATATTTTAGGTGTATGAACCATAGTATATTTAATCATTTCATTGTGGTTCGTTTATAAGTTTTTTTTAAGATTTGTATTTATGTTCATGATAAGCACGTCCATTATTCATGTGGCGGTGGGATGGAAGTAAAGCAGTACCTGTTGTCCCCGTAAGTTTACCTTTCCAAGAATGAATCTGTAGCTGTCTTTGATGGCAGTAGCTTGTTGTGCAGTAGAGCTGAAGAAAACAAGGAATGAAAGAAGATAGCCTGTTTCCCCATTTAGGCTTGAGAATTCTTTTTTAGGTAGTGCAGAGCATATGTTCTTGACCTTCAGTCCAGGAGTGTCTAAGGATCCACAAATACAGTCATCCGTCTGTATCCATGGTTTCGTATCCTTGGATTCAACAGACTGCAGGTGGAAAATTACTCTAAAGGGGAAAAAAAAAAAAAACAGTAAAACAGTTCAAAAATAATACAAATTTTTGGCCAGGCAAGGTAGCTCATGCCTATAATCCCAGCACTTAGATGGATGGGTCACTTGAGCCCAGATGTTTGAGACCAGGCTTGGCAACATGGTGAGACCCTGTCTCTACAAAAAATACAAAAATTAGCCGGGCTTGGTGGTGCACACCTATAGTCTCAGTTACTCAGGAGGTTGAGGTGGGAACATCACCGGAGCCTGGGAGGGTTGAGGCTGCAGTGAGCCTTGATTGCGCCTTTGCATTCCAGCATTGCTGACAGAGCGATACCCCATCTCAGATAATAATAGTAATACAAATTTTAAAGATGCAGTCTAGCAACTAGTTACATAGCATTTATATTGTATTAGGTAGTATAGGTAATCTAGAGATGATTTAAAGAATATCAGAGGATGTGTGTAGGTTATGCAAATATTACCCCATTTTATTTATGTAAGGGATTTGAATATCTGTGGCTTTTGGTGTCTGTGGTGTGCGGGGTATCTTCAGAACCCCATGGATACTCAGGGAGGACTGTACTCTGTAATTTTGTGTGCATGTGCTTTTGTATGTCTTTTTTTCTCCCAGAGGTGAGAGTTCCTTACTTTCATCAGATTCTTAAGAGGAATGTAGACCCAGAAAAGTTAAAAACCATGGACCTAACAGGAATTTTGTTAAAAGTGGAAGTAGAGGGAAAACTGTAAAAAGTATTTGAAACAGTATCTGTTGTCTTGAATTAATGTTGGTTTTCCTTCCTCTTTATTGTTCGGTAATGTGGAATGAGTTTTGCTTTTGAGAGAATGGATTTTGCTACTTTAACTACTTAAGTTTTTCTTTATTGTGTTATGGTTTTCTCTTTTTAATATTGATTATTTGAAGAACTCACATTAAGATTATCAAAGTCTAGTTGCTTATAAGTAGCTTTGCCCTAATGGGCATTTCGGTATATGTATTTTTATTGTTTGGAGCTCTTTGCAATATTTCCAGAGCAATAGATTTTTTTAGATATCACTTAAAACGTGCTCATTTTATAGATAAAGAGGTTTAGGTCTGTATATTGACTTGGTTAAAGTCATGTTGATTTCCAGTATATATGAAGTGTGCCATACTTTTGCTGCTTTTGTGAACCTAAATATTGTGCTAATTTTAGATTTATCAGAGCTATAAAACTTCTACTAGTTTCTGGTTTCTTGTTCTAGCTTCCTCTTCCTGGTCCCTGGCTTTCTTTCAGCCTTTGAAACCTCTGGAGCTACTTCTGCCAGGATTAAGCTTTTTTGTTGCAAGTTGCAGAAATCTGGCGACAAGGCCAGAAGAGAAGAGAGAGATTAAGTTAGTCTACCTTTTGGAATTGTTTCAAGAATGAAAAATGAGAATAGAAGTCTCCTGAATCCCAGTCTGGATTAAAAAAAAAAAACCTCCGTAATAGTTTTTCTTTTTCTTTTTCTGCAAAAGAAAATCTACCTATGTGACGGGGGACACAGGAAACACATTCTTTGCTTATCTGTTCTTGGCTATTTTTGCCTTAAAACTGCTAAAAATCTGTGCCTTATTGTAATATGGTAACAGTAATAGTGGGAGTTGAAATACTGAGGGAAAAAAGTACCGAGTCCATATCACCTTCTAGAACATAACTTTTACGTAGCTGTCCTTGTAGCGCAGATGCAAATTAGTGTTATCTCTAATCACATTACAAGTACTTCCAGTCATTACATATGGTATTAATTGTTATATTTAACGACTGGAAAAGTGTCCTGGTTGCAG